>NC_000002.12:66042625-66667625 GCF_000001405.40 Homo sapiens
GGTTGTTCATCATTTGTAAGAAAAAAATGCTGATAATAATAGTACTTACTTCTTAGAGCTGTTAAAAGTATCAGATGATACAATAAATGTAAACTGCTTAGCACATACCTGGCACACAGCAAATGTCCAACAAGTGCTAACTATTTAATAATAATAATTGTTGTTGTTACTTCTGTTTTAGTTTCACATGTATGGAGACCAGGTTTTGAAATGAGCAGAGTGGCTTTCAAGAAATTCAGAAATCAGAAAATGTCAATCTCCTCTGTACCAAATCTAGAGAGAGGACAGCTGAGGAATGGATATTTCTCAGTCCATTTGCACTGCTATAATAAAATACCTGAGAGTGGGTGATTTATAAACAACAGAAATTTATTTCACACAGTGCCAGAGGTTGGGAAGTCCAAGATCAAGGTGCCAGCAGAATTGGTGTTTGGAAAGGGCATCCCTCCTACTTTCAAGATGGTGGCTTATTGCTCTGTCCTCACATGATGAACAGGAGAAGGACAAAAAGGGAAGAGTGCTCTCTTCAACCTCTTTATAAGGTCATTAAGTACATTTATGAGGGCCCTGCCCTCATTACTTAATCACCTCCTAAAGGCCCCACATCTGAATATTTTCACATTTGTGATTAAGTTTCAACATACGAATTGTGGGGATACATTCAGACCATAGCAATATACTTGCTTATTATTGTGTTTTGCTCACTGATATGTTTCTAGCACCTAGAAAAGTGCTTCACATACAGTAAAGGCTCCATAAGTATTTAGTCAAATTAATGAATGAACTGTAGACTTCTGGATGGCTCTCATTATGGTCATACCTCATGAATGTAAGCGGCTTGTCTTTTTCTAATGAATCCCTATACTTGGGCAATCAACTGTCTGTGTGAAGATGGTGCACAGCCTCACAACTGGAATTGCAGCCAAGGGCTATCTATAAAATACCCAGTAAAGCCTTTAAGATGATCTCCATGGATTCTTGTGACCCCTTTGTAAACCCTGTACTTTAAATCAGGGCTGGTTGGTGTGACCAATAGAATATGGCAGGTATAACAGTATGTGACTTTCAAGGCCCAGTCCAAACAATAAAAAGAAAATGTATTGGAGTTTACGCCTTGGGGTCTCTTAGATTGCGTGCTCTGGAGGATGCCAGTCACCAAGTTGTGAAGATATCCTTGCAGTTCTGTGGAGAAGCCCATGGGAGAGGAACTGAGGCCTTCTGGCATTAGACATCACCACTTGCCAGCCATGTAGGTGAGTTACCTTGGGATCAAATCCACCAGCCCCAGTTAAGGTAGGCTAGGCCCAGTTAAGCCTAGGCTGATGTCTGATGCAACCTCCAAAGGGATCTTGAGCAGACTTGCTCAGCCAGGCCACACCTGAATTCCTGACCCTCAGAAACTGCGAGCAATGTCCAGAAAAACAATTATTATTTTTGTAAGCCATTAAATTTTGGAATAATTTGTTATGCAGCAATAGATAACTAATACACAAGGAATTTGACTCTGACTGGTGTTTCGGAGTGTATTCCTGATAGATTATCATTTAAGTACAATAAATACTGACATAAAATAGTTTTATGTGCATTATTGACAAGTATTTCATAGACCTTTGCATTTATGATTTATCATAGACCTTCATTTTCACAGACCTTGTTACATTTGTCACTACCCTCAAGAGGTTCTTAGATGCACACGGCTTATAGGGAGCAGCCCGACCATGCCGATCCTAACTCCTCAAGCCTGTTCTTTGGAAAATGAACATATGAAGCATATGAAGGGCTCCAAGGAACAATGAGAACAGAATATTCCTGGGCTGGGCACAGTGGATCACATCTGTAATCCCAGCACTTTGGGAGGCTGAAACGGTGCTTTTGCTTGAATCCAGGAGTTCGAGACCAACCTGGGCAACATAGCAAGACTCTCTATCTACAAAAATTAGAAAAAAAATCAGCCAGGTGTGGTGCCATGTGCCTCTCTAATCCCAGCTACTTGGAGGCTGAGGTGAGAGGATCGTTTGAGCCCAGGAGTTGGTGGCTACAGTGAGCTATAATGGGACCACTACACTTTAGCCTGGACAACAGAGTGAAACTCTCTCCAAAACATAAAGAACATCCCTGAACAAATGAGTCAGATGATCAAGAAATACCAGTGAACACTGAGCATCTTCTATTCACAATTCAGTGTGAAATAAAAAGAGTGATGAGTCATTTAGAATCCAGAATCTCCCAGAATCTTCCAGAATCTGGTGAGGGACATAAGACGTACCTGAGGAGTGAATGAACAATTCATGGTGTTCAGTCAGTGGCCAGCCCACACCTGCAGTACTGTGGTCCATTCTGCCTGTGACATATTTAGAAGGTTATTGACAAGTAAGAAGACAGCCTGAGGATGTTCTCTGTGAGCAAATAGGGTCATTGAACGTGCAGGAGAGAAGCTCAAGCAAAATGGAAATGACTGCCTTCAAATATCTAAAGGCTACCACAAGGAAGATGGATGCACCTGCTCTGACTTGTTCTTGAGCACAGAGCAAAGACCAGTAAATGAATTTACAGGAGGGTCAATCACTGCTGGCCAGCACAGCAGAGAAAGCTGCTATCACTGATGGGTTGCAAGCAGTGGGTGGTGGCCGTGGCTCAGAGATGCTGCAGATGGGTTTGCTATGTGGTGTAAAAGATCATCTCTGCATTTCCTCATCACTCCATGTGAGAAGGCATCATAGAAAAAGAATGGGCTTCAGAGTCAGACAAAAGGGGTGTAGCTCCTGAATCCACCATGAAATGCCTTGTGAACCTAGGTAAGAAACTGAGGACAGTTTCCTCAGTTTCTCCATCTGTAAAATGAGGTATAACAATGCTTGCTCCATTAGCTCACTGTCAAAGCAGAGATAGTGAGATCACACATGTCAAGTATGTAGTACATTTATGGAGCTCACCCAATCCAATCTGAGTGGTGTCCTTTTAAGGAAAGAAAATTTGGACACAAGAGAGGCACTAGGGATGTGAGTGCACAGAGGAAAGACCACATGAGGAAAGAGCAAGAAGACAGCCATCTGCAAAACAAGGAGAGAGGCCTCAGAAGAAACCAATCCTGATGACTACACCTTGATGTCGGACTTCCTGCCTCCAGAACTGTGAGAAAATCACTTTCTGTTATTTACACCTCCCAGTTGGTGGCATTTTGTTCTGGCAGCCTGAGCAGACTAGCACAGGAGGGGATGCGCTTTATGCTCTATCTTAGCTCCAGCTCTCAGGAGCAAGTCTTCTGTGGGTGAAATGGGCATCATCATCCAATCCGGCAGCAGGGTGTGGATGGCAGAAACTTGACCTGCACATGGTAAAGACAAGCCAAGTACAGATCAGAATCTGGGCCAAGTGCACCTGGGCACTCTATTCTTGGGTTGAAAAGACAGTACAGTGGTATAGGAGATGTTGGTGATGAAAGCCCTGAATTTTTTTTCTTGTGTCAAAGTGCTCCTATCTGAGCTGCTTGCCATTGTATCTAGTATTCAGCTGTTATCCTAGAATCCTCCTTCATCGTCCTCCTGAACTTTCTTGTTGGGAGCTTATGGGATCCACTTTCTATCCCTGGTGTTCTGAAATTTTCTAGTGATGTGCCTTGATGTGGACCTGCTTTCCCTCTATGTGCCTGGGACTTAGTGACCCTTTTAGTCTCACAACTCATATCCTGGAGTTACGAATTTTATATTGTGATTATTTTGTTGATGATTTCCTCTCATCTATTTTATTCTTCCTCTCTTTCTGAAACTCATTGTTAACATGTTCAATTCCCAGAATTGGCCTTTTGTCTGTTTTCCAACTCTTGCTCTGTTTTCTGAAAGAGTTCTTCAACTTTATATTCCAGCCTGTACTTTGAATTTTAAAAATTTCTGTTCATATATTTTTAATTTCCAAGAACCTTTGTTAAATTTTATAAATGTTCTTTTTTTATAACTTTCTAGTTTTGCTTCATAGATACAATATACTGTCTTATCTGTCTGAAGATATTATTGATTTTTTTTGAAGGTTCTTCAACATGCTAGTGTGTGTGCCTGTGTGTGTGTGTGTGTATGTGCCTGTGTGTGTGTGTGTCTCACCTTTCATATTACAAGCTTTCTTTAGAAATTTGGTAATTCATGTCTATCTTCCCATGCCTAAGATTGGGGAGCTAAACAGATGATAACAATTCTGAGCATGTGGGTGTGGCTTGTGCACTTTGAGTTTGACTGTAGAGTAATTTGGCCTGTTCTTTGGGGAAAGGCCTGAAGTCAGCATCTTGTAGATCTTTCCTCTTGGGCTGATCCAATTCCCCACAGAGGATTTTCTAATCTCCTGCATGGAGGACAAGAGTTTGGCTACCAGCTTCTGGGATCCAGTAGGGAGGAAGGCTGGGTCTCAGCAGCAGCACTGATGTGTTTCTTTTGGCCCAGCACCCATGTCCTCAGCTGCCATGGCAGCTCACAATCCAGAGACCCTCTGTTACACCTTCCCCAGAAAACTATTGTCTGTGTGTCGCACCAGTTGCGGAAGGGGATCCTTACAGCACCTTGGAGTATTGGAAGGAAATTAGAGATTATAATCTAACTCAAAAAATAAAACAAAAAAAATTTCATCAAACAGCTTTTCCCCAATCTTCCTTACATTAATCTTCTCTTTGTCCTCAGTTCCAGATAGACCTGGAGCTGCACTTTGCTGAATATTTTGACGATTTTGCAGTATAAATAAGGTTGGGTCTCAGCTTTCCCCTCTGCCTGTTTTAGGTCTGTTCGATTGCTGACTGGCTTTCTAGCTTTCAGAGTTTAGTTGTCATTGTCTCCTCTTCCTTTACATCCTTTGCAAAACATATTCCTTTACTATGGTTTAGGGTTTCTGAAAGGAGGGAAGTCAGATGTACATTCAACCCACTATGTGAGCTCAGTAGTCTCCCTGTTTCCTGTCTCTGTTCTCTTCTCACCTGGATTATTTTGCTCTACCTTTGCTCATTAAAATCTCAGCTATTATAAAGGGTCAGCTCCAATGCCATTTCTCCATAAAGTGGTCCAAAGTGTGGGAAATCTTACGATTTTTCTTTTCTCTTGGCACTTACCTTACTCTCTGTGATACCCTCCTCCTGTATGCCAACACACACACACACACACACACACACACACACACACACACACACACCCACTACAAGGTGGTAGGTAAATAAATAATAAATGACATATTAATATTACATTAAGATACATGATCAAGTTGTATATGTTTCTAGATCTTATAGTCACTCTCTGGATTATAAATTCTGGGGCTCATGGGCAGAGCTTGTGAATTGGGTCTGGTTCCCAGCTCTGGCAGTTTCTCTTTGTGAGTCCTTGGGCGTGTCATTTTGTCCTCAAAACAGAATCAGCAAAATTAGGAGATGAACACCAGAACCTATAGAACTAGTCATAATGGTCGAATGCAGCAACACATGGAAGGCATGCCTCCCATATTGTTTACCTACTGCTATTATTATTCCCTTTCTCCCTCACAGTGTTCTTTTGAAGCTCAAGGATTTTATTGAATGTGGCAGTCATCATGTAAATGTAATGTACTGTGAGATATCAGTGGGTATTTTTGTGACTCATCTGGGTGCTCCCTGAAGAGCCCTGCAGAGTGCCTTTCACACAGTAAGTGTCTGAGGAATATCTGTTGAAATGAGCAAAACATGTCAATATTTAGGGAGTTGTACTATATGAAGGCACAGATGCACAGTCATGCATGTGTGTTTTGGTCATTGGAGAGGTGGGTATGCTCCATTTGTTCCAGGATATTGAAAAAATAAAACAATTCTTCTGGCAGGTTAGCCTCCTTCTTTCTGAAGACCCAGTGGCTGTGTGCTTTCGGCTAAATGTTGTCATCCTCCAAACCCAGAGAAAGCAAAAAGCAGGGGTTGGAATAATCATGTGCAAAGAGGGAATGATATGTCGTCTCATTGTTTTAGAAGTTTTATAAGCCTAGAAGCATTAAAGACGAGTTGCAACTTTGAAAACCACCCTGTTGAATCACGATGATCTCAAACTCTTTCTTGGCCTCCCCTTTTCCTGTGTGCATGTGTGTGTAATGCTTAGTATTTATGTTTGCCTGTTTACTTAGGTCATTTATATGAACACAGGCGCTGTGCTGTGTAAGAGCACATCAGCTCTTGCTGCTAACCCTTCACCTGCAATCTTAAGTCTCAGTTTATGAAATCATAGTCATTTGCCAGGGAGGCAATCATGATGTCACAAGCCAAGCACAGTGACTTCAGGTGGGTAATCAACTGAAGGAGCAGACTGACTTCTAAGCAACAAAGATCCCATTATCATGTAAATGTTCTTAGTAACCAAAATTACAGAAGGAGAGACATATAATGTAAGACACTGGCACATCAGCCTCCCCTGTGCTGCTCAATGCGATCATTCTCCAAGCGTTCCAAGAAAGATGTGTCTTGTAAACACAGCTGGTAAGAGGTAGAAGACGAAACCACAACAAAATGATTTTTCTTTTTAAGCAGCGAAATCCAAACACTGTCTTTTAAAGGGTCTGATTAGTGAGTTTGTAAAATATCTAAACCTCTTGAGTTGTCAAATTTTAACACTTGGTTTTGTTTCTCCCTGTAGGGCCTTGAATCAGTGCCTTTCAAACTTAAATGTACATTTGAGTCACCTGGGAATGTTGTTAAAAATACAGATTCTGAGTCAGCAGGTCTGGTGTGGGGCAGCAATCTTTTTTTTTTTGAGACAGGGTGCCACTGTCACCCAGGCTGAAGTGCAGTGGCATGATCATAGCTAACTACAGCCTTGAATTCCTGGGTTTAAGTGATCCTTCTGCCTCAGCCTCCTGAGTAGCTGGGACCACAGGCATGCGCCACCGCACCTAGTGAAAGGATTCTGTATTTCTAACAAGCTGTCAGGCAATGCAAGGCTGTCAGTTCTTGGACTTCACTGAGCGATAGCTTGTTTTGTTTTGTTTTTGAGACAGGGTCTCGTTCTGTCACCGAGGCTGAAGTACAGTGGCACAATCACAGCTCACTGCAGCCGCAACCTCCTGGGCTGAAGCAATCCTCCCATCTCAGCCTCCCAAGTAGCTGAAACTACAGCGCCACCACAGCCAGCTAATGTTTTAATTTTTTTGTAGAGCCAGGGTTTCACCTTGTTGCCTGGGCTATTCTGGAACTCCTGGGCTCAAGCAATCCTCCCGCCTTGGCCTCCCAAAGTGCTGGAATTACAGGGGTGAGTCACTATGCCTGCCAAACTTTTTAAAGTCAGAATCCAAATTTAAAGTTAAAATAAGAATATTATGGCTGAAAAGGTGTCAGGGACATTTACCCTCTGTGTACCAACATTAATACTGCATTTCTCAAATTCTAAGCTATATGTTTCTTTGCATGTTCACTTTTCTGAAATTGGTGTGTAGCAATCATATTAACAAATTGTATAGCTAGTAAGCAAAGATTAATTTGTGACATCTGAGTTGTTGCCTGAAGATGTGTGAAATGTGTGGTCTGTACAACTTGTTTATCCATTTGTCACCTCAGTTGTCTGTACTGGGGTACCACATAGAGGTCAAATTTCCTCACTAATACTTTCATAAAACACTTGTTTCCACATTGAATTCATCTGGAAAGCTTTAAAAACTTTGGTGCCTAAGTCTCAGACCCAGAGATTCTGGTGCAATTGTTCTCCCCAGATGATTCTAATGCACAACAAACTTTGAGAGTCACTGTGTGTCAGTATCTTCACAATGATCATGAATTACAGACCACAGAGAAATGCATTATTGTGTACATATCAGGCAATGTAAAGGAGACATCATCACATGTCTTATGGACATCATAGACTTCTCAAAGCTTGGAAAAGTCATTTAACCAGTTTGTGGGTTGAACAGGAATCTCAGCCAGGTGGCGACTGTCTCTCAGTGAAGAGCTTTCTAACTACACTCCAGAGATGTTGTTTCACGTCCAGTGAGATATCAAAACTATGAGTTTACCCAAGTCACAAATGCAGACGAAATCCTGGTTTCACTTGGTTTGCCTCCAATTCCTGCTAAGCCTGAGGATGCAGAGGTCAAAGGCACTAGCACGGGTTAGGAAAGCCCCATTTCATTGTGATACTAAGCATGGCTGCACGTGGCCAAGAGTGGGTCCCAAAATTTATTTCATTCCTAATGTGAAAAAATCTTGGACTCAAACTTAAATTGCACTACTAAAGTTATGTGTCATTGCCAATAAATATACTAATATTTGTTAATAACATACAGCATTTACTTTTTGTTAAATCAATCATGTGGCTTTAGACCCCTGGAATCTTTGATTTGAGGATACAACAAGGAGCACAACCCAACAACATCATGTATTCTGTATTAGGGACCAAGCTCTAATTTTATATTGCAGTATCTCATTTGATTCTTGTAATATCCCTGCTATGTAGGAAACATCCCCAGTTTATAGAAGCAAAAATTAGGGCTCTGGGGATCCATTTACATTTTCTATTAAGTGTCCAGAAGCAAGCCATGCAAAAAGTGTCTTTCTGGGTGGCTGGGATCTACCAGCTGATAGCAAAGAATCTCTCTGTGATAAAATGACTAAATTAGGGCTCTGCAAATCGTGTTTACCAGAACCCTAAGATTTAGAAGAGGCCTCAAGGACCCAGAGAAAGGGCACATGGAGCAGAGAAGGGCATTGTTGCAGATAGATAGAGGAGAACTTGCTTGCAAACACTTGCAAGGCACTGACTTAAATAACTCCAGTCAGACAGCGATCAATCCTCAAACACCTTTAGGTTTTTTTCAAAATCCAAGGAAATTGATGCCTGGCATCTGTTAGCACTATGATTATTTTGAATAAAACTAGTTAAACTTACTGGGTGTAAGAAAGATAATTGTGGAAAAGGTACTTATAAAATTAATACAAATAATGATTATTGAAAAGTAACCAAAATTTACTTTTAATACAAATAATAAATGATTTTTTTAAAAAATTAACCTTAGAGATTATAGAGTCAAGAGATATTCAAGCTTATATTGAAGTGGAATGCATTTTGCAAACGAATCTGATGTGGCATCCTAATAGACAAAAGACATAAACTTGATAAGATGCACAACTCTGCCAGATTCCCAACCCACTCTCCACTGCCATTTATATTGAAGTGGAATGCATTTTGCAAACGAATCTGATGTGGCATCCTAATAGACAAAAGACATAAACTTGATAAGATGCACAACTCTGCCAGATTCCCAACCCACTCTCCACTGCCATTAAGGAATGGGATCCCTGTCCAAAAACACAAGCCTCCTCTCCTCTTTCTTGCTAGGCTCCTGGTGCTTAAAATCAGAACCATTTTCACTCCTTCATGAAGCAAAGGTAACCCTCCACCCACCTGACAGTCCATGAAAAAGGTTGTATTGTTTTTCACTAAAGAGCCCTTGTTATAAAAGAGATGCTTCGTGAGTCAGCTGGAGACGAGGTTTCAGCTGTCGCAAGCACCCCTGAGCCCTGTCTCTGTGTCCCTGTGACACCATCTTTGACAATCTGACCTCTATCCTCCAGAGAATGGCTGAGAAAAATACATCATAAGCTGGAGTTCTCATGAGATAATGTTCAAAACTAGATTTGCTGATCTCAACAATCACAACTGGTTTCTTTGGGTGGGTCAGGTGTTAGTTCTTACAGAATAGAAATGGCAAACACTAAATGTTTCTTGGCCAAGGATTCCATGGTCAGTCCAAGCCTGTGATACAGGTGCCCTACCAGTCATTAGGCTTGGGCATATATATATATGGCATATATTCATATATTAGGAGGAAACAAACTGGTTTTAGGATCTCATTCTGCACACACACACACCCTTGGAAGGAGGGATAGTTCTGGGAGGGGAGGACATGGAATTAACTTGTTTGCAAGTTAGGCCATGGGAAGAATAAAAGCAGCTTGAGGAGGAGGAGTATTGGGGAGATTCCCCAAAGAAGGGGAGAGCACTTGGTTTGGTCAGATTGGCATCACTGAGGCCCACAGTCAACTCCTCTATCCTGGTTATGACCCAGGGCTGATGGACCTCAAAGTGGAACTGGTACATAGAGAGTAGCAGGGCTGGGCCAGAGATGCAGGGGTTTCAGCCGCAGCAGACTCATATAAGGAGATGCTGTGGATGTACTGCCCCAGATGCCCCCAGCCCACCTCTAGGTTTGCCTGTAGCCACTTTGGACAGTTCACATAAACACTGACAAGCTCCCATCTTAAGTGCCTGACCTCATCTAAGGCTAACTTCTCCTCTTGTACGTTTTATCAGCCATCTCCTCAGAGATTTCAATTCTGCAATTACAGTTGACCTTTAAACAATGCAGAGGTTAGGAGCACAGTCAAAAATCCACATGCAACTTTTGACTTCCCCAAAACTTAACTACAAATAGCCTACTTATCTTAGTCTGTTTTGTGTTGCTGTAAAAGAATACTTGAGACTAGGTAACTTATAAAGAAAAGAGGTTTATTTGGCTCATGGTTCTGAAGGCTTTACAAGAAGCATGGTGCCAGCTTCTGATGAGAGCTTCCAGCTTCTTCCATCCATGGCAGAAGGCAGAGGGGAGCCAGCATGGAGAGAGGGGAAGCAAGGAGAGGGGAGGTGTCAGGTTTTCTTAAACAGCCAGTTCTCATGAGACTAATAGAGTGAGAACTCACTCTCCCTCTTTCTAGGGAGGGCATTAATCTGTTCATGAAGGATGCATCTCCATGACCCAAATACCTTCCACTAGGTCCCCACCTCCAACATTGGGATCAAATTTCAACATGAGGTTCGGGGGACAAACATCCAACTATAGCACTACCATTGACCAGAAGCCTTACCAATAGCATAAACAGTCAATTAACACCTACTTTGTATGTTTCATATATTATATACTGTGTTCTTACAATAAAGCAAGCTAGAGAAAAGAAAATGTCATTAAGAAAATCATAAAGAAGAGAAAATATATTTACTATTCATTAAGTGGAAGTGGCTCATTGTAAAGGTTTTCACCCTCATGGTGTTCATGCTGAGTAGACTGAGGAGGAGGAAGAAGAGAAGGGGTTGGTCTTGCTGTCTCTGGGGTGGCAGAGGCAGAAGAAAATTCATGTATAAGTGGACCCACGCAGTTCAAACCCGTGTTGTTCAAGGGTTGACTGTACTATGATTCACCTTCAGTCATCAATTTCTCTCTATGTATTGGATTATACCCATTAGCATATAAAAGCCTTCACAGGATTAATATTTTTTTTAAAAAGAACACTCCTTTTCACATTAGGTTCACCAATAACTTACTTTTTAAAAAACTAATAATCAGTACCTGTTCTTATTTTAGTCTACTTTTAATACTTTTTGACACAGTAAGCCACACTGTCTCCCTTGAAAGCTTCTCTTCTCTAGATTATCTATATTCCACATTCACCTGGTTTTCCTTCTGCCTCATTGATTTCCTACTCTTTTCATTCCTCCCAAATTCCAAACCTCTTACTATTAAAGTGCTGGATAGCTTTGTCCTTAGTTCTTTTCTCTTCACTGTCTCCTTGGAAATCTTCAATTCCCTCAAGTCCAAATCCCAGCTGTATGTAAATGACTTTCAAATGTAAATCCCTGAGCTTCAAACTCCTATATCTAGTGGCCTATTCAGCATCTCCACTTAGATACCTACTGGGCATCTCAGAATTAATATGGCCCAAATCTTTTGTGACCTCTCTAAATTCTAAAAGTACTCCACCTCATCACACTCCCACTCATGCCTTTTCCATCTTGCTAAATAGAACCACCACACTCTCTAAAATCTCAGACCTAAAATCTAGGTTAATTCCATTATTCTCTCACACCTCCCATAAGTACATCTCATCAGCTTCACCTCAATACATCTCCCAAATCATCATCCCTACTGTTACAAATCTAGCTCAAGGCATCATCATCTTCTTCCTAAATCATTGCAATAGCTTCCTAATTGCTCTCCCTGCCTCTTCCTTTGACCCTGCTTCCCTTTTCTCCTTTTGCAGCCAGAGGGATCTCTCTAAAACGTAAATCAGACCCACATTACTCCTTTCCTTTAAATCCTTCAATGCCTTCCCATGGCCTTAAATCCAAGTTTCTTCTCATAACTTTTAAGACTTTACATAATCTGTTTTTTTTTGTTTTGTTTTGTTTTTTGAGACAGAGTTTCACTCTTGTTGCCCAGGCTGGAGTGCAATGTCATGATCTCGGCTCACTGCAACCTCCAACTTCTGGGTTCAAGCGATTCTCTTGCCTCAGCCTCTCACTGGGATTACAGGTGCCTAGCATCATGCCTCGCTAATTTTTGTATTTTTAGTAGAGACAGGGTTTCCCCATGTTGGCAAGGCTGGTCTCGAACTCCTGACCTCAGGTGATCCATCCGCCTCGGCCTCCCAAAGTGTTGGGATTATAGGTGTGAGCCACTGTGCCCGGCCTAATCTGGTTTGTACCTCTTAGTTTTTGTTCTTTTTCCTCTGTATTTGGAGACTGTTTTTTAAGAAAACCTTCTCCTGTTCTACTTGTAAAATTTTTGCGCCATTGTATTTTAAGTGAGTCTCTTGGAAATAGCATATAACTGGATTTTGTTCTTTTTTAAAAAAAGTCAATCTGACCAAATCTATTAAAAATTGATTCATTTATTCTACTTCTTATCATTATAAATGTATGTGGATTAATTTCTACCATCATATGTTTTGCTTTTTATATGTCCAAATTTTTCTATGCATATTTTTTCTTAGATTGAGTTGTTTTTGCTTGTTTGTTTGTTGGATTTCCCCCATTTTTCTTGTTTGGAAGCTGTCTACTCTATGTCTGGTCACCTTAACAGGTTCTGAAAGTAAGTTTTATTAAGGTACAATTCACTGTTTTTAAGTATACAATTCTATGAATTGTCATATAAAGTCATGTAAGCTCTACCACAATAATGATGTAAACTACAACGAGCTACAACTAATCAGTTTCCTGTACCTATAATTTTGCCTATTCCAAAATATGACTTAAATGGAATCAGAGAGAATGTTACCTTTTCAGTTCAGATTCTTTCACTTAGCATAATACATTCGAGATTTATTAATTCATGCTTTTGCATGTAAGTATTCCATTGTATAGATGTGCTACTGCTATGTCTTGAATCTTTGTGATCCCTCCCCAAATTCATATGTTCACATCCTAAATGCCAAGCTCATGATATTAAGAGGTGGGGCCTTTGGAAGATTATTAGGTGGAGGTTTGAGGGTGGAGCCCTCATGAATGGCATTAATGCTCTTATAAAAGAGGTCTGAGGGAGACCCATTATCCCTTCTTCCATGTGAGAACACAGTGAAAAGTGGGCTTTCCCTAGACACTGAATCTGTCCCTTTCTAGGACTTCCCAGCCTTCAGGACTGTCAAATAAATTTTTGTTGTTTATAAGCTACGTAGTTTATGGTATTTTGTTATAGCAATCTGAACAGACTAAGACAATCACAGTTTGTTTATTCGCTTACCAGCTAATGGACACTTAGGTTGTTTCTGATTTTTAGTGATTATGAATAAAGCTGATAAAAAACATTTTCATACAAATTTATATGTGTACATACATTTTATTTATCCTGGGTAAGTAAATACTTAGGAGTAAGATTGCTGGATTGTATAGTAAGTGCATGTTTAAGGTTATAAGAAACTCTCCAATTGTTTTCCAAAGTGGCTGTAATATTTGCATTCCCACCCCCAAAGACTGAGAGATTCCAATGCTCAGCATACTTGACAACACTTAGTATTTTCAGGACTTTATTTTTTTAGCCATTCCAATAGGTGACTAGGGATGTCTCATTATAGTTTTAACTTGCAAATCCCTGATGGTTAATGATATTGAGCATCTTTTCATGTGCTTCACTGCCATCCTATATCTTTTCTGGTAAAGCACATCTCAGAAATTTTTGTATATTATGTTTTCATTTAATTTAATTCTGAATATTTTCTACTTTCCCTTGTGACTTCCATTTTGAAGCATGAGTATTTATTTATTTATTTATTTATTTATTTATTTATTTATTTTTGAGATGGGGTCTCACTCTGTCACCTAGGCTGGAGTGCAATGGCTTGATCTCAGCTCACCGCAACCTCCGCCTCCTGGGTTCAGGCGATTCTCCTGCCTCAGCCTCCCGAGTAGCTGGGATTCCAGGTGCCTGCCACTACACCTGGCTAATTTTTGTAATTTTAGTAGAGACAGGGTTTCACCATGTTAGTCAGGCTGGTCTCGAGCTCCTGACCTCAGGTGATCTGCCTGCCTTAGCCTCCCAAAGTGCTGGGATTGCAGGCACGAGCCACCATGCCCGGCCAGCATGAGTTATTTAGAAGTGTATTGTTTAATGCTCAAACACTAGGAGTTTTACAAATATCTTTCTTCTGTTGGCCTCTAGTTTAATTTAACTGTGGTCAGAGAATATACATTATACAATTTCAATTGAACAATTAAGTTTATTCAAGTTTGTTTTATTGCCCAGAAAATGGCTTATAATGACAAATGTTTCATATTTCTTTGAAGAGCATGTTTATTCTTCTTATATTTGGAGATTCATTTCTGCCATTAATCTTAGAAAATTTTCTCTTCAAAAATTTATTCTCTCACATCCACTATGATGGCTATAATCAAAAAGTCTGGTAATAATAAGTATTGGCAAGGATTTGGAAAAATTGGAATCCTGCACACTACTGGTGGGAATGTAAATGGTGCAGCCACTTTGGAAAACAGCTGGGCAGTTCCTCAAATGAAACATAGTTAACCACTCCTAAGTATATTGCCAAGAGAAATATAATCATACATCTACACAAAAACTTATGTGTGAATGTTTGTTGGAGCACTATTCATAATAGCTAAAAAATGAAAATAACTGAAATGTCCATCAACTGATGAATAGATAAATGACATCTAGTATATCCAAAGCATAAGATATTATTTGGCCGTAAAAAGGAGTGAATACCAATACATGATACAATGTGAAAGAATTTTGAAAATATACTAATCTATAAAGACGGAAAGTAGATTAATAATTGCTTAGGGTTGGTGGGGAGGTATTAGAGGGATAGGGAGATGATAGCTAAAGAATATGAAGTTTCTTTTTGAGGTGATGAAAGTGTTTTAAAATTGACTGTGATGATGGTTGCATATATCTGTGAATATACTAAAAACAGTTGATTGCATACTTTAAATGAGTGAATTTTATAGTCTGCAAGTTATATCTCTATAAAGCTATTGCAGAAAATTATTCTCCCCTTTTCTCTTTAGTCTCTTCTTCTGGGACTACAAATTGATATATAAAAAATTGGTTACAACATCTTACTGGTTACATCATCCAATAAGAACACTAAGAATAACTTAATGCTTTAATTTGTAGTCATTCTTATTTCATCGATTGTCAGTAACATGTTTTTATAGTGCTTTTTAAAAGCCAGAATCTAATCAAGGTTCTCAAATTGCATTTGGTTATCATCCCTTTTTAGACTCTTTTAATCTAAAACATTCCTCTCTCCTTTTATTGTTTGTTTGTGTGTGTGTGTGTGTGTGTGAGAGAGAGAGAGAGATACTGGCCTTTATTTTTTAATTATCCAGGTGACTTTTTCATGGAAAATCATCCACTGAGTTTTTAATATTAACTATTAACTATTTTTCATTTCCAGAAACTGTTTTTTTTTCAAATTGATCATTTGAAATGCTTGTTCTTTGCTTATGTTTTTCTATTCTATTTTTCCTTGTTTAAATATTTTACACACAGTTAGTGCATATTCTATTTCTAAGAATTCCATCATCTGAAGTTCATGGAAGTCTAAACGTCTGTTGTTTCTGATGGCTCTTTCAGTAACTTACTTTCTTACAAACTCAGTAATTTTTAATCGGGATCTCCTATTTCAGTGAAGTAAGATCCAGATAGACCTGCATAGAAGGTACATCCCTCTAGGAAAATTTGTGTTTCCTTTTATGGGGATCCGAGTACGCAATAGAGGGCCATTTTAGTTTCATTTCTCAGTTTGAAGTTTCCTTACTCTCCGGGATAGAATAACTTTGAACCCCAGACTAGTATTTTCTCCAGCTGGAATTGGAATTGCAGAATACAAGTTTTCATTGTGGCTACCTTTTCTAGCCTGTTGTTTCACTGAATGTGGGGGCCTCATCTTGTGTGTCTTCCCCCAATCTTGTGTGCTCTCAGTGTAGTCTCTCCTGTGCCCCCTGTGACCACTAACCCCCCGAAGCGCTAGACTTCTAACAGTGTTTGCCTCAGGGCAGACCCAGCTTCACCATTAGCTTACCAGGCGAATGCATCAGTTCACCAGGCGGCTCTTGACTCATGTGGATCTCCCCTATTTTTAGGCAACTTCAGCTATGCATTAAAAAATAGGTAGCAATTGATTCTGCACCAGGGGTTCTGCAGCAGGAGGATTTTCAGAGTAACTGATCTGCCACATTACTGGAAGCAAAATCCTCTACCTAACTTTATGACCTCATCTCCCTGGACCCTCACCTTCTTCACTTCATGCCAGCCACACTGGACTATAGCTCAAACATGTAAAAGCTCACAGCTGTCTCAGAGCCTTTTCACCTGTTATTTGTTTTCTTGAAAAGACTCTTTTCTTCAATTCTTCACGTGGTCACGCTTTATCACCATTCAGGTCTTAGCTCAAATGTTCCACCTCCAGATTCTCCCCTGGTCACTCTCAGTTATTAATACGTTCTCTTATCTCAGCTAAATATTTCTGTGTAGTACTTCCCAGAACCTAAGGTTATTTTGTTTATTGATTTGTTTATGTTTTGTTCTCTAGAATGTAACTGTTTAAGGGCAGGGACCCTGTTCTAGAAAAGTGCTTGGCACACATAGACACTCTAAAAGTAAATATTTGTTGATTGGTTGGGTAATATCTCTGTTCTTTATCTCCTGCTGAAATACCTTCCTATTCTCTCTTGCAGGCTGGAAACCAGGGCCATGTTCATAGTCCCAATAGTTAGCTTACTACAGCAAGGTCACCACTAAAATGCCATCCTGTGTGTTCTAACAAGCAAATACTCAACCTGTGTGTATGTGCAAATATGTGTGTGTGTGTGTGTGTCCATTTACATGCATGCACACAACTGTGATGTAAGTTTAGAAAATATATCTAGTTGTACAAGCCACACCCAGACCCCCTGAATTATTTAACAAACAAAAGCCATGATTTAATCCCTCCCTTAGCACCCCAGGGAAACCTTAGGGAAGGGATACAGTGGAATGATCTCTTTTTAAGTGTATAGTTCAATGCCATTAGATAGTTTTTAAAGCATTCTATCAGCATGGCTACAAGGGAATCTCCAAATTTCTTTTTTGTGTGTATGTGTATGTTAAGAAATATTAGTTTTATTTAACCAGTTTTCACAGCTGAATATTTATTCTATAAAAACTTCCCAGATTGTACGGTTTAGATACAGTTCAAACTACTGAATGAAAAGGTAGGTCCCACAGATGCAAAAATACTGTACCAATCAATCCAAGGTAAAGGCAGATTTACACACTGTACAGCTCTCCAGGTGGCTGGGGAGTTGGTCAATTCTAAGTATAAACTTCAAAACTGTAAAAAAATAAGGATTTGGTTTTATTTTGCTCTTCATACATTCAGTATGATTGCAAGCTCAGAAGCCTAACTAATAATAGGCATCTGTAGTCTGGAATCAGTACCCACTCCTGGAAGGAGTGCACATATCTATCCATACAGGGCACTCTTGGAGACCATACTGAACTCAGTATATTGTATAGACATAAAAGCAGAGACCAAGAACATTAAATGTTGAATATAAGGTAGTTCTTTTTTTGTTTTGAAAGGAGTTTTTGCATTTAACAATGTGCCAAAAGAATTTTAACTTATTAAATAAATATATTCTAAGTGAACCTAAATATACTTTATAAACATAAAAATACTTTATTTTGGTGTAATACATCAATCGTATCTGCAAATAGAAAACCAAAACTGTCTATAAAGTAGTATTTCTCACCCAGCAACAAGAAGTACTTATGTAGTTATTTTTCAAAGGGGTCAGAAAAACTTTAAAACCCACTAAAGACTAACTTATAACTTAGATAGTCATACTTAAGCTATTCAGTGATTCACTAATACCGCAAAAAAAAGCTTTCTTCTAGAGACAGTGGTTTCTTCATGTTAACTGGGTAAGAACTGGACATATTTAAAAAAGAAGGGGAAACCAACTGTTTCCCTCTCAATGCTCACAAGGGTCTTTCTGGCTGCAGGGAAGCAATTAATTCACTGATGGAAGTGTCTTTGAAACTTACATGTTTGGTTTTTTACTATGAATGAAAAAATGATTACCCTTTTACTGAAAGTGCTAAATATTTTTGCAGGTTTGTAATATGACAGCAATGATGTTGATGATCAAAGGCCATTTAAGCATCCAAGACTTTCGAGTCAGGATAGATGTGTGATTCATGTCTTAAACAGGGGCGATATTAAAAATATTAAACAACCATCATGGCATAGATGCCAGCCACAGCACAGGACACGGAGCCTCCTGTCGTGCCAGGTCAGGTTGGTGGGGTGGCATCAGTGGACTCAAAGCAGCAGCTGTTCAAAACTGATATGGGAGGACTTCAATATTTTAACAACCAATATGTATTGGCTATGTATCAGCCTTGATCTTATGGGACTGTGGCTGGTCTGAGCTTCCAGAGACCTTAGAAAGCATCTAGTCCTGAAGTTTCCATGTTTATTCTTAACCTACAGAATCTAATAAGCTATAGCTTGTTTGTAAACTAGTCTTAAACTTTTTGAACAATGCCTCTTGGTCCCTTTCCCGTATATTAGGATTGATTTCATCCATATGTAATCATGAATTTCAGCAAGTGTAGCTGTTATAAACAGCTTTCTTAGAAGCCTGTTTGCTTTCAGAAATCTTTGAAAAATGACTTCTCATGGAGAACTATCTCTGCAGAGAATGTCTCATCTATCAAGTGAAGAAATACAACCTTTCTCTTTCCCCATTATCGGGGAACACCTCTTAAGGTTCCATCTCTCAATACTGCCACATGGGGGGTTAAATTTCTTTCTTTTTTTTCTTTTCTTTTTTTTTTTTTTTTTTGAGACAGAGTCTCACTCTGTTGCCCAGGCTGGAGTGCAGAAGCACGATCTCGGCTCACTGCAAGCTCCGCCTCCCAGGTTCACGCCATTCTCCTGCCTCAGCCTCCCGAGTAGCTGGGACTACAGGCGCCCGCCACCACGCCCAGCTAATTTTTTGTATTTTTAGTAGAGATGGGCTTTCACCGTGTTAGCCAGGATGGTCTTGATCTCCTGACCTCGTGATCTGCCTGCCTCGGCCTCCCAAAGTGCTGGGATTACAGGCGTGAGCCACTGCGCCCGGCCTATGGGGGGGTTAAAAAATGCGTTTTGGAGAGGATAAATGTTCAAACTATAGCAGAAGGCATGACTATACATGGTCCTGTTCAGAGTGCGCTATGCCTTATTTTTTAAAAAATTTCTACGTATCTTATAAAAAGCACAATTTAAACACAAATGTATAAAATATATAAAATTTTCTTTAAACTTATTTCAGCATTTCTTCCTTTATGTAATATATTCCAAGCTCCCTACACACCTGCCACCAAAAAAAAAAAAAAAAATACATAAAATAAAGGAAGAAAGAAAGGGAGAAGGAAGGAAGAAAAGAAGGAAAGAAGAAGAACACAGAATACAGAAGAAGAATACAGAAGCAGGTCCTTGTGGATGCACAGTTAATTCAGAAGCCTCATTTTGGCCATAAGTTTCTGTTTGGCCCTAGGCTTCTTCAAGTCTTTTACCAGAACTGCACATAAATTCATGTGAGGGTCACCTTCTTTCTTCCTTCCTCTTGACCACCTGGGACAGGGGTTGCTGTGATATAATGGGAAAAGGCTGACTTTTAGAATCTGGAGACTTTTGGAGAAGACAAATTAGGCAATTCCTAGCAAGTACCTACAATATACAGTAGCTGCTCAAAAATGTCTACTGAACCTGAGGTTTTTAGTGGGCAGGGAATGGTCAGCCAAGAGGAAATTAAAGAAGGCAGGAGAGCCTGCTAATTCACAATCTGGATAATCAGACACAATACTTAACGTCCACAAATTCATTCAGTCTTTCCATGGAATGCAGGCACATAGTAGGCTTACTATCATACCTTATCATACCTTATCTGAATATAAAATTAAGACACCCTTCTTAGGGACCTTCTGGAGATCTTCTCCAAAATATTTTTAACATTTCAATTACAGCTTTTCCAAAATTTTGGCCAACATGGGAATTGTTTAGCAACCACATCAAGGGGAAATATAAATATCTTTTTAATAATTCAACTAGACATTCAGTTTTTTAAAAAATAACCTTTTCACTTCATCAAGTGCAAACTGTAATGAGAAAAAGAGATGGAGATAGATTTGGCATTTTGCAATAGGGAAAAAAAAAACAATGAACAAAAATACTGCATTTGCAGTAAGAGGAACAACAGTTGAAGTTTGGGAATTATTGGGAGGGGGTGTACCAACAAAAGGGCAGGAAAGAAAAACTGTTTTACAAGTGAGATTTCTTAGCTTCCAGAAATAGAGAAAGTAGTTTATATACTCCTGCACATTTGTATAGACTTGCAAGATGTGCTTTGCTTAATTCTTAGGTTATATTGTTTATGCTGTTGGTATGCAGAAGACCAATGCTGTTTTAATATGTATGCTGTTAACAAATTCCTCCAGTCTCAGCCTTTGCTTATGATGGTGGATGGAGACAAGCACTAGAATTTCAAAGATGTTGAGTTTAGAGTCAGAAGGGACATTAAATATCAACTCCTATTCTTTGGGCTAAAAAATGTATGTATTTTTTTTTCTAACTGCAGTGTAAAATGTTTCTTATTTTCTAAGAGATGTCAGTCAGGAATAGGGTCACAAGCCATATTGAAGGGAAATTCTCTATTTGAAACTACAAAATTCTGTGTTGAACTCTGGGCTTAGATATTCAGATTGAAATATATTGCCAGGTTATTGTAAGTATGTTCCATGTGAGAAAATATCTCCTCCCAGATGGAATGTACCTCTTAGATTTTTCCCAACTTGTTTTTGCTATTGTTGGCCTTTTCAAAGTTTCCAAATATTGCAGACTTTTCAAATTCTTATTGTGTTTCTCCCCTCCCTTCTGGATGTCTTGACTGGAGAGTCATGTTCAATTACTTGTACACATTCATCTGTTATTACCTTCTGCTCATTGGAGGGTTCATTGTTACACATCTTTCTTGCTGATCATAAAAAATCCTTTCTCTTGACCTGGAGTTTCTGTGACAGCAAAGCTGGATCACTTGTCCACTGCTCCTGTGCATCCAGGACCCTCCTTGGGAATGAAGACCCTTCCGTGGTCCCTCCTGTCTCCCTATCTCCTTGACCATTCTACCATCCAACCAACTGTACACCTCTCTAAATATGGAATGCTGCATGGGCAATGCAGCCACTCTATTCAAAATGACGACTTTACTCCCTTTTTGTGTTTTCCTGTGATTTCTTATGGTGTAGCTAGAGCTTCCACTTCATTTAAAATTAACTTTTGTTAAAAAGGAAAATATGCTGAACTGCTTAATGCATTTATCAGTTCATTTTAATTTTGATTCAACAATTATCTGCAATAATATAACAAGCCCATATTATCTATTTATAAAGATGTGTGTGTGTACAGTGAAACGTTGTCTCTGGGTGGAAAGAGCTGAGGATCTGAGCAGCACTCATCTGCTCCAGGCTGCATTTGAGGCTGGGGGACCATGTGGGGCCGGAAACACACTCTGCCTCATCTGCATGGCTTGAATTCTATTTCACACATTTTTGAAGGTTGCACATTTCCACAGAGCTCCTCTTCAATCCAGATTCCCTTTTCCCTGTAATCCCCTGTTGGTGCTTTATCTGTGAATAATTTTTTAAATGAATAAGAATAGAAGCAAGGCAAGCAGGTGTTTCTTTTTCTTTTTTCTTTTCTTTTTTTTTTTTTTTTTTTTGAGACAGAGTCTCGGCCCAGGCTGGAGTGCAGTGGTGTGATCTTGACTCAGTGCAACCTCCGCCTCCCAGATTCAAGCAATTCTCCTGCCTCACCCTCCCTAGTAGCTGGGATTACAGGTGCCCACCACCACGCCTGGCTATCTTTTTCCTTTTCTTTCCTCCTCTTCATTCTCTTATCTTGTTTTCCACTCCCTTTGTGATCACCTTCTCTGACATCTTAATTCTTCCTCTGTTCAGAATGGAAAATGCTGTGGTGTAGATAAAGCCCATTCCAGGAGGTCTGGGAGGGAAGCAACAAGCTGAGTTGAGAGGGTCATGTCACTGGCCTTGCATCCCCATAGGGCTCAAGTTCAGAGATTATCCCCAGATGAGGTCATATACATGTCACAGAGCTACACCGAAGGACTGAAAGAAGGTGTCTTAGTTGCTTATAAGGGAATCCCTGAAACTGGGTAATTTATAAATAAAAAGAACTTATTTCTTACAGTCATGGAGGTTGAGAAATCTAAGGTCAAGGGGTCACATCTGATGAAGGCCTTCATGCTGGTGGGGACTCTCTGCAGGGTCCCAGGTGGCACATGGTATCACAGAGCAAGAGGGTTGAGCATGCTAGCTCAGGTCTCACTCCCATTTCTTATAAAGCTACCAGTCCCACTCCATGATAACCCATTAATCCATGAATGGATGAATTCACTCATGATGGTAGAGCCCTTGCAACTGACCCAATCACCTCTTAAAGGTCCCATCTCTCAATACTGCCACATGGGGGGTTAAATTTCAACATGAGTTTTGGAGACGGTAAATGTTCAAACTATAGCAGAAGGCGTGACTACATATGGTCCTGTTCAGAGTGCACTATGCCTTATTTTTAAAAAAATTTCTACGTATCTTATAAAAAGCACAATTTAAATACAAATGTATAAAATATATAAAATTTTATTTAAACTTATTTCAGCATTTCTTCCTTTATATAATATATTCCAAGCTCCCTACAACCCTGCCACCAAAAAAAGAAGAAAATAAAGGAAGAAAGAAATGGAGAAGGAAGGAAGAAAAGAAGGAAAGAATAAAAGAAATAAAGAGAGAAGGGAAGAAGTAGCCATAGACTGGCTCTCTCTCATTCTGAGAGGCTCTAGCTATGGAACAAAAGAAAGAGGAAAGGGTTGGCTGACTCATGGTCCTCCTGGCTCCACCACTGACCAGCCTGGGACCGTGTAGATACTACCCTGTGAGCGTTGCCGTGCTCAGTTCTGTCTGAAGTGACAGACTGGAGGTCTTCATGGTCTTCTCCAGAGGCAGCAATTTTCCACAATTCTGATGGACCCTTTAAATATGCAACATGTTTAAAGTTAGGGCTTTACACTCTAGATTTTTTATGAAGAAGGGGTAAAAAAAGAACCTGAACCTGATTACTTTTCCCTGACTTGCCCTGGAGACCCTTAGAGAGAAAGCACTTGTCAAACATCACTTAGAGCAGCCAGGTTTAGCAATATAGCTAAGTCAGGCTACCAGGAGTGAAGCCAAGCAAGGGATTGAGGACTTAACTAAATTCTCCAGCAGAGGCCTGGGAGACTCAGTCTTTAGAGAAGCAGTGACTGTATCAGGAATGGAAATTAGCTGAAGAGGCTGGTGAAAGCAGGATTTCTCATGACAAATGTAGATGTGACCAGCAAGGGGTTGTGCCTACAGGAAGAATACAGAAGCAGGTCCTTGGGGATGCATCCATCATACCCACAAATACTTCCTTAAAAGCTACCTTTAAATAATGGAAAATGCATTTCAATGTATGGAGACAGTGGGAGCCCGGGATAGGCCTAGCGTATGTAGAGTAGTGAGTGAGCCTCAGTGTCTGTTGAGAGGCCAGATGTCTTCACAGGCTGAAGCTGACTGTGAAATCCGGGCCTGCTTCTCACTTTGTCCATCACAGCAACTCTGATAGTAAATAATTTCCCTTTCCCCTTTCAGAGCTTGCCAATTCTACACTCTTTATACTTTCAACCAGTAGTGGGTTTCAGCATTCTAATAAGTGCTCCATGTGAGTCAACCAGCATGCCCTGGGATCCAGGCTGTGGGAGGCAAACAGGTTTCAGCGAAGGGATATAGCAGTAGATGGGGTGGTATCATCTGAAATGCAAACCCTTGTGCAGCATACTCTAGTAGCATTTATACTGATATTTTACTAAATTAAGTTGAGCAATTTAGTCCATCCAGAAATCTGAAATTCAGAACAAAATGTTGATAAAATAAAAAAAAAAAATTAGCACCTGAGCATGAATGACTGTTGTCATCATTGTGTCATTATAATCACAATAAGGATGATACCCTGCTTGTTTGGAAAGCAAGAGCTGAACCTGAAGATATGTATAGTCCTTTAAGAATGACGATTTAAGCCTTGACCTCTACTCCTTAGGCCAGCCAGTGTAGACAGAGGAAAAATTGTATTTCTGTTTCACTTATCTAGGGCTTTCTATGTACCAGGCACTTCACCCACTTTATCCCCTTCATTCCTTAATATAACTCTATCAGGCATATGCAGTTATTCTCTCCATCTGGCAAGTGACAGTACTGAAGGTTTGTCACTTAGCTGGTAGGGGAAGATGCAGGACTCATATTCAGGCCTGACTACAGAACTCTTGCTCCATCCTTTGTATACTATTACCCCAATCTTGAATCCTGGAAATCCTTCAGAGTTAAAAGATGGTGGATGAGAGGACGTTGGCTGAATTACTGAAGTATATGCTTGTAGAATATAACAAGCAATGAAAGATCTGTTATATTAGAGGTTATTGTGTCAGAAAGTGTTCATATTAGTAGAAGACAAAAGCCTGCATGCGTGTATCCCACTTATCCTGTGTCTTGTAGGATTCTATAATTCTAAGATTTGAAGGAGCTTTTTTTTTTTTTTTTTTTTTTTTGAGACAGGGTCTCCCTCTGTCACCCAGGATGGAGTGAAGTGGTGTGATCTCACCTCACTGCAACTTTCGCCTCCTGGCTTCAAGTGATTCTCCTGCCTCAGCCCCTTAAATAGCTGGGACTACAGGCGTGCACCACCATGCTGGGCTAATTTTTGTATCTTTAGTAGAGATGGGGTTTTGTCATGGTGGCCAGACTGGTCTTGAACTCCTGACCTCAAGTGATCTGCCCGCCTCGGCCTCCCAAAGTGCTGGGATTACAGGCATGAGCCACCACTCCCAGCCTGAAGGAGCATTATAGTATTTAATTGAATGCTCTCATTTTTACCAAGGAGAAAACTAAAACCCAGAGAGGTTGGCTTGCCTCAGTTTACCGTCTCATCACAGCGTAAGTTGCACTTTCTCCTTCCTCACCCATTCTTTCCTCCAGACATCGCCAATGCAGGACCATAGGCTAACAGCATCCTTAACAACCCTGGTTATTTCCTTGATTGAGCTCTCCCTAATCAAGGCACGGCCCTCATAGAAGGGAATTTCCAAAAGGCTGCCTGAGGCTGCTGATCAACAATTCATTTTTAGCGTTTCTTTTTAAATCACTCTAAGTTGTTGCACCTGGGTCACAGTGACAGCTGAATAAGGGGGCTGAGCGGCAACGTTGTTCTGGGCACCAGGTTGGTGAGCCCCCTCCGCCATGTATATGCATGAGTTCTCCATTTGCATAAAGCGCAAAAGCATCACTCCCATTAATCACTGCATTCATCTTAATAATTAGTGGCAATAATGTTGAAGAGTGGTGGTCTCCACATCGATTTCTGAGGCACCATGGGCTATTTCTGTTGCAGATGAATGATCATCAAGAGTGACATGTTGATGTCTTTGGATCGACCACCCCAATTCCACGTGCTTTACAGCCTGGCAGCTGGTCAGGAAGCTCTGGTGATCTGTGGGGCTAATGCTGTCCCTCTAACAAGAACAGTAAAAAGGAGTGATGTGACACCTGGGAGGGGGGTTTAGGAAAAAGCCCCTGACCACTTTAAGGGGTGCTCTCTTAGCCATATGCATAGTAAACTAGCTGTAACTAACTGCAAAGCAAGAGGCTATTTGTCATAGAGATTATGACTCCATGGATAAGTACTTGAAAGGCTACCACTTGCTCTCAGACCTTCTCCATAAAAGATTGTCTTGGGGTCTGTAATTTGCCAATACTTCTGGGTCAAGAGAAAGCCATTTCAGATCAGAAATGTAATAGAAAGTTTTAAGGCCTGTGGTACAGTGCCAAAGAGGATGGAAGTATTAATAATTTTCATGGTTTTTTTAAAAAGGCCCTATCAGGTAAAAAAAAAAAAAAGAAAAAAATAAGTCACAAAGGAATCCACTTGAAGATTTGAAAAGAAACTACAAAGGACTTCATTAATACAAAAGGGAAGAATAGTCAGAGAACAAAAGAATAAGGAAGGAGGAAACGAATGGAAAGGCAGGGAAGGAATTATAATAGTGTCAGACAAGGGAGGCTGGTGAGGAAAAACTAAGGAGGAATTAAAACAAAGACTCCTCAACTTTCTAGATCCACGAGATCATCCTGGATATTTCCCCTTTGAGGAGATGAAGACGAAGTGTGAGTGACAGAGAAATTCGGGTGTGAGGTGTAAATGTTTTAAAATGTGGTAATTTATCTTGCACTCTGGGTTAGCAGAAAGCCATCAGCACAGCTTCAGGTTGATTTAGGAAATTTGATAATACGTATTTTTTTGCCTTCTCACCTTATATTCACCGGTAAATGACAGACCCTACTTTTATGATCTTTCGTTCTGTCTTCTTCAAAAGGTGAGGTTTATGCTTTTATGAAAATTAATAAAAATCTCCTAAAGAGAGTGCAGGTGTTTCCAATGGCTATTTATTTCTCTAGGAGTATATTCAAATACAACTGTCCTTCCCCCGACGTGACATAAAGAGAATTCTCTGCATCCCCTCCACTGCTGTCTGTACTAGCACCTTGTCTAGGAGAAGGACAGCACATTGAATCCAGTTGGTGTCTGCACATAAATCATTCTGAAGAAAAAAAGTTTTAATTTACTTAAACAATTGGGTATTTTGTACACAACTAGTTGATCTCAACAATTATTTTTCCAAGATGTATGTGGGGTGTGTGTGTGTGTGTGTGTGTGTGTAATGAACAGCTTTGTGTGAAACACAGCTGACTAAACTTTTGGGACAAGATAATGACCCTCAAAACTGAGCGCTTTGAGAATTTGTTTGTTGCTATACCTCCTTTTCTCTTCTTTGCAGCATTATCTGTTTTTGGCATCTAGAGAGGCTTTGTTACACCTCCATGCTGGGTTCTGAAGGGAAGGGTACAATTGTAAAACATCGAATAAACATGTGTGCAAATAAACACTAGGGCTGACACTTGTCCTCCTAAATGAAGTCCACAAAGATGAGCTCTTGCGTGATCCTCTGAACCAGTTCCTTCCTGGAGATAAAGGGTGCTGAAAAGAAAGTATGTCTTACATACAGGTTTGGAGACAGGGGAAGGATGCTGGGCTGTGAACAATAGCATCCCCAAGGAGCCCTTGCAATGTGGTAGCTGGAGGGCAAAGGAGGGGTGCTAAGTGATGCAGGATCTGGCCATCTTTGACCCCAGGAATTACAGCATTTGAACCAACAAAGGAGGAGCACAATAGGCCTCTACCTGAGGGTCTGGTGTGCCCATTCTGGCCTTAGAGTAGGTTGACCCTGATCAGCCAAAATGCCACAGGCCTAGGATGTGGAGTCCTTGCAGTGAAGTGTTTGTCTTGTGTCATCTGAGTAAGGTCTGGGCATTTTGCAAAGCTAGATTTTCCCTCTGGACCCTTCTCCCCTCTGTGTCTTGCTGTGTCTGGTTTCTTTGCCCTATCGCTCAGTATCTGGCATGTGTATGGGTGTTTTTAATTGGATCCTCTGAAATGCATTTCTGACACTGATTTGGTTATATTCTATTCTATTCTGTTATCAAACAAATTTGCTGTCAAATAAAAGATCAATGTTATTGTAATGTCCTACTTGATGGATTAAATAGGGTATTATTCAACTCTTATTAAACAATCAAGAAAAACACACTGGGACATGCTTTCATTCTCAGCTGCTAACAAATACAGTGTATCTGATCTGTGATTAAGAAACAAAGCAGGAGTAGTTATTTTCAGATTAATTAAACAAACGAGTAGGATTTAGGGACCAGGATTTTTAAAACCCAGTACAATTCTTTGAAACATGTTTGAAAAAGGACATAATTTACTTTAACTACATGAGTGAACACTTAAGAATATAAAATCTTTCAATGACGCAATTCTGGATTAATTGCCCAGAACTATCGCGGTGCCATAAACAAAACCGTTCCAGGGACAGACCTTTAGGAAGAGTTTTTTTTTTTTTTTTTCTTGTGAGTAAATGTCCATTTAGAGAGCTTTTCTAAATTTAGAAGCAACGTTCATCAATCATTTATAATAAGCACCGAAGAACTGCGCTCGCCTGCCTGAGACGCAGCCCCCTGGTGAAGAGCGGTCCCCGACCAGGGCTGTGTTGCCGGACCGGCACCCACTCCATTACCAGCGTCTGACCTTTGTGTTCCTCCGACTTCACTCTCGAGATGCCCAGAGAAAGCAAATATTAAATCAGTAGAAATCTCCCTCTTATCTCAGGCTGCCTGGCTCTATATTATCTTTAGACTCCCCCTTCCCCACGCCACCACCCGGCTTTACATACAGTTGGCTACATTTTGGCTCCTTCTGTCTGATGCTGTTTCCGCTAATGGCTGAAGAAATGGAACATTACACCATTTAACGTGTGTGGGTCACATTAATCACAGAAAATTCTTTTAATGTCTCAGAAGTAACTGTCAAACTGGACATACTGAATCTATTTAAACTAAAGCATGCCATTTTTTATCTACAGTGATCTTTAATTCCCATAAAAGGGTCAAGAAAATGTGATTAAGTGACAGTTTTAAAATGTACTATAATATTAAATAGCTTGATTAAGTGACAACTATAAAATGTAATACAATATTAAGTATCTGGCTATGTCCCAAAAGAACTTTAAAGTATTTTTGAACGGTTTGGGAATTCACTAACCCATAATGGGTTACGAAGGAATTTTTTTTTCTTTTGGTGGGGGACATAAAAACAGTTGAACTGAAAACACACACTAAAAACAAAACAAAGGGAAAAAGTCCTCAGCATTTACAGAGAATATAGAGTTGCAGAGCCTCTCTTTGGAGGGCCAAAGACTGGGTTTTTGGTAATATGGAGATTAAGATCATTTGAAGATTCTGAATTTGCCAGTGCTTGACCAGACTTGTAATGCCTGTGACACAGAGAATAGAATCAAAGATAGTTGTGGTAGGGGGACCTCACAGCTGAATGGAAAGGCCACAGACTAGTCAGTGACCTCCCGGGTGACCTCCAAGGGGCTGACCATCAGCACCCCAGATTCCTGACTTACCTGTGTATTGCAACTCAGTTCCCATCAGGGACAGCATAGGAAACACCAACCTGGCTTGGTCCTCCAGCTCGGTCTCCAGTAGAGTAAGCCAGTGGAGACACCAAAATACTTCGCAATGTCAGGACTATAATGGGAGTCAGTCATGGGGTCCCCATTAGGGAGCTGAGGTTAGAAGGAGACAATTCTATGGAATTCCGAGGAGAAATGTCTGGATCAGGTGCCCAGGCCAAATAACCAAAGACATTCATGCCACTATTCAGACAGTGTACTAACTCTTCTCCAACAATCATTTGGTCACATTTTAGCCTGGGATCCCCCAGAAAGCATAACTTTAGTCAAAGTTGTTGTGCTATTATTCTGTTAGAAGGTACAGTCTCAGGGAGCAGGGGTGAGGGGACAGGGAAGGAAGGAGAGCCAGTATTAGGATGTCTTACCCCTCTGGCTGCCACTGAAGTCTGACTAATTGCTTGTTCTTGCAGGACTGTGCCCCAAGGAAGCCACACAAACTGTGTAGCCAGACAGTCTGTCTGGGAGGAGAAGGAAGGAATTTATCTACCAGCTCCCATCTCTCATGGACCAAATTCTTCCCCACTGTACATAACTCCATATCACTTTCAGATTGCATAAGGTGGGTGTTTGGTGGGCTCTTGGGCATCCTGCTTCTCTGTAGCAACAGGGAAGCCCTGAGACAGGAGGCCAGGTGGGTCAGGTGGAGTCTGCAGAGTGTTAGGTGGAGCCCAGGCAGAACAGGTTGCTATGGGAGTGCCTGGTACAAGAAGAGTCTGGGAGGAACTGAAGGAGCACATTAAGAACTTCTCTATCCGGGTCAGAATCAGATGGAGGCACTCAGTAGGTAGTATAGTTCACCAGAACATTTCCATATGCCCCTGCTGACAGAACATCAATGGAATCTTGATGTATCCTGGCTTTTCTCCGAAGCATAAGCCACTCTCCATCCCCAGCGAGATTTTGGACTGGGTACCATGGACAAGTGCATTGTCTCCTCTAAAAACTGTAAAGTAGATGATAAGTTTTGGCGATGTTTAGCAAGTGGGTGAGCCTAGAATTGCAGACATGTGCTACGCTCCCTTTAAGAGCCTCTCAGAGCCCCCACAGAGATCTCAGAAAAGGGTTGACTCTGACTTTTAAGGACACTCGTCAAGAGAAAGATAGAAAGCCAAGCTAGGTATCATGACTGGTCCCACAGTGACAGAGATGAATAGCCGTGACACATTTATGTAGGCTCGCCTTTTTCTCTGGGTGAGGATGAAGCCTCATTTGGAAGATTTGCTCATCTGTCTAATAAATCAGTGCAGAAAGTTTCCCTGATATTTACTCAGGACTTTCTTTCCCGTCTTCATTTCATTCCATGCCTCTGATTGCTCATCCTCAGACCAGGCTACATAAATCTCTTCTCTTTCTTCTGCCCTTTTGTCAACCATTAGCCTGCTCCCCCTCTGTCATTGTTTCACCAGACTATAGATGTAACTCTTCTAATCTTCCCTGATAAATCAGGCTCTCAGAATCACTCCTTGTTGCTCCCTCAAACTCCCTAGAGCTGGGATATAGGGCTCTGAGGGCCTGGTGCAGACGTTTCTTTTATAATGGGCCCTGAAAGGTTGTCAGCTGCAGATAATTAGGATCTCACTTGCCGCCATCGAGCTGCATATATCTTCCATGCAAAGAACCCCCATCACCTTCAAAAGAATTAACACATACAGAGGAGATATACGAGGGGCTGGCTGACCGGAGGATGGGGCCAGCTCTTCTGAAGGCCAAAACTCTTCGTGTTTCATGTTGAGAGAGAGGCATTCTCTCAGGAGAGGAACCTCGCCCTCCTCACACTTCTTCATGGTAAAAGCCTCACACTGTGTGTCTGGACTGTGCATCATGGAGTAGTGAGAAGAATATCTTTTTAGCTAAATTATTGAATAATAGTGCTGTCCCTTTATGCTCCACCCTATTCTCTCGGTCTCCCTATTGAGACAAACTTTAGTCTTGCACTGAGAGCTCAAGTATATTTTGTTTGCTGTCTTTATTTTCTAACTCTGATAATAATTGGCTCACATCACTTGTAAACACGATTCAGTCTTTCTTCCTTCCTTCCTTCCTTTCTTTCTTTCCTTCTTTCTTTCCTTCCTTCCCTCCCTCTTTCTTTCTTTCTTCCTTCCTTCCTTCCTTCCTTCCTTCCTTCCTTCCTTCCTTCCTTCCTTCCTTCCTTCCTTCCTTCCTTCCTTCCTTCCTTTCTTTCTTTCTTTCTTTCTTTCTTTCTTTCTTTCTTTCTTTCTCTTTCTTTCTGACAGGATCTCACTCTGTCACCCAGGCTGTAGCGCAGTGGTGCGATCTCGGCTCACTGCAACCTCTGCCTCCCAGGCTTAAGCGATTCTCCTGCCTCAACCTCCCAAGAAGCTGGGATTACAGGCATGTGCCACTACCGTCTGGCTAATTTTTGTATTTTTAGTAGCGACAGGGTTTCACCATGTTGGCCAGGCTGGTCTTGAACTCCTGACCTTGAATGATCCACCTGCCTTGGCCTCCCAAAGTACTGGGATTACAGATGTGAGCCACCATGCCCGGCCCACGATTCAGTTTTTCTTTAGTAGTTTCTCAGAACTAACAGGTATATAGCTTCAGGAAAACTGGGTGGGCTGTCAAATGGATATGACATCAGAATGCAATGTTGCCCCCAAAGTTAGCCTGGCACAGAGAAATTCTTCTCAGGCAAGTGATCCATTAGACCTCAGGGTCCAGCATGGTTGGGGTTGGAGATGATACCCAGAGGGAGGGAGAAAAGTGGCATGGGTTGGAGATTCTCCCTCCACAAGGAGAAGAGCAGTTTTATTTTTACTCATATTATATATTAAGATTCCATCTAAGATTTTATATTTTTTAAAAGGGGAAAACAAGCTTGAAAACTACTAATGCTATCACCTTGTACCTGAGGAAAGAGGCCCAGAGATAGGAAGGACACATGGCTTGCTAGTGCCAAGCCAAATTTAGAATCCACAATCTCCAGTACCTTGGTTTTTCATTGTTCTTCACCGACCAGCTGCAACATAATCTTCATAATAATGTTCTTGAGTATTGCCTTGGAATCATTAGGAAACAGACAGGCCTATATATTCCCAGGGACTAGCGTTGATGATAAAGTGCTCTTTGTGGTCTGAGATGCTCCTGCTGACCTGTGCACTTGGAGTGATTTTTCTGGTGGTGGAGACAGATGGGCACTGAGTCACCGTCACGATCGCCATCCTTTAGGAGGTAATTGGTGAGTCTCAGGGGTGTGATATTTGACCATGAACCTCAGCAAAGGGAACTGACACCTTAAGGGAGAAAGTGCAATGTGGCCTGGATCTCATTGGGGTCACTGTGGGGGCTAACCATAGAATTTCAGACCTAGATTGGGTCATAGCTGTCTCCCAGCCTAACTCCCTTTTTTTTAAAAAGCTGAAGACATCAAGGCCCACAAAGGTCAAGTGATTTTCCCACACAGAGGAGGAGGGAATTCAGAACTAGTGGGCAGCAGGCATTGGTTCTTGTTTCTTGGCTGGATGGAGCCTAATTAGTCTACTCTCCTATTGCCCTTTCCACCCGGTCCAGTTTAAGACAGGGTTGTGGATAAAGGTGTCTGCTCTGCAGACTAAAATTTCCTTGAGTCAACTGTTCCTGGGTCTAAATAGGAGAGAGAAAGGGACATTGAGGAAGTTATCAAAGGTGCTCGGTTCTCACCCTAAAGTATGTCCTTCTCCTGGGTCTTTTCATCAATGAGGATGGTCGTTGAGCCTCCAAATATTAACTGGTTTTTCTTATTTCATTTGATTCAGCACTTGGGGGAGGAAGAAAAATATTATTTATTGGGTGCCCTCATATTCAAGTCTCAACATTCTACTTTCTGGAACTTATATTAACAGCAGCTGCCTGCTGGAATCTCCAGGAATCTTAGTCCATTTCCCCGCAGAGAATGGAGCCTGTTGGAGTTGTTCTTAATAAGAATCCTAGTGGTCGGCATCATTCCTTGAAATGGGTGAACGCCAAAGTCATAGTGGGTTTTGACTGAGATTCCTTTTCTAAGATGGGTCTTTATAAACATTTTTAAAGAATAAAACTTGAAACAAATGGAAGGCCTCATTCCCACCAGGACTTCAAATACCAACATATGTATCAAGGAATCTATTCTATTTGATAAGTCAGTTCAAAGTGACCAGGAAATAGCAACAAGGAGCCAGGCATGGAAACCAGCATTTGGTGTTTAGTGAATATTACACACCATCTGTATGTGGGTTGCTCTCCAAAATCCTTGAGTTCTGAAACATCTCTCTTCCTTTTCTGGGTTTTTTTTTTTTTTAAATCAGACATTTGTCTATTTTTAGAGATTCAGAGGGCTTTCCCTGATTAGGTCAAAGTATCACAGGAAAAAAAAATAATAAAACACTGAAAGGAATCCACCTATCAAGAAAGCATCTTGGCCAAAGATAGGAGAGACGAGGGAAGGAGGTCCTGGAGGTCATGAGAAGAGTGAGCAATTAATCAGAAGGTCAAAGGTCTCTCTGAGAACACCATGGTGCTGTGCACAGAGAGTCACTTATTATTGAGAAAGGCAATGATTTAAAATAAGCTTCCTCATCTGGAAGGATGAGAATAATATCCACCTCATAGAGTATTATCTCGGGGTAACATGAGATAATTACGTTTAATGCTCATGAACTGGAAAACGCTTTGAAAATACAACATAGGATTAAGAGAGGTTGTTCGAAACCCTGAAAACTGCACAGCCTCCTGAAAGAGTGGAAACTAGATGCATGGCCTGTTGTAGGGTATTCTGTTAACTGATTTGCAAGAGGCTTCTTGGTCTGCCTTCCTCTTTATAACTTCACAGAAGGTACAAAGCACCAGTACAGCCCCCTCTAAGAGCAGGCATCAGTTCTGACTGGCTCTGTTATCTTAAAACAAAAACAAAAACAAAAACCTTTCTGGCTGGGTGTGGTGGCTCATGCCTGTAATCCCAGCACTTTGGGAGGCCAAGATGGGCAGATCACCTGAGGTTGGGAGTTCGAGACCAGCCTGACCAACATGGAGAAGCCCCGTCTCTACTAAAAATACAAAATTAGCCGGGCGTGGTGGCCCATGTTTGTAATCCCAGCTATTCAGCAGGCTGAGGCAGGAGAACTGCTTGAACCCGGGAGGCGGAGGTTGTGGTGAGCCGAGATCGGGCCATTGCATTTCAGCCTGGCCAACAAGAGTGAAACTCCATCTCAAAAAACAAACAACCAAACAAACAAAACTTTCTAAGAGCAAATAATGTAAATAATGTATCTGTCACCCATTGCACAGTGCCTAACCTTCCACCACCCTCTAAGGAGCATCTCCTTAGGGCCCTTGAAGATGGGAAGGATTCTTCACAAGTGCAAATGACTGGAAGGCAGCCAGTATCTACAGTGTTGAGGTTTCTGTCCAGCTAAAAAAAATCTAGAGGAAAAGCACTGAGTGTTGGAGGAAATGGGTGGTGAAGATTTCCCTTGAATGGTTCTCACATCAGATCAGAGGGGTGTTGGGGAGGAATGTTAATTTTTTGCCTACAGACTAAAAATAATGGCAATTATTAGTGAATTAAAATATTCTTAACCTTTAACAGAAAGGGAACCTCCCAGAATGCAGATGTTTTTTCACTCCACCAACATTTATTGAGCATCTAGTATGTGTTGATCTCTATGATGGGAGCTGGGAAGACATAGCTGTGAAGAAGGGCAAGCATCTCTGTGGACCTATTTCCTAGTAGGATGACAAGAAGGCAGGCATTGTCTCAAACCAGGGCATGACTCTCCCACAAACTCTAAAGGAAGCTGGTCAGTGGTTCTCCTTTTAATTTGCATAATCTGTATGGTTTGATTCTGACATCTGAGGCAGGTAAGATTTTTCATTTTTTGCCTGTCATGCCACTTGTTCTTTGTGTTTATTATTATTTTTTAATAAAAAAATTGTTGCTGGGCATGATGGCTCACGCCTGTAATCCCAGCATTTTGGGAGGCCGACCACGGCAGGCGGACCACGTGAGGTCAGGAGTTCAAGACCAGCCTAGCCAACATGGTGAAACACTGTCTTTACTAAAAATACAAAAAGAAAAAATTAGCCGGGCATGGTGGCAGGTGCCTGTAATCCCAGCTACTCAGGAGGCTGAGGCAGGAGAATTGCTTGAACCTGGGAGATGGAGGTTGCAGTGAGCTGAGATCACGCCACTGTACTCCAGCCTGGGTGAAAGAGCAAGATGTCGTCTCAAAAAAAAAAATTGTTTACTTTCCAGTGTCATTTTAACTTGTTACTAGTGAGCATCTGGCCTGGGTGTTTTCCATTAGCATGAAAATTCAGAAGGCTACAGAAGGAAATACCTATAATTGAGCAGCGAGAGAGCCACTTCATTCTGTGGCCAGGCAATATGTCTTGCATTTCTCTAGTGTAAATAAAATGATGATTCAAAGAATGGTCCCCATTAATGAGTATCTGATTTAGAATAAAACAAAATCCATGCTGGGAAGTTGATGAGCTTGATTTTGCTGAATTGCTTTGAGCTTGCAGCTTATATTTATTGGTTCTTTCCTTTCGACAATTGTCACCAGTTGTCTGCTGTTCTTTCGGGAGAGGGCTTGAAGGTTGATTTTAGTTCCCTGTAACTGGAGGTGACATGTGAAAGCTCAAAGCTATTGAAAAGGTAGGTGATTATTAAAATGTAATGTGTTTCTGTTTTCCTGATTATGACCTCCCAGTCTTGCAATTTGCTGCCAAGCACGTGCCAAAGCTGGAGCACAGGTGGCGAGGTGTCTTTCAGGCTTTGGGAGAGTTTTAGATCATATTAACTATTGACTTATTCCTTTTTCCTAATCCTTTTCAATAGTAGACATGCTGAAAAATTAATATACAGGGAGAAAGAGATGCATGGTTATCTACGAGGCTGTCTGTGAAGAGAGAGAAGGAAACGGAGTGAGAGAAGGAGAAAAAAAAGAGAAAGGGAGAGAGAAAAACATGGAGCGGGGGTCGGGGGGAGAGAGAGACGACAGCACATAATTAAGCAGAAATAACACTTAAAAACAATTGGTGCAGAAGGGTATTTTCCAGAAAAGCAATAGAGCCCTGTTTGAGCACATGCTCCACTTGCATTAACCATGCATTAAAATTAGAGGCAATTCACTTCTGCACATTCTCTGTTGGTTCCTTGTTAGGCTCCAACTCACCACTCCAATGTGCTTGATCAGATGAGAATGACTGGAGTAGGGGGCTCTGGAAACTCTAAATGCCTGTCTTATAAAAAGCAGGAATCACAGTCAAGTGAGAAAACAGTTTTATTGGAGGTAAATGCTGGGTGCCCTACACAGGGGACTGGGACTCATGATCATTAGGGCACAGACATGATGCCTTCAAGAGAGCTGATGGAAAAGAGCGGTTAGTTTTCCAGCACGACTGTTAGAATTAGGCAAGCTGGGTCAATTAAAAGAGCAGGTGCTCTGTAGCTAGTTAGCTGTGTGAAGGATTTTTTTGGCTTGCGGGAGCCTCTGTTTTCTCATCTATCAAGTGGGACTAATACCTATGTCTAAGGAATAAGCAATGTCCCTATGCACCCACAATAATTCCTAGCATACTGCGTGTATCAGTTATGGAAAACTGGGACTTCATCAATAGATAATATAGATATTTAAATTAGGGTAGACTCCAAGAGGGAACATATTCTGTTACATGTAGGCTGTGTCCATAGGGACAAAACAAAAGAATTCATATCCCAAGCCTCCTGCCTTTATGACTGTTTTCTATTCTTATTCATGTGATGACTAATTTATGTTCATAAATCTCAGACCCACCTCCCCTTTTCTACACCCCCTGCAAAGCAATATTGAACTAAAAGCTACCAAATCATTATCCCTTCTTCTGAACTGGGGAAGGTATACAAAAATATAGTCTCTTTACTTAAATGCACACAGAGACTGTGGTGAAAATGACACGACACTTAATCCATATTACTTCCTCCCATTTCAGGGGCAGAAGTTCTCCTCACACACAAAGGACACTGGTCCCTTAGGAGGTTCTTGTGCAGATCTGGATGGGGAGTGTGGGGTCCTCACAGTTTTCATGGGCATCTGCCTGGACTGCTCAGCCCTCCCCTGCTACACACTGTGATCATGCAGCAGGCTGGGTCGGGAATCCCTGGAAAGGAGCATCACGTGGAGCTCCAGGAGGGAACAGGCTTACAACAAAAGCCACCCTCTCCGTGAAATCAGATCCATCTCTGCCCCTGGGGGGCCCAGTGGCAGTTGAGCATGCTTATAGATGGCATAAATCACTTGCAGAACCTCAAGAAACAATTAACTCAGATTGAAAGTAGCTGATAAGGTTTCACTGCCTTGCGTGTTTATGTCCTTTGTTTCAGCTTTTGGTCTTGAGACGGGGAGGATTAAAATTGTTTCAAGGGCCAGGTTGCAAGGAAGGACCAGTAGTTAAGTCAGCTACACTTAGCTGTACTGGCCCTTAGATGTGGCATCTGTTTCACATTCTAAGCAATTTGAATACTCACAGGTTTGCCTTCTTAAAATAAATGTACACACCCACCCTACCCCACTTCCCCCTCAAGAAACACCAGAAATTAATTGATCTTTCTGAGAAGTCAACCTGACAATTTAGAGTGGGTCAATAGACTTAGATGTAGAGAAAATGACAATTCTGTAGTTAGATAGATAAATAGGTAAGTGAGTAGATGGGTGGGTGGATGGATGGATGGATGGATGGATAGATAGATATATAGATATCCTAAAAATGTCTTGCAGAAAGAAACCAGGCTACCAACAGAGAAGACTTTGTATGTCTGTTTAGACCCACCTTGTTTTTCAGAGATGGAATCCTGCCATGTTGCTCAGGGCAGTTTCAAACTCCTGGGCTCAAATGATCATCCCGCCTTGGCCTCCCAAGTAGCTGGGACTACAGGCATGAACCACCAAGCCCAGCTCAGCTCCTTCACTTTAGATTTGATAAGGCATCACTCCATCACTCAACCATTGCCCAATGCAGGAAGAGCTCATGGAAATGCTGAGGGCTGGAGAACACTTCCATTTGTAAAGAACTATGCTAAGAGCCGTTGCCTTCATTTTGGGAAGAGTACTTATGTATTTTTCTAATTATAAAACCAATATAAGTTTATGGAAAAAATTTGGAAAATATGAGAAGTATTCTACAACATTAAAATTATCACTAGCTCTACTCTCTGATATTTTAATGCATTTCTTTCCAGTTGCAAAGGCTTCCACACACAACTGCAGTAGGGAGGGCGCAGGAAGTGGGTCAACGCTTTTGGAGGACTGGGTGAAGTTCAGGATCCTGAGGCCCTACTTTTTGGTCGCCCAGGTGAGACGTTTCAAGGCTGGACCTAGGGGAGACCTCTGTTCTGTGCATTTTTTCATCCAGAGGAGGATGCTTAGACCACATTCTTCCCATAGTTTCAGTCCTCAAGTTCTGCAAGTTTTTATAAGCAGCTGCAATGGTCTTTAGTCCAAGGTCTTCATAAGCAGTTGCAATTGCCCCAGAGGTAGGGGAAAGCTAAATCAATATTTAATCTTTTTTGTTTCTTTGTTTTCCTCTCTTAGAACCCTGCAGACAGCTCTTTATTCTCTTTTTTTTTTTCCTTTTTGAGACAGAGTCTTGCTCTGTCACCCAGGCTGGAGTGCAGTGGTGCAATCTTGGCTCACTGCAACCTCCGCCTCCCGGGTTCAAGCAATTTTCCTGCCTCAGCCTCCCAAGTAACTGGGATTACAGGTGCGCACCACCACACCTGGCTAATTTTTTATTTTTGGTAGAGACAGGGTTTGGTATTTATATGTTTTTGGTAGAGACAGGGTTTCTCCATGTTGGCCAGGATGGTCTTGAACTTCTGACCTCAAGTGATCTGCCCACCTTGGCCTCCCCAAGTGCCGGGATTACAGGCATGAGCCACTGCGCCTGGCTCTAATATAATAGTTGTACATATTTAGTGGGATACATGCGATATTTTGATAGCTGTATACAAGGTTTAATGACCAAATCAGTAACTGGTATACCCATCATTTCAAACATTTATCTTTGCTTTGAGAGAATTACAAATCTTTTCTTCTAGCTATTTTGAAATATAAATAAATTATTGTTAGCTCTAATTTACCTACTGTACTATCAAATACTAGAACTCATTCCATTTCTCTAAATGTATTTTTGTACCCCTTAACTTACTTCTCTTCATCCCTCCTCCACCCTTCCCTTCCTAGCCTCTGGTATCCACCCTTTTGCTCTCTACCTCCATGAGATCCACTTTTTAGCTTTCACGTATGAGTGAGAACATGCAATATTTGTCTATTTGGCATTACTAAAAGCCCCTGTCTTACAATGGGAGAAATGCTTTGGCAGAAAAAGCACAGAGCTGAGATTCAGGGGTCCTGGGTTCCTCCTACCCCATACTTGGTTGTGTGATCTTGGGCAAATTGTATCCTTTCTGGAGATGGGGATTGGGGCAGCAGGGAGAAACTAAGTCAATGGCTTTTGCGTGGGAATGGGAGGACAGCTGCACACTATAATCACCTTGGGAGCTTTTTCCAAATTGAAAAGACAAGATCTGTAAAAATTCTCCCTAGTCAAGCCCTTTGTGACTCACTAGGGATGTAGAGGGAGTGAAGAGGGTTGGTAGCAGCAGGTGGGGGCATGGCTGTGGGGACCAGGAGGCCACAAGCTTCAGGGGAGGAGGCTCTTTCTTCTGTTTCTGTTGAGCAGCTGTGTCACCCAGGCAACATTCAGCACCAGCCATCTGAGAGATCACCGCAGTTGGGGAGAGGGGGTAGGGGAGAAAAAGAGCAAAGATGCTGCTATGAACCAATTAGGTGGGGAAAAAAAGCCAACTCTTACTCTGTCTTCTGTTGCTGTGCTATGTTTTGCCTAGAGACATTGACCATGAAGGAAGAAAGGCGTCCTTTTCTTTTTCCTCTGGCTTTAGTGTCCATCAAGACAAATTATTTCTCTATTCTAGTTTTTTAATTTTCTAGAAAGGAAGGAAAGCCTGTCTCTGGAGTTAGATTATTACTGTTCTTATCATTTCCCTGTGCTCTTCTAACTTTTTTAGTTATCCATCTTCTTTCCCTCTTCAATAGAGTTGGCAGGACCTAAGTTGTAGGGACCCTCCATAGTAAGCCAGAAAAAAACCTACTGATAGCACATGGGGACCCTCCATAGTAAACCAAATAAAAACCCATTGATAGCATGTGAGATGCAAGAAAACCAGGAACAAATGCACCTTTTCCCACATTATTTTGGGGCCCTGTTATAAAAGTCTAGACCAGTTTGGGTTTAGCAGTTAGTTTTCCACTCAAAAAATATGAAATGCATTCTATGTTCTTGCAAGACATAACCCTGTTACTTCCACTAAAATAAGACTGTGTTAAATAACTTTACCATGTAGGAGGTTGGTAAAGAGGGGGAAAAGCTTTTGGAACTTGTCACAGTTACTTGGGTTAAATGCAGGAAAGAATAACTGAGGAAATAGAGCTTAAAGATTATTTTGATTTTCATGAGCATTTACACTTTTTCTTCTCTGAATGAGAAGAGTTTTTATTCTTTGGCCTCCTCAATAAGAAATTGGGCACCTAGTGGCTGCTTAGTAATATTTATATCCTGAAGTTTTATATTTAAATCAGAAATCTTTGATGTAGTTACTCAATTATGCCTCATGCAATTGAAAAGCCCCAAACCAGCAATTGGCAGCAACACTTGTACAGATTTGGACATCAAATTGTGATGGAAACCTGTGAGTGACTTCAAGCTCACTGTGAGCCAAGGTGTCAAGGCAACATGAATGGGTCCAGTGGATAAATAAATGAATGAGTCCTAACTTTGGATTCAGCAGAGTATTGACTTGAAAACTGCATTACTAAATCCTTTATCAGGTTACAGCATCAGATAGTCCAAAAACATGGAGGAGGTGTAATTAATCAAAGAACAGTCAATAGAGTACTGGGACTCCAAGCCTATGTGAACCTGAGCAGGTTATCCATTTTTCTGGAGACTTTTACACTTCCTATAAAGTGGTAATACTTACATTAAGAATTGTCCTGAAGGTAAAATGATATGACCAATCTTCTGCATTTAGCATCAAGGCTGGTCAATGAATGCTTAAGCAAGGTGACTATTATTACTGCTGTTGCTGTTACTGATATCAGTGCAGCTGACATTCCGTATTCCCAAAGTAGTTACTAATCATGATAGACTTACTTCAGAGAACTGTAAGAGCTTCAAGGCTTCCAAGGGTGATACAGTTTTCACCCTGCATTTTCATCTACAAACGCAACCCCTCCACAGACTTCTAAAAACCAAATTCAAGTAAGTCGCAGATGCTGTGCTTTCCAGCAGGATAATGTCAAGTAGGTATTGACTTCTGAGTCTGTGTGAGTACATTATGGCATGCCTAAACCCCTCATTTTTATCATTTTATTTTACAGGGTGAGAGCTGAATGTAGGCTCCAACAGGAAGACGGCATTGAAGCCTGGTTGCTTGTTACTACTCAGAATGCCATCTACAAAAGGAAATTATGTAAAAAGCAATAAAGAACCCCTTTTGTTCTTGCAGGAGTCAGTGTTTCATAACTCTTTCTGTGATATCGTCTGTATAAGTTGAACCTCTAAAGTAAGTTTTTGTCTTTTTCCTTTTTGTTTGTTTTATTTGTTTGGGTGTTTTGACTTAAGAAAACTTGCCTTTTTGATTATTATCACCACATGTTGGATGGTTAGGGGTCTCTTGGTCATTAATAAACTTTACTTTAGTCACATCTGTAGTTAATTGGAATGGACACATGGTTGTTCTTATAAATTTCAAATACATTTAAGAGAAATGAATAAGAAATCTACTTCAAGTATCCGTATTAGTTCTTCAAGGTACCCTGGGAAAAATATTTTTATTGTAAAGTTCCTTTATAGAATGGCTTAAAAAGCTTTTAGTTGCTTCACATTTGGCCTGGAATAGACTTTTGCTCAAGCTAGATTTGCATTTATGTCATAAATTAGAAATTTGCATTTATGTCGTTGGGTTTAGGAACCTTATCTAAGTTGCCACGACCTTACTCATTACCCTCAAGAAAGATGAACAATTTAAAGGGGGAAAAAAGGAAGTGAAAAAAATGGCGGATACGAGGCAGAACTAACCTGCAGCTTCCACTCGAAGGGACAGAGCAGAGTGTGGAGACCCACAACTGGAACTTTTTCTCCAAGAACTACCACAGGAACATACCAAGAAAGCCAAGAGAATCCACAGAACCTTTGGAGGAAGTGGTTTGTCACTGCAGGCTCTGTGGGACAGCTGAGGAACTGTGAGTCTGTTTGCTTTCTCAGTTGGGAGGCTTGTAGCCAGCTGGGAGGCTTGTAGCCTGGGGCAAGTTCTCAGCCCTGCTCACCAGCTGCTTGGAGATAAACTTGGGGTCTGGGGGACTGAGACCAGCCTTTTGGGCTGCGGGCTCTGGCAGAGTGGGGTGGGGGGCGGGCGGGGGAGGCATGGGGACTGAGACCAGCCTCTTTTGGGCTGCGGGCTTTGAGGGAGCTGGGTAAGTCCTGTGGCTGCCCGCTTTCTCCCACTTCCCTGGTGACCTGTGTGAGCAGTAGAGGCAGCCATAATCCCTTGGGAGCATAACTCCATTGGCCTAGGAACCACCCCCATCCCCCACAGCAGCCACAGCAAGCCCTGCCTGAGGAAAGTCTGAGCTCAGACATGCCTATCCCTGCCTGCACCTGGTGGTCTTTCCCTACCCACCCTGGTAGTCAAAACAAAGGTCATAATCTCTCGGGAGCTCTATGGCTCTGCCCACTGCCTGAGAAACTTGAATACTTATCCAAAGGCGACCCTAGGACAAGCTTGTATCCTCCCTATATGACCACCACTAAAGCGCTCTTAAAAGTGCCACCTCCTGGCTGGAGGCCAACCAACACAAAACCAGCACACTTAACAAAAATACAACAAAGGACCCTCACAGAGTCCACTTCACTCCCTAGCTACTTCCACCAGAGTGGGTGCTGGTATCCACAGCTGAGAGACCTAAAGACAGACCACAGCACAGAACTCTTTGCAGACACATCCCAGTACTAGCCCAGAGCCTGGTAGCTCCGCCGGGTGGCTAGACCGAGAAGAGAAATGACAATCACAGCAGTTTTGCTCTCAGGAAGCCCCATCCCTAGGGGGAAAGAGAGAGCACCACATCAAGGGAGCACCCCCGGGACAAAAGAATCCAAACAGCAGCCCTTGAGTCCCAGGTCTTTCCTCTGACATAGTCTACCCAAATGAGAAGGAACCAGAAAAACAATTCTGGTAATATGACAAAATGAGGTTCTTTAACTCCAAAAGATCGCACTAGCTCACCAACAATGGATCCAAACCAAGATGAAATCTCTGAATTGCCAGAAAAAAATTCAGAAGGTTGATTATTAAGCCAATCAAGGAGGCACCAGAGAAAGGGGAAGTCCAACATAAAGAGAAAAAAAAATGATACAGGATATGAATGGCAAAATGTCTAGGGAAATAGATAGCATAAATAAAAAACAGTCACAACTTCTGGAAACCAAGGACACACTTAGAGAAATGCAAAATGAACTGGAAAGTCTCAGCAATAGAATTGAACAAGTAGAAGAAAGAACTTCAGAGTTTGAAGACAAGGCTTTTGAATTAACTCAATCCAACAAAGACCCCCCAAAAATGTTTTTAAATGAACAAAGCCTCCAAGAAGTTTAGGATTATGTAAAATGATAAAACCTAAGAGTAATTAATGTTCCTGAGGAAGAATAGAAATGTAAAAGTTTGGAAAATATATTTGAGGGAATAATTGAGGAAAACTTCCCTGGCCTTGCTAGAGATCTAGACATTCAAATACAAGAAGTTCAAAGAACAACTAGGAAATTCGTCACAAAAAGATCATCACTTATGTACATAGTCATCAGGTTATCTAAAATCAAGATGAAGGAAAGAATCTTAAGAGCTATGAGGCAAAAGCATCAGGTAACCTATAAAGGAAAACCTATCAGATTAACAGCAGATTTCTCAGCAGAAACCCTACAAGATAGAAGGGATTGAGGTATTATATTTAGCCTCCTTAAACAAAACAATTATCAGCTAAGAATTTTGTATCCAGCAAAACTAAGCTTCAGAAATGAAGAACATATACAGTCTTTTTCAGACAAAAGCTGAGAAAATCTGCCACTACCAAGCCATCACTACAAGAACTGCTTAAAGGAGCTCTAAATCCTAAAACAAATCCTCATAATACACCAAGATAGAATCTCCTTAGAGCATAAATTTTGCAGGCCCTATAAAACAATAATACAATGAAAAAAAAGGTATTCAGGCAACAGATAGCACAATGAATAGAATAGTACCTCACATCTCAATACTAATGTTGAATGTAAATGGCCTAAATGCTCCACTTAAAAGATATAGAATGGATAAGAACTCACCAACCAAGTGACTGCTGTCTTTAAGAGACTCACCTGACACATAAGGACTCATATAAATTTAAGGTAAATGGGTGGAAAAAGATGCTCCATGCAAATGGACACCCAAACTAAGCAGGAGTAGCTATTCTTATATCAGACACAACAAACTTTAAAGCAACAGCATTTTAAAAAGACAGAGGGACATTGTATAACGATAAAAGGACTAGTCCAACAGGAAAATATCACCATCCTAAGTATATATGCACTTAACAGTGGAGCTCCCAAATTTATAAAACAATTATTATTAGACCAAATAAATGAGGTAGACAGCAACAAAATAATAGTGGGGGACCCCAATACTCCACTGACAGCACTAGACAGGTCAAGACAGAAAGTCAACAAGGAAACAATGGACTAAAACTATACCCTAGAACAAATGGACTTAACAGATATTTACAGAACATTCTACCCAACAATTGGAGAATGTACATTCTATTTATCAGCACATAAAATATTCTCCAAGATAGACCATATGATAGGCCACAAAACAAGTCCCAAAAAATTTAAGAAAATTGAAATTATATCAACTACTCTCTTAGACCACAGTGGAATAAATTGGAAATTAACTCCAAAAGGAACCCTCAAAACCATGCAAATACATGGAAATTAAATAATCTGCTCCTGAATGATCATTGGTAATCAATATGGAAATTTAAAAATTCTTTTAACTGAATGATAATAGTGACAAAACCTATCAAAACCTCTGGGATACAGCAAAAGCAGTGCTAAGAGGAAAGTTCATAGCATTAGATGCCTACATCAAGAAGTCTGAAAGAGTACAAATAGACAATCTAAGGTCACACCTCAAGGAACTAGAGAAACAAGAACAAACCAAATCCAAATACAGCAGCAGAAAAAAAAAAAAAAAAAAAAACAAGATCAGAGCGGAACTAAATGAAATTGAAACAAACAAACAAAAAATACAAAAGATAAATGAAACAAAAAGCTGGTTGTTTGAAAAGATAAATAAAATTGATAGACCATTAGTGAGATTAACCAAGAAAAGATCCAAATAAGCTCAATTAGAAGTGAAACAGTAGATATTACAATTGATACCACAAAAATACAAAAGATCATTCAAGGCTACTATGAACACCATTATGTACATAAATTAGAAAACCTAGAGGAGACGGATAAATTCCTGGAAATACACAACCCTCCTAGATTAAACCAGGAAGAATTAGAAACTCTAAAGAGACCAATAACAAGCAGTGAGATTGAAATGGTAATTTAAAAGTTACCAACAAAAAAAAGTCCAGGACCAGTCAATTCACAGCTGAATTCTATAAGACATTCAAAGAAGAATTGGTACCAATCCTACTGACAGTATTCCAAAAGATAGAGGAAGAGGAAATCCTCACTAAATCTCTCTATGAAGCCAATATCACCCAAATACCAAAACCAGGAAAGGACACGACAAAAAAGGAAAGCTACAGGCCAATATCCCTAATGCACATAGATGCAAAATCTTCAAGTAGCTAACAGAATCCAACAGCATATCAAAAAGATAATACACCATGATCAAGTGGGTTTCATACCAGGGATGCAGGGATGGTTTAATATCCACAAGTCAATAAATGACACACCATATAAACAATTAAAAACAAAAATCACATGATCATCTCAGTAGTTGCAGAACCAGCATTTGACAAAATCCAGCATTGCTTTATGATTAAAACCTCATCAAAATTGGCATAGAAGGAACATACCTTAAGGTAATAAAAGCCACCTATGACAAACCCACTGCCAACACTATACTGAGCAGGGAAAAGTTGAAAGCATTCCCCCTGAGAACTGGAACAAGACAAGGATACCCACTTTCACCACCTCTATTCAACATAGTACTCTCGAAGTCCTAGCCAGAGCATTCAGACAAGGGAAAGAAATAAGGGGCATCCAAATTGGTGATGAGGAAGTCAAACTGTCACTGTTTGCTGATGACATGATTGTATATTTAGAAAACCCTGAAGACTCCTCCAGAAAGCTACTAGAACTGGTAAATGAATCCAGCAAAGTTTCAGAATACATAATTAATGTACACAAATCAGTAGCTTTGCTATATACCACCAGCAACCAGGCTGAGAATCAAATCAAGAACTCCATCTCTTTTAGAATACATGCAAAAAATAATAATAAAATACTTAGGAATATACTTAACCAAGGAGGTGAAAGACCTCTACAAGGAAAACTTCAAAACACTGCTGAACGAAATCATAGACAACACAAACAAATGGAAACACATTTTATGCTGATGGATGGGTAGAATCAATATTATGAAAATGACCCTCCTGTCAAAGGCAATCTACAAATTCAATGCAATTCCCACCAAAATACCACCATAATTCTTCACAGAACTAGAAAAACAATCCTAAAACTCATATGGAACCAAAAAAGAGCCCACATCGCCAAAGCAACACTCATCAAAAAGAACAACTCTAGAGGCATTACATTACCCGACTTCAAACTATACTACAAGGCCATAGCCACCAAAACAGCTTGGTAGTGGTATAAAAATGGCATACAGACCAATGGAACAGAATAGAGAACCCAGAAAAGAAAAAAGCCAAATACTTACAGTCAACTGATCTTTGACAAAGCAAAGAAAAACATGGGGGAAAGGACACCGTAGTCGACACATGGTGCTGGGATAATTGGCAAGCCACAGGTAAAAGAATGAAACTGGGTCCTCATCTCTCATCCTATACCAAAATCAACTCAAGATGGATTGAAGACTTAAATCTAAGACCTGAAACCATATACGTTCTAGAAGATAACATTGGAAAAACCCTTCTAGACACGGGCTTAGAGAACCCAAAAGCAAATGAAACAAAAACAAAGATAAATAGGTGGAACTTAATTAAATTCAAAAGCTTCTGCACAGCAAAAGAAACAATCAGCAGAGTAAACAGACAACCCACAGAGTGGGAGAAAATCTTCACCATCTGTACATCCAACAAAGAACTAATATCCAGAATCTACAAGGAACTCAAGCAAATCAGCAAGAACAAAACAAAGCATGCCATCAAAAAGTGAGCCAAGTACATTGACCCAGCCATCCCATTACTGGGTATATACCCAAAGGATTATAAATCATGCTGCTATAAAGACACATGCACATGTATGTTTATTGTGGCACTATTCACAATAGCAAAGACTTGGAACCAACCCAGATGTCTATCAATGATAGACTGGATTAAGAAAATGTGGCACATATACACCATGGAATACTATGCAGCCATAAAAAATGATGAGTTCATGTCCTTTGTAGGGACATGGATGAAGCTGGAAACCACCATTCTCAGCAAACTATCGCAAGGACAAAAAACCAAACACCGCATGTTCTCACTCATAGGTGGGAATTGAACAATGAGAACACTTGGACACAGGAAGGGGAACATCACACACCCGGGCCTGTTGTGGGGTGGGGGGAGTGGGAGGGATAGTGTTAGGAGATATACCTAGTGTAAATGATGAATTAATGGGTGCAGCACACCAGCATGGCACATGTATACATATGTAACAAACCTGCACATTGTGCACGTGTACCCTAAAACTTCAAGTATAATTAAAAAAAAAAGAAAAAGACAATTTTCAAAAGAAGATATATAAATGGCCAACAAACATATGGAAAAATGCTCAACATCACTAATCATCAGGGAAATGCAAATCAAAACCACAATGTGATGTCACCTCACTCCTGCAAGAATGGCCATGAAAAGAATAATAATGATAGGTGCTGGTGTGGGTGTGGTGAAAAGGAAATACTTCTGTATTGTTGGTGGGAATATAAACTAGTACAACCACTATGAAAATCAGCGTGGAGATTAAAGAACTAAAAGTAGATCTACCATTTGATTCACCAATTCCACTCCTGGGTATCTACTCAGAGGAAAAGACGTCATTATATGAAAAAGATACTTGCACATGCATGTTTATAGCAGCACAATTCGCAATTGCAAAAATGTGGAACCAGCCCAAATGCCCATCTGCCCATCAATCAAAGAGTGGATAAAGAAATTGTGATATATACACACACACACACACACACACACACACACACACACACCATGGAATACTACTCAGTCATAAAAAGGAACAAAATAATGGCATTTGCAGCAACCTGGATAGAGTTGAAGACCATTATTCTAAGTGAAGTGACTCAGGAATGGAAAATCAAACATCGTTGTGTCCTCACTCATAAGTGGGGGCTAAGCTAGGAGGGCACAAAGGCCTAAGAATGATACAGTGGACTTTGGGGCCTTGGGGAAAAGGGTGGGAGGAGGGTGAGGGATAAAAGAGTATACACTGGATACAGTGTACACTTCTCCGGTGATGGGTGTTTCAAAATCTCAGAAAGCACCACTAAATAACTTGTTTATGTAACCAAACACCACCTGTTCCCCAAAAACCTATTGAAATAAAACAATAAAAATAATTTTTTAAGTGAAGGGTAAAAAGACAATTAGGTCCCAAAGTAGAGAGAATCTGATAAAAAAATTTTGCCCAGTTTTTTGTCACCCAACATTCAAGTTTCCATGAAAGAAATCAGCTCTGCTGAATTAACACTGGAGACATATTTCATGACGTCCTTTAACCATCTCTCACCAGATAAGATGAGGATTCGATAAGCAAGAGAAATGTTTTTTAGGACTGTTTTGACTTCGTGTTTGTGTATTTAAACAAAACAAAACAAAACAAAACAAAACATCACTAATCTATCAGACCAAGGTGGGTTTTGCCATTAGGAAATGACGGTCTGAGCCATGTTGGGTTGAGAGAGCAGATTGGGTGGTGTGGCTTGTTCCCGCTGATCACCAACAAACATGCTTCTCCCAAGGTTAGAGGGCAACCACAAAGCCATTAAAGGCCACTCCTCTAGAGCCAACTGCCATGGCTTATGCAGCTATCCCCCCTGCTATCTCTCCAGGGTCACAAAGAAAAGGAAACAGGAATTCTGACCTGACCTCCACAAATGCTCAAATGCCATCACCTGCTATTTTGACACCAATTTGTCAAGTAGTTCTCAACCTAAAAGTGCATCACAATTGCCTGGGTTGCACTTTATAAAGGAGATTCAGAATAGGTTTTGACTGAGCAAGTCTGGGGTAGGGCCTAGAAGTCTGCAATTTTAGTAACAACCAGGAATAGTGTTGATGCATGTGGTATCTGAACTAGACTTTTGGAAACATCAGCCCAGCACAGTGGTTCACAAACCTGAACATGCATGAGAACCACTTGACTGGCTTGTTAAAAACCCAGATTACTGAGTCCAATCTCCAGAGTTTCTCATTCAGTAGGTCAGAGGTAGGGCCCAGGAATTTGCATTTCTAGCAAGTTCCCAGGTGATCTTGCTGCTGCTGCTGACAGGGGCCATGCTTTGAGAACCAATGTCCTACTAAAACCCAGAAAGAATGCCTCTTTAAAGCACTGTCGACTAAGAAGGTGGGATACTCCTTGAGAAAAGAAAAAAGCAAATGGACACTTACTGAGTATCTGCTAGGAGAAGGTAACTGGAACAGTGAAATCATATTTATTTTCCTGGTCACTATTTTTTTAATGTTTTTTGCAAATGAGAAATCCAAAGGTTGGACCAGTTATGTGACATCTTTAAAGGTCACATAGCCAACTAAAATGTTTTAAACTATTTTTTTCTTTGAGTTTTTGTAGTTGTACATGCAGCAATTTCAGGTAGCTTTTTGCCCAGTGAGGTTGCTTTTTATTGCTTCCCAACTCAGCGTAGACTTACCTAGTTTTGCCCTGTGGAAGGAAAATGGCATTCCTGCCACACATTCTGTCTGATAGAGGAACATCTCTTCTGGAAAGATGGCTGGATTTCCTCGCTTACATTTACCATTGCAGGGGCCAAGAAGTTTATCCAGAAGGAGAAACCATCATACAATTAGCAAGTCAAGTCATAAGGCACTGATTTCATTTGTTTATTTATTTATTCATTTATTAGTTCAGTTAAATATTTACTGAGAACAACTGTATTTGCTGGGTATTGTGCAAGGCACTAATAATAACAGAAAGACTCCTGGAGTGAAGCCAGGAAATCAGAACTGTGTGCTGTCTTCTCCATGTGCAAGCTTTGCTCCTGGGTAAGTCCCTTCAGCTTTTGGGGTGTCAATCATCTCCCTATTAGCAAATGCAGGGAGGGAGATGAGCCTTGGTGATTTCCAAGGCTCCTTTATTTTTGTACACTCCTGAGTTTATAGTTCAACTCTCACAATGTACCTAACCTTTGTGCTGTGGAGTGAGTGTGTGGAAGGAAAGCTTGGGGGATGTAGAAAGAACAAGAGGCAGAAGGAAGAGTCCTTGTCTTTGGAAACAGAGAAGATCAAAATATGCACATATGACATCACTGGAGAAACTTACAATTCAGCATCTAACCCCAAAGGAGCTCAGGTAGTACAGCTTCTTATGGGAGGAGCGGTCAAGGATGGGGGAATATAAATGAGGGAGTGAGGAATGGTGAGGGGTGGACTAAAGGAATGGAGAGAGGAGTGAATTCAGCAAATGTGACCTCAGAAGCAGAAACTTTTCTGATTTCACTCCCCTTCACAGGCCAGCGTCCTCTTTCCTGTGTTGGTCACATCCTCAAATGCCTTTGGGGCTGGATGAACAGTCGGCTTGTGGGTAAGTATGCCAGGTTTAGCACATAAAAATATAGGAAGCCCAGTGAAATTTGAATTTCAGATCAACAACATAATTTTTTAAAGGATCAATAAGTCCCAAATATTGCATGGGACATACTTATACTTTAAAATTATGCCTTGTTGATCTGACATTCAAATTTAACTGAGTGTCCTGTATTCTTTTTTTTCAAAATGGTTTTATTCCTCAAACCTCTGCATATGCCAGTCCCTTGTTTTGTATCACCGGATCTTATCAGGTTGCTTCTTATAAGAAAAGCTCAGCTAGACTCCTAATTAGACTAGATATCCTCCTTTTTGCTCCCACTTTGCATTTCTTTTATATATATATATATATATATATATATATATATATATATACTTTAAGTTCTAGGGTACATGAGCAAAATGTGCAGGTTTGATACATAGGTATACATGTGCCATGTTGGTGTGCTGCACCCATCAACTCATCAATTACATTAGGTATTTCTCCCAGTGCTATCCCTCCCCCAGCTCCCCACCCCAGGACAGGCCCTGGTGTGTGATGTTACTTGCCCTGTGTCCAAGTGTTCTCATTGTTCAATTCCCACCTATGAGTGAGAATATGCAGTGTTTGGTTTTCTGTCCTTGTGATAGTTTGCTGAGAATGATGGTTTCCAGGTTCATCCATGTCCCTGAAAAGGACATGAACTCATCCTTTTTTATGGCTGCATAGTATTCCATGGTGTATATGTGCCACATTTTCTTAATCCAGTCTATCGTTGATGGACATTTGGGTTGGTTCCAAGTCTTTGCTATTGTGAATAGTGCCACAATAAACATACATGTGCATGTGTCTTTACAGTAGCATGATTTATAATCCTTTGGGTATATATGCAGTAATGGGATCGCTGGGTCAAATAGTAATTCTAGTTCTAGATCCTTGAGGAATTGCCACACTGTCTTCCACAATGGTTGAACCAATTTACACTCCCACCAACAGTGTAAAAGCGTTCCTATTTCTCCACATCCTCTCCAGCATCTATTGTTTCCTGACTTTTTAATGATTGCCATTCTAACTGGCGTGAGATGGTATCTCATTGTGGTTTTGATTTGCATTTTTCTGATGATCAGTGATGATGAGCATTTTTTCATGTGTCTGTTGGATGCATAGATGTCTTCTTTTGAGAAGCGTCTGTTCATTTCCTTTGTCCACTTTTTGATGGGGTTGTTTTTTTCTTGTAAATTTGTATGAGTTCTTTGTAGATTCTGGATATTAGCCCTTTGTCAGATGGGTAGATTGCAAAAATTTTCTCCCGTTCTGTAGGTTGCCTGTTCACTCTGATGGTAGTTTCTTTTGCCATGCAGAAGCTCTTTAATTAGACCCCATTTGTCTATTTTGGTTTGTGTTGCCATTGCTTTTGGTGTTTTAGACATGAAGTCCTTGCCCATGCCTATGTCCTGAATGGTAATGCCTAGGTTTTCTTCTAGGGTTTTTATGGTTTTAGGTATAACATTTAAGTCTTTAATCCATCTTGAATTAATTTTTGTATAAAGTGAAAGGAAGGGATCCAGTTTCAGCTTTCTATCTGGAAACTCTATGCTGTGGGGGAACATCTCAGGACCTGGGCATAGACAATAAGGGGACAGGAGCCCCATTTTATTACACTTTGGCTGTTCCCTGCTTCTTAACCAATGGCTTACTTAGAATGCCTAATTTTTTTTTTTTTTTTTTTTTTTTTTGTGGCCAGAGAGTAGAAAGAACCCAGCTTCCCTTTCGTCTGCTGTGCACCCTTTCCTCAGGCTGGGATTAAAAGCAGAGAAACCCTTGGCATCCTCTTCTGTCATAAACCTGCTCACCACCAGGGTTAACCTGAAGTCATCCGGCAGCATTAGATTCCTCTGGAGCTTCCTTCCCCTGGTCTGGGAAGCTCCTCGCTACATACCCGAAATCTCTCTGCTTGCTCTCTCTTGCCTCAGCTGTATTCTCATCATTCTGCAGCTCAGTGGTGTAGAAACAGCAGAAAGAGTGAGAACAGCTGGAAGAGGAGCTTTCTGACACCAGTGGGGTAGGGACTGGCTGGGTTATTTTTTTCTAGTTCTGTTTTTGTTTTCTTAAGAAAAACGGTCTCTCGCTTTCCCTCCTTCCAAGCCTACACACCAGGTCTTTGGGTTGATTTTTGTCTTTATTCCTCCCATCTTCCTGTGTAGTCATTTTTGCCCTCACCTTGAGATCCTTGAGTTTATTGCCAGAAGGAATTTGGCTTTGCCTGCTGGGTGGGCTGTCTTCAAGGATGCCTGCAATCCAGAGGCTGACTGGGGACCCTGTGTTAGTCAGGGTTCTCCAGAGAGAGAGAGAACCAATAGGATAGACAGAGAGACATATAAAATGATATTAGTTATAGGAATTGGCTCAGGCAATTATAGAGGCTGCAAAGTTGCACAGTCTGCTGTCTGAAGACTGGAGACCCAGGAAAGCCAGTGGCATAATTCAGTCTGAGCCTGAATGCCCAAGAACCAGGGTGGCTGATGGTGTAATTCCCACTCCAAAACCAAAGGCCTGAGAACCAGGAGCTCTGATGTCTGAGGTCAGAAACAGATGTATGTCCCAGCTCAAGAAGAGAGAGAAAGAGAGCACGTTCACCCTTCTTCTATCTTTTTGTTCACTTCAGGCCCACCTTGGTGAGGGCAGACCTTCTTTACTCAGTCTACCCAATTCAAATGCTAATCTCTTCTGGGAAGACCCTACAGACACACCCAGAAATAATGTTTTACCAGCTGTTTGGGCATACTTTAATCCTGATGAGTTGACATACAATTGTCCATCACAGGGCCTGAGCAGTGCAATCCCTGTATGCATTCCAGGCCATCTTATTCTGTGTAATGCAAGTTAAAAAAGATTTTGGGGACACAAAGTAGTATCTGCACTTTCTTCCTTATGTGATTAGGAGCTTCAGATGGGCAGACAAGCTCCATTCATTAATTTATTCCACCAATACCTCTTCAGTGCCTACTTTGTGCCACAACAAATGTTTTCAAATGCAGCTCTGTGTATGATTACTCAGGAGATATCAACTCAAGCTTATTGTAATTAGTCTGTTCTCATGCTGCTATGAAGAAATACCCAAGACTTGTTATTTATTAAAAAAAAAAAAAAAGAGGTTGAATTGACTCATAGCTCTGCATGATTGGGGAGGCTTCAGGAAATTTAAAATCATGGTAGAAGGGGAAGGAAACACGTTCTTCTTTACATGGTGGCAGGAGAGAGAAGTGCTGAGCAAAGGGGAAAAGCCCGTTATAACCATCATCTCAGGAGAACTCACTCACTGTCAGGAGAACAGCATAAGGGTAACTCTCCCATGATTCAATTACCCCCCCACAAGGTCCCTCTCATGACACATCGAGTTTATGGGAACTACAATTCAAGATAAGATTTGGGTGAAGGCACAGCCAAACCATATCACCTATAATCTGCTGTCATGTGCATGATATGGTGGGGTGTGACCCAACTTACAGCAACCTGATAGCCAGCCTGGAAAATGCCAGGACTGAACTTTGGCCTTCCTACCAGAAGGGACCAGGTGCTAGGAAGTACAGGTTGGTGGGTAAAATATGGCATCAGAAGAACAAGGTAACAGAGAACAAGGTAACAAGGTAACAGAAGAACAAGGTAACAGTTATGGCAAGATGTCAGGTGGAGGAGGCCCCACAATCCAGGGAAGTCTGTTAGCAACTCAAGCCTTAGCTGTAGACCAGGTCAGGAGCAGGAACTTTCCTGAGAGGAAGAAGAGAAGCCCACAGAGGAGGGCAGGAGGGCAGCCCTAGAGGGCCTGGGAACAACTCAGGTTTTAGGCTGAGGCTTGGGTGTAAGGATCAAGACAGAGGCTGTTACCTGGTTTATGGCAAAAGAAGGGGCTGGGTCTCAGAAACAAGAAAAATGTCCTCCCTTGGCAAAACAGGAACAAAAGTTGGGAGCCACAGAAGCAGCAAGTGATTGCAAGTAATCAAAATCTGAAGTTAAAATTGCTTAAAGTCTACTTTTCCAAAATCAGAATTGTTCCTTTGGGTTCCATGAAGCTGAGCCTGCATGTGTGGATTAAGCGGCTTTAGTAGGGGGCCTGGTGGGATGGATGGGTGCTGGACAGAGCCTACCATCGCTATCAACCCTTGTGGGTTTTTGTGATCACAGATATTTGATGAGTGTTTCAGGCATTGAAAAGAATTTCTATTTGGTGAACCAACCCAATCAGACTAGATTCTTGGAAAATCTATATGGCAACAACTTTAAAACTTCATCCAGACTGGAGAAGCAGATAGAAGGCACTGATTTTCTCTAGAAACGGGGGCTTGAGCTTGGTCCCTGGGGATGGAAGAAAACCCTGGAAGAAGCCATCAAAACCTGATATAAGCTGAGTTATGATACACAGTGGTGTTTGCCAACCTGTTGTGGAAACAGCTCTCCCTGGAAGGCCATGCAACGGTCTTTGCACGGCCAAGGGCTGGAGACCCACCATGGATGTGGCCCTGGAGATGAGTGAAGGGGAGATATTCCTGGCACAGGCCTTTAGGCCAAGCAGGCAAGGCCCTCAAGTAGTGATGGAGTGAAATGCCAGCAGGCGCTTCTCTCCTCTGAGCTTCTGGATTCAGCGCATGACAAAGCCAGCTGTATCTCTGGTGATACATGACTGTTACCAAGCTGTCAGGTACATGGAGCCATCTGAGCAGAAAGATCCATCTACGGTCGAGTGCAGGTGAAGCAGAAATGCTGGGTGCCCAGCACTAGCTAGAAGGGCTGGGTTGAAGACGTGGAGGAGGCATGTGGAGGGAGTATCTGCAGCTTCCTCTAACAGGAGAGAGGCCAACGGTGCAGGAGGAATCTCCACAGATTCAGGGGCCATCGACAGTGAGAGTGCTCCCCAGCATCTTCCCTGAGAGCAAGAATTTGTGGCAGCGACTAATCTTCCTTTGCCCTGCCTTCTTTATCCCAGAAAAGCCATACAGCCAGCCCTGGGTTGAAAGAAGGTCTAAGCTATTACACACTCTCAGAACTTGGGTCAATATTTTTAAAGGTCCTGGAATAGAGATTTATAGGTGAGGCTTCCCTTTGGGGCTGTGAATACAACTTATCTGGCTTCTAAAGATTCTAAAAATGTATCTTAAGTGTGCCATATACTTACCCACATTCTGGGACAAACAGCTCTACCAGGTAGACATCCTGGCCTAGCCCACAGCATGCTGATGGCTGGCTTCAGCAGCTCTGGGATTTGAAGGCAACAGACATCAGTGTAAAATTCTGGAAGGCAGCATCACTGTTCTTTATCCTCTCATGCTGGACTATCTTAGTGCTCCAGATTGGAAAGTTAATGCAATGTCAAAAGAAGCCTGGACTAGGAAAGGATAGTAAGGTAATAATTCTAAATGGCTGCCTATATCTTTTGACTTTTTAGAAGTATTAGGATAGCCAATCGCTCCACTTGAATATCACAATAATCTTATGGAAGTCAGTTCATTTTTATTATCTGAATCATCTCAATGAAGAAACTGAGGCCCAGAGGGGTTAAGTGGCTGCCCTGAGTCCACACAGCTAAAACAGTCCAGGGCTCTTTTGGCTCCCAAAATCAAGGGCATGTTTCAGATGCTTGATGGGTTCGTTGGTTGTTCAAATTGTGCTTTGCATTCTCTCCTATGATCATTAAAAAGAGGCGAGCATGGTTATTTGCCTCGTTGCAACATTGAAACCTTCATGTTGATTATCTCCAAGAATTTCGGTCTCTGGTTGCTTCAACCCAAGGATTTTGGTTCCTGGGTCTTTTCTTCACCCTTTCTCATTTCACTCACAGCTTTAATCCTAGGCAAGAACCTTAATTTTTATTTAGGCTTTTGCTTTATATAAGGTACTGTAATTAGTTCCTTACTAATTTAAATCATTTATTCCTTATAATAACCCTATGAAGGGAAAACTACTATCATCTCCACTTTACCAGTATTGTAAACCAAGGCCAGGAACATTAAGCAATTGTCCAAGACCACACAGCTAGGAAGTGGAAGACGTAAGAGTTGAACTTGAGTTGGTAGCCTTGAGAGTCTGCCATCTTAATCACTGTGCTATGTCACCTCTTTTAATCTAGAGCAGTGGTTCTCCAACCACAGTGAGCCTCATGAGGGTCCCTGGGGAGCTTGTTAAATCATGGCTTCCTCTCAGAGATTCTGATTCAGTAGGTTTGGGGCTGGGCCTGAGAATTTGCCTTTCTAATAAGTGATGATGCCCATGCTTTGAGAGCCACCAATCCGGGAGCTCCCAGTGTAGTCACTTGAGAATCAGCTGGGAGAGCTTTTGAATAATGAAGACTCCAGGGCCCCATTCCTAGATATATTTTGATTCAACAGATTTTAGAGGAGGGTGTAGGAATCTGTAGCTTTACAAACTCTACTGGAGATTCCAGTGTGTAACTGGATACAGAGACTTCTGAATTAATCTCCTCATGACTCAGTTTCTCATCTAGAAATGGAAAATTAACCTAAGAATTAATCTGTCTATACAAGACTGTTGACTAGTGCAAATGAGGAAACAGATGTAAATGTACTTTGCAAAGATAAAAGATCTATTTAGAAATAATTTTTTGGTCCACTCTGGTGGCTCACACTTGTAATCCCAGTACTTTAGGAGGCCAAGGTAGGAGGATCATTTGAGGACAGGAGTTTGAGAACAGCCTGGGCAAAATAACCAGATGCTATCTCTACAAAAAATAAAAAATTAGATAAGCATGGTGGTGTGTACCTCCCAGCTACTGGGGAGGCCGAGGTAGGAGGTTCCCTTGAGCTCAGGAGGTCAAGGTTGCAGTGGGCCATGATCGTACTACTGCATTCCAGCCTGAATGATACAGCAAGACCCTGTCTCAAAAAAAAAAGAGAGGCAGTTTACTGTGGTTGCTAAGCAGTTTACTGTGAGTTTTGGAGTAGGACCAGCCTGATTTGTGTTCCGACTCCTCCCTTTTCACCTTTAAATCCTAAAATGGAAATAATGATAGTCTTGTCATAGCAGTTGTGAGGATTAGGTGAAACAATTATTCTACTGTGTTTAGCACATAGTAAGTACTCAGTAGAGTATTATTTTATGTGTTTTATGCATTGTTTTTATTGTCCTTTCTTCCTTGCTGACAGCTGTATGTATACAGCTTGTGTGATTAATGCACCTTAATAGGCCTCTTCCTCTCTTCTTAAGGGCCCATCTGTTCCTTGGGTGAGTCCAGCTTTCTTTATTTGCCTTCTTATATGCTGGCCAATTCTCTTTTAAACATCTGTACACATCCATGTAGTCTATGACCTTAGAGTCTTATTCTTTATTTTGCTTGTCTAATTTTGGATAAAATGGTAAAGAACAATAGCTAACATTTGTGTCTCTGTTTAGAGTTTTACAAAACACTTTAATATACGTTGTCTTATTGGATACCAAGGAATAAAATGATGATGATGATGATAACGATAATGACTATAAATGATCATTGCTTTTTACAAGTGGGACAAACAAATCATACAGAGAAAAAGTTATTGCATTATATCCCCAAAATTTAAGTGTTAGAGACAGGACTCGTCCTGTCTATGCTCCAATCCTATACTAGACTAAAGAGAGAAATATTTCATCTGTTGTATGTTTTTTCTTTAGATGCATATTGGCTTTTTACCCCTACTCATCTCCCCTCAAAAAAGTACTGTTGAAATTTTTAGTTTGAATTCCAGTAAGCTGATTAATTAATTTTTGCAATATTAAAACTTTCTACCCAAGAACATAGTTTGCCCCACCAGTTCCCATCTTCTATATCCTTTGGTCAAGCTCTGCAGTTTTCTTTATGTGTGGTATACATATTTCTTATTAAGCTTATTTTAGGTATTCTATACTTTTACATTAATTTGGATGAGCTCATTTTTTTCTTTTTTTTCTAGTTGATTATTGCTGACATTTAGGACATCTATTTATCTTATAAATCTGTTGATTTTGATTACTATTTTATAGTAGTTACTCCAGCTAAACTTGGTTAGAAGTAATCATTTTTTTCAGTAAATAATCTTCTTGGGTTTTAAAAGCAGAAAAAATATATAATTATCAATGATAATTGATAATTGATAATTTTTTATTCTTTCCAACAAATTAATGTAAACTATTTTTTGTTAATATTGCTTTGGCATGGATACTTTTGTAGAATTAGAGACAGTGAGGAAGTTGGCTTAGGTTTACTCTTTATTGTCACAACTAAATATGCTCTGAAGATTAAGCCACTTGAATAAAGTTAAGCTTCATCTCCTGTGACTATCTCTAGAATAAGAACTTTTGAAAGGTTTGCTTGCTTTGATAGGTTTCTTAAAATATAGTTAGGTATATCCTTTAAGCTTGTTCAATATTAAATAGGAAACAAAGAGGATGCAATTTTCACATTTAAGTAGCCAGTCGTTCACTGGCTTGATTGCAAGAAAGCAAGCAAAATTATTTCTGGAGCGCCGACATAAAATTCACTGACTGAAATTAATTTACTAACTGAAAATAAATTCACTGACAGTGAATATGATCAAGCTTACCTACGTTTTGCATTGATAATAATTGGTATGTTTTTTTTTGCAGCATAATAAAGTATCAAGCAATAGTACATTTTTTCATAAAATATAAAGGGAATGACTGTGTTGCACTTTGTTTTCTGTGTTCCCTGGGACAGGACATATGATTGTCAAACAGAAATAATAATTATTTATATTGATAAATATTTAAATATTTAAAGTATAGAAAAGTAGAACTTTAAAACTTCAAAGAAGGTCAGAGTTTAAATAAGGAAACAGATCTAGAGATCTGAAACAACCTATAGAATTCACCTATGCAGCAGTGGTTCTAGTTCTAGTTCTTCTAGTTCTAGAAAAGAACTAGAAGCCAGATTTCTTGACTCTACATTCATCTGTATTCAGACAATTTTAAAAACATGCCTGATAGATAATTACCATTTGGTTTATTTAAAATACAATACAATACTTGCCATTTTGTTTATTTAAAATATGATTAATTGCATTAATGGTTACTGATGGTCCCCAGTCTTGCCAAATCATCATGACTTCAAATAGCCAGTACTTCATAGATCATTGTACTTTGGACGTACATTTGAAGTTTCCAGGGTCATTCTTCCAGGAGCAAACCTCAGCCCAGGTCCTGCCAGATCACATTTGTCTGCATCTACTCTATGGATGGAGAAGATGCAGGAAGAATTGTCCCCATTGTTCTACACAGGGCAATGTACAATGGTGGAAGAGGAGCCATGTCTTCTTTTCAAGTCAAAATCAGAGAACCAGCTATTAGATAGGTTCATCTTGCCTATCTTTCGTTGAAACACAGTAGCATTACAAGGGTAATTATTAGTTATCTTTAGAAACTTCGAATTAAACTCTGAAAAACAAACCAAAGGTTTTTCATCTCTACCTTAGTAGATCAAACAGGGGCTGCCAGACCTATATTTTATTTAATAATCCTTATAGCTGACAGCGTTGGTTGGCTCAATCAATACCCACTCCAATTTATTTAGCTGTTTCTTCCTACTATACACGTTGGAAAGCTAAAAACTACATTTCCCAGACTCCCTTACAGCTAGGATCTAGACAGAAAGCCTTGGTTCCACCAATTAGAGCCATCCCATTTGTGACTTGGAGAAATAAAAGCAAGTAGCTGTGCAAAGAAAAATGGGATCTTCTGGATAAGAAGATTTTTTTGTGAGACAGCAGTGGCAAAGCGCTTGGAGTCCAATCTCAAAGGTGATCAGTGCCCAGAGATGGGCAGTGGTATTTCACTATAACAGCCCTGGATTCCTGGATGCTTTGGTTCTGCCTGTCTGATGAACAAACCTGGGTCTTTGATTATCCTAGAGAGTCTATGTTCTTCCTAATATCCTTTAATATTCCTTTCTGCTTAAATTGTCCAGACTTGACTTCCTTATTGAACTAAGAGCAATAATTTATATAACCTTAGTACTTCTACTTATAATCATAGCTAATCATAACATTACAATGTATCTATGTAACATTTTTACATATACAAAATAGTAGTGACACTATTGTGATGTTTTAACCTACTATGTAACAGGTAGTTTTCTAAGCACTTTACACATATTAACTTATCTAATCCTCCATTTTAATGATGAGGAAACACAAATGTGGAGAGGATAAGATGCCTGAGATCACAAAGCAAGCAAGAGAGGGAAGCTCAAATGTAAACCTAGGCAATTCAGCTCTGTAACTCCCCGAGCTCTACTGCCTGACAATCTTATGAAAAAAGTATTATTATTATTATTACTATTTTATAGAAGCAGAGGTGAAGTACATTCAGAGACATTCAATGACAGGAGTAGTTCAGCTGTTAAGTGACAAGGCATAGTGGACCCAAGATCTCCAGAATCCACATCCAAGGGTCTTTCTGCTACATGCCACTGCTGGTCAGACTTTCACCCTATTGCTTATTTATCCATTCATTTATTCAGACTGTCCATTATTTATGCATCTCTCTATTCATTCAACTGTATCTTTCTTTGAGAGTACTATGGCTTTTCCATTTGTGGAAGACTATGGAGTTTGCAGTCCCAGGGCCTCTTTCTGTAATATGCTGAGACCCACACCTCATTTCCTTTGGGGTCCTGTAGAGGTGTAGCATGGCCCATAAAAAACACCATCTCTGCTCATATCTCATGATTTTTGCAAATTAATCATCTAAGTAAAATGGACCATTGCCTTTAAAAGTGTGCAATATAAAATGATAATAAATGCCAGGCTCAGGATCATAATGGAAAAACAACTGTTTGGGGTATTTTGCTATGGTACAGTTCTCCAGCCTGAGTGCTTTAAGTAGAGCGGGCTGGGTTTTTTTTTGCGGGGGGAGGTGCGGGTGGGTTCCACATTCAATGCCTTGAGTCTTCACACATGGCTGGGTGCAGAAAGAGAACTGCCTGTGAAGTCAGGAGGGGCTTAAATCCGAGTCCTGCCAATAGGCGTATCAATTAGACAGTGACCCAGAAATTCTTGGAAGAGTGATTTTGAGCTTCCTTCTATCTCCTTAAAGGCTCCTTTTCTTCCATAATTTCTTGGTAGAAAGCTGGAAGAGCTGGGATTTTTGCCAAGGAAGGTTTAGGAAAACAAAAGTTAACTGCTGTAGCTTTGAGAAATAAATTGCTCTGTGAGGCAAAGGAAAATTCAAAGATCTTGGGAGAAAAATGAAGCCACAGTTTCAATTATAACTGTTACCAGGTTTAGACCCAACTTTAGGCCAAGTGTCATCCAGACAGATGTTCTTGCAATTTGGTTTCCATAATAAATGTTGTACTTGTGAAAATATTTTAATGACATCTCGGCACTTTACTAGCCCTCAAATTCTAGGAGATTTTCCAGGTCAGGCGAGGACCATTTGCACCATCTCACCCAGTGACCTCTCTCATTCTGCTGGGGCTCATGGAGAACATTAAACTTGCAGATGCAATTATTGCATAATAAAGTATTGATTTCCTAAGAAACACTATAACATTTTCTTCTTCATAATTAGCATTTACAAGGAATGCATCCAAGAACTTTTATAAAGCGTTAAGCACCTATTGCCACTTGAATGAGACAGTACTTTAGTAAAAGAATAAACAACATTAGAAAATAGCTTCAATTTGCAGAACTACAAATTAGATGCACATCACATATAAGGTTTCTTACAATGTCCTAGTTTAGATTTTAGAAGAGAGTTTTGATATATGATGTAAGCCATTCTGAAAATGTCATTTGAAGGCAAATCGAATATCTTCTCACAGCTGATACAGATGTTAGTTTTGCTTGGTGATGGGACAACTTACTGACTCTTCTCCTATGGACAGTTTTCACCCATTAAAGCATCAGAAGTAAGAACAATGTGCAATTATAAAATGAAAGTTTACTTAAAGTCAAAGAAATGTTCAAGTACAATTTAAAGATAATTTCTGAGCTGGGTTCAGTGGCTCATGCTTATTATCCCAGCACTTTGGGAAGCCAAGATAGAAGGATTGCTTGAGGTCATGAGGTCACTACTAGCCTGGGCATCATAGTGAGACCCCCATATCTATAAAAATTTTAAAAACCAACCATCTGTGGTGGTACATGCCTGCAGCTACTAGGGAAGCTGAGATGGGAGGATCACTGAGCTTAGGAGTTTGAGGTTACAGTGAGTTGCCACCACTATAGCTGAAGACACTGTCTCAAAAAAAAAAAGATAATTTTTGCTATGTAGAACTGAGGTTATTTAATACTCCAAGTGAACAAAGGCTACGATGACTTTGAATATCTTCAGGGGAGGAAAGAGAGGATTTATAAATAAGTTATCAATACAAGGTGGTTTTTTCACGTATTTCTGGTTTGCTCCTGGAAGTTAGAGGAGTGTTTTCATATCCTTTATATGTTCTGTTGAAGTTTTCTCCTGAACATGTTGACATTAGCTCTGGGGAAACTTTAGACACAAGGGCTACTAGATCTTACAAAATGGTATGCTACCTAACAGAGTTCCAGCCAATCTGCACTCCATTTCCAGTCACACCACTGATGAGCTCTGCCACTTGAAAATATTCCTATCTTCAGCTCTGTGCTTCAACTCTGCTGACTGGGAAGCAACTTGGCATTGGCCTTGAAATCAGAGAGGCATGGTATCACTTATTCTTTCTGTATCTCTCAGGAAGAGACATTCACTCACTCAATCAAAAGATATTGTTGAGTTCCTGCTATGTCCTCAGTACTATGTTGAAGGGAATGTGGAGGCAAGATTAGAAAGGAGATATAGCTCTTGTTCTCAGGTCACTGACAATGACAGTATGTCAAATACATGTGCACAATGACCAATCGTATGTAACTGTGCCAGTAAAGCTTTTGCCCATGTTGTTCTCTGTGCCTAGAAGGCCCTCCCTTTTTTCAACCAACCAACTCTAATCATCTTTCAAGATGTAGCTAAAATCCTCTTCCTCCCAGGAAGCTTTCTCTAAACTTAAAGTTCATAGCTTCAGTATTTTTCAGATTATGTTAAAACTATCTTTTCATGGTTCTGGCTTAGTTATTAGAATCTGGTTCCTCCAAACAAGAATTAGTTATGTTACACTTCATATCCTAGGGCCTCTCTTTTTGCTCACTTTTCTCATCTCCTACTGGTCATTCTAGTTGGCCAACCCCACCTGGAGGTCAGAACATAAGGGAGTCTCAGATGCCTTGTGTGGAAGTCACCATCTGGAGCACAGAGCAGGGCAGAGGAAAACAGTGATTGGATCTGGGGAGGAGGAAATGGAGAATAATCAGCATACAGCTCTCTGACCTGCCTGCCAAATTACAAAATATATGTTCTCTGGGCAGATACAGTTTTAAGAATGAGTAACTTTGTTAATGTACCCAGCTAGGGAACAACATACTCAGCCTAGGGGCACATGACTTTCTGAGCAGAGAGTAGGCTGGATTTCAAACCCTACTCACCTCCTAGGCTGGGTGCCTTGGTGTCAAGGTAAGCCTCACAATAGTATGCAGGAGTCCTGCCTATACCAATCCTGACCCTCCATATATGACTATTAGCATAGAAAGCATATGACCCCAAATATAGTTGTGATAGGAAGTTGGTAAAGTGGGTCTTCAAGGAATCCTTGAAATAACTGAGTTTTTGTCACTAGCAGAGTGAAATAACTTTGCTGTCTTGCCTCCATCTATTGAAGCTCATTTCCCCAGACAAGACTCTGCTGCCTTGGACTTCTCTGGAACCTGTGTGGCTCCTCAAATGATGGCCAAAATTCCTGCATACTGCCTGGGACCAGACCCTCTATTTCTACCACAGATCACAGCTCCAGGCACCTCCAGCCACTGCATGTGGATAGACATCAGGGAGGAGTCTTCATCTGTCCCTACTAGTTTTATACCTAAATCACATATAAATTTTCCATAATCTGGAAATAAACAAATGCATCTTTCTTCTGCTATTATAGGGTCATTTGTTTAAGAGGTTTAAAGAGGGAGGAGCCAAGTTCACACGTACAGAATGATCGTTTCCAATAGCTTTAAATTTTCAGTAATCTGCACAAACAAGACAGCCTTGCTGTTCCGGGAGTGACTGCATGCTTGCCTGTGTTCTCAGGCTCCCAAGCCCTTTGAAAGGTAGGAGTGTCCCTACCTCCCTACCTCTCTCTCTTTTTCTCACTGTTTCTGAAAGCTCTGTTCTTCGCTGGGCCCCTTTGGTATGCAGAACTATCTGGCTGAATTTTATTCTTTGCCTCCTGCCCCCTGCAAAAAGCCCCTGAAAACCCAAAACATTAATTGGGTAGCTGCACTGTGGGCTATTTGCAAGAATATATATTTTGAGCATTATAATTACGCTTATTTAATTATGTATTCAACCCAGTGTGAATGCGTCTCTACCATATACCGAATACTGAGGTTACTGAAATAAAAATCAAGATCTCTGCCCTCAGGAACACTCAAAAAAATACACCTTAAATTCCAGATCTTTGAGCTGAGGAGAATTTAAGAGTTCTACTAAGTTAGGCTCGCTCTTCTCAGCAGCTAGGCTGTTATCTCCACCTTATAAATGACCCGTGGAAGGGTCAGTGATATGGTTTGGTTGTGTTCCTACCCAAATCTCATCTAGAATTGTAGTTTCTACAATCCCCACCTGTCATAGGAGGGACCCGGTGGGAGGTAATTTAATCATGGGGGTGGTTACCCTCATGCTGTTCTTATGACAGTGAGTGAGTTCTCATGAGATCTGATGGTTTTATAAGGGGCTTTCCCCACTTCTACTCACTTCTCTTCCTGCCACCATGTGAAGAAGGACATGTTTGCTTTCCCTTGTGCCATGATTATAAGTTTCCTGAGGCCTCCCCAACCATGCTGAGCTGTGAATCAGTTAAACCTCTTTCTTTATAAATTACCCAATCTCAGGTATGTCTTTATTAGCATCATGAGAACAGACTAATACAGAGAGTTAATATTTAACTTCCCCAGTGCCTCATAGCTGTTTAAAGGTAGAGAGGAAGCTAGAACACCATCCTTTCTGCCTTGTACAGTGTCTTGGTTAACAGAGGAAGATATTACCCTTGGACGTGCTGAGAAATTCCCATTACCTGGCTGGTGGTTACTAGAGGCTGTGTCACCTCATTCACAAGTGGAACCATAAACAGGCTGTTCTTGTTAGACGTTGCATTGGTTTGTAACACTTCAATATTTAATGGGAAAATCAGAGAATATAAACTGGATAGTGACTTCATTTTCAAAGCCAGCCCTAAGGCCTGCAGTGCAAGGTTTCTGGCTTAGTTATATTTCATAAACCTCAATCTTTGGACTGGAGGGAAAATGGCTTTTGGTTCACTTAGTAGACCAGCTGTTGCTGGGCAGCTGGGCTTGGTTTACTTTCTGGTCAGGGGAAAGCACTTGACAGTCTCTGGCCCAGAATGAGGTCCTGAGTGCAATGATTCAGTCCTTACTAAAGATGACCAAGAGGGCCTGGCCTCCCCACCTCACAGCCACGTGCTTGTATCTTGGTGCCTCTGAAACAAGAACAGAATCCTACTCCACAATCGTGTGGTTATACTTAGTTACATAGCAGTGTAATTAATGCCACTTAATGTAAAGTGAAAACAGAATTTCTGCAGCTGCCAACTTCCTCTGGCTCAGCCAGTAATATATGTTGACTTCATTTATAAGCATTATTTTCTTTTTCATCATGCTGATTGCAGAAAGAAAATCACTCCAAGAAAGAGAAACAGACATCAAACTTCAGCTGACAACACACCAAATAAAAAATTTAGATTGCAGGTATTGATTTCCATCTAGCATCATGCCAATTGCTCCATAAAATTGAAGACCTCCTGACATCTTAGTCAATGGTCAATTTGAATGCATCAAGCCCACAACCTCTGGCGGATCCCAGGTCAGGATCTTAGCTGGTGTCACATTTCCTGTTTCTTCAATTCATTCATTCCCTACCATCACCTCTGGATTATCTGCTAAATGTATGAAAAAAGCATCATACAAATAGACTTTTAGTTTCTAGTTATTTAGTCATTGCTGTAATTTCATTAGCAAGGGCCTGGCTGCCCCTGTAGGCATTTTCGTACATTCCATCTACTATGCTTGGTTGTGGGATCCATGAGTCAGAAGACATGGATGGAGCATGCTCTGTTGGGCCATAGTGGAAGGCACCGCTGTCTACAGAAATCTTTAGAGTAAAAGCAAAGACATTTAATGCTTGGAAAATAAGGGTTTTCTTAAATGTTCCTTAATAATAATGGAGAAGATATGAATTTTTATGCAAGGTTATGATAAGGGTGAATTTGATTTTTCTTCTCAGCCAAGCTTCTAACTAGTGTGTATGGGTTGGTACTGGAGAGGCGACAGGGAGAGGATTGTAAATCTGTAACAGTGCGCATGTTAATTGAAGTCAATACTGTCTCAGAAAATAGATGAAATCTGATGAGACATCTTGTTTAACTATGAAACACCCCTGCCAGTTAAAATTCCAGGTCCCACTCTAGCTCTTTTGAACAATTCTTAATATGTCAATTGCCCAGAAGCAACTTGCTTTCTGCAGTGATGACACAGACTTAGGGAGGATGGAAAAAAAAAATCACCGTGAATCATATCTAACTCCACCTTTCAGCATCTTTGCACTATTCTTTGTTCCCTTTGAAGCTAGTGGGTGCTTCCACAGCAGAGCAAGTACATCAGGGTGGGAGGGTGGATTGGAAATCAGGCCATCCCTGGAAACGAAACAGTACCACTAATTAAATTAAGCCCTTTGTCAATGCACATTTTCCAAAAGTACTGGAAATCTCTGAACAGTGTAATTAGAGAATTTTGCTCTCCAACAATTGAATTTCCCACATGTTGCTTTAACTTTCAAGACATATGAAAATGCTAATGTCTATTGTTATAGAGAGAATGCTGGGAAAATGCCAAAGCAGCCTGCAGAAAACAGCAACAAAAAATGGCCTCCGCCCTCTCCCCCAGCCCTCTGCACCCTAATTAGAGCGTCATTAGAGTTGTACAGTTTACAGCGTTGGTAATCAATTACATTATATCCTTCATCCTCTGGGGCCCCCACACCCCGGCAGGGCAGAGCCAAAGCAGACTTCTAGAGCAGCTGAGATTCACACAGGGTGAGGCACAGATGTCCTTGCTAGCTATGGCCACATCAAAGGAGGATTTTCCTTGTCCTCTTAAATGGGTGCTGTATGATAGGATTCAATTCCACTCATGCAAAATCTAAAACAATATCCTGCTCTAGGCAAAACAGACACATTTCCTCTGCACACTCTCTCATCCTCTCGTATATCATTCGTCCTTTCTTTCCCCACTGTCCCTCCAGCTTTGTTTTGTTGGATTTTGTCTCATCCATATATTACTTCTCCAAAAACTTTCTCTCTGTGCTTCCTCCCTGGCCTTCTCTACCCCAACAAAACATGTTTTTTCTTCTGTTTACTTGGTTTTTCTCTTTCAACTCATCTGATTAACTGACCTAAGCTAAAGTATTAATGGCTGAAAGTGACTTAAAGTGGTAATTCAGCCAGATAACATACGTGTAAGTTAGTGAAAATTTTATCATTTTAGATACTAGCATAATCTCTCTTCTAGGATAAGGAACTGTCATTGTTTGGGGGAAATAACTTTTTTAGCCATTTGGGATAGAAAGTGAGACTCAGAGGATAACAGTTTCAACAGAATCACGTGGTTTGGTTTGGTTTTGTTTTTGAGACAGTTTCACTCTTATTGCCCGGGCTGGAGTGCAATGGTGAGATCTCAGCTCACCACAACCTCCGCCACCTGGGTTCGAGCGATTCTCCTACCTCAGCCTCCCAAATAGCTGGGATTACAGGTGCCCACCACAATGCCCAGCTAATTTTTTGTACTTTTAGTAGAGATGGGCTTTCCCCATGTTGGCCAGGCTGGTCTCGAACTCCTGACCTCAGGTGATCCATCTGCCTCGGCCTCCCAAAGTACTGGGATTACAGGTATGAGCCACCCCGCACGGTCAAATCACATGGTTTTTAACAGATCCTTTAAGTGCTTTTCATGGGAGACTAAAAGAAATGTGCTTTGTTCCTGAGAGGATAGGGAGAGAAGACAATAGATGGATAGAAAGGTACAATGGGGGGAAGAAGGAATGGCATGAACTTGAGCTCTTTGTGAGATAAACAACTAGTGAACTTTCCACATGGGAATGGGCAAAGCAGATTTTAAGAATGAGAATGTCTAGTATTTAAAATTGTGCTCATTGTTGCAATGCAAACTGTATTTTCCAACTCCTAAGCTTTCCTTTATATCTACTAGATGCACAAGTGCTTTTTGTGAGCGGATTTTTGTGTGCATTTGTAGCATTTTATATACTACAAGAACAGTAAGATTACAAGAGCAGAGGCTTTCTCTAGAGTGGGGGTGTATGACTTGGAGGCTGTGGATCACTAAGAGGCCTAGTGATAAACTTATGGACATGAGACACCCTGAAATTGTGCACAAACATTGTGTATATGAACAAAAATGCTCTAATTTCCCTCTTACTCTCAAAGGGGTAATCACTTCTCAAAAATTAGGAACTCTGCTTCTAGAGCTCTTGAGGGCGTGGAAGTATAGACAATCAGCACTGAGAACAGTGAGATTCCTCCATCTAGGTGTAGACCTCAGGCCTTTTCTCTTCTGAGATTATTCTTTTTTCTTAAATGACTCTAGATCCGTGGCTCCTTGTGTGATCTAGGCACTTACTCCCATGATCCAGAGCCTACAGCCAATGCCCTCCTTTGAAACACCACTTGAATGTGTCAACTCAGCTGGCACCAAGAGGAAACTTTGGATCTTTCCCTCACACCCAATCCTTTTCAGGATCGCAGTGTTCTTAGCTGTGCATAGTAAACAAAGGAATCATCCTTGATGTTTCACTCTCCACTATCATTCTTCCCCATATCCATTTCTTTACCAGATTTTATTACGTTTTCACTTCCTAAATGTCTTCTGAATCTGCTCACTCTCCCCATGTCTCTCTCCATCATTCTAGACCCAGCTACTGCTGTCTTTGGTTTACTACTATATAGCCACTTACTTAGGTTACCATGACCACCACTGGCCCCTCTTTGGATCATTCTTCATGTTACTTTCAGACTGTCACAGGTTGGGTTTCCCAGGAAGCAGACTTGAGATGGAGATTAGCAAGCAAGAAGTTGATGAGGGAGTGTTTCTTGTGAAAGGAAGGGAAGTAAGCTTGGGCAGAGGGAGAAGCTGAGCAGCAATAAAGTCTCAACTGCAGCTTCATCCAACACTGTGAGGGTTTCTGAAGGTGGGGTGACCTTTCAGAGCTGTCTCAAGGTGGAAAGTGCAGGGTAGGCCTTTCCACTCCTGCACTGATTGATTAAGATAGGACTCTGGAAAGGAGCGCAATCTTGGGCCTGGTGGCTCTGCAGTTTAGGCAATTCCTAAAGGTATTTTACAGGTAAGGCTTTCTTCTGGCAGAACTCCCAGCAGCTGGCATAATGGGGTTTTCTTTTTCTTTTCTTTTTTTCTTTTAGAGACATGGTCTCACTCTGTTGCCCAGGCTGGAGTGCAGTGGTGCAAACATAGCTCACTGTAGCCTTGAACTCCTAGGCTCAAGCAATCCTCTTGCCTCAGCCTCCCAAATAGCTGGGACTATAGGCATGCATTACCATGCCCAGCTAATTTTTAAAATTTTTTTGTAGCAGTGGAGTCTTGCTGTGCTGATCAGGCTGGTCTCGAACTCCTGGTCTCAAGCAATCCTCCCAACTCAGTGTCCCAAAGTGCTGGATTACAGGTGTGAACCACTGTGCCTGGCCATATTTTTGATTTCTGAAACAATCTGGTGGCACAGTAACCTTTTCAATTCTGATTGTGTCATCCCTTTGTTTAAAACTCCTCAATGACCTTCCTGTGGCTCTTAGGAGAAGCCAGAACATAATCCTACAAACTGTGCATGGTCTGACCCCTACTTGACCTTTCCAACTTCACCTCTAGTCTACTCACCTTTGCTCTCTGGACTCAGCCACATTGGGTGTTTACAGTCTTTCATATTTATCTTGCTTCTTCCTACCACCAGGTCTTCGCATGTGCTATTTCCTCTTTTACAATGGTTCCCCCTACCTCCACTTCACCTAGTAGAGCCTTTAGATCTCACCTCAACTCTTCTTCCTAACCTCCGTGACTGGGTCACTCCCTCATTATAGACTCTCACAGCACATGTTTCTTTGTGCAGCAGCACATGTGTTGGCTGTAAGTTTTGTATTTGTTTATGTGGTTATTTCCTAGTAATCCACATGCCCCTCTAGAGGACAGAGGAGTGTCTATTTTACCCACCATTGATTTCCTAGGACCTTTTACAGCTCCTGATCCATAGTGAGGGCTCAGAGAATATTGGTTGAGTGGAAAGTGAATGAATGCCCTTATTTTATGGCTCAGGTCACCAAAGATTGAAGAGATTGCATGGAGTTGTCTAGGGTCAAACAGCTGCTTACTGTCAGGGAAGGATATTTCAAGTCATAGTGTATTTGCATGTTATTTGGAGATTTTTCTGGCCTATTCATAGTTAAGTTTACAGCTAAAATTTGACTGCTGCTTCTGCCTTTTGACCCCCTCTTGAACTGGACCATTGATTTTTCTTTCCTAGTACTTACCCACCTTGATTGTTATCTTCACTCAAATAGTCACCAATTTAAATTTCAAAGAAAAACTTCGAAGGGATTGGTGGTTTAAATACAACCAGACGAGACTTTAAAAAAATTCTACATGACACTAAATACTCAGTTTGACCAATTCTTTTGCTTTTCATCCAGTTGCTTTAAAATGATAGAGCAGCAGTCTTTATTTCAGCCAGATGCCCCGCCCCCTGCTCCATCCACACTGCATGGAAAAGAGAGTGAGAGAAACAAGGAGAAGGAGGTTGGACCACAGGTATATTTCTGGGCTCAAGTTTAGAGAACAATGATTTGGAATCTAGGGCATAATTCACCAATCAGGCTACACATGTAAATGAGAACATCATGACTTGTTCAAAGGAGTTCCGTAAATAATATTACTCATCTCCTAGAAGCAAGCCATATTTTTACCGGACTTTTTACTTCAGCCTTGCATTGCTAATGAGAATATATATTTTTAAAACTCTGTTATTTATTTCCCTTCTGCTTAATATTTCAATCAAACATACATTTACTGTATTAATCACAGGACATGATAGTTTTAAAACCTCAGAAATCATTTTAATTGAATACCTCATGTCTGTTTAATCTAAAGTTAATAAAACCTTTTTTTTTTTACATCATTGTATCCAATTTTAATTTCTTGCTGTAGGACATTCACCTCTCCCCTCTCTGAATTATTTTTAAAGTCAGGCTTCTAAAAAAATTCCTATTTTATTTTGAAATCAAAGTTAGATTTTTATGTTAATATGCTAACTTATTATTTACTAAAATCAGTGCAATAACCAATAAAGTGGAGAATTGTGTCTCAATGATAAAAATGTGTAACATATTTACTCAAAGTACATTGTGAAATAAGAAAATCTCTCAGCGATATCAGTCATCTTCAGATATGAACAGAATTGGGTGAAGAGGAAATTTCTGTTATATAACATTTAAGTATCTATGCATTGGTGGGAGTTCTAGATGGGAGACATAGGGGGTTGCACATGGCACCAAGTGGCATTTCTTAAATTACTTTGACTGGAAATTGCACGGGCACAACAATTACGGATTTGGATATTGAAGCCATAGAATTCATTGTTCCACAAATCTGCAGTGTTTCCAGTTTTTCCCATTTACTTCAGAGTTGCATGTTGTTCTTTATCTACATATAATAGGTAAAGAATGATACTTCAGCTCTTCCTTTGATTAGAATTATCTGGCCCCATGTTCCTGTTGTAAAATGAAGAGAAATCTGAGTTGAGAAAATTTGTCTCAGAAACATTTGGAACCTATTCCTTTAGGGTTTCATTTATTGGGGACCAATTAGCTGGGCAAGTATTGACTCTTTTTATATTTTGTATCCAGTGTCGTCTAGCAGAGGGCTTCACTATGGCTCTTCTTACATGAACACATGCTTTGCCTGACCAATCCTGTGCAAGGTCAACAAACCCATTGCTGTTGGAAAGTAATAGTCAAATATCATATAGCTAGGGTGACCATAGAATTCTTCTGCCAAACTAGGAAATATTTTAATATGAAAGGGGAAGCACTATTGAGTCAGGGCAACAGGTGCAAATCTCAAGCATCCATGGAAAAACAGTACATATGGTTACTCTGTAGTATATCTGGAGCACCAACCTCTTTCTCCTCCAGAATAACTTAGTTTCTTTTTATTATTATTATACTTTAAGTTTTAGGGTACATGTGCACAATGTGCAGGTTAGTTACATATGTATACATGTGCCATGCTGGTGCGCTGCACCCACTAACTCGTCATCTAGCATTAGGTATATCCCCCAATGCTATCCCCCGCCTCCCCCCACCCCACAACAGTCCCCAGAGTGTGATGTTCCCCTTCCTGTGTCCATGTGTTCTCATTGTTCAATTCCCACCTATGAGTGAGAATATGCGGTGTTTGGTTTTTTGTTCTTGTGATAGTTTACTGAGAATGATGATTTCCAATTTCATCCATGTCCCTACAAAGGACATGAACTCATCATTTTTTATGGCTGCATAGTATTCCATGGTGTATATGTGCCACATTTTCTTAATCCAGTCTATCATTGTTGGACATTTGGGTTGGTTCCAAGTCTTTGCTATTGTGAATAATGCCGCATAAACATACATGTGCATGTGTCTTTATAGCAGCATGATTTATAGTCCTTTGGGTATATACCCAGTAATGGGATGGCTGGGTCAAATGGTATTTCTAGTTCTAGATCCCTGAGGAATCGCCACACTGACTTCCACAAGGGTTGAACTAGTTTACATTCCCACCAACAGTGTAAAAGTGTTCCTATTTCTCCACATCCTCTCCAGCACCTGTTGTTTCCTGACTTTTTAATGATTGGCATTCTAACTGGTGTGAGATGGTATCTCATTGTGGTTTTGATTTGCATTTCTCTGATGGCCAGTGATGGTGAGCATTTTTTCATGTGTTTTTTGGCTGCATAAATGTCTTCTTTTGAGAAGTGTCTGTTCATGTCCTTCGCCCACTTTTTGATGGGGTTGTTTGTTTTTTTCTTGTAAATTTGTTTGAGTTCATTGTAGATTCTGGATATTAGCCCTTTGTAAGATGAGTAGGTTGCGAAAATTTTCTCCCATTTTGTGGGTTGTCTGTTCACTCTGATGGTAGTTTCTTTTGCTGTGCAGAAGCTCTTTAGTTTAATTTGATCCCATTTGTCAATTTTGGCTTTTGTTGCCATTGCTTTTGGTGTTTTAGACATGAAGTCCTTGCCCATGCCTATGTCCTGAATGGTAATGCCTAGGTTTTCTTCTAGGGTTTTTATGGTTTCAGGTCTAACATTTAAGTCTTTAATCCATCTTGAATTGATTTTTGTATAATGTGTAAGGAAGGGATCCAGTTTCAGCTTTTTACATATGGCTAGCCAGTTTTCCCAGCACCATTTATTAAATAGGGAATCCTTTCCCCATTGCTTGTTTTTCTCAGGTTTGTCAAAGATCAGATAGTTGTAGATATGCGGCGTGATTTCTGAGGGCTCCGTTCTGTTCCATTGATCTATATCTCTGTTTTGGTACCAGTACCATGCTGTTTTGGTTACTGTAGCCTTGTAGTACAGTTTGAAGTCAGGTAGTGTGATGCCTCCAGCTTTGTTCTTTTGGCTTAGGATTGACTTGGCGATGCGGGCTCTTTTTTGGTTCCATATGAACTTTAAAGTAGTTTTTTCCAATTCTGTGAAGAAAGTCATTGGTAGCTTGATGGGGATGGCATTGAATCTATAAATTACCTTGGGCAGTATGGCCATTTTGACGATACTGATTCTTCCTACCCATGAGCATGGAATGTTCTTCCATTTGTTTGTATCCTCTTTTATTTCATTGAGCAGTGGTTTGTAGTTCTCCTTGAAGAGGTCTTTCACGTCCCTTGTAAGAATAACTTACTTTCTATGAAACTTCCTTGCAAAAAGTTTAATTCATGTTTTGTGCCTCATAAACACAGCCTGATGCAGGATTCTTAAAATCATTTGAATCTATCACGTCATAGATCTGCTACAGGGGGAAATTCTCAAACTCCAAGAAATGACCTGATCTATATTAGACACTGAGTCCACGTTAAAGTCCCTCTGGCATAGTTCTTTTTCATGTTTTTATAATCCCGAGATCCCCAGCCCCAGGCCATAATGACAAAGGGTAATCAACTTTCTGCATGACTACAGAGCTCATTCAAGAACTAGATCAGTATTTAATTAGTCACAATCCTATCCTTGCCCATTCTAGGTTGTTTTCTGTTTTCCTGAGCCTGGGGTACCATCTCCAAGGATGCAAGGGTCCCAAGGAAGGATATCATAGAAAACTGCCAGATTTTTAATATTCTGACCCTTACTCCCTAAGAGAGTAACTATAAGCCCATTTAAGGAAGAATACAGCCAGTGGAGTTTGGGCATTACTCACCACATTGTAGACCATTCTGTTTTTGAAGAGACAGATTGAAGACAAACAGACCTGCTCATTGCTGCCTTTCCTCGAGTTACACAATCTTGGTATCATACCCAGAGGTCAAATAAGAGAGTCTTGATTTTTTTTTCTGAGGGAAATATTGTTTAGAAATTTCTCTTCCTGAGAGAATTTTTTGTTTCGAAGTGACCAGAAAGGATGAGTTATTGAACAACTCTTGTGTCATGATCCAATGAGCAAAGAAAAAGCAGTGCTCCAATTACCTATGAACATTCACGAAGACAAGTGCAATCAGTTGCAGATGATTAACCTGTTCATAATCCAGATATAAGAAACAAATCTTATCATTCTGGAGCCCTGGGGCAAAGGAATTACATTTTCCAAACTAAGCTATGAATAAAAAAGATGATTAGAGAGGAAACATCTTGGCCAGTATTTTACATGATTCTTAACTCAAGGAAACACAACCCTCAAAAGGCTTTCTTCTTGTGATGCAGATTTATTCCGAGAGGAATAACAGAACCTTTGCAATATTGAATATTAGGTAATTAATTTGGTATGTCCCTACACTACTTTTGAGCAATGAGTGCCAGGCGTGAGCTTAATGGTGTTACATAGGAGGTGATATGGTGCAATGCAATGGGTGACCTTTTTCAGCTGGTACTTCAAGCAGCAAAAAATTCATTGCATGAAAAAAGACTTAAAATGCTCCTCTCAGTATCACATAGCAAAGAGGACACTGAATGAGGTAGAAAGAAGACAGATTTAAAAAGGGTTTGAGAAATAAAGTATTTTGCTGCCATTTTTATTAACACATAGTCAAGCTGTCACTAATCATTTGCAGAATGCATTGGAGGGAAAGGGAATTTTTCATAGGTGTAAATTGGTAAAGTTTTTGTTCCTCGAAAGTGGCAAGTGTAGATAGACCATTATTTTTTCTGTGATTAATAAGAGACTTGTAGTTAAAATCAGCCATCTCAATGCAGAAGGCTTGAAACTGTAAGATCTGGACATGGAGAGGGGGCTAGAAGATAATTCCATTAATCATATTCTTTAAAAGTTACCACTAGTTCCTTAATGAATAGGAAGTAGAGACTAGATTCAGGATTCTTTTTAGTACATTCAATGTAAATATTAACATCATTGTAAATATATATCATCAATATAATATTATCATCATTGGATATTATTTAATTATTCTCAGATAACTTTATTTTATTTTTAAGACATGATTTTTTAGAGCACTAGAGCACTTTTAGGTTTACAGCAAAATCAAGATGAAGTTACAGAGATTTCCTATATACCCCCTGCCCTCCCGTGCATAACATTTCCCATTATCCACATCCCCACCAAAGTGGTGCATTTGTTAGAATTGATAAACTTACACTGACACATCACAATCACCCAAAGTCTATAGTTTACTTTAGGGTTCACTCTGGTGTTGTATAGTCTTTGGGTTTGGAAAAAATGTATAATGGCCATCAGTATACTATCATACAGAGTATTTTTACTCCCTAAAAAATTCTCTGAGGTCCACCTATTTTTCTCTTCCCCATCCCTAACCCCTGGTAGTCGTTGATCTTTTTACTGTCTCTATAATTTCACCTTTTCCAAAATGTTATATAGTTGGAATCGTACAGTATGTGGCCTTTTCAGATTGGCTTCTTTCACTTTGTAATATGCATTCAAGGCTCCTCCATGTTTTTTCATGACTTGAAATGTAAAGTTTTCATTAGTAAATCCATTGTCTGGATGTACTAGTTTATCCCATTCACTTACTGAAGGACATCTTGGTTGTTCTCAAGTTTTTGAAATTATACACAAAACTGCTATAATCATCTGTGTGCAGGTTTTTGTGTGAACGTTTTCTACTTCTTTGGGTAAATACCAAGGAATTTGATTATTGGATCATATGGTAAAGATGTATTTCGTTTTGTGAAAGAAACTACTGAACTTTCTCCCAAAGTGGCTGTACCATTTTTCATTTCTACCAGCAATGAATGAGAACTCCTGTTGCTCCACATTCTGGCCAGCATTTGGTGTTGTCAATGTTCTAGGTTTTGGCCATTCTGATAAGTGTGTACTGGTAGATGATTTTATTTTTATCTTCACTGAGTTCTATATTAAATTATTGCCTTAGTCTATTTTCTGCTTCTATAACAGATTGCCTGAGTCTGAGTAATTTATAATGAACAGAAGTTTATTTGGTTCATGGTTCTGGAGACTGAGAAATCCAAGAGCATGGCACTGGCATCTGGGGAGTACCTTCATGCTGAGCCATCCTATGGAAGAAGGTGGAAGGGCAAGCAAGCATACCAGACAGAGGGAGTTGGCCAAACTCACCTGGGAAACCACCCCCACAATAACCAACCCACTTTCACAATAATGTCATTAATACATTTGTGAGGATGGGACCTCATGGTCTAACTGTCTCTTAATGGTCCCATCTCTTAATACCATCACAACGGCAATTAGATTTCAACGTGAATTTATGAGAGGACGTTCAAACCATAGCAACTATCAATCTAGATATTTCTGTTTTTCTGCAGATACCAGAAATGGAGAAATCCTATCTGGTTTTGTGCCCAGAATATGCATAACTGGGTAGATAGTAGTGCTTAGAAAATTGAGTCTATGTATACATTACAAAGGCATCAAGTCCCTGAAATGTAAGGTAGTATCTTATATCCTTCTGCATTCCCATCTACACTCTCCATCCCACAGGCACAGAATTATAACGTGTGTGCTTACAGACACACAGAAATATAATTCAAATATGTTTGATCCAGGATAGCCATTGAGAAGTTTCTTTACTCTCCCCCAGCTTCCACCACAAACACACACCACACACACACACACTTTATGCTAGCAGGGATTCTAAAAAGACTTGGTAATATTTACATTAATATAGAGTTTAATTCTTTTCAAATCCTTCACATATTTTGTGCTAACCTCAACCCTCTGAGGTCCAAAAAAGCATTGCAATCCCTGTAGAGTAGAAAAGTAAGGCCTGTGGTGGCATATTGCCTTGTCCAACATTTCATGTCAAAGTAATGGCAGAATCAACACAAGAATTCAGGTCTCTTCACTCTCAGACTTCTCTGTGTATCACACTGCTTATCCTGGTGCAATGGCCAGGTTTCTCTTTTGTTCCTGCTGCTGGAAGAAAGAGGTATGCAAAGCTATCATTAGCAATATGGAAAGCAAAGGAACTGATTGGCAAATACTGGTAGCCACATTAGATGAGCTTATGAAGATAAGACCTTCTGAATCACATAACACGTTGCTTAGTGAGATTGTAAAACATTTCAAAAAAACAAAAGAAAAAAATATTGGCACAGAAAATTATTCAGAGAATTGGTAAAGGGCAATTTAAGATAGACATCAACAGCGAGTGGTGACAATGAGGTGGGGTATAGCAGGGCAGAGCAGAGAAGACTGGAATGGGCTTGAGAAAACCTGGATTGTATTTGTAACTACATCACTTACTGTCTTCGAGATCTTGAGCAAGGTATTTAGCAAGGTATTTAATCTCTGCATGCATCAGTTTCCTTGTATGTTAACCTGCTTGTCCTCATCACAAGGTTCTGTCAGAATGAAATGATAAAATCAACATAACTTTTACAATTCTGAAGTGCTGGACAAAGGTAAGAAATAATACAGCAGTACACATAGTAGGTACTTAGCAAACATTTATTGAACTAAAAATTCTATTTCAACTGGAATTGAACACCGCAATGCATGGTGATTTCTAAGATTATATGCCAATAATTATTGCTTTAATGGAAGTGGCTAAGTGAATTAACCTACTGCCAGAATTATGGATCCAATGACATTGTGGAAAATTGTTATTATTCCTCTGCCTGAGATATCTGGGTATGTACTGCAGTAACAAACATGCAAATTCTGGCCAACAGCCTGGGTGTTTTTGCTACTTGATAAAACTGGAATGCTTGAATACGGTTTTTCCATTTGAAAGACACATTACAAAAATCCACCAAGACAAGTTAAGTAAGTGTCTCTGGCAGAGGAATTAAACAAATGTAGAGAGTGAGAAACATCAGTGCAATGCTAGCTATTTTAGTGCTCTATTATCACCCATGGAGATTCTTAATGTAGTACGAAAATTCCATGATTATAAATTCCAAATAAATGGCTTGCTAATAGGCTATCAGTGTCCATATTGTTAAGAATAGATTAATCTGAATTTTGAAAACTTACTAACCAGTCATCACAAAACTTCAGGTACTATGTGTTATATACATATATATTAATAAGAAGCAACCACTATAGGAAAGAATAGTATTGCTCTTTGTGTAATCTTATAATTTCACCAACAATGAAGTCTGTGCCAGAGAACATCTTGTCTGTAAGTGTCTTCCTGTGGGTGCCAAATTGCTTTAACTTTAACCTCTGTGCTTTAACTTTAATCTCTCTGTAGAAAAGAACCACCAGTTCTTTCCTACTTTACTCTATTGCTTTGTCAAGAAAAAAACAGGTGTCACCTATAATTTCTGCCCACTTAGATAATCTTTAGGGTCTTCTTGAAAACTTTCTTGGGAGCAACATCCACTAAACATCTTTGCTCATAAAAAGTATCAAACACTTTAATGTACAAGTTGACCCCTGGCCTGAGGTATGTCTATGTTTGAGAGATTGTTTCGTTTCTCCAAGGGCATGGCTGTTTGTTTGTTGGTTTGTTTAGTAATCTCGAAGTGCATTTTCATCATCTAGCATGAGTTAGGTTGTTGCAGCCTCTCTGGAGCAGTTTAGAGGCTTTCTGATGAACGGATCCTGGGTAACTGGACTCAGTCACCTAGGCTGCATCCACAGGCCTTCCTTCCTCTATCTAAGACATCGGAGATTACTTCATTCTGAGCAGTGGCTTTCAAATGTCAATCTGCACAACAAAATTAGAGAATAAAAGCAAAGTTGTAATTGTTTTATTGGGGCAAAATATACATAACATGAAATGTATCGTTAAGTATACAGTTCAGTGGCACTAAGTGTATTGACACTGTTGCGTGACCATCACTACCATCCTTCTCCAGAACTCTTTCATCATCCCATACGGAAACTGTGCCCATTAAATGCTCCCTCCTCATTCCTCATCCCCTCCATCCCTGGCAACCACTATTCTATTTTCTCTATGAGTTTAACTACTCCAGGACACTCACGTAAGTGGAATCATTTAATATTTGGACTTTCATGACTGACTTATTTCACTTAGCATAAAAATGTCCTGAAGTTTCATCCATGTTATATAGCATGTCACAGAATTTCCTTCCTTTTTAAGAATGAATAGTAGTGCATTTTATGTATATACCACATTTGGCCTATCCGTTCATCTTAATGGGCTGTTTCCACCTTTGAGGTGTTGTGAATAAGCTGCTATGGATAAGGTTGTGGCAACATGGTAATTTTTTTTTTTTTTTTTTTTTTTTTTGAGACAGAGTCTCACTCTGTCGTCCAGGCTAGAGTGCAGTGGCATGGTCTCGGTTCACTGCAATGCAACCTCCGCCTCCTGGATTCAAGTGATTCTCCTGCCTCAGCCACCTGAGTAGCTGGGCTTACAGGTGTGCACCACCATGCCTGGCTAATTTTTGTATTTTTAGTAGAGACAGGATTTCACCATGTTGGCCAGGCTGGTCTCGAACTCCTGACCTCAAGTGATCCGCCTCCTTGGCCTCCCAAAGTACTGGGATTACAGGCGTAAGCCACTGCACCCGCCCAGCATGGTGAATTTTTTTTTATAAAGCTAAATGTGTTTAAAGATCTGTACTTCCAGTTTTTTCCTTGGTATGAATCCACCTTTTTGTTTATGAAATAATGTTGACAAAAGGTGCTATGTCTGAACGCTTGCGTCTCCCCAAAATTGATATGTTGAAATATAATCCCCAATGAGATAGGATTAAGAGGTAGGGCCCTTAGGAGGTGATTAGGTCACCTATTGAGGGCAAAGCCCTCAAGAATGAGATTAGTTCTCCTATAAAGAGGCTCAGGGGAGCTTGTTTGTCCTTCAGCTGTGTGAGGACACAGCTAGAAGGTATCAACTATGAGGAATGGGCCCTTATCAGACCCCAAATCTACCAGCACCTTGATCTTGGACTTCTCAGACTCTGAGACTTTGAGAAAAACATTTGTGTTGTTTATAAGTTACCCAGTTTACCTACTATTCTGGTTGGAGCAGCCCAAGCCGACCAAGACAGCAGGTGCTAGTTCCTTCCCCCTTACTTGGCAAAGTAAAATGTTGACAGCCCTAAGTCAAGCTCCTATTTAGAAATTTAACTCGTCTGTGAAATACCAAAGTCTGGAAAACACAGAAATTCTTCTTAAACCTAGATGAGCTCCAGAATCATCTAAAAAGCATTAGGAAATGGAGTTCTCAGGAGCCCGCACTAAACTAATTGAAACCAAATCTCCGGAGGTGAAGGTTAGGCCACAATGCCGCAATATTATTTTAAAGCTCCTGAAGTCATTCTGGTTTATGGCTAAGTTGAAGAATTATTTATGGCTTTTCAGAACTACCCTACATGTCAAGCAAGATGTATCAGTTTGGTCAGTGGCTACCCCTCTGTCATCACCAAACCTATCAGGTGAGCACGACCAAATTTCAAGCATGTCCGGGACTACTAACAAGATTGCCAGGTGGAATTGAGACTGCTTAAAGATTTAATCAATTGTCTGCAGTGCAGCTTCTATTTCCAAATCAAAGCTGGAATTTGTTTGTGTGGTTCCTCCACAGCTGTCTGCACCTGTTCCTTAGGGAAAGGAAGAATCAGTTTCCATGATTTCTGTCTTTTCCTCCACCTCCTCAGAGTTCTTGAACTTGGCCAGGCCATGCTTCCAAACTACATTTGGCCCAAATCTTACAGTATCTAGTCTCCCTGCTTTTGCTCTTTTCTGAAATGATAACCCAGATTGAGCTGGGTTTGGTTTCATTCCCACATTTATTGATTTTCTTTCCATAAATAAATAGCTATGGGGTCTATTATGTGTCCAAAGAGTCAATAAAGCACATAGGGAAGCATGTCAAAAATGACGAAGAAAGTTGAATCCAGCAAGAATCTTTCCAGTGCCACCCATGGAGCGAAATCATCCACATTTGCCGTTCACCTTCACTGCCTCCCAAATACCAAACATCAGTCGCTGGCATGTGATTAGTGAGGGAGCTCTGAGTTGATTAAGTGCGGTGACATTTTGAAAAAAGCAGGACATTCCTCATTATCCGCAAATCCGTGGGTATGAGAGAGCTCTCTCGTTCACATATTAGCATTTCCACATCCGTCTCCTCTTCTCTGCAACCTCTAGCAAGGCAGCCTGCCTTATTAGTAACATGTTTGGGATTAACAGCTTTGCTATTGTGTTAGCATCTCTGTCATTACCCAGGGAGGGAAATTGGCAAGTGCTAAGCCGGTTACTAACAGACCTAAACAGTGCCCAGGATGGAATTCACACATGGAAACCAACCTCAAAGCCAAAATGTCCCCAACTACAAGAGAGGTGTATGCATCTTTAACAAAAATGGGCCTCATAATTAGCATAGGACAATTTTTAAGCATGCTAAAACTCTCATGTTGCATTAGAAAGAAATGCCATTTAGGCATTTACAAAGTAATGGAATCTCATTTCCATCTGCTCCAGCCTCCTTTCAACACCTCTCCCCATAGCAGTGCCAAAAGGAGAACAATTCTAGGCTAGCAGCATGTACTATTTGAGAGCCATCTTGGAGTCATGGATTGGGAGGGGCTAGACCCTGAAAATGGCTGGAAATATTAAAGTGTCTGGTGGTGCAGAGTGGGCCCATAGGCTCAAGGGTTTGTGACCTGGCTTTCTACAGCCATGAACTCTGGCCAAAGTCCCTGGCCAGCACAGGGTCCAATGGAGGGAGCTCAAGAGTAGGAGGTGGGCCAGATGTGTGTGCACCTCCAGTCCTTCTGATGGGATGCAACCATTATGGGAACAGTCCCATCCCTGGGTCACTTTCCCTTAAGCCACCTTAGACTGGAGTTGTAAGCAGGAGACACAGGTGCTCTAGAGAAACTCACCCATTATTGTGGGCACATGCACATAGTCCCCATCTGGCTTATCACATGGTGCTGCTCTGGAGTGGATGCAAAGAATAGAATGAACACCTCTCACTGATAACTCTCTTCCTCTCTTAATGACGACCAGCTCCAAGTCACAGAGGCAGACACTGAAAGTCTGGCAAAAAAAAAAAAAAAAAGAAAAGAAGGTTTCCTAGACCACTCTGAGACTAAACTCAAGAATCAAGCAAGGGGTGTGCTCTATTTCTAGCTGAAGGTTCCAGCTTCAAACAAGTCTTCCTCCAGCCAGGGTTCTCAGGACCTTCCCAGCTGTTGCTGGAACGGGTGCTCATTCTGGGTCATGATTTCTCGTGGGGCTGTGGACCTTTTGGCCCCCAGTTTCTTCCACCACTTTCTCCATAGAGCAAAACATCCTTCTATTGTTAGAAATAGGGCTTACATCCAACACCCCAATTTTAAAACCAAGAGGAAACCCTGGATGACCTCAAACACCTGTGTCAGAGAGCCTGCCATGAGGCTGGGATTCTCAGGGGTCAGAATGATCAGGAAAGCAAGGAAAAGAAAGGCCGGGCGCATGACTTAAAAAGCAAACTATGTTTACTTCAGAATTTTGCCTGGGGCAGGTCCTATTTCCAGTTTCCAGATCTGGTAACTGAACTTCGTGAAGCAGAAATTTCAGCACTGGGTTTGGCAGGATTTTCTCTGATTTGTGGGCTTTCTTGGCTGAAAAGTCTTACAAAGCAGTAATAACCTAGCTTCACCATGCAAAATATTTAACAAATCACTTTGGTAAAAAGATTAAAAATGTATGACATGGGGGCCAAACCCCCAATTCTAGGACATCCCTTTGTACTTTGGAACATGAGGTGTGTGTCCAAGTGTGCGGGGTCTCAGATTCACTCTCAGTTTACAGCCAGGCCTGAAGGCAACTCACCTAGTGCTTCCCTAGCTCTCACTCTTTCCACACTCTCTGTCCCTTCCCTGAGTGCTTTCCCTTGGGAAAGGGTGAGAGGCGGTCCTTTCTGCGGTTGGGTGGATGTGGGTCAATTTCAACACAGCCCCTCTGGGTGTCACCCGACTGCTTCCGGAAGTACATGCATCCCCCACCAACCCCACCACCAGCTTTAATTTGCCTGGTTGGTACATCCATTTCTGAGTCCCAGAAAGTCACGCTTTGTCCTATCTCCCTGCAGTGTAACTAGATGAGAAATCCCCAAATAGGTGGCTTCCTGCAGTTTGCAAACAGTGACCTGGCCTCTAGCCTGAGCACACCTGCTGTCCAGGCCCTTCTCTGGACCCTTCCTCCTGTGCTTGAGAAGACAAAGAACTGAAAATCCCTCTGCGGTCAGAAGTCCAGGACAAGTAACAATCCCGGCCTTCTCAGTTCTAAACTCACCTTTCTAAACTCTGAATATTCATCTCATTAAAATATTTTTTCCTGTCAGAATTCGGTTTCAGAGAAAGACAGTTAAGTAGATCAAAAACATTAATAAATCAGAGGAGGCTCGAGTTAAAAAATCGCTGAATTGAAGCTACATTGGGTCTCATCCACCATGCTGCCCACCTGCCTGCCTTTCTTCCCTCCCTCCCTCCCTCCTTTCCTCCCTCCCTTCCTTCCTTCCTTCTTTCCTTTTTCTTTCTTTCCTTCATGTGTGTCCGCCACCTACATTTTACCTAAGGTATGAAATGTGTCTTACAAACAAGTGTGTACGTGTGTGTGTATGTGTGTGTTTCCGTATGCGTTCACCTGTCCCCTGGAATCTTCCCACAGGTGGAAGCTGGCACGATTTAAGGCTGACATTAGTGGGCTTTAACATACAGACCACTCAGACCACAGTGTCTGGGGGCATGGGAGGATGCAGATTGGAAGCTGCTTACGCTGCTCTCCAAACCCCACTGGGAAGAATGACTGTGGCTCCAGCCCATCCTCTCAGGGTTCCTTCATTCCCCTTCTTTAGTGCTGGATGGAAGAATTACAAGGGCAAAGGGTTCCAGGCAAAGAACTGAACCCTCCGAGAAGTTGCTCACTTCTCCAAAGTGGTGTATTTCTTCTTCCCAGAAGATCATTGTCTCATGTCACCATCATCTAGGAGTAGGCCTCTCTGTGCAACCTTTCATCTTCCACTGAGGAAAAGAAAATGTTTTGACTCTGGGAGAAAGAGGGTAGAGATGGTCGGGGCTCCCCTAGGGCCCCTCTGACATCCAGGTCCCATCAGCTGGTTTGGGGAAGCAGTGCCTGCCAGAGGGCAACTCATGAGCAGGACGAGGTACCCACAGATCACAGCCGCTAAAACACTGGTTGAGTCTGGTCTGTGAATTGAACCTCTTATACTAAAAATATTATTTGTTGTCTATCTGAAATCTAAATTTAACTGAGCATCCTGTGTTTTTATTTATTAAATTTGACACTAATTGGATGTCTGCAGGAAAAACAGAGAGGACATTTACACCTGTGGAGCAATACTATTCTGCGCTGTTAGGGGCCAGGAATGGCAGGAATACCGAAACCATGTCTAAAGAGCATTGAAGAACCTTCTTGGAGCTATCAACAATACTGCTATTGTGCCTTGCTAGGGAAGACAATCATAGCCAAGAAAAAAATTGAGAAGTCTTCTCTCTTCTTTTCTCCTCACATCTGGTGAATACATCTTTAAGTGTTCAAACAGGGACTTTTTTTTTTTTTTCAGTAATAAGTATACTGGGGCAAAAGGTGTAAACCAGGACAGTTCCAGGCAAACTAGGCTGGCTGTTTGTTCACTCTAATTAACCACCAAATTCAGTATATGATGATCCATTGTCTTTTTGAGCTATCAACTCCCTCAAGATGGGGATCTCTGAATAATTCTTTGTTAAACTAAATTGAAAATTACTTAACTCCCTCCCTTTTCCCACCATATGTCCTCCCGGGTTTTTGGATAGCCGGAGGTTTATCTGTCCCTATGCAACTGAACTGTAAGCCAAACTTCCTTCATGCCTGTAAGGAAAGCTGAGAAGAATAGGACCAGAAGGAATCCACACTAGCTTACCGAGTTTGGAGGCTTCTGTATCTGGAAACCAATTTGTGACACACACAAATGCATCTGAGGAACTGAGCATTTTAAAGCAGGGCAGCACTTCTCAAGGCTGAGTTGTGTTAACTAGCCAGTGGTTCTGAGGGCAGAGAAACACACACCCAAACAGCAGCAGGTGGTTGCACTGAGCCAAAAACTCACCCCTTCTGGAGAGGGTGGGGGAAAGGAACCAGCTCAAGTCTGTCAATAAATGCTGTGTGACCACCTTCCCTAGCCCTGATCTGCAGTAATTTGATTTTTACTCCCAAACCACTTGTTTTGTCTCCATAAATTTAATGTATTTAATGATCCAGTCCCTACAAAGTTCTCTCTGGTGGGGATTTTGAGGAGGAAGTGGCAAGGAGTCATCACTGGCCTCCAATTCTGTTTTTGTCAACCTCCATCATCCATTCTGCAGCGGAGAGCTCTCCTGCACCGTGGGGCAGGCTAGTTTCTCATGCAGACAGCCCCAGGGCCCTGCTGATGTCCCAAAAGAGCATCATCAGCTTCCAGTTACACACATGTGGCAGTTACACACGTGGACTGTTTTTTTTTTTTTTTTTTTTTTTTTTTTTTTTTTTTAGCACTTTTCAGATAGACTGCATTTCCCTGTGGATCTGTAAATAAAACCTGTAGGGCCAAGCACCTTGTCATCAGGTACCCAATGGAGTGGGAAATTCACCTTTCCTTTTACAGTTTGTTTGAGACGTAAGATCAGTGTAGGATCAACAATCAAAAGACTCAGTTGGACCAAGTTATTGAACCCATTCTAGCTTGGAGGAGTGAGTTGCTGTAAGAAGGATAAAGTTGCTAAGTTTCAACGTGAAAATCTGAGCAGGCAGAACAGAGACACCCCGAATGCTGATGAAGGCTGTAACTTGAAAGATGGATTCACCCTCGCCGATTTTTTTCAGGTGTTTTAAACTCTAAAGATGTTATAGTCTATGGCGGAAAATTGTGTGTTTTGAAAAAGTCTGAATTTGATAATAATTTTATCATTTTTTTCCTCTGGTATAGTTCAGCTTTTTAAAGTAGTGATATCAGAAGTCACTAAGTTATATTGCACATTAAAGGTGATAGTAACAGCTGTTCATGGCTGAGAAGCAACCCTTTCTCAGGCTAGCCAGAATTCATTTTATTGAAAATGAGTCTATGCTTATCTCCTTGAAGGTTTTCATGGTGATTTCAACTAATATGTGGAAGGGAAGGAGGGGAAGAGGAAAGACTCGGTGATGGCTACAGCAGGCAAACCATATGCCACCGCATGGGCCTGAGGACAATCTCGGACGTCTTGCAAACAATCACCCACACAAGGTTTTGTTGTTGTTGTTGTTGTTGTTTGATCTTGTTTTCTTTTTCTTTTTTTTTCTGTTTGAGATGGAGTCTTGCTCTGTCATCCAGGCTGGAGTGCAGTGATGCGATATCGGCTCACTGCAACCTCTGCCTCCCGGGTTCAAGCGATTTTTCTGCCTCAGCCTCCTGAGTAGCTGGGTCTACAGGAGCGCACCAACACACCTGGATAATTTTTGCATTTTTAGTAGAGACAGGTTTTCACCATGTTGGCCAGGCTGGTCTTGAACTCCTGACCTCAGGTGATCCACCCGCCTCGGCCTCCCAAAATGTTGGGATTACAGGCATGCGCCACTGCGCCTGGCCTGTTCTTGTTTTTTTAATGAGTTAGTGGCTAACATGGAAGGGGGAATGCATTTTTGCATAAAAATCCACATTTCTGGTACTTCCCTTGAAAATACAAAAGATCTATTCACTGGCACTAGGTAGGGGCTGTGTCTTTTTAATTGCTTCCTCCTCTTGTTGCAAACTGACCTAAGCTATTTGCTGTCCACAAATGTTAAGTTTGGCTGAGTCCCTTCCACTCTCTATTACTTCTTAATGCTGACACCAAATACCAGTTGCCAGTGATCATACTTGAGGTAGTGGTTTTCTTAGGCTCAGAAGCTTCAACCATTTATGTTTCCTGCCTGGGCCCTCCATCTCCAGTGAAGAGTGATTGGATTTGTCCCCAAATATCTGCCTCAGGTATGCCTGAAATTTCCCCATTACTACTCATCGCTTTGGGCTATTTAACTCCTTATGTCATCCATCCTCTATGAAAATCAACGCAAATACTTCTGAAAGAGGAAATATAGTGTTACTTTTCTAACATTAAATTGGTATGGATTTAATGAGATCACTCTTTGCCTACTTGTGTCCAAAAAGAAACATTTCTCTTGTAGAAAACTGGGTTGGATGGCAGGGCACCGCCCAGAGTTATTCCAGGCCTGTGGAATAACTCTTCACCTGTTTTTAGGGAAAGTGCCTCCAAGTAAATGCTACAGGAGGCAGACCTGGAGCATGGTGGGGAGGGGTGGAGTAGGTACCACCTAGAGCATAGAAAGTGTCAAAGTGCTTGTGATTTAGGGGACCCAAAGAATAACAGTCTTCTTCCTTGCCAGAATTCAGAATGAGATAAGAGGTAGTAGGCACAGAATTTGGACAAGTAAAGATCTGACTAACAGCTTTTTACTTATTAGAACTGAATTAAAGAACATGGCTTAGATGTGGGGACCAGATGGGCTTGCTAACACTCTGCTGCTGTGAATCTGATGTCCCCCATGAAATCAGCGGCCTCACTCCCAGGGTGAGGCCTTTTCTCCATGGCCCACAAACAGACACCTATATCTGTGGGCAGGTGTGTGAAGAGAAAAGGAAGAAGAGGGGCCTGAGCCAAGCATGACCATTTCTTCTTTCAAACTCCTGGTCAGTTAACTCACCACTTTTCAGGAGGCAAGTGCTGGGGTGATCAATGAATGAGGAGGGGGAAGAAAACCACAGTACCCCATGGATTTACTATTGTGGGAAATGAGTAGGTGCTTCTAATGACAACCTATGGGTTGTGCAGTTCTGGAGCCAGAGAAATAGATTCTTTGCCATCTGAATGTTCCTCTTGGCAAATGGAAGCCCAGAGCACTGGTCCAGGTGAGGTTCTAGAATAGGGAGAGTAAGAAGTGCTGGACCATGGCTGTGGCATTTAGAGCCATGAGATTGAGAGAGTCCAGATGGAAAAGAAGACTTGGGAAAGAATATGAGCATAAAATGTCTCCATGGATACAGGCCACAGGAACAGCAGGGAAGATCCAGAGGGTTCTGGAGGGCGAGGAGGAGCAGGATGGAGCCTGTTACCAGAAGTACTTGAAACCTCTTACTGAGACCCTTCAACCTCTCCTCTGAGGAGCTGTCAAGGGGAAGAGGACAGCATCTGTTTTTATAACTTCCAAGTGAACATAGTCCTCTATTTTACACCTAATAGGTGCTCATTAAATTATTTGGTAGTTGAATTGAAGAGACTCTTCTAAAAATTAGTAAAGCAAAGAAAAGTAGGCAAAAAATGAATAATCCATAGGCTTAACCCTTCTAAGGAATGTATGTAGTTTAAAAGAGGATCTGGTTGTAGTAAATTCATGTGTAACTGATAGAATATGCAGACATGTTTGGACTCAAAGGTCTTATGAGAAGTTTGAATTTCTTCCCAACATACACACATTCCCTAGAAGTCCAAGGTTAGCAATTTGGTGCCATACTTAGTCAAATCCCTTCCATTGTTTGAATTTTATGGCTTCTTCTAGGGAAGATCAGCTTTCCTCTCATTTTTGGCATTGGTCTGCATATTAAGATCTATAGATCTTATTAGGTCTTAGAAATACATATTCATGACAGCAATTCCTATCTGGAGGATTTATTAGGATATTTAATGTTTGCCATAGTAATAGAGATTAAAAGTAGGGCCACCACCTCAAAACTCAAATCTCCTTACAGAATTATAGAATTCACATACATCACAGAATCCACATAAATTGCAGAATAACTGCCATATATGACAATTGTGAAGCCAATGGAATGTGATGCAGTGAAGTTAGATTTTATGTTTATTTTGCCTTTTTATCAAGTAAGTGGAGAGTTGCTGATGTCAGGAAAGTTTCTAATTGAGAATCCCTAATGCACAGTGTCCTGATGAGTGGCGACCTTCTCAGCGAGGACTGACAACCACACGGGTTCCTACTTCATGACCAGACCAGGGTCACCATGGAGACATTTCTCATTGGATCAGCTTATTGTAAGTATTAGGTTTCAGCCTTTGAGCATATATTGCTGGTTTTCAGTTACTTATAGCTTTAGAACATCTGCTTTTTCATAGCAAAGAAAAAAAAAAAGCAAGAAGACGAAAGAAGAAGGAAAAAATCTCTTAAGGAAGCGTTTAAAAGTTGAACTGATAGATTTGGCAATTTTCATTTGTGGCAGCAGTAACAGGCTTTACAGGGGCAGTATGACTCCAATATTAAAGAATAAACGCTTTAATATTGTTAAATACATCATAGCAGGTTTTATAGCAAACTTCACAATAAAGTCAGATGTTTCAGTATCAAAAAGTCACACACATTGCTTTAATGGTATCTACATGTTATGGATCGTAACGGCCTGTTATGACATCATCTGTTAGGAATTTACTATGAATGCATGAGGAGGTGGTTCAAAAAAGCTCCTTCTAATAAGATGCCATGGAGTGTAACTACATCTAATGACAATTGGTCAATTGTGAATAAAGTATTTTCAAAGAGGACTATTGCTTTAAGCTCTATTAAGACGTTAATGGGGCTTAGCAAGAAGTCTCCTTTCTTGCCTACTATTCTCTCATCTGAAAAGCCACAGTCCTATGAGACTCTCCCCAGCTCCCAGAGACTACATTGTTTGGAAGGCAGTTGGAGATCATTTTGGCTGCAGACAAGGTTTTCAATTTAGCAGCACAACAAACTTTGAAATTAATGCTGCACCTAGAGGTGATTCAGATGGGCTGTAAGTTTTTAAGCTCCTTCCTGTGAATTCTATCCTCTTTGTCTCTCTGCTTTTAGATGCCATAGGAAACATCTGATTGAAATGGAACTCACTGACCTAAAGCTCCTAAAAAAAAATTTTCTAGGTCAGTGACAGACAAGTTGGCTGCTTCAAAAAAGGTATTTACTGTAATTCTGGAGATCATATTGGGTCGCAAACTTGCTGCCTGTGAGTGCAATCCAGCCCACAGGTTCATTCTGTGTGACAGGCACTGTGTTTAAAAGGTAAGAATTGGAGGGCCTTTAGGTGGGAAGTGCCCTCTCCAGTTTACAGCGAGCCTCATCATTTCCTATTGTCCTAGACTTAGCCGCATGACACATTACATGTCACCTGCCAGGCCTCTAAAAACGTGAAAATCATGACCTTCAGGCATTCTGTTCATGGTCCATCCATGTGCCCTGTGCCCTAGGTTTGACTTGAGGTTTCTCACCGATGCTTCCCACAGCTGGGCCTTGTTCCTCACAAAGAGTTTCTGGTGAAACCAGAGTCATAAAGACTGGATTAAGAGGAAAGTCCAAGGAATCCCAGGATCTAAGAGCTTGCAGGAAAACTTAAGAATTTGGGATCCTGCAACCCCTGATGAGCAACCTGAGACACAGAAAAGGGAAATGCCTTGGAAAGGTCAGCCCCAGAAGGAAGAGAGCAGAGAGGGAAACCCAGGACTAGTGATTCCCCATCCTGTATGCTTCACCCACCACCCCACGCAGCTGGCCTGAATGATTGGTGTAGCCCTTCCCCACATTCCTAGAGAGTGTGTCTTTTACAAAGCCACCGTCCACACATACAGAGTGGCACCAGCTATGCAACCAACCCCTCTTACACTAGACCGCTGTGTCTGGTGACTTGAAAGTCAAGGCCAATGTGGTCACACTAAGGCCACTAAGTCTTAAAGAAAAGTACTTCTCTATCATTGGCAGAGAACTTTAGGCTGGAGACAGATTAAAGTTTAAAACAAATCCAAGGAGTCAACTTTGTAGACAACACAGGTTATTTAAGCCTCTGTTCCTTCTTTGTTAGAGTACACTGAAACTTTTCTTCAGAGCTGACCCTGGAAGTAGGCAGAAAGGTTGCTGTCTCTTTAAGTTGCCTTAAACTACCTCAGGAGAGCTTCCATCAGCCAAAAATCCCCTTGTAGAGCAGCCCTTCCATTCTCAACCAAGGCAAAAATACTTGAAATTCAGTTAATAGCAATTCATTCATATGAGCTAAATGTTGCCCCCTTGAAGCATTGTGCTTTGTGAAAAAAAAATTCCTGGAAGGGGAGAGGTCTGGATTGGTTGGCTCAATTAGCTTTTCTTGTGAGTGGAAGGTATTGAGGGCAGGGAGAACCCTGAGAATTAGTGAGAGGCAGAAGAGCAGAACAAAGAGGTGTTGAGATAGGGACATTGGCAAACAAAGAAGCTAGAGGTAAAGGGGTTAACGAAAGAGATATCCAAAGGAAACCACTGGTGTCATAAAACAGTGGGGGCATCTACGGGCAGGAGAGCATGATCGGGCCACTGAGGCTGCTCTACGAGGGGTTGGCTATAGCCTCCCACCCACTACCCTTGAAATTCTTAGTCCCCAACTCCCACCAAGATTTTCAGCAAATACCTCCAAGGAGCTGAAAGAACACAAGAACCTGAAGTAGTAACTCAGTGGCTGGTCCATGAGCTTAATAAGTATCTGTTGAATGAATAAATCGAATATTTCCAGTGCGTCCCTCTGAAGCCATCTTGATTGTTAAAGCCTTCTTGCTTGGTCTCTAGAGCATTTGATCAAGGGTGTGGTGCCTATGAAATAGGTTCTAATTCCATGAGGTGTGGAGTGGAATGGACCTGGAATCCGTACTTTGCATTTTGTGGGATTATCCTTGGTTGAAGTTGTTTCTCACGCCAGTGGAACAGAGGCTTCATTCATAATTCATGCATTTGACATCTCTGTCAAGTATTGCTTACCAGATGGGATTCTCAACAGTAACAGAAACAGAAAGCAGGTTGCTGCATAGAGTTGGAGTGAAATCACAGGTGGAGGTATGGTATGAACTGAAGTTTTCTAGTTAAGGCAGAGACCTTTGAGAGGTCACTGAGTTGCAACCTCTGTTGGTTCTACAAGGTAATGAGAGGCGAAGATGAAGCAATAAGACAGAAATGCTACCTCTGGAAGCTGATGGCCACTGCTGTCTTCTGGGAGGGAAAACAAGGCCTAGAATGACTAAGAGGCTGCTTATTGTTACAGGTTAACCCTGGAGTAGAATAGGCCCAAACCAATATTGCAAGGAAAATGGGAAGGAATAGACACAGGAAGTGTATTTGTGTGTGTGTGTGTGTGTGTGTGTGTGTGTGTGTGTGTGTGTGTGTCGGAGACGGAAGCAGGGCTAACCCATCAGCTAATCATTTGGCTGCAGTAGAAGGGAGATGAGAACTGCTTAAAAGATTTGAGGCTTACAAAACTGAGATAACTATTATATTAGCAGCAAAAACTAGGCAATTCTGGGAAGGAGAGAGTGAGCTGAAACTGTCTTTGGATAATTTAGAACAGAACGAGCATATCTTGTTTGATTTTTCATTTTACTTTGGTCTTTTGCCATGGTAGAATATTATATACATTCAATGGAATTTTGTATTAGGAAAGTGTTAAATGCATCAAAATTTCCATGTAGACCAACGTCTCATGCATTAGGGCATTTATGGGGTGAGGGTCAGAAATATGTATCCAAAAAATGCCTATTTCTTAGTTCACAGTTTTATCTTCCTCATCATTTCTGCTATGAAGCCAACATTTTCTCAGATTTGGAATACTTTTCTCACTCGTGTACTCATATACATACATACATATATATATAAATAAATCTCTTTCCAGACACATAATTCCAGGAACTTTATAATGCCTTTGTTATTAGTCTTTTGATAAAATTTTCTAATTAAGTCAGTGTGACACTCGGCCAAAGAACAGAATTACTTCAGAATATCCTCATGTTTCTTTTTTGGTAGAGTTTACCCTGAAAGCAAGACAAAGAAATCAATTTCAGCTGCCATTAGAGAGATTTAGGTTGGACTGGGAGAAGAACTCCCAGACTGCAAGAACCTGGCAGAAGCGCTATGTGGGGAACTTAAAATCCTCATCTCTAGGGAATTCTAGAGAGAAGTGAAACCACCACTCACATACAGAATTGCCTTAGTGAAAATAATCGTGTCCAGGAAAATCCTCTTTGTTTCAAAAATTTTAACGACCTTCAATTCTATATTGCCACACTATCTCATGACTTGGCTCAGAAAGCATAAGCATTTTCATAGTGAAATGTGGAAGACATTGTTAGTACCCGTCCAATCTGCATTCCCCAATCCCTGAAAACTGATTTCTCCCCCACCATAATGGGTCCTAAAATTCATGTGGTGCCATGTGGCCCTGTTGGGGTCCCATCACCACCCACGGAAGGGCTGATTGGAGTGGGATAGCCATTCAATCCAAGAGGTATTATTCAAGCAGATATAAGCCAATTCTATTCTCTCTTCCGGGGTGTGGCATCAGGACTGAGCAAGCAGACCAGCAATGGTTAAGAGCACAGACTCTCGAGCCAGGCTGCCTGGGTTTGACGTCCAAATCTACTACTCATTTGCTATGGGAATTTAGACGTGTCACTTAGCTTCTCTGCCTCAATTTTATCTGTAAAATGGGGATAAACATTATAGTTTAGATGAGAGGATTAAATAAGTTAATACAACATGTAAACTGCTTGGAGTAGAGTCTGAACTGTGGCATCCACTATCTATCTGAGGGTTGGCTAATTTGTGACCTTGGCTGGTCACATGAATTAAAGAGCTGTAGGTCTGGGAATTGAAGACACTGTGGAATGATCAACTTCAGGCTTGGACCTGAATAAGGAGGGAAAGACAGTCTTCAGGACAAGATGAAAAAAAAGAATGGAGTGAAAAGGCAAATCAGGAGACCAGGAAGGCCTACAGATAGAGCAGGTGCTTTGATTTTTCATGGTTTTCTGGCTCCTGGTTCTGGTCTGTCCTAAGTCTGAACTCACTTTAGCCTGTTCAGTTCCATGAGATACCTATCTGTCCTTATAAGAAATGCTACTCTTTTGGCTTACACTAGTTTGAGAGAGTGTCTATTACTTGAAACTAAGAATCCTTGGTGAGGAGAGTTAGATTTACACTCAATTGCCCTTGAACACAAATTTTAAAGCAACCAGAACAGAAAGAGTACTTCAGGGGAAAGACACTGCAGATTCCATTTTATTTTTTTTGTTATTATACTTTAAGTTTTAGGGTACATGTGCACAATGTGCAGGTTAGTTACATATGTATACATGTGCCCTGCTGGTGTGCTGCACCCACTAACTCCTCATCTAGCATTAGGTATATCTCCCAATGCTATCCCTCCCCCCACCCCCCACCCCACAACAGTCCCCAGAGTGTGATGTTCCTCTTCCTGTGTCCATGTGCTCTCATTGTTCAATTCCCACTTGTGAGTGAGAATATGCAGTGTTTGGTTTTTTGTTCTTGTGATAGTTTACTGAGAATGATGATTTCCAGTTTCATCCATGTCCCTACAAAGGACATGAACTCATCATTTTTTATGGCTGCATAGTATTCCATGGTGTATATATGCCACATTTTCTTAATCCAGTCTATCATTGTTGGACATTTGGGTTGGTTCCAAGTCTTTGCTATTGTGAATAATGCCGCATAAACATACGTGTGCATGTGTCTTTATAGCAGCATGATTTATAGTCCTTTGGGTATATACCCAGTAATGGGATGGCTGGGTCAAGTGGTATTTCTAGTTCTAGATCCCTGAGGAATCGCCACACTGACTTCCGCAATGGTTGAACTAGTTTACATTCCCACCAACAGTGTAAAAGTGTTCCTATTTCTCCACATCCTCTCCAGCACCTGTTGTTTCCTGACTTTTTAATGATTGGCATTCTAACTGGTGTGAGATGGTATCTCATTGTGGTTTTGATTTGCATTTCTCTGATGGCCAGTGATGGTGAGCATTTTTTCATGTGTTTTTTGGCTGCATAAATGTCTTCTTTTGAGAAGTGTCTTTTCATGTCCTTTGCCCACTTTTTGATGGGGTTGTTTTTTTCTTGTAAATTTGTTTGAGTTCATTGTAGATTCTGGATATTAGCCCTTTGTCAGATGAGTAGATCGCAAAAATTTTCTCCCATTTTGTAGGTTGCCTGTTCACTCTGATGGTAGTTTCTTTTGCTGTGCAGAAGCTCTTTAGTTTAATTCGATCCCATTTGTCAATTTTGTCTTTTGTTGCCATTGCTTTTGGTGTTTTTGACATGAAGTCCTTGCCCATGCCTATGTCCTGAATGGTAACACCTAGGTTTTCTTCTAGGGTTTTTATGGTTTCAGGTCTAACGTTTAAGTCTTTAATCCATCTTGAATTGATTTTTGTATAAGGTGTAAGGAAGGGATCCAGTTTCAGCTTTCTACATATGGCTAGCCAGTTTTCCCAGCACCATTTATTAAATAGGGAATCCTTTCCCCATTGCTTGTTTTTCTCAGGTTTGTCAAAGATCAGATAGTTGTAGATATACGATGTTATTTCTGAGGGCTCCGTTCTGTTCCATTGATCTATATCTCTGTTTTGGTACCAGTACCATGCTGTTTTGGTTACTGTAGCCTTGTAGTATAGTTTGAAGTCAGGTAGTGTGATGCCTCCAGCTTTGTTCTTTTGGCTTATGATTGACTTGGCAATGCGGGCTCTTTTTTGGTTCCATATGAACTTTAAAGTAGTTTTTCCAATTCTGTGAAGAAAGTCATTGGTAGCTTGGTGGGGATGGCAATGAATCTGTAAATTACCTTGGGCAGTATGGCCATTTTCACGATATTGATTCTTCCTACCCATGAGCATGGAATGTTCTTCCATTTGTTTGTATCCTCTTTTATTTCCTTGAGCAGTGGTTTGTAGTTCTCCTTGAAGAGGTCCTTCACGTCCCTTGTAAGTTGGATTCCTAGGTATTTTATTCTCTTTGAAGCAATTGTGAATGGGAGTTCACTCATGATTTGGCTCTCTGTTTGTTATTGGTGTATAAGAATGCTTGTGATTTTTGTACATTGATTTTGTATCCTGAGACTTTGCTGAAGTTGCTTATCAGCTTAAGGAGATTTTGGGCTGAGACAATGGGGTTTTCTAGATATACAATCATGTCACATCTGCAAACAGGGACAATTTGACTTCCTCTTTCCCTAATTGAATATCCTTTATTTCCTTCTCCTGCCTAATTGCCCTGGCCAGAACTTCCAACACTATGTTGAATAGGAGTGGTGAGAGAGGGCATCCCTGTCTTGTGCCAGTTTTCAAAGGGAATGCTTCCAGTTTTTGCCCATTCAGTATGATATTGGCTGTGGGTTTGTCATAGATAGCTCTTATTATTTTGAAATACGTCCCATCAATACCTCATTTATTGAGAGTTTTTAGCATGAAGGGTTGCTGAATTTTGTCAAAGGTCTTTTCTGCATCTATTGAGATAATCATGTGGTTTTTGTCTTTGGTTCTGTTTATATGCTGGATTACATTTATTGATTTGCGTATATTGAACCAGCCTTGCATCCCAGGGATGAAGCCCACTTGATCATGGTGGATAAGCATTTTGATGTGCTGCTGGATTCGGTTTGCCAGTATTTTATTGAGGATTTTTGCATCAATGTTCATCAAGGATATTGGTCTAAAATTCTCTTTTTTGGTTGTGTCTCTGGCAGGCTTTGGTATCAGGATGATGCTGGCCTCATAAAATGAGTTAGGGAGGATTCCCTCTTTTTCTATTGATTGGAATAGTTTCAGAAGGAATGGTACCAGTTCCTCCTTGTACCTCTGGTAGAATTCAGCTGTGAATCCATCTGGTCCTGGACTCTTTCTGGTTGGTAAGCTATTGATTATTGCCACAATTTCAGATCCTGTTATTGGTCTATTCAGAGATTCAACTTCTTCCTGGTTTAGTCTTGGGAGAGTGTATGTGTTGAGGAATTTATCCATTTCATCTAGATTTTCTAGTTTATTTGCGTAGAGGTGTTTGTAGTATTGTCTGATGGTAGTTTGTATTTCTGTGGGATCGGTGGTGATATCCCCTTTATCATTTTTATTGCCTCTATTTGATTCTTCTCTGTTTTTTTCTTTACTAGTCTTGCTAGCAGTTTATCAATTTTGTTGATCCTTTCAAAAAACCAGCTCTTGGATTCTTTAATTTTTAAAGGGTTTTTTGTGTCTCTATTTCCTTCAGTTCTGCTCTGATTTTAGTTATTTCTTGCCTTCTGCTAGCTTTTGAATATGTTTGCTCTTGCCTCTCTAGTTCTTTTAATTCTGATGTTAGGGTGTCAATTTTGGATCTTTCCTGTTTTCTCTTGTGGGCATTTAGTGCTATAAATTTCCCTCTACACACTGCTTTGAATGCATCCCAGAGATTCTGGTATGTTGTGTCTTTGTTCTCGTTGGTTTCAAAGAACATCTTTATTTCTGCCTTCATTTCGTTATGTACCCAGTAGTCATTCAGGAGCAGGTTGTTCAGTTTCCATGTAGTTGAGCGGTTTTGAGTGAGATTCTTAATCCTGAGTTCTAGTTTGATTGCACTGTGGTCTGAGAGATAGTTTGTTATAATTTCTGTTCTTTTACATTTGCTGAGGATAGCTTTACTTCCAAGTATGTGGTCAATTTTGGAATAGGTGTGGTGTGGTGCTGAAAAAAATGTATATTCTGTTGATTTGGGGTGGAGAGTTCTGTAGATGTCTATTAGGTCCGCTTGGTGCAGAGCTGAGTTCAATTCCTGGGTATCCTTGTTGACTTTCTGTCTCGTTGATCTGTCTAATGTTGACAGTGGGGTGTTAAAGTCTCCCATTATTAATGTGTGGGAGTCTAAGTCTCTCTGTAGGTCACTCAGGACTTGCTGTATGAATCTGGGTGCTCCTGTATTGGGTGCATATATATTTAGGATAGTTAGCTCTTCTTGTTGAATTGATCCCTTTACCATTATGTAATGGCCTTCTTTGTCTCTTTTGATCTTTGTTGGTTTAAAGCCTGTTTTATCAGAGACTAGGATTGCAACCCCTGCCTTTTTTTGTTTTCCATTTGCTTGGTAGATCTTCCTCCATCCTTTTATTTTGAGCCTATGTGTGTCTCTGCACGTGATATGGGTTTCCTGAATACAGCACACTGATGGGTCTTGACTCTTTATCCAATTTGCCAGTCTGTGTCTTTTAATTGGAGCATTTAGTCCATTTACATGTAAAGTTAATATTGTTATGTGTGAATTTCATCCTGTCATGATGATGTTAGCTGGTTATTTTGCTCGTTAGTTGATGCAGTTTCTTCCTAGTCTCAATGGTCTTTACATTTTGGCATGATTTTGCAGCGGCTGGTACTGGTTGTTCCTTTCCATGTTTAGCGCTTCCTTCAGGAGCTCTTTTAGGGCAGGCCTGGTGGTGACAAAATCTCTCAGCATTTGCTTGTCTGTAAAGTATTTTATTTCTCCTTCACTTATGAAGCTTAGTTTGGCTGGATATGAAATTCTGGGTTGAGAATTCTTTTCTTTAAGAATGTTGAATATTGGTCCCCACTCTCTTCTGGCTTGTAGAGTTTCTGCTGAGAGATCTGCTGTTAGTCTGATGGGCTTCCCTTTGAGGGTAACCCTACCTTTCCCTCTGGTTGCCCTTAACATTTCTTCCTTCATTTCAACTTTGGTGAATCTGACAATTATGTGTCTTGGAGTTGCTCTTCTCGAGGAGTATCTTTGTGGCGTTCTCTGTATTTCCTGAATCTGAATGTTGGCCTGCCTTGCTAGGTTGGGGAAGTTCTCCTGGATAATATCCTGCAGAGTGTTTTCCAACTTGGTTCCATTCTCCCCGTCACTTTCAGGTACACCAATCAGACGTAGATTTGGTCTTTTCACATAGTCCCATATTTCTTGGAGGCTTTGCTCATTTCTTTTTATTCTTTTTTCTCTAAACTTCCCTTCTCACTTCATTTCATTCATTTCATCTTCTATCACTGTTACCCTTTCTTGCAGTTGATCGCATCGGCTCCTGAGGCTTCTGGATTCTTCACGTAGTTCTTGAGCCTTGGTTTTCAGCTCCATCAGCTCCTTTAAGCACTTCTCTGTATTGGTTATTCTAGTTATACATTCTTCTAAATTTTTTTCAAAGTTTTCAACTTCTTTGCCTTTGGTTTGAATGTCCTCCCGTAGCTCGGAGTAATTTGATCGTCTGAAGCCTTCTTCTCTCAGCTCGTCAAAGTCATTCTCTGTCTAGCTTTGTTCCATTGCTGGTGAGGAACTGCGTTCCTTTGGAGGAGGAGAGGCGCTCTGCTTTTTAGAGTTTCCAGTTTTTCTGCTCTGTTTTTTCCCCATCTTTGTGGTTTTATCTACTTTTGGTCTTTGATGATGGTGATGTACAGATGGGTTTTTGGTGTGGATGTCCTTTCTGTTTGTTAGTTTTCCTTCTAACAGACAGTACCCTCAGCTGCAGGTCTGTTGGAATACCCTGCCGTGTGAGGTGTCAGTGTGCCCCTGCTGGGGGGTGCCTCCCAGTTAGGCTGCTCAGGGGTCAGGGGTCAGGGACCCACTTGAGGAGGCAGTCTGCCTGTTCTCAGATCTCCAGCTGCGTGCCGGGAGAACCACTGCTCTCTTCAAAGCTGTCAGACAGGGACATTTAAGTCTGCAGAGGTTACTGCTGTCTTTGTGTTTGTCTGTGCCCTGCCCCCAGAGGTGGAGCCTACAGAGGCAGGCAGGCCTCCTTGAGCTGTGGTGGGCTCCACCCAGTTTGAGCTTCCCAGCTGCTTTGTTTACTTAAGCAAGCCTGGGCAATGGCGGGTGCCCCTCCCCCAGCCTCACTGCAGCCTTGCAGTTTGATCTCAGACTGCTGTGCTAGCAATCAGCGAGACTCCATGGGCGTAGGACCCTCCGAGCCAGGTGCGGGATATAATCTCCTGGTGCACCGTTTTTTAAGCCCCTTGGAAAAGCGCAGTATTTGGGTGGGAGTGACCCAACTTTCCAGGTGCTGTCTGTCACCCCTTTCTTTGACTAGGAAAGGGAACTCCCTGACTCCTTGCACTTCCCGAGTGAGGTAATGCCTCGCCGTGCGTGCACCCACTGACCTGCGCCCACTGTCTGGCACTCCCTAGTGAGACAAACCCGGTACCTCAGATGGAAATGCAGAAATCACCCGTCTTCTGCGTTGCTCATGCTGGGAGCTGTAGACCAGAGCTGTTCCTATTCGGCCATCTTCACATTCCATTTTTTTAAGTGTTACTTCTGTCTCAGAACAAGAGATGCCTCCTTTGTGAAATATTTTAGAACATTCACATTCTTCATTAACAGCTTCTAAACTGAGGAACTTTTTCTGCAACTGAAACTCACTTTCCTATATAAAAATAAATTTAAAGTTGGGTGAGCCAAATTTCCCCTCTTCCACTTGATTATATTCTGCAGTCCAAAAAGTTGTGCCCTCTTCCTCCCTCTTTGATGGTATGAAAGTCAAGCTGACACATTATCTGATAATTTCCATTCCAACTTCAAGTCCACAGACTCAACCTGCTAAATCCTTTGACTTAAGTCATGACAAATGACACACATTACTGTGCCTCATAACACATCTTCTAAAACCTTTCCAAATAACCAGCCGGCAGGCAGCACTGCCAGCCTCGCCACAGACACCATCATTTTTTCCCCTTCCCTGTCTGGCTCTGCGTTTTTGGAACCAAGATGAAACTTAACCTTCCCAAACAAAGACCGTTTACTAGGCAACTTAGGGCCAGTAATTAGCTCACACACCATAAGGTGCTACAGAGCTATTTGCAGATCTTTTCCAAGTTTAGGCTTTTTTTTTCTTCTTCCAGAAATTACCCCTTTTCTCTAAGAACCCACAATCATTTACCACTGAATGAAGGAACTACACTTATTATAAGAGTAAAACATTAAAAACCTCTTTCAAGGATGGTCAGACAACCTCATAAATCATATTCTCCACACTGGTGAGTTTGGGATGGGAAGGGATGTGTTGACATATTTAGAAGCCGTTGGGGTGCTGTGGTTTCACAGCTAGGAGGGAAACTCGAGCTTGTTGAAGTTGGACCTTACTTGTATTTTTATTTATTGAATTAATGAAATCTTGGCAACAAACTATGTTTTACTTTAGACAAGATGGGATATTTTTTCATTGCCCCCACCTACCTTGTCTCCCTTTCTGCCCCTCTCAAATAGACAATTTTTATAAATGTTTCAAATGCTAGAAAAGCTTCCTGGGCAGCCAAACTGAACCTTAAAAAAATCAAGATGAACCAATCAATACATGGAGATGTGGCTTCCATTAAAATTGACATTTGGGTGTTAGAAGAAGAAAGAAACAGCATGAAAGTAAATATTTTGAATGCATTTACAAGGCTGCTTGATTCTAAGAGTTTGCACATTTAGCAATCTATAGGTCAGCCTGAATGGTAGTTTGCAAAAACCATAGATCACCAGAATTCAGCCAACATAGCTCATGATATTTCCTCACATTTGAAGCCTCTACCATTCTAACAGTGAATGTGAATGTGTATGTGTGTGTGTGTGTGTGTACACTAGTGACTTAATAACAAAAATTATCATCATTGTTTAGTATAGAGGTTTTCAACTCCAACTATAAACTAGAATCATCCGGGCAGCTTTTGAAAGCCCCCAGGCATTTATACTTCTTAAAAGCTCTGCAGTTATGGTCCCAACAGGAAATCAATGACAGATTCAAACTGGGTAAGCTGAAGAAAGTTTAATAAAGGGACTCTTTACAAAGGTGCCAGCAGAGTACAGGGAAACTAGAAGGAATAGTGCAGTACTTTCAGTCTAGGAGCAGTAGGGTGTTATTATCACCCCTAGTTTAGAAAAGGAAAGGGTGGAAATAGTCATCAGAACCCAGAGAAAGGGGAAGCCCCCCTGGGGAGAGTCACCTGACAGGAGCTATATGACCTTAAGTCTAAGGATGCAGCCAACCCTGGGTAATTTCATATGAAGGCAGCCAGGGAAGCTATATCCCAACCACATTTTCATCTTCCCCCTCCATCTGCTACTTGTCCTCCTCATGACAGAACCCAGCTAGAAGCGGGAAGATAAGGGAGCCTTTTGTTGCTGTCCTTAAAGGTCAACCCTCCTCTGCCCCTTCTTGAGACAACACAGGATGAAAGGGAGTGGAGAGTGGATCTATGAAATAAACAGGAGGTGTTCAGCCCATCAGGAGATTCTCCTGCAACCAGATTTTCTGGTCTGCTGTGGAATTGGCATTGCTATGGAAATCAGAAGTCGGAGGTCTTAGTTCTGGTTATATGTGACATTGAGCAACATACTCTACTTGTTTGAGTCTGTTTTCTTAGAAATAAAGGGCGTTGGCTTAGCTCAGTGTTTTCAAAAGTGTGGTGCTAGAACTCTGCTCATGTATCTCAGGTGCCTCTTGGGGTGGGAAGATAGAGAGGCCAAAAGGTGGATTCTAGCCTCATTCCCCATTGCAGTCCCTAGTAAGTAAATAAGTAATGTGCTAAATTATTCTAGGGAGTGTCAAATTATTTATCTCAGGTTTACTGTATTTTTGAGACACTGACTGTCTAGACCAATATATATGATCACGACAAAGGAAGAAATTATATGTATGTTTCTAATTAATTTAAATACAAATGTAGGGTGTGTGTGTGTGTACTTATAAGTATATTAGTGATGAAAAAGAGGTATTTTTAGAGTTGAGAAAATGAAAGCTTAAAAAGATTAGCTCTAACTTGCTCATGTTTAAGAGGGCAAATATATGGTGGAGTCATGGTTCAAACTTAGGTTTGTCTTATTCCAAAAACAATGCCACCAAAGAACACAAAAACTGAAGAAAAAAAAAGTATACCTACTTAGACACACACATTTACATATTTACATATTCTTTTAGTATGTTTCAGGTTTACTGCATCTTCATTAGCTTTTCCCAGGTTTAAAGGTCTGCCCTTCTGCAGGCTGCACTTGCCAGGGTCCACTTCATCATCTGATGTCTTTCAACAGAGTACAAAAGACAGATCACATGGCAGATGAGCAAAAATTATGATCGTTGGATTTATGCAACATTTGAAATAGCTATCTGTCCAAATTTTTCCTCCAACCTACAAAAGAGAGTTTTATGTTATCAGTAGGTAAAGATTCAGTTTTTGAAGATTTATTCTGTTACCCCATGACTGCCTGGTTTTTCTCAATGGGAAATTGGGCTTTTGAAAGTTTATATGTTCACAGTTCAGAGAAAACAAAGGTCAGTGAGGCTGAGCAGTCACAGAGCCTTGGGAACTTCAGGGGGTTTTGTAGGGTGGATATGAGAATTTTCACATCCATTCTGTGTAAAGTTCTGTCAAGCAGGCCCTTGTCCCTCTAGGAAAATATCAAATATAATCTTAGAAATTGAGTGTTTAGGGGGTGTTTTCCTGTGTCTTTAAATTCCTGGACCCAAAATGTCTCATTCAACAAATATTGATACATTAATAAATATGTGCTATGCTAGGTGACAATGATGGGTGATAATGATGAAAAATACATTTTATAAACAAATGATGGTTATTAAAATATAATGAAATAATCGACACAGTATGGACTTGGTATAAAGAACAGTGGGAGTGGAGAATGAATTCTTATTTCTGCCTGGGATAATGAGTGACATTTCCATAAGGAGGAATAATTTGACCTGAGACTTGAAAGATAAATATGTTTTTACCTGATAGACAACGAAGAGGGGTATTTCAGGCAAAGGAAACTGTATATGCAAAGTTACAGAGGTATGAAATAGGACAGGTGATGAAAAGACTAACAAGAAGTTTGATATGCTTACGATATAGGATGCAAGTAAGGCAGTAATAGAAGTGAAGCTGGGTTGGTAGGTAGCCAGATCACGATGGGTTTTAAGTAGTAAGTTGAGGAGTTTCTATTTTATCCTACCTTGTTTATGATTTTAAAACAAATCTGCACATATGCTCAGAGATACACACATGCAGGGTGTATACATGATATTATGCTAAACAGAACATATCTTCCTGGAGCACCAATTTTATTAGAAATATTAGAAGAGACATTTTCAAATTAATTAATTGATGCATAATAATTGTACATATTTATGGGGTGCATGTGATATTTTGATATAAGCATATAATGTGAAATGATCAAATCAGGGTGCTTAGGATGTCCATCATCTCAAATAATTATCATTTCTTTTTGTTGGGAACATTTCTACTTTTCCAGCTATTTTGAAATAAATAATACTTTATTGTTAACTATAGTCACCCTACTGTGCTGTCAAACACTAGAACTTGTCTTGCTATCTGACTGTATATTGGTACCCAATAAACAATCTCTATTCATTTCCCTCCCCTTCTTTCCAGCTTCTGGTAGCCATCATTCTACTCCCTTCCTCCATGAAATCAACTATTTTAGCTCCCACATGTGAGTGAGAACATGCAATATTTATTTTTCTACACCTGGCTTATTTCACTTAATATAATGACCTCCAGTTCTACCTACATTGCTGCAAATGACAGAATTTTATTCATTTTATGGCTGAATAATATTCCATTGTGTATATATACCACATTTTCTTTATCCATTCTTCTGTCAGTGGCCATGTATGTTGATTCCATATCTTAGCTATTGTGAATAGTGTCACAATAAACATGTGAGTGCAGGTATCTCTTTGATATACAATTTTTTTTCCTTTGGATAAATACCTTGTAGTGATATTGCTGGATCATACGGTAGTTCTATTTTTAGTTTTTTGAGAAATCTCTATATTGTTTTCCGTAGTAGTTGTGCTAATTTATATTTCCATCAACAGAGTATAAGAATTTCCTCTTCTCTGTACCTCACCAGCATCTATTATTTTTTGTGTTTTTAATAGTAGCCATTCTAATTGGGATAAAATGATATTTCATTGTGGTTTCAATTTGCATTTCCTTGATGATTAGTGATGCTGAATATTTTTCATGTACCTGTTTGTAAGTCTTTTGAGAAATGTCTATTCATGTCCTTAGCCTACTTTTTAATGAGATTTTTTTATTATTGTTGAGTTCTTTGAGCTCCTTATATATTCTGGATACTAGTGCCTTTTAAAGGTATAGTTTGCAAATATTTTATCCAATTCAATGAATTTTCTCTTCACCCCATTCATTGCTTCCTTTCTTGTGAAGAAGTTTTTAGTTTAATATAATCCCATTTGTCTTTTGGGGTTATAGTTATCTGTGCTTTTGAAGTCTTAACCATGAAATCATTGACTAGACCAGTATCCTGAATATTTCCCCTATTTTTCTTCTAGTAGTTTTATAGTTTTGGGTCTTACATTTAAATCTTTAATCCATTTTAAGTTGATTTGTATGTAGGATGAGAGATAGGGGTCTAGTTTTATTCTTCTGCATATGGATATACACTTTTCCCAGGACATTTATTAAAGAGGGTGTTCTTTCCCCAGTGAATGTTTTTGGCACCTTTGTCAAAAATCAGTTGGCTTTAAATACATGCATTTATTTCTGGGTGGTTCTCTATTCTGTTCCATTGGCATATGTGTTTGTTTTTAAACAAATACCATGCTGGTTTGGTTACCATAGCTTTGTAGTATATTTTGATGTCAGGTAGTGTGATGGCTCTAGCTTTGTTCTTTTTGCTCAGGATTGCTTTGGCTATTCTGGCTCTTTCTCATATGTTCCAGATGAATTTTAGAATTGTTTTTTCTATTTATGTGAAAAATTACATTGGTATTTTGGTAGATATTGCATTAAATTTGTAGGTTGCTTTGGGTACTATGGTCGTTTTAGCAATATTAATACTTCCAACCCATGAGCATGGGATGTTTTTCCATTTGCTTGTGTCTTTTTCAATTTTTTCATCAGTTTTTTCTAGTTTCTGTTGTGGAGGTAGGCTTTTCACCTCCTTGGTTAAATTTGTTTCTAGGAATTTTATTTTTTGTAGCTATTGTAAATGGGATTGGTTTCTTGATTTCTTTTTCAACTAGATCATTTTGGTATATAAAAACACTATTGAGGCCGGGCGCGGTGGCTCACGCCTGTAATCCCAGCACTTTGGGAGGCCGAGGCGGGCGGATCACGAGGTCAGGAGATCGAGACCATCCCGGCTAAAACGGTGAAACCCCGTCTCTACTAAAAATACAAAAAATTAGCCGGGCGTAGTGGCGGGCGCCTGTAGTCCCAGCTACTTGGGAGGCTGAGGCAGGAGAATGGCGTGAACCCAGGAGGCGGAGCTTGCAGTGAGCCGAGATCCCGCCACTGCACTCCAGCCTGGGCGACAGAGCGAGACTCCGTCTCAAAAAAAAAAAAAAAAAAAAAAAAAAAAAACAAAAACAACAAAAAAAACACTATTGATTTTTGTATGTGTAAGAGTTTTTTGGTAGAGTCTTTAGATTTTTCTGTATATAATATTATATCATCTGCATAGAGGAAATTTGACTTCCTTTTTCCCAATTTGAATGCTTTTTATTTCTTTCTCTTGTCTGTCTGATTGCTCTGGATAGAACTTCCATTACAATGCTGGATAAAAGTAGTGAAAGTAGGCATCATTACCTTGTTCCAGTTCTTAGAGAAAAGGCTTTAAGCTTTTCCCCATTTAGTACGATGTTAGCTGTGAAATTGTCATATATGGTCTTAATTATATTAAGGTGATTTCCTTCTATGCCTAATTTGTTGACAGTTTTTTATCAAGAAGCAATATTGAATTTTATCAAATGCTTTTTCAGCATCTATTGAGATGCTCATATGTTTTTTGTCCTTCATTCTGTTGATGTGGTGTTTTGTGTTTATTGATTTGCATATATTGAACCATTCTTGCATCCCTGAGATAAATGCCACTTGATCATGGTGTATAGTCTTTTTGATGTGTTGTTGGATTCAGTTTGCTAGCATTTTAGTGAGCATTTTTGCATCTGTGTTCATCAAGGATATTGGCCTGTAGTTTTCTCTTTTTGTTGTGTCTGGTTTTGGTATCAGGGTAATGTTAGCCTCATTTGAGTTAGGAAGAGTTTCCTTTTCTTCAATTGTTTAGAATAGTTTGAGAAGAACTAGTGTTAGTTCTTCCTTAAGTTTGGTAGTATTTCGCAGTAAAGCCTTTCACTCTTGAGCTTTCCTTTGTTGGGAGACTTGATTGCTGTTTCAATCTCATTACTAGTTATTGGTCTATTCAGCTTTTCTGTCTTTTCATGGTTCATTCTTGGTATGTTGTATGTTTTTAGGAATTTATCCGCTTTTTCTAGGTTTTCTCATTTGTTAGCATATAGTTGTTCATGATAGCTAATGATTCTTTGTATTTTTGCATTATCAGTTGTAATATCTCCATTTTTGTTTCTGATTTTATTTATTTGGGTCTTTTTTTTTCTTGGCTAGTCTAGCTAGCAGTTTATCAATTTTGTTTATCTATTCAAAAATCAATCTTTTGTTTTGTTGATCCTTTCTATTGCTTTTGTAGTCTCTATTTCATTGAGTTCTGCTCTGATTTTTCTTTTCCTTCTACTAATTTTAAATTTGGTTTGTTCTTACTTTTTTAGTTACCTGAGTTGCATCATTAGGTTATTTGAAATCTTCCTGATGTAGGCATTTATTGCTATAAACCCCCCTCTCAGCACTGCTTTTGCTGTGTGTCCTAGGCTTTGGTATGTTGTGTTTCTATTTTCATTTATTTCAATACATTTTTGGCTTTTTTCTTAATTTCTTCATTGATCCAGTGGTCATTCAGGAGCATGTTGTTTAATTTTTGTATGTTTGTATAGTTCCCAAAGTTCCTCTTGGTATTAATTTCTAGTTTTATTCCATTGTGGTATTAGATTTTGGTTTTTTAAAATCTGTTAAGACTTGTTTTGTGGCCTAACATATATTCTATCCTGGAGAATGTTCCATGTGCTGATAAGAAGAATGTGTATTCTACATTTGTTAAATAATATGTTCTGTAAATATCTATTATATCCGATTGGTCTAACATGCAGTTTAAATTCAATGTTTCTTTATTGATTTTCTGTCTATATAACCAACCTATTCAGTGCTGAGAGTTTTGGTGTTGAAGTCCCTAATTATTATTGTAATGAAGCCTATCTCTCCCTTTGAATCTAATAATATTTGCTTTATATAACTGAGTGTTTGGTGTTGGGTGCATATAAAATTAGAATTGTTATATTATCTTTCTGAATTGATCCTTTTATCATTAAATAATGACCTTCTTTGTCTTTTTGTTTTTTAGTTTTTGACTTAAAGTCTGTTTTATTTGATGTAATTCCTACTTGCTTTTGGTTTCCATTTGCATGGCACATCTTTATCCATTCCTTCACTTTCAGTCCATATGTGTCTTTACAGATGAAATGAGTTTATTGTAGGCAGCATATAGTTGGGTCAAAGGACAGAAACCCAAACACTGCATGTTCTCCCTCATAGGTGGGAGGTGAACAATGAGAACACTTGGACAAAGGAAGGGGAACATCACACAGCTGTGTATGTGGATGGTGTTGGGAGAAATGTGCATTAAGCATTTTTGTCTGCATTGAAGAGGGGTTGAAATGAAGATCACTTTTGAACTAGTTATGAGGAAAAGGTTTCCTAAATTAATTAATAAATAAGAATACAGAAAGGGTTGAGTTTATGAGAGCAGATTCTTTGCAAATGATCTTAAAAGATGTATTTATATGTAAGTGTCATATGTTGTACACAAAGTACAATGAGAACACTTAGACACAGGGTGGGGAACATCACATACTGGGGCCTGTCGTGGGGTGAGGGGAGGAGGGAGGGATAGCATTAGGAGATATACCTACTGTAAATGACGAGTTAATGGGTGCAGCACACCAACATGGCACATGGATACATATGTAACAAACCTGCATGTTATACACATGTACCCTAGAACTTAAAGTATAATAATAATAATAATAAGTAAATAAAATAAAAAAATCCATTCAGTTAGTCTATATCTTTTAAGTGGGGAATTTAATCCATTTACATTCAAAGCTATTATCGATAGGTAAGGACTTATTCCTGTCATTTTGTTAATTGTTTTCTGGATGTTTTAAGGAAATCCCATGTTTATTTCTTCCTCTCATATGGTTTATCTTTGCAGTTTGGTGTTTTTATTTAGTATAACATTTGGCTCCTTTTTATTTCCCATTTGTGTGTCTGTTCTGCCAGTGAGTTTTATCCCTTCATGTGTTTTCATGATAGTAGATATCATCCTTTTGCTTTTAGATGTAGAGCTCCCTTAAGCATTTCTTGTAGGACTTGTCTGGTAGTGATTAATTCTCTCAGTTTCTACGTGTCTGTAAAAGATTTTATGTCTCCTTTATTTTTGAAGGATATATTTGGTGAGTATAGTATTCTTCATTGATATGTTTCTTTTTGCTTTCCTTCAATACATTGAATATATCATCCCATTTTCTCCTGGCCTGTAAGGTTTCTGCTGAGAAATCTGCTGTTAGTCTTATGGGGATTCCCTTATGTGTGACTTGACATTTTTCTCTTGCTGTTTTTAGAATTCTCTCTTAATCTATGACTTTTGACAGTTTGCCTATAACATTCCTTGGAGAAGACCTTTTTGGGTTGAATCTGTTTGGGGATCTGTGAGCTTCCTCTATCTGGAAGTCTACATCTCTTGCAAGATTTGGGAACTTACCAGCTATTATTTCATTACATAGCTTTTCTAAGCCTTTGGTTTACTCTTCATCTTCTGGGACACCAAAATTTGAATCCTTGTCACTTTATAATGTCCCATATGTCGTGCAGGCATTCTTCATTCTTTTTCATTCTTTTCTCCTTTGTGTTCTAACTAGGTTTTTAAAAAATTTTTATTTTAGGTTTGGGGGTACATAAGAAGGTTTGTTATACAGGTAAACTTGTGTCACAGGGGTCTGTTGTACAGATTATTTCATCACTCTGGTATTAAGCCTAATACTCAATAGTTATTTCTTCTGGTCCTCTCCCTCCATCCACCCTTCACCCTCAAGTATATCCCAATGTCTGTTGTTCCCTTCTTTGTGTTCCTGAGTTCTCATCATTTAGTTCCCACTTATTAGTGAGAACATGCAGTATTTGGTTTTCTGTTATTTTAAAAGACCTGTCCTCAAGTTCAGACATTTTTTTCTTCTGCTTGATCTATTCTATTGCAGATTCTCTTGGTTGTATTTCTTATTTCATTAATTGAATTCTTCAGTTCCAACATTTCTATTTGGTTCTTTTTTATGATATTTATCTTTTTGTTGAATTTCGCATTCAGATCACAAATTGTTTTCCTGATTCATTTATATTGTTTATCTGAGTTCTCCTGTATCTTACTGAGTTCTTTAATATCATTATTTTGGACACTTTATAAATTTCCTTTCCTTTGGGTTCTATTACCAGACAGACAATTATTGTGTTCCTTTGGAGATATCATGTTTCCTTGTCTTTTTTTTTCATGTTTCTTGTGTTCTCATGTTGATATCTGAACATCTGGTGTAATAGTTACTTCTTCTAATTTCACAGATTGGCTTTCACAGGAAAAGATTTTTTCCTATACATGTATTTATAGAATTGATTGGATGGGGTATTTTGGTTTTGATTCTGAATGGGTGCAGTAGTGTATTCTCCATAAGATTTCTTTGGACATAATCAGTGTCAGTGATGTCTGTGAGTTACTCAGTAGCTTAGACTGCAGTTGTTAATAAAGGCTATGGTGAGGCTTTGCTGAGAATGGGGATACCAGCTGGGCTGGTCCTCAGGCATCAGTGATGGTGGTGCCAAGCAGGGCAGCCCTGTCCTCAGGCCCTTGGATAGCATGCTCAGGCACAGGTGTCAGTGGCAGTGAGCAGGGCAGGTGGATCCCCAGACTCCCAGAAAACATGTTTGGAGTTTAATTATGTTTATACTATGATATTATTGATACATGTTCCATCTTTTTAAAAAAGTAAAACTGAGAGAGAATACATATAGATGTGTTCATTTATATGTGGTGGTTAATTAGGAAATGTCATACTTTTATGTCATGAGGAACCCAGTAGGATTAGTGCTACAGTTGAATCATTGCAACCAGGGGAAAAAAATGTAGTACATAGTCATCCCTTGGTATTCATAGGGGATTGGTTCCAGGACCCCCTGCCCCAATACCAAATTCTGCAGTGCTCAAGTCCCTTATATAAAATGATTTAGTGTTTGCATATACTACATATATGTAGGTTTAACCTGTGCATATCCTCCCATATGCTTTAAATCATGTCTAGATTATTTATAGTACCTAATAAAATACCTACACATCACTTCATTCATTTGAATTCAGTGTAGTACTTTGCACATGACAAATACAAGTTTTGCTTTTTGGAACTTTGTGGAAGTTTTCTTCTGAATATTTTTGACCTGTGGTTGGTTGAATTCATGAATGCAGAACCAATGGATACAGGAGGCCAACTGTACTAATGTCTGTCTGTTGATTCAGAAATGTGGTTTGGAATTTCTTGGTGAACAGCAGACACTGGCAAAGATAGTCTGTTCATTTAAGAATTATTAGTTTTAAAAAGAAGAATTTTTGATTAAAAAATAAGCTTTTACAAATCTATCCAACTTCTCAGTTTATATTTCACCAAGTATTTTCTCAAAATTTAACTACTCATAGTTTCACTTGAAATGACTTCACCCAAAATTCAGAAGACCCTAAAATTGAGGAAGAGGAAGTTGTGGGCAATTTTAGTCACACTCTTTCTTTATTTACATTTGTAAAGTATGATACTTTCTGTTTATATTTTTCATCAGAAAGCATAAGCTTGAATAAAGGAAACATGTGTAAAATAATGAGAGAAATTCAAAACAACCTAAAATCACAGAGAATTATGAGAGACTCTGAAGCTCTACACGAAGAATTTGACAATGAAGAATGTAATAGCAATCCAAAAGTAAAATATGTACTTACATAATTTTTTTTGAGATGGCGTTTCATTCTTGTTGCCCAGGCTGGAGTGCAATAGCATGATCTCAGCTCACTGCAACCTATGCCTCCTAGGTTCAAGCGATTCTTCTGCCTCAGCCTCCCGAGTAGCTGGGATTACAGGCATCTGCCACCACGCCCAGCTAATTTTTTGTATTTTTAGTAGAGACAGGATTTCACCATGTTGGCCAGGCTCGTCTTGAACTCCTGACCTCAGGTGATCCACCTGCCTCGGCTTCCCAAAGTGCTGGGATTACAGACATGAGCCACCGCGCCTGGCCTAAGTCTTTAAATGATGAATTTATTGTTACTAAGATGAAAACTAAAAAAAACTTGACATTTCTGAAAAAAGAAAGATATTGATTACAATATCAGGACAAAATAATTCTCAGGAAATATCAAAAAGAGATGCTATAGTACATCAAAAGATATCAACAAGGAGTGTATGTGTATCAAACGAAATATATATTTGTTTATACAAATGGTAAGAGATAGAACTGTATAAGAATTAGATTCAATAGTACTTAGAGATTTCAAACTCATCATTCTTAGCTATATCTACATCAAGCATATTAAAGATAACTAAAGATATTAAAAATAGTAATAACATGATCCAATAAATTCCAATTTCATATCTGCATCTATTTCTATATGTATATCTTTATACAAAATGCGTAGCGAAATCACATTCTCTTTGTGGAATAGTCACATGAAACATTCACTAAACAGAATCTCTACAAAAATTGGCCAAATGCTGAGGCACATACAAACACGCAAACCTCAATCAATTCCACAAGATTAACATCACAGTGGTTGTCTTCTAAATTCACAATCTACTATATTCAGGAATCAATAATGAACAACAAAAAGGTATTTTAAAAAAAAAAAAAAAACTCTCATATACCTGGAAAATAGAACACATACTTCTGAATAGCCCTTGAGAAAAATAGATAATCAGATTATAAGGAAAATTGTGGAATACTTAAAACTGAATAAATATGAATACAATACATACACATTAAGGGTCATAGTTAACTAATATTTGAAATAAAATGTATAGCTTTAAACATCTTTGTAGAATTCCAAGAAAAAATAAGACCAAATGAGAAAACCATTTAACTTAGGAAGGTAGAAAATCCAGTTTATGCAATTCATGAAAAACACAGAATATAAAAATTGGAGCAAAAAAGAGGAATCTATGTATAGATGTATAGCCACAAAATAAATTGAAATAGTAATTAGAGATTTATAATTCCCAAAGTTTTTCTAAGCATAAATACCTGTAAAGAAAATTTCTTCCAAATTTTTGGGAAACAGGTCACTCTCTCTTTTTTTTGTTCTATATCATAAGTCATCAAGCAAAGATAGCTCTCATTTTTAAAATATTGTTTCACAAAACAAGGAGGGAAGAAAAACTGCCCAACTCATTTTAGGTGTTAGCGTAATCTTAGTTTCACAAGAATATTATGAAAGCATTACTTGAAACTATATGTGAAAATTTTATCAAAAATATTAGTCAATTAAATCCAAGCATGCATTAAAAATAATTCATTGTGATCAAGTAAGTAAGTTCATTTCACAGACAATGGTTTAGCATTAAAAAAACTATCAATGTAATATATCAATTAATTATAAGAAAACATGCATGCTTATCTTATTTTTTAAATGCATTTACTAAAGTTTGACGCCATATTCATTTTTTTTTTTTGATGAAGTCTCGATCTGTCACCCAGGCTGGAGTGCAGCGGTGCAATCTCGGCACACTGCAACCTCTGCCTCCCAGGTTCAAGGGATTCTCCTGCCTCACCCTCCTGAGTAGCTGGGACTAGAGGCACAAGCCACCATGCCTGGCTGATTTTTTTGTATTTTTTTGTAGAGACAGGGTTTCACCATGCTGACCAGGCTGGTCTTGAACTCCTGTCCTCATGATCCGCCCACCTCAGCCTCCCAAAGTGCTGGGATTACAGGCGTGAATCACCGCACCCAGCCTCATGGTTATTTTTAATTAAAACTCTCAAAAAAAAAAAAAAAAAAAGAAAAGAAAAAGAACAGTATCTCCTACACTCAGTCAAAATAGAGTAAGAAGAATTGTAGTTCCCCTTCCTACTTTAAAGAACTAGTAAAATAAAACAAAATACATAAAAGATGGGTTTTTCAGATATTAGAAAATGAGCAGCGCATACTTCTGCTCTCAGAGAGAAGAGAAACAAACAGAAACAAACATAGCCTTCCCATGAGGTAAGTTTCAGACACAACTATAGGGAGGTGAAATTCAAACACAGCCCATTAGTCTTACTGAGTTGAAGAGACCAGAAATCATAGTTTGGGGAGGCTAAGGTGTCTGGAATTTGCATGGCAGAATACTGAAGACAAGAGAGTTGCACAGACAGAGAGGAAAAGGGACAGGGAATGAGAGAGCGAGAGAGAGAGAGAGTTTCCCACAGGTCTTTTGCAGACTGTTGACCTGTACATGTATGAGGAGGGACTAAGTGTGAGGCCAGGGAAGGAGTCACTAGAAATTGTAAATAAGACTATCTCCAAAGCTTTGACAGAGCTAGGAATAGTTTGTGTATCTAACTGAAGGATGGAAATATCTCAAAATACACAGACTATTGGGTAGACTCCTCAATAGACTATTGCTCTAGTAATAGGGTTAAATTAACCTGAGACTAAAGAGTGCTTTGGATATGCCTTATTAAAATTTTGAGGCAAGCCTCAAAATAACCCAACAGATTTCAATTAACTGCACACAAGGAGAAAACCCAACATTATCTAAAAGAAGTCAACAGAATGAAGCAACTAACAATGTAAAATGCACAATGTTTGGAACTAACAAAAATTTACCTAGTATGTATTTACCCAAGAGAAATTTAAACATATGCCCACACAAATCATGTACTCAAATAATCAATGAGCTTTAGTCATGATAGCACAAAAATGGGGGATAAAAAGACCCAAACATCCATTGACATAGTAAATGGATAAACAGAAGGTGGTATATCCATACAATGGACTAGTACTCCGCAATGAAAAGAAACACAGTATTGATATAAGCAACAACAGTGGACAAATCTCAAAAACATTGTGATAAATGAAGTAGCCAGACATAAAAGTCTACACACTGTATGATTTCATTTATGTGAAATTCCAGGAGAAGCAAAACCATAGTAATAAAGGTCATGACAGTGATTTCCAGGGCTTGAGGGTTGAGGAAATGGGTTGAATACAGAGGATACTAGAAAACTTTTGGGGGTAAAGAAAAGGTTATCACAATTGAGTTGATAGATAACATTGCTGTACACATTTTTCAAAACTTGTCAAAATGTGCACTTAAAAACTTACCAGGTATAAAAAGAAGCAGAGGGAGGCTGAGGCAGGTGGATCACAAGGTCAGGAGATCAAGACCATCCTGGCTAACACGGTGAAACCCTGTCTCTACTAAAAATACAGAAAAATTAGCTGGGCATGGTGGCAGGTGCCTGTAGTCCCAGCTACTTGGGAGGCTGAGGCAGGAGAATGACGTGAACCCGGGAGGCGGAGCTTGCAGTGAGCCAAGATCGTGCCACTGCACTCCAGCCTGGGTGACAAAGCGAGACTCCGTCTCAAAAAAAAAAAAAAAAGGCACAAAAATATGATCCATAACCAGAAAAAAATCCATAAATATACAGATCCAATAGTAATACAGGTGGTAGAAGTAGCCAACAAGAATTTTTAAACAGCTATTAAAAAAAAAAGCATGGGCCAGACATGGTGGCTCACGCCTGTAATCCCAGCACTTTGGGAGGCTGAGGCAGGTGGATTACTTGAGCTCAAGAGTTCAAGACCAGCCTGGGCAACATGGTGAAACCTTGTCTCTACAAAAAATACAAAAATTAGCCCAGCATGATGGTGGATACCTGTGGTCTCAGCTACTTCGGAGGCTGAGAGAGGAGGATTGCTTCAGCCCAGGAGGTCAAAGCTGCAGTGAGCCGAAATTGTGCCGCTGCACACCAGCCTGGGTGACGGAGCTAGAACCTGTCTCAAATACACACACACACACACACACGCACACACACACACACACACACACACACAGATACATACGTATAATATATATTTAAGGAAGTAGAGAAAAATATGACCATGATGCAGAAAGAAATGGAAGATATAAATAATATAAACAAGATGCAAATAAAACTTCTATAGATGAATGTTAAAATATTTACAATGATAACTACACTGGATAGAATGTACAGCAAATTAGACACTGCAGAAGAAAAGAGCAGTGAACTCGAGTCCATCTTTAACTATTCAAAATAAAGAAATGGGAGCAAAAAGGAATAAAAATAATGAACAGGGTTCCAGTGATAGGTAGAAAACTATTGAGTGGCCTAAATGTGATTAAAGTCCTGGAAAGAGAGAAAATGTATATACAGAAAAAAATTAAAAGACATAGTGACTAAAAATTTTCAACTATGATGAAATCTATAAACCCATAGAGACAGAAGCTAGCAAATATTTGTATTCCATTCAGAATAAATATAAAGAAAACTATGTCAATGTACCTCCTAATAAAATTTCTATAACCAGTGACAAAGAGGACATCCTGAAAATAGCCAGAAATAAAAGATACAGTATGTACAGAGAAGAAGAACAACAAAAAGAATGGTAGCAGACTTCTCATAAAAAACAAGGAAGTCAGAAGACAATATAAGACATGATGAGGTACAAGAAGGAACTGTCAATCTAGAATTGTTTACCCCGTAAAAATATCTTTCACAATTGAATAAAAAACAGAGTTTAAACAGTTTTGCCAGCAGATCTGCACTATAAGAAATGTTAAAGGAAGTTCTTCATGAAAAAGTAAAAGGACACTAGACAGAAATTTTGATCTACACAAAGAAATAAAGAGCTCTAGAAATGGTAAATATGTCAGTAAATCTAAAAGTTATTTTCCCAAAATTTGAAACTCTTTAAAAGCAAATACTCTTTAAAAGATAATATATGACTGTTTAAAGCAAAATGGATAACCATGTATTAAGGGCTTGTAGCTATGTACAGAAAAAAAGGTATGAAAACATTAACACAAATGAAAGGAAAGCAGAAGTGAGAATACATTGTGTAAAATTCTTACACTCTACTTGAAGTATAATATTACTTGAAGGTAGAAGTTGATGAGTTAAAGGTATATAACAGCTAGAACAACCCATGAAACCAAAAACAGAAGTACAGATAATTAACCAATACTACAGATAACATAAAATTATTTAAAAGGTCAATTAATTTAAAAGAATTCAGGAAAAGATAAAACAGCAGAATTGGTGGGACAAATAGAAAAAGAATAATAAGATGATATATTTTGATGCAATATATCAATACCTACATTAAATATAAACCATCTAGATACATTAGCTAATAGGCTGTGATTGTCAGTTTGTATGAAAAGACAAGAACCAACTACACACTGCTACAAAAATGTACTTTAAATACAAATGCAAAGGTTGAAAGTAAATAAATAGAAAAAGTCATACCTACTGAAAACTAAACATAAGCAAGCTATCGTGGCTAAACTAGTATCAGATAGATTAGACTTTAAAAGAGAAAAAGAGGGATATTTCATATTGATTAAAAGATTAGCTTATAAAGATGTTTAAAAACCTAAATGTGATTGTATGTAATAACATTAAAACACATAAAAACCAAAAGAATTGAAAAGAAATATACAAATCCACAATTACATTTGGAGATTTAAACATTTCTTTCTCAGTTACTGATAAAACAGGTAGACAGAATATCAGTAGACATTCAGGAGATGTGAACAGCTTTATCAACCAATTTGACCTAATTGATATCTACAGAATAATTCATCCAGCAACAGCAGATTATAGATTCTCCTCAAGTGCACCTGGAATGTTCACTAAAGTAGACCATATTTTGGGTCATAAAACAAGTCTCAATAAGTTTAAGAGAAATGAAATTACACAAAATACATTTTGTGACCACAACCTGGATTGTGTAAAAATATGTGGAAAACCCCCAAATGTTTGAAAATTATGCAACATCATTCTAAATAGTCCATGTGCCAAAAAAGAAATAAATTAGAAACTATTTTTAATGAATAAAAATGAAGACATCATATCCAAATGCGTGGGATGGAGTTAAAGCAGAAAGAAATTGACAGCATTAAATGCTTATATTAGAAAAGAATGAAGATCTCAAATCAGACATCCAATTATTGATCTTAGGAATCTAGACAAATAAAAGCAAATTAAAACTAAAGCAAGTAGAAGGAAGAAAAATGAAAAGATAAACAGAAATCAGTGATATTTTTAAAATTTGAAAACCAATAAAAAATCAATAAAATCAATACAACAACAAAATTATTTTTGAAAATGTTAATAATATTGATCAATCTTTAGCCTGACTTACCAAGAAAGAGATAACACAAACCAACCAATATCAGGAATGAAAGATAGGACATTATTATAGATATCACATTATTATAGACATTAAAAGGATAAAAAGGAAATATTATGAGCAACTATGCCTATAAATTGATGTCTTAGATGAAGTAGAAAAAAGTCTTTGAAAGATACAAACTTCCAAAACTCACTCAAGAAGAGAGATATCCTAATATTCCTATATCTATTACAAGGGAATTGAAGCCACAATTAAAAGCCTTCTGAGAAAGAAAAAAGCCCAAATGGCTTCTCTGAATTCTACCAACATTGAAGGAATAAATAGTACCATATTCTACAAAGATTTTCAGAGACAGAAGTGGAGAAAATGCTTTCCAAGTCATTTCATAGGACCAAAATTACTCAAGTAGTAAGTCAGACAGAGAAAAGAAATCTATAGACCAATATGCCTCAGGGACATAGTGGCAAAATTATTAATAAACTAACAAATTATATTCAGGAATATGTAAAGGAGGATAAAACATGGTGACTAATTTGCAAGACTGGTTCCATATTTGACAATCAATCAATTAATGTAATTCACCCTATCAACAAACTATTGAATTTTAAAAAAATTATCATCACAAGCAATACAGAAAAAGCATTTAACAGCATTCAATGTCTATTCATGATAAGATCTCTCAGCAAAATACACACAGAAGGAAACTTCTTAAGCATGATAAAGAACACCTACTGAAAAAAGAAATCTACAGCTAGCATCATGCTTTATGGCAAAAAAATTGATAGCTTGCTCCCTCAGGTTGGGAACAAGACACCTATTTCCTTGTCATAACTTTATTTATGTGTATAATAGAGGTTCTAGTTAGTGCAATAAGGAAAGAAAATTAATTGAAAGGTACACAGGTTGGAGACGAAGAAGTGAAATTATCTTTATCAGTAAACGACATGGTAATCAATGTAGAAAATTCTCAAGAATCTATAAAAATGCTCTAGAACTAATAAGTAAGTGTACAAAGGTCACAGGATACAAAATCAATGTACAATAAATCAATTAGTGTTTTTTATACACTCACAATGAAAAATCAGAAATTGAAATTGATAAAACAGAACCATTTAAGGTTAAAATATTATAAATTAACATTTATAACAGTTGCTCTGATTACTACTTATATATGCACATCTGGGTCCACATTTATAATTATTTCCTTAAATTAGATTTACAAAAAATATCAGTGTATTAAAGTAACAAATTTTTTAAAATAACTTATTTTCCCCTTTAACAAATGTCACATTGCTTTATTCTGTGCAAAACTTAAAAAACTTTAGCTGTGCAACAAGAAAATAGCAATGGGAAATATCTACTAATAAAATTTTATTGTATAAATACTTGAAATTTATTTAATTGTAAGAATAACATTTTCCAGAGTTCAAAAAATAGGGATGTATTTTACAATTGATTCTTCCCTTGAATGTGTACTTTTCTCCACTTCCTCCAAAGTAAGTGGATGCTGATCTTAACGATGGGTACAGCCTAACCACGGAAAGATAATTTTATCTGTAATTCAAATAACAGTGAGTTAGATGACATCACTGTAGTCTGAGCAAAAGATGAACTGCATTAGTTAAACTGCAATTAATGATGTGGATGAGGTGCCCAACTGGTCAAATCCAGCATCTGTTTTGAAGATAGAGTTGACACGACTCACTGTTAGATGGATGTGGGGTGTGTGGAAAAGATGAGTCGCTGGTTTTGGTGCAGAGAAACTAAAGGTGTAATGAAAGTAGTTACTAAGATGGCAAAGACTGGGAGAAGGGCATCTTAGAGTAGAACATCTAGTGTTCTTTTTGGACAAGTTATGTTCGAGGCCCAGATGAAGCCGTTGAACTCAGGAGAGCTCTCTGGGGCTTGAGAGAGAAAGGCTTGTGTTAGAGATGTAAACTTGTAAATTATCAGTGTAGAGATGGTATTCAAACCTATGACTAGTGAGTAGATGAGCTCACTCAGGGAGTGACATGGCCAAGAGGACCAAGGAGTAAACTCTGATACTCTCCAAATTTTAGAGTATATAAAATGAAGAACAGAGAAATTAAGAAGTTGTAGTCAGTATGATAAAAGGAAAAGAAGGAGGTATAGTATATTGGAAGTCAATTGCAAAAATGTTTCAAGAAGGAGGGAGTGGCCTACTGCTTTGTATTCTAAAATGCTTTTGGAAGTGGAGTAACAGGAGGAATAAGTCCTGACCACTGGATTTGGCAAGAACCATTTCAGTGGGATGTTCATGACAGCAGCCTAGTATAGACGACTGCTGGGGTGTTTTGCGCTAAAGAGAATCAGATAATTAGGGTGGTAGATTGAGGGAGATGTGGGGAGATTCATTTTAAGTTGGGATATAACATAGAATATTTGTGAGCTAATCAGAATAATCTGGTAAAAAGAGAGAAATGTATGATGTAGGAGAGAAGGGGATAATTTCAACATTGATAACTGTGAAAGGCTGAGGAGGAATGAGATTCCATATCCAAAGAGAGCTTGACAAAAGACAGGAGGGGGCCACTTCTTGCATTGCGGTGGAAGAGAAGCAGAGAATTTGGGAGTATCAATGCAGATAAATGGTGGATTTGATGTTAGTTCTTTCAGGGAATTCTTTTCTGATTACTTTTATTTTTCATTAGTGTATTAGGGTTCTCCAGAGAAGCAAAACCAATAGAAGATATATGTGTAGATATAAATAAAAAGAGATTTATTATGGAGATTGGCACACATGATTATGGAGGCTGAGAAGCGACATCTCTAAGCTGCAGAACCAGGAAAGCCAGTGGGTATGATTCAGTCTGAGGCTGAAGGCCCACGAACCAGGAGCTCCAATGTCCTAGGGCGGGAAAAAATGGATATCCCTGCTTAAAAAGAAAGAGAGAGAATTCCTCCTCTCTCTTCTTTTTCGTTCTATTTGAGACCTCAAGGAACTGGACGATGCCTGTCCATGTTGCGGAGGGCCAAGCACTGATTCAAATGCTAATCTCTTCTGGAAACACCTTCATGGACATGCCCAGAATTAATGTTTTACCAGCTATCTGGACATCTCGTAGCCTAGTCAACTTGATATGTAAAATTAACCATCACATTCGGAGAAAGAAGAAATAAGTTTATCAGATGGGAGGAGGGAGAGAGAAAAAGTGTTAGACATTTGAGAACAGACCAAAAAAGCATGAAATAGTCACGTATGAAATACCTACACATCATATGCACATCAAATATGTATACTCCAAAAGTGTAAATATACATACATTTGTCAGAATTTAATCATATAGTACAACTATATGTTTGATAAAGTTTTTTTATCTTAACAAGTTTTATGCATCTTTTTATAGAGTATAAATACTTAAAAGCCATTTGGTACACATTGTCAAATTGCCTTCCAGAAGGTTGTTCAAATTTACTCTCTCATCAGCAGTACATGAAAATATAAATCCCGTTGCATATTCAATTCACTAACATGGACTTTTAAGATGATATTTCACATTAAAATGGTAATATGGGAATATTATGAACAATTTTATGCCAATAAATTCCAGAACTTAGATGAAATAGACAAATTCCTTGAAAAGAAAGACACAATGTATCAAAACTTACACAGAAGAAAGTAAAAATTCTGAATTTCCCTAAGTCTATTTAATAAATTGAAATTGTTACTAAAAATTCTACCTCAAAGAAAACTCAGTTTAGATGGCTCCACTGAATTCTGTCAAACTTTTAAGGAAGAAATAATACCAAAGTTACACAAACTCTTTTTGAAAGTAGACTAGAAATGGACAATGAAGGAATACTTCTCAATTTCTCTGATGCCAAAACCTAATGAAGACATTACAGTAAAAGAAAATCACAGACCAATATTGTTCATGATCATGAACAAAAAGATCCTTAACAAAGCATTCATAAATTGAATTCAACAATATACGAAAAAAGTCTAATACATTATGACCAACTGTACTTTATCCCAAGAATGCAAGGTTGTTTTAACATTCAAAAGTTAATTAATGTAATTAATAATATTAGCAAACTAAAGAAGAAAATAGTTATTATCACAATAAAGGCGGACAAGAAAACATTTGACAACATTAAACAACCATTCATAATAGACACTCAGCAAACTAGAAAAGAACTTCCTAAAATGTTGTCTCATTAAAATTTTCATTTTTATTTGAAATACTGAGGTTATACAATCCCTTTATATGTTCATTAGCTTTTCTATTTTCTCTTCTATGAGTAAGCTATTCAGGGCCTATAAGGGATATGGTGTTTATCTTATCAATTTATATCATCTAGTAATATGTCATAAAGACTGCTAATGTTCACCATCTTGTTCTACTTTCTCATAGTTAAGCTATATGGTGGGAAGGGGGCACATAGTTAAGCTACTTTTTCCAGCCCCCTTCCCACCATCTTTGTATCAAGATGAGACCATGTACCTGAGTTTTGGTCAAAGAAAGATGAGCAAAAATATGTATGCCACTTATAAGCCTGCCCCATGCAATACAGGTATTCTATGTAAAACTTCATGAAATCACTCTCTATCTGCCTCTGTCTCTTGTTTGGTATAAGTCAAATATTCTGAGGACATAGATAAAGATACATATAAATAGTTTAGATCTCTGAGTTACTACTTGTAGGAGAGACATCCAGAAGACATGCACAACCAGGAGCCATCTACAGTGGGCTTTGGTACAAATGAGAAATAAACTTTTGCATGAAGGCATTAGGATTTAGAGATGTTTGTCACAGCTGTTAGCATTACATATAAACTGCCTTGCACAGCACTGACCTGTCATACATATCTTTCTCTCCTAAATATTATCTTATGTGAATAAAAAGATATGTAAATGTTTTTCTCTTTCTTTTAAAAAATGTTGTCTACATTCCAGGCACTATTCCAGGCACTGAGGTTATAGCAGTGGAGAACTGAGAAAAGAATCTCTATCTTCACTGTGTTTACTTTTTAGCAGGAAGACATTGACAGTAAATCATTAAGTAAAGTTATAATTTCACGTAAAGTAAGTGCTATGGAGAAAAAGAAAGCAGAGAAACGAATAGGGGATATCATGGTGAGTGTTCAAATTTCAAATAAGGTGGTCTGTGAAAGGCTCATTGAGAAGGTGTCATTTAAACAAAGACTTAAGGGAGATGAGTGAGTTAGCCACGCAGATATCTGGAGGAAGAATCATTCATGCATAGGACAAAATAAATAGAAAAAAATTCCCAAGGTAGAGCATGCCTAACATGTTTTTAAAAACACATTCAGAAGTCCAATGTAGCTAGAGCAGAATGAGCAGGGCAGAGGTGACTATGAGATGGTGTCAAAGAGGTAAGGTGTGGGTGGGAGATCAGTAAGGTCTTCTGGCTATTGTGAGGATCTGGGCTTTCCCTCTGAAAGACATAGAAGCCACTGTTGAAGGTCTGGCATGACAGACTCTGGCTAATGTGATAATCATGGGCAGTAGGTGTCAAGAGCAAAGTTGAGGAGGTCACTTAGAGACCATGACAATCATTGAGATGAGAGATGATGGGGGCTTGAATCAGGGGAGTTGCAGTGTAAGTGGTAAGAAGTGGCCAGATTTTGGATATATTTTGAAGGTAATAGCCAACAGGATTTCCTTCTCAGAGGTGGGATGAGAAAAAGAGAGGACTGAGTGACTGAAAGAATGGAATTGCTACCTTTTTGAGATAGGGAAGGCATGCTTATATGGGGAAATCAGGAGTTTCATGAAAGTCTGTTTCTTAAACTTTCAAGAGGAGATGTCAAGTAGGCAGTTGAATCTGATATATGCATCTGGAGTTCAGGGGAGAGGTCTGGGCTGGAGATGTAACATTTCCAAGTATCCAGCATTTTCTGGTATTTAAAGTCATATTTCAGAAAGAGATCACCAGGGAGTTAGCAGAGATAGAGAACAAGATGAAGGACTGAGTCTCCTTGGGCTTACAGTGAATGGGATACTGTTCAGATGTTAATTTTGTCCCATGTTCTGAGTGCTCTACTATGCTCTTAGTCAATGGAATCTCGTGTGGTGGATTATATCTTATACTCTGGGCACCATACTGCAAACTCCCTCAGCTAACTCCTGCTCTAAGTTCTCACCAAATCCAGGGTATTTTGCAGAGGTGTGGCTTTATCTGCTGTATTCTGTCTGCCATTTATTGTATTTTGCACACCTTTTGATCTTTTGTGGCTGATAAAGGCACGCAGATACTGACACTGGGCCCACAACAAAGAAACAAAGGCAGGTTGTCATTCTGGGCATTAAATGCAAATTTTGAAGTCACTGTAAGTGCCTTCACTGATTGAGGAAATGAAGATAAAGGTTAGCAGAGGAAACTAGAGTCCCTTTGATATTATGAATATCAAATATTGCTATAAATATCGCTGCAGACAATGCTAAGTGCTGGCCTGCTGGTTTTTTTTTTTTTTTTTTTTTTTTTTTTTTTGAGATGGAGTCTCACTCTGTCACCCAGGCTGGAGTGCAGTGGTGTGATCTTGGCTCACTGCAAGCTCCGCCTGCCAGTTTCATGCCATTCTCCTGCCTCAGCCTCCCGAGTAGCTGGGACTACAGGCGACTGCCACAACACCCGGCTAATTTTTTGTATTTTTAATAGAGATGGGGTTTCACCATGTTAGCCAGGATGGTCTGAATCTCCTGACCTTGTTATCTGCCCGCCTCAGCCTCCCAAAGTGCTGGGATTACAGGTGTGAGCCACCATGCCCGGCCTGGCCTGCTGTTTCTTGAAGGAGTCCTTGACCCTCTCATCCTTAAAGATACAGGCAGAAGACAGACATTCCACCAACACCCCAGGAGGTAATTCCTACCCAGGGACCAAAGCTTTGTCTTATAGGATACCCCTCCTCAACTATTGCTTCTGCTGAAAATTGATCCATTAACCCTGACTTCATTACCCCCAAATCCAATAAAACAATTACCCCCCGAAAAATAACAATGATGAAATAAAGCGGGTGTGAATACATAAGCACTTCTATAAGCAACCCAAAGCAAAACCTTTAAATAATCCCTTATACATATATGCAAAAACTAGATTTTTATGAACATTTCTTCTCTAGATATACTTTTTAAAGAAAGTGATACATATACTTTAAGGCCAGAATAAATAGAAAAATACTGCCTCACCGCTGCACTCCAACTTGGGTGACAGAGCGAGACTCCGTCTCAAATAAAGAAAAATACTATCTCAATGTCTTCAGTGAGAAACAAAAACCTTTATGGTCTTAACATTTTATTCATAAGGAGATGTTTATAGTTGTTTGATCTGCTGACTCAAGGTTCATATTTGAAACTAATTTATGATAATTTCTCAGATTTCTATAGACCTTTGAGAACTAAGGCTGACGATGCAAAGACTACCTATAAGCAGAAGGGCCGAAAAAAACTAATCCTCTCCTACATTTTCTGGACCAACTCTGAAGTAGACATTAAAAGAGGCCTTTGGGCCAGGTGCGGTGGCTCACACTTGTAATCCCAGCACTTTGGGAGGCCAAGGCAGGAGTATCATGAGGTCAGGAGATAGAGACCATCCTGGCTAACATGGTGAAACCCTGTCTCTACTAAAAATACAAAAAATTAGCTGGGTGTGGTGGTGCACGCCTGTAGTCCCAGCTGCTCAGGAGGCTGAGGCAGGAGAATGGCTTGAACCTGGGAGGTGGAGGTTACAGTGAACTGAGATCACGCCACTGCACTCCAGCCTGGGTGACAGAGCAAGACTCTGTCTCAAAAAAACAAAAAAAAAAAAGAGGCCTTTGATGAACAACTGGGGACCGGAACAAGAGGCCCAATTTCAGTTTCAACAGGTCATCAAATACTATATGAGTCAATTACATAAACACTGGAATTTCCCAACATCTGATTCCAATAGCAAGAGAGCAGCCCAGGTTCACAATGGAGATTTCTCAATAGGCAATGCCATTTTCCAGGTAATTAAAACTGTTTGTATAGGAGAGTAGATTTATCTTCTGAAACCATTTTAGCACTAGTGCTCTCCTGAGTGGTATCAGTTGACACACTGCATAATCTAGAACAGACTAATTGCCGCATGATTTCTAATTTTTCTGCAGCCATGTAAATGAGCTGAAGTCTGCACAGGTGGAGCCCATTAGAGTGAATGATTTCCCTCTCATGTTGTTATCTTCATTTGCCGTTGTCTTATCAACTCCAAGTAGGAAATCCGCTGTCATGAAAAGCAGGTGAGGGAACAATGTCTGGCTGAAAAGTCTTGTTTCATTATTTTTTAATTCGTACAGTCCTACCTGCTTAATGCAGTTTTCTGATTAGCATGCTAGGCATACAGTAATGCAGTTTTATTCAAATAAGGAGGAAGGGCTTTAATTTAAACTAAGAAATCATCTCCATTTCTTATCAGGGAACAAGGATTCGTGATTCAATAATACATGAATTTAATAATGCATAATGGTAGACTTCACAGGTACTAAATAGCAATACCAGAGTGGGTTAGTATGCTCCATGGGTTGCCATCTGAAACTCCCAATCTGGTTTATCCACATCCCCTCCCTTCATCTCTTTCTTTATTTCCTTTCAGCAAAAGAGTTGTGCTGTTTGCCTTATTCCTCTGACGCTGCCAAGAGCCCAACTCACAGGCTGCATCTTCACTTTACGACCGTGTTTAATAGCTGTTAAGCTGCTGGACTTTAGCCTTTGCAAGAATTCCCAAATTGGACCCAAGGGAGATTTGAAAGGATTGGGAGGGAGAGAATGGGGAAAGAAAAGTACGGAACTTCATTCCCTACTACTAATTGCTTTTTCCACTGAGGTATCTATCCATGGCCTCATTTTAGTGAGGGAAAACAGTGTATAACGTATTTGCAATATCCAGGGCCATATAATCTCTTTATAACTCTATTTGGGTTTCACAGCTCCCAGATACCTAAGCCTGGCATTCCAATGATAGCTGGAGTCAGCATTCCTTCATTTTATGGTTTGCATGGTTCCCTTTGCCCTGGGTTGCCCAGTGAATGGCTTGCCATTCTGCCTGATGTTGAAATTCAAATGTGCAAAGAATTACAGGGGACCCAACTGAATGACCTGAGTGGCTTGACCAACAGCAAAGCCAAGGGAATCAGACATACCTTGCTTTTCATCATCCCTTTATTTGTTTTTCATTTTATTCAATTTGGAAAATTAGATAAAGCTGGCCCACTTCGTTTTCTACTTCTTTCATCTGAACACAATGAGTTAAGATTTTTTTAAAAAAGAATTTGGAGAATTTTATTTAGGGGAAAATTAAAATGCACATGTGGAATCTTGTTGGCACAAGTACATGAGCACAAAATGTGCTAAGTTTCCAAGAATAATTAAGCTTTTAGAGTTTTTTCATATGCTACAAAATGTTTCTCAATAAGCACAAATGTGTGCTATTGGATGGCCTAAAGAAAACTACTTAACTGGCTTCAGTGAGTTTGCAAAATCAAATGTGTAATGTTGGTATTGATACTATGGGTTAATTTCATTCTTCTTGCTCAGATAAGTAAGTACTGATACCACAAAACCTCCTTGCAGCCAAGATAGTAGCTGAGATCTCATTTGCACACCTCACAGAATTATTTATTTAAAAAACCCCAAACAACTGAGAACTATTTTGTGTCAGTCATTGCAGAAAACACTGGGTATTAAAAAGATAAATAAAACACAGGTCTACCCTCAGGAGGCTCACAGTTTGTCAGGACAAATGAAAATATACACAAATATTATATAATAATATAGAAGATTGAGATTTGTATGTAGGCGATGTTGCAAGAGCAAAGAGTAATACTCAAAGAACTAGACACTGAGTAGTTCCTAAAATGATATGAAATTGTAATTTCAAGGATCTCTTCTCTAAGTCATTATTGGATTGGTGGTGCTATATTTGAGTTAATAATTTTTACTTTCTAGTCAGTTGTGCCGGCAGCAATTGACATATTTATATGGCCCCTTTGGCCAAAATAGCTGTATAAACTGGGCAAAGAAAGGCTTAGTAAACATAATTTTCAATGTTTTAAAAATCTAATTCATTCTTCGTTAGAGTTTATGGGTTTGCAAATATATGCGTGAAAGGAGATTATTCCATGTTTATTTTTATGTCTTTATAATCTATATCCCACAAGCAGCCTTAAGGTGAATTATAATAAACATACACACATGCAAAAGAACTCAAGCACTAGGGTAGTAAAATAGAAATTTTAAAAAAAGGAACCCATCAGAGAATGGGATATTATACCAGGATTAAGTTATGAGATAATTATGATAACTAACCTTGAATCAGCTTCCTAAAAGTTGAACATATTTCTATGTAAATATTTGAGGAAATGCAATTTAAAGTACAGTTCTTTTCACTGGTCTTTGGCCTATTCCTCCTGTCTGGGTGAGGTGGGAGGGAAGGGGGCAGTAGGAGAGAACACCTATAAATCAACTCTAATCTCTAATGGCATTTTCCAGCAGAGGCTTGGAGAAGGTCATACAATAGATTTTTTACCCTCAACAGAATTTTGCTCCCTATATTACCCCCACTTAAGAAGATTGTATCTTGGGAATTTTTTCAAGGGAGTCCGAAAGGATGTTAAATTCGTTATCCTGCACCATGCTTGGAGCACTAGATTTCTTTGCTACAGAAACTTGCTTCACAGGTGGTTGCTAAAGTTATAGTATTTTTCTTTATATTTAAAGTTAATCCAGTTCAGTGTCAATAGCAAATCCTCTTAAAACATGTACATAGAAGGCCAAGCCAGTATTTTGACATTCCTGGCTGGGAACTATGCCATTAACACCTTCAATTAATCTCCATGCAAGGTCATTTGGCGGCTCACATTCAAGACCATATGTTAAGAGGTTATTAGTTTTCCTGCAAAGGGGATGTTTGGCCAGTTACAACTAGAAACAGATGCCCACCAATAGGATCAGAAGGGAATAGTTGCCTTAGTTACAACACCTCACACCTCACTTGTTACTGGGATAGGGCAGGAAGCTCCCTAACTAATAATCAAACTGGGAATTCAACAATTTTAAGGCTTATGAAATTTATTATGATCAATTATCAACAAAAGAAAAGAGAGAAAAAATAAAGTTCCATAGAGGTAACTGATCTGGTTGTAAATTCATGTCTCAGGAAATGGCCTAATATATTCATCAGAAAAAAAAAGCAGTGAACTAGGTACCAAGGAGAACCGGATTCCAATATTCATTCTGCAACTATCTTTATATGTGATCTAGGAAAATTTACCTAACCCTTCCGTTCTTGATTTTGTACTCCTAAATATAGGAAGGGAAAGTTATGTGGGGGTGTCAGATTAAGATGGCAGCATTATCACACGAGAAGATACTACATGCAAAACATGTTTTGAAAACCGAAAATCACTCTTTAAGTTCACTATTTCTCTAAGGACAAATAATTTCTTTAGAATAGCTATTTTTGGGGTGTAATTCCATTGCAACAGTTTGGCTACTGGCCAAATCCATTAAAACAATCTATTATAGGGATCAAAATCTCTTGACTCGAAGCCATTTGTCTAGAAGAACCACCATTTGAATTGTTTCCAATGTATGATAGAGTTCCCTGCAATGCTGCTAAAGTGTATTGAATGGAAGAGAACCACTCCCAAGACAGGGTGTGTACCGCAGAAACTCCTTGGGATGTGTGAAGGGCTATCCTTGCCATCTATTGAAGCTGCATTGTATTAAATGAGCTTGAAATATTCACTGAAAGGCCCTTGGGGGACTGGTTCTCAAACTTCAGTGAGCGTGCATCGGAATCATCTGGAGTAATTGTTAAAGCAGAGACTCCTGGATTCTGCCTCCAGTCGGTCTGGGGTGGGCCCAAAAATTTGAATTTCTAACAAGCTCTGGGGTGAAGCTGATACTGTACCCAGGATACCATACTTTAAGATAGAACTGGCTTGTCATCTTCTCCTAATAGGCGAAAATTAAATTAGACAAATGTGGTCTTCAAAGGTGTTTCAGATCCCAGAGGTATCTCAGGGATTCTCTTCCCTCCCTCCACTGCAATGCGCGTAACTGCAGTTTTATCAATTGCTTTAATTGGTGTCCTGCTCAGGAATTTATTTAATAAAACCTGTTTTGCACTCATCCCAAATAAGTTAAAAGCCAAGCTACTAAATTTACGGATTTCTATGAATCTTTCAAACTCTAACCTTCCATCTTTGACTTGGTGGCCCCAAGGAACCTTGCAGACCCTTTTCCTGGTGTGGTGCAGACCCAGTGAAATGCCATCAACACTCCCCAAATTACAAACTTACCTCAAGTGTAAGAGTGGCTTAAAAGTAATGGAGGTTTCATAGGCCAAAGGGGTCCAAACTCAGGGTCATATGTAATTTCAATAACTTGAACATGAACAGTGCTCTGTGGAAGGAAAGGACTCAGGTCCAAGAAAGGAGCGTATGCTTCTCAAGATTTAAGTAGCCTCGGCAAGACATTTCCCCCAGTACTGTGAAGTTAATTAAGCATTTGCTATTCAGAGTCTCCATGCATTTTCTCCTTAACTACATCCTTCATTGGAAGCAAAGCAATCTCTTTGGGACTTTCCGTACCACTGACTCACGGGAGGCATAGAGAGAGTTTTCAAGTCTAGTGAGCCTGAAGACAACCGCTGTAAAGGAGGAGCAGGCGGTGGCCTGCTGAACTGCAAATGTCCCCCAGAATATAGTATAGGTATCTGAAATTCTCATAGCCTTTCCCCGAGAAAATTGCTAGTGGCCTGAATGTGGATACTTTTTTGACTAGTAATCATTGTTGCTATTATTGATATCATTGTTCATCAGCTACTAGTGCCAAGCACTCTGCTAGCATCATTTGTCATTTTCCTAACATACATTTCTTCATATACTTCATTATCATTCTCTCCATGACACCCAATGTAGACTTTTTTCCCCAGAAGAAACTGAGGTCAGAGTGGTTAAGTGTTATTCCTGAGACCTCTCAATTCGAAGTGTTTATAGTTGGAACTTGGACCCAAGTGAGTCTTGCTTTAAGGATCCACTCCCTGCAATGGTTTTCAGTTTGCAAACTGTCCACTGGTCCGTTCCTTCAGTAATAACAATAGTTCCCTCATCTTCTGGGAGTCGGAAAATTTGTACCGTGAAGAACTGCTGGTCATATTTCACATTTTTAAATGGCTGTCTTAGACAAGCTTCTAGTAGGCCTGTCCTAATTTCTTTCAGACTTCAGATCCAGGGTCCCCAGGTTGTGCCAGGCTATGGAGCCTTTCAAAGTAAGTCCAGCTGGATCTAGTCTAATAGACTGTTGCTGAGCAAAGACATACCTTTTCATAGTCCATGGCACTCAGAAGCAGGAATCAATTAATTTTTAGGACAGGAAAAATAGATCACTTGGATTGCTGAAGCAGGAAGAGCTTCTACAGCAGCTAAGAGAAACGAGTCCAGAGAGTGAACTCTGCCTCCATGGCTCAGGAGTCTGAGGATTTGCTGAGTAGAGAGTGCTTTTAATAACCAAGGCTTGGGGTGTTTATTGACAGGCCTAGCCCATGCAGAACGCTATTCAGAACACTGGGCCTTGTTCATAATGCTTGAAAAGATGAGCTAGAAAACATCAGAAGATATCCATTTAATTCTTTGGGCAATTCCTTAATGGCATTAAGAATACAAAAGAATATCCCTGTGAGCTATACTTGTATTTTCTCAAAATACTGACTATACTGCAGGGGGAGAAAAAGAGAAGCTCATCTTTCTTGTTGTTCCATAGAAGAACCCAAGAAAACATCTGGGGACTTCATTTTCAATTAGTACTGAGTGATGTTAGACTATGAGGTAGATGGTGTAAGCATCATTTACTAATGTATTCCTGAATATGCTAAAACCCCAATCCAAACCTGGTGGTAAGCATGGGAGTCAGAAATGCCCTCTCCCATCAAGAATGCCATGCTGATATACTGATGCATTCTACCAGATGCCCTGAAGACAGATGGCACATTTAGGCAATGTGGAAATCAAGGACCATTTTATGCAGGTTTTGCTGCAAAATGTGGGATGCAGTATGTGTTTCCATCTTATTGTAAATCCTCACAAGAAGCTGCTTCATTCTAAATTGTGGCCCCAATCCCCAGGCTAGAAATAAGAATTTTTAGAGGGAGGAGCCAAGATGGCCGAATAGGAACAGCTCCGGTCTACAGCTACCGGCGTGAGCGACGCAGAAGACGGGTGATTTCTGCATTTCCATCTGAGGTACCAGGTTCATCTCACTAGGGAGTGCCAGACAGTGGGTTCAGGTCAGTGGGTGCACGCACCGTGTGCGAGCCAAAGCAGGGCGAGGCATTGCCTCACTCGGGAAGCGCAGGCGGTCAGGGAGTTCCCTTTCCTAGTCAAAGAAATGGGTGACAGACGGCACCTGGAAAATCGGGTCACTCCCACCCGAATACTGCGCTTTTCCTACAGGCTTAAAAAACGGCACACCACGAGATTATATCCTGCACCTGGCTCGGAGGGTCCTACACCCACGGAGACTTGCTGATTGCTAGCACAGCAGTCTGAGATCAAACAACAAGGCGGCAGTGAGGCTGGGGGAGGGGCGCCCGCCATTGCCCAGGCTTGCTTACTTAAACAAAGCAGCCTGGAAGCTCGAACTGGGGGGAGCCCACCACAGCTCAAGGAGGCCTGCCTGCCTCTGTAGGCTCCACCTCTGGGGGCAGGGCACAGATAAACAAAAAGACAGCAGTAACCTCTGCAGACTTAAATGTGCCTGTCTGACAGCTTTGAAGAGAGAAGTGGTTCTCCCAGCACGCAGCTGGAGATCTGAGAACGGGCAGACTGCCTCCTCAAGTGGGTCCCTGACCCCTAACCCCCAAGCAGCCTAACTGGGAGGCAACCCCCCAGCAGGGGCACACTGACACCTCACACGGCAGGGTATTCCAACAGACCTGCAGCTGAGGGTACTGTCTGTTAGAAGGAAAACTAACAAACAGAAAGGACATCCACACCAAAAACCCATCTGTACATCACCATCATCAAAGACCAAAAGTAGATAAAACCACAAAGATGGGGAGAAAACAGAGCAGAAAAACTGGAAACTCTAAAAAGCACAGCGCCTCTCCTCCTCCAAAGGAATGCAGTTCCTCACCAGCAATGGAACAAAGCTGGATGGAGAATGACTTTGACGAGCTGAGAGAAGAAGGCTTCAGACGATCAAATTACTCCGAGCTACGGGAGGACATTCAAACCAAAGGCAAAGAAGTTGAAAACTTTGAAAAAAATTTAGAAGAATGTATAACTAGAATAACCAATACAGAGAAGTGCTTAAAGGAGCTGATGGAGCTGAAAACCAAGACTCGAGAACTACGTGAAGAATGCAGAAGTCTCAGGAGCCGATGCGATCAACTGGAAGAAAGGGTATCAGCGATGGAAGATGAAATGAATGAAATGAAGCGAGAAGGGAAGTTTAGAGAAAACAGAATAAAAAGAAATGAGCAAAGCCTCCAAGAAATATGGGACTATGTGAAAACACCAAATCTACGTCTCATTGGTGTACCTGAAAGTGACGGGGAGAATGGAACCAAGTTGGAAAACACTCTGCAGGATACTATCCAGGAGAACTTCCCCAATCTAGCAAGCCAGGCCAACATTCAGATTCAGGAAATACAGAGAATGCCACAAAGATACTCCTTGAGAAGAACAACTCCAAGACACATAATTGTCAGATTCACCAAAGTTGAAATGAAGGAAAAAAATGTTAAGGGCAGCCAGAGAGAAAGGTCAGGTTACCCACAAAGGGAAGCCCATCAGACTAACAGCAGATCTCTCAGCAGAAACCCTACAAGCCAGAAGAGAGTGGGGGCCAATATTCAACATTCTTAAAGAAAAGAATTTTCAACCCAGAATTTCATATCCAGCCAAACTAAGCTTCATAAGTGAAGGAGAAATAAAATACTTTACAGACAAGCAAATGCTGAGAGATTTTGTCACCACCAGGCCTGCCCTAAAAGAGCTCCTGAAGGAAGCACTAAACATGGAAAGGAACAACCAGTACCAGCCGCTGCAAAATCATGCCAAAATGTAAAGACCATCAAGACTAGGAAGAAACTGCATCAACTAACGAGCAAAATAACCAGCTAACATCATAATGACAGGATGAAATTCACACATAACAATATTAACTTTAAATGTAAATGGACTAAATGCTCCAATTAAAAGACACAGACTGGCAAATTGGATAAAGAGTCAAGACCCATCAGTGTGCTGTATTCAGGAAACCCATCTCACATGCAGAGACACACACAGGCTCAAAGTAAAAGGATGGAGGAAGATCTACCAAGCAAATGGAAAACAAAAAAAGGCAGGGGTTGCAATCCTAGTCTCTGATAAAACAGGCTTTAAACCAACAAGGATCAAAAGAGACAAAGAAGGCCATTACATAATGGTAAAGGGATCAATTCAACAAGAAGAGCTAACTATCCTAAATATATATGCACCCAATACAGGAGCACCCAGATTCATACAGCAAGTCCTGAGTGACCTACAGAGAGACTTAGACTCCCACACATTAATAATGGGAGACTTTAACACCCCACTGTCAACATTAGACAGATCAACGAGACAGAAAGTCAACAAGGATACCCAGGAATTGAACTCAGCTCTGCACCAAGCGGACCTAATAGACATCTACAGAACTCTCCACCCCAAATCAACAGAATATACATTTTTTTCAGCACCACACCACACCTATTCCAAAATTGACCACATACTTGGAAGTAAAGCTATCCTCAGCAAATGTAAAAGAACAGAAATTATAACAAACTATCTCTCAGACCACAGTGCAATCAAACTAGAACTCAGGATTAAGAATCTCACTCAAAACCGCTCAACTGCATGGAAACTGAACAACCTGCTCCTGAATGACTACTGGGTACATAACGAAAAGAAGGCAGAAATAAACATGTTCTTTGAAACCAATGAGAACAAAGACACAACATACCAGAATCTCTGGGACACATTCAAAGCAGTGTGTAGAGGGAAATTTATAGCACTAAATGCCCACAAGAGAAAGCAGGAAAGATCCAAAATTGACACCCTAACATGACAATTAAAAGAACTAGAAAAGCAAGAGCAAACACATTCAAAAGCTAGCAGAAGGCAAGAAATAACTAAAATCAGAGCAGAACTGAAGGAAATAGAGACACAAAAAACCCTTCAAAAAATTAATGAATCCAGGAGCTGGTTTTTTGAAAGGATCAACAAAATTGATAGACCGCTAGCAAGACTAATAAAGAAAAAAAGAGAGAAGAATCAAATAGATGCAATAAAAAATGATAAAGGGGATATCACCACCGATCCCACAGAAATACAAACTACCATCAGACAATACTACAAACACCTCTACACAAATAAACTAGAAAATCTAGAAGAAATGGATAAATTCCTCGACACATACACTCTCCCAAGACTAAACCAGGAAGAAGTTGAATCTCTGAATAGACCAATAACAGGAGCTGAAATTGTGGCAATAATCAATAGCTTACCAACTAAAAAGAGTCCAGGACCAGATGGATTCACAGCTGAATTCTACCAGAGGTACAAGGAGGAACTGGTACCATTCCTTCTGAAACTATTCCAATCAATAGAAAAAGAGGGAATCCTCCCTAACTCTTTTTATGAGGCCAGCATCATTCTGATACCAAAGCCAGTCAGAGACACAACAAAAAAAGAGAATTTTAGACCAATATCCTTGATGAACATTGATGCAAAAATCCTCAATAAAATACTGGCAAAACGAATCCAGCAGCACATCAAACAGCTTATTCACCATGATCAAGTGGGCTTCATCCCTGGGATGCAAGGCTGGTTCAATATATGCAAATCAATAAATGTAATCCAGCATATAAACAGAGCCAACGACAAAAACCACATGATTATCTCAATAGATGCAGAAAAAGCCTTTGACAAAATTCAACAACCCTTCATGCTAAAAACTCTCAATAAATGAGGTATTGATGGGACGTATTTCAAAATAATAAGAGCTATCTATGACAAACCCACAGCCAATATCATACTGAATGGGCAAAAACTGGAAGCATTCCCCTTGAAAACTGGCACAAGACAGGGATGCCCTCTCTCACCACTCCTATTCAACATAGTGTTGGAACTTCTGGCCAGGGCAATTAGGCAGGAGAAGGAAATAAAGGGTATTCAATTAGGGAAAGAGGAAGTCAAATTGTCCCTGTTTGCAGATGACATGATTGTATATCTAGAAAACCCCATTGTCCCAGCCCAAAATCCCTTAAGCTGATAAGCAACTTCAGCAAAGTCTCAGGATACAAAATCAATGTACAAAAATCACAAGCATTCTTATACACCAACAACAGACAAACAGAGAGCCAAATCATGAGTGAACTCCCATTCACAATTGCTTCAAAGAGAATAAAATACCTAGGAATCCAACTTACAAGGGACGTGAAGGACCTCTTCAAGGAGAACTACAAACCACTGCTCAATGAAATAAAAGAGGATACAAACAAATGGAAGAACATTCCATGCTCATGGGTAGGAAGAATCAATATCGTGAAAATGACCATACTGCCCAAGGTAATTTACAGATTCAATGCCATCCCCATCAAGCTACCAGTGACTTTCTTCACAGAATTGGAAAAACTACTTTAAAGTTCATATGGAACCAAAAAAGAGCCCGCACCGCCAAGTCAATCCTAAGCCAAAAGAACAAAGCTGGAGGCATCACACTACCTGACTTCAAACTATACTACAATGCTACAGTAACCAAAACAGCATGGTACTGGTACCAAAACAGAGATATAGATCAATGGAACAGAACGGAGCCCTCAGAAATAATGCCGCACATCTACAACTATCTGATCTTTGACAAACCTGAGAAAAACAAGCAATGGGGAAAGGATTCCCTATTTAATAAATGGTGCTGGGAAAACTGGCTAGCCATATGTAGAAAGCTGAAACTGGATCCCTTCCTTACACCTTATACAAAAATCAATTCAAGATGGATTAAAGACTTAAACGTTAGACCTAAAACCATAAAAACCCTAGAAGAAAACCTAGGCATTACCATTCAGGACATAGGCATGGGCAAGGACTTCATGTCTAAAACACCAAAAGCAATGGCAACAAAGCCAAAATTGACAAATGGGATCTAATTAAACTAAAGAGCTTCTGCACAGCAAAAGAAACTACCATCAGAGTGAACAGGCAACCTCCAAAATGGGAGAGAATTTTCGCAACCTACTCATCTTACAAAGGGCTAATATCCAGAATCTACAATGAACTCAAACAAATTTACAAGAAAAAAACAAACAACCCCATCAAAAAGTGGGCAAAGGACATGAACAGACACTTCTCAAAAGAAGACATTTATGCAGCCAAAAAACACATGAAAAAATGCTCACCATCACTGGCCATCAGAGAAATGCAAATCAAAACCACAATGAGATACCATCTCACACCAGTTAGAATGGCAATCATTATAAAGTCAGGAAACAACAGGTGCTGGAGAGGATGTGGAGAAATAGGAACACTTTTACACTGTTGGTGGGACTGTAAACTAGTTCAACCATTGTGGAAGTCGGTGTGGCGACTCCTCAGGGATCTAAAACTGGAAATACCATTTGACCCAGCCATCCCATTACTGGGTATATACCCAAAGGACTATAAATCATGCTGCTATAAAGACACATGCACACGTATGTTTATTGCGGCATTATTCACAATAGCAAAGACTTGGAACCAACCCAAATGTCCAACAATGATAGACTGGATTAAGAAAATGTGGCACATATACACCATGGAATACTATGCAGCCATAAAAAATGATGAGTTCATGTCCTTTGTAGGGACACGGATGAAATTGGAAATCATCATTCTCAGTAAACTATCACAAGAACAAAAAACCAAACACCGCATATTCTCACTCATAGGTGGGAATTGAACAATGAGATCACATGGACACAGGGAGGGGAATATCACACTCTGGGGACTGTTGTGGGGTGGGGGGAGGGGGGAGGGATAGCATTGGGATATATACCTAATGCTAGATGACAAGTTACTGGGTGCAGCGCACCAGCATGGCACATGTATACATATGTAACTAACCTGCAGAATGTGCACATGTACCCTAGAACTTAAAGTATAATAAAAAAAAAAAAATAAGAATTTTTAAATGATGTTCAAGTACAGAGCTCATTGTGCATCATTGTCAGGCCAGGCAGCACTTTAAACAATTAAAAATGATCATCGATAGCAATGAGAATGAGTCAGGTGGCTCTCCACATGCAAACAGGGAAACATCTCCAGGATAGAACATTAAATGAAAAGCACATGGTGCATATATATGTAGGTATGTTGTTTACATTTTCTGAAAGGCTGCACAAGAAGCTATTGCAATTATTACCATGGTGGAGAGGGACTAGAGGGCAGAGAAAGGTGACTTCCATTTTTCATTTCACACATTTTTATATTTTGTCACATGTGTATATTATTTTTACTTTCAAATTTTAAAAATAAACTGTTCTCATCTATCATCGGTTCATAACAGAAAGGATATTTTTTAAGTAGAAAAGACATAGTCTTATAATAAAGGGCTGTCCATCCAATTAAGTTTTAATTAGCAAAAGCAAAATGAAACAACACAAAAACATAAAAGAATAGGACCTTACTGTAATGCATATAGTGAAGTGTTTAAAGACACATGTATAAAAGATGACTCTGAGAGTGCTATGTGAAAAAAGAAATAATAACAGGCATGTTCCCCCAAAAAGTCATCTTAGTGCTGGTTTGCATAGCTCTGATTTTTCACTCCAAGAGAGCTATGGATTTGCAGCCTGGCTGGGTATGGAAACAGGGGATAGATGTGGATAGAAAACAATACTGGGATATGATTTTCATTTGCTGGCCATGCACCACCTTCCTTTGCTGGGAGAGATAGGTGGCCAATCGTCCACCCCAGAGGCAGTGCCCCACTAGTGAGCCTCCTGAGAAAGGCAGTTACCCTCCCTGTTTTAGTAAGACTCTCTACCTTCCTTAGCACATAATTACTAGAGTGATATGGTGTGTGTGTGTGTGTGTGTGTGTGTGTGTGTGTGTGTGTGTGTGCGCGCGCGCGCCCGCGCGCATATGCATGCTTGCGTGCACATGTGCGTCTGCTAATTTCAGGAGAATCTTGCCAGAAAAAGGAGCATCAAAGGATGAGAAGGGATATGGAGATGCAGAATCAGAGATAAAAGGGACCAAATTTTACTAGCAATTACGGCAAATATCTAACTTGCATAAATGAAGCCAATTACTGTATTATTGCCTCCTTTTGCTCTGTGCACAGTAGGGATGTCACTGGATAATGGTTTGCATGTAGAGTTAATCACTTTGATGCATTTCTGACTGATCCCAGCAAATTATGTTTTGGTTCCACTATATTAAACACAAGAGCTGGGGATTATCATTAATAAATCTAAGGCACAGCATGCATAAATCTTGAATAAATCAAATATCAATTACATAGGCAGTATCTGCTGACATCTGCTTTCATCAAATAATATATTTGAAATAGGTGTTATTTCAATTTGTTGAAGTCAAAGGGATCTTCATACAGGGAACACAGCCCCTGGACCCCAAAGGAAAAAGCAGCTGAGCCATTGCTGAAGAGCCCCTTAGTGGTGTTCGATTTTAATCTGTGAAGGCTACATTTAGATGGCTACCCAGAGATCCAGAGGAAAGGCTGTCTTGCTGTGGAAAGGGCTTCCAGCTAAATGTCATTTTCATGTAGGTATTTTTAAAAGGAAGCAGGAGAGATTGAGGTGAGAAAGGAGGAAAACTTTTTAAACATCTGACTATCAAGGAGAGGAGCAGGCAATTGAGGGAATGTATGTGACTCTTCCAGTACAAGAAGTCAGAATCCATTCAGATGCAAGGAAAGAAGTTCAGTTCATGATAGGAAGACCTCTGAAAATGAGTGGCTATGAGGATAGCTTATAGGATTTACTCAAGGAGAAACAAAAGCAGGAGGTGAGGGGAAGGTAGATTTGCATTTACTAAGCACCAGGCATTGGGCCAAACTCTAGATCGGAAACTTTATCTCCTCTTTTAATCCCCACAGCATCCCATATGAGAGAGATATTAGTGTTTATTCTTATCATTGGAGGAAGCTGAGGCATGGGAAGTTAAATAATGTGAATAAAGCCATACAGCTCTCAAATGGCACAACAGGATGTAAATCTGGATCTTTATGAATGTGCTACATGGCACCAGTGGTGGTAGTGGTTATGGTATTGGGGTGTGTGTTTATATAAAAAAGAGAGAAGAAAATGTAAGCACATGGGGACAGGGAGAGGAAAGAGGGTGTGGAGAATATGTGTTCATTTAAAAAACTGCATTAAATGCCCTTAAGTCCAACATCAAGAGGGATGGGTGACTTTTTTACATTGCATTCCTTCTGACTTTCCTATATCACATCCCTTCTGCGTGGCCTGCCATCCATAAGTTAGAATCTTTTCTCTCTGGGGTGGATGATTAGGATTTCTTTGAGACCTCTTCAAGGAATTTTCTGGGGTTAAACTCACTCTCAGGCAGGGTGGAGCTGGGTTAGGAAATGTTCTCTAGGGCACTGGCTCATCATGAGAGGTAGAAAACGATTGCCTCATATATACTCTCCGGGCAAAGCAGGAGTGGAGACCAGAAATGAAATAAGCCAAAGTCGCTCACCTGAAGCAGTCCTGAGGCCTCTGCTAAGGGTGGAGATGGTGCTTCGGAGGGGCGGGTGGAGTATTCCACGCAGTGCTTGTCCCAACCTGAATAGGCGAGCCTCATAAAGAAACCAGAGTTCGTTTACCATTTATTTTATCACGCTTGGCATCAAAAGAAAGAAAACCAAAAAGCAGACTCCCAAATCTGGGCCATGCAGGAACCCCTTAGGTTTACATTTTCTAAGCAGGGGTAGGTGGGAGTCAGGGCCATCTCCTTTTGGACCAAGGATCCCAAAGGAAGCACTTCAACGAAGCTGAGTAGAAACAGCTCTCGGCTTTCATTAGGCCACAGCTCCCCTGCATGCTGAGCTACACCACATCAGACCTGCCTGGGCCTCTCACCACATAATTCCCCTTTCTGCACTCTGCCTTCTATATGCAAACCTGCACTGGGATATTGAGAACACCGATTGTCGACAGATAAGTGAAAACTGATGTGACATCACCATAGAGATGAGATACATTTTCAGAGTTTCAGACACACTTACATTCGTGTGATATATCCCACAACTTATATTACGAATAGGTACAGATTCTGAATAGTTAAATTTAAAATATTTTTAGAATTTCAAATCTAACCTTTGGATTATGTTTTTTTGGTATCCACAGGGATGACAGATTTTTCTGTTGTTCTTGGGTTTTCTAATCAGCATCACAGAGTATCACAAGGACATGTTCAGTTAGTGCATCTGATTCAGATTGGATAGAATGTATCATCTTGTTGGTAAAAGACTTTCAGGCTGCAAAATTACTTTCCAAAAACCATGCAAATCTGGCCATTAGCAAATGTCAATGAATGAAGAATAAGCTCAAGTCTCCCTCCCTTTTGCTTTAACCTCCATCGCTACAAATATACACACACACACACACACCCCCCCAGAGGCACGTGAGCTAATGTGTAAACGAGGAAGACAGAGACTTTGATCTCCATGGTGCCCACTCTTCATATAGTTTTATTTTGCTCAGTTTGAAGTAGCACAGGCCCTGAGCCAATAGGAAGCCAAAGGAAACTCAGGGACAGCCAGAGTTTCCAGTTCAATTCAGAACAAGCTGGATTAACCTGGAAACAGTGAGAAAGGCTGGAGACATCTGTTTCTACATTTGCCCCACAGTCCTGATGCTGCTACTCTGAGCTCAAAAGAAAAGAAACTGTGTTAATTAAATTTATATCTTAAAATTCGGCCTATGCACACCCACTGGTGAGGAAAATAAGGTACATTCTGTGCTATGAGGTAGCCAGTACTAGCAGATAATAACCAGGAACACTAGAAAGACAACTGAACAAGAGGCAGAAAATAATCATTTAGGGTTAAAATAATGCATCACATTTGAGGAGAAGGGAAACAGAAATCAGAAAATGAATTAGAAAACACAGAGGCATGGTTTGTGCTCTGTGTGTGTGTGTATGCGTGTGTGTGACCAGGATGGGAGACACAGTAGATATCACATAATTAGTGGTTGCTGATTTTTTCTTGCAATGGAAGGTTTTTTATTTTTTTGATAATTTCAACTTCTATTTTAGATTCAGGGGGTACATGTGCAGATTTGTACCTGAGTATATTGCATTATGCTGAGGTTTAGGATATGATTGATCCTGTCACTGAGGGAGTGATCATAGTACCCAACAGTTAGTTTTTCCACCTTTGTCCCCCTCCTTTCTTCCCATTCTCTTCTAGTTGTCTCCGGTGTCTATTGTTGTCATATTTACGTCCATGAGTATCCAGTGATTAGCTCCAACTTCTACATGAGAACATGTGGTATTTGTTTTTCTAGTCCTGCATTAATATGCTTAGGAAAAGGGCCTCCAACTGCCTCCATGTTGCAGCAAAGGACACAATCTCCTTTTTTATGGCTGTGTAATACCATGGTGTATATGTACCACATTTTCTTTGTCCAATCCACCATTGATGGGCGACTAGGTTGATTCCATGTCTTTGCTACTGTGACTAGTGCTGTGATGAACATATGAGTACCTGCGTCTTTTTGGTAGAATGATTTATATTCTCTTAGATATATACCCAGTAATGGGATTGCTGGATTGAATGGTAGTTCTGTTTAAGTTATTTGAGAAATCTCCAAACTGCTTATCATAGTGGCTGAACTAATTTATATTCCCACCAACAGTGTGTGAGCATTCCCTTTTCTAAGCAGCTTTGCTAGCATCTGTTGTTTTTTGACTTTTTAATAGCTATTCTGACTAGTATGAGATTGTATCTCATTGTGGTTTAGATTTGTATTTCTCTGATAATTAGTGATGTGGAGCATTTTGTCATGTGTTTGTTGGCTGCTTGTATGTTTTATTTTAAAAAGTGTCTGTTCATGTCTTTTGCCCACTTTTTAACAGGGTTATTTGTTTTTGCTTGTTGAATTGTTTAAGTTCCTTATAGATTCTGGATATTAGATCTTTGTCAGATGTATAGTTTGTGAGTATGTTCTCCCAGTCTGTAAGTTGTCTTTTATAGTTTCTTTTGTTGTGCAGAAGCTTTTTAGTTTAATTGGGTCCCACTTGTCAACTTTTGGTTTTGTTGCAATTTCTTTTGATAACTTAGTCATAAATTCTTTCCCAAGGCTGATATCTAGAATGGTGTTTTCTAGGTTTTCTTCTAGGATTCTTACAGTTTACAATCTTACATTTAAATCTTTAATCCATCTTGAGTTAATTTTTGTATATGATGAAAGGTAGGGGTCCAGTTTCATTCTTCTGCATATAGCTAGCCAGCTTTCCCAGCATATCATTGCTGATTTTAACCACAGCTTTAGCCATTGCTAATAATCCAACCAGGAAGACTACTTTTGGAGAAAATGGATTATAAAATGTCTATATAAGTATTGCCTCCGGAGGCATTACTTATCAATTGTAATTGGCCCTCCTGAGAAGCTGACCCTTGGAATGTGAAACTGAATTTGAATGGTTTTGATGGTAGTCTCTGTTGGCATTAAGAATGTGTCATCATGATGGTGCTAGTGGTAGAGCCATAGCTGATTGCAGTGTATGTAAAAGAAGTTTAAATGACAGTTTATATTTTTCAAAATGAGTTTATAGTGAAAAGAATACATTGATATAAGAATTTACTGAGAATCTGAAAAGATAACTGACATACAAAGACTCATTTATTCACTCATTCATTCTCCAAATATTGTAAGAAATTTGTTCTGATCATTTATTTTTTTCCAGGCTAGGGGCTGAGGATGTAGGAGATGCAGCTTGGAAATCTGTCATCTGAATAAATGTGTCAAGGTTAATTAAATGGGGTGACACAAATTCTGCATACTCTTGTACATAGATGATGGGGATGGCTAGAGCCAATGTAGGAGGTGTCAATTTAGAGCCTTATCCCCAACTTTCCTGACCTGCATTCCACTAACTGTATGTAACTTTCAAATAGGCCACTTAACCTTAGCTTTTGAGTAATCTTAGCTGTAAGAGTTGGGGTGTATTGTCCCAGGGAAATCCTTTCTTAAAAAGCCTATTGATTCTCATAAGAGCAAGGACTATCAGTTAGTCTGAAGAAAAGAGATGAAGCCACAGCCACGAATCAAGGGGGCAAAGCTGGGCCCATTTTGGTTGTTTCCATCTGTGTCTTGTTACAAAAGTCTCCATGTCATCGTATGTTGTTATGTCTCTATGCAACGCTGAATATTTGTCTGCTTTGCAAAGGTCAAAGGATGGTTGTCCCAATAACCCCTTTGATCCTCTATCACCATATCCAATCATCATGCCTCATCTATGAGGATCTGGGAGTGGATATGCTACACACTCTGCTGATGTGTAGATGTGCATATCATTTATCAAAGATTGCCATAAGCACATCTGTATTTTGCAGTAATTTTCCTAGCCATTTTATTTTCAAACATTACTGGCACATTGCCTGATATCCTGATAGCATGAGTCACATTGTTCCAACACATAGTCAGCACAGAAATGCACACACACACAATCCACATTGAAAATGTGTGTCTCCTTGGTGTTTCTCCCTAAGGCAGCATAGATTTCCTTTCATCATCTTACCACAGCCTTAGCAAGCTTTCAACACAACAAGGTCATTTCATAATAATTATGCAAGCATGTGTGAGTGAGCCAAGAGCTCTGGCAATACACACATAGTATTAGAATAGGAAAATTCACATTCTGCCCATTCCCTGTACCTAGTATATGCTTGAGCTCTGTGGAATTTTGCCTGTTTGAGCGGAAAGCAAACTGGATTATGGGTTTCCTGAGAAATATTTATGGCAGAAATTCTACTCACCTTTCAACATCTCAAGAACTCAAGAAATCAACATGGAAGCGTCTTTGGTCTCAGCTCCTTTATGCAGAGAGTACATCTCTCACTAACTCTTCCTTCCCTGGAAGAGTTCTCCCTAATCCTTACAGGTAACACTTGGACAGTTTATTTCCAGGGCTTAGTTAAGAACATTGACCTCACTTACTTTTTCCCTTCACATCCTATGGGAAGAAGACATATTGGGAAAACAGAGCTGTGAGTTCATGGTTTTAGTGTATTTTCAAATGTGACTAAGTTTCTTCTGGCTTCTAAGGGAGTTGGATGATTTTCTAATTGTCCAGATTAAAACAAGAGTGCTACTAACTTGGCATGGGCCTTGTAGCATCATCCTATTTTATGAAGATACTATTTGTTAAGAGGCAGAACACAGGTGCACTGGCCCAGCAAATCCAATGATCAGTGGTATCCATATGTCCACTACATTGTTTGCTCTCTGAATATATTATTTATTGAAGTTTTCTTGTAATCAAAGCATATAGACTATATTCTCCAGTCAGGGAGGCATTCTTGGGGCATGTCCTGGTTGCTATGACAGAGTAGTTTGACTTAACAGTGTCAATCTGAGCCTTCATTACTAAACCCTACAAAATATGGTCACCATTTAGTTGACATCCTTCACTCTGATGATTAAGAATGATGAGCTGTGTAGAAAACTGGTGTTTCCACTTAACTTATTCATTCCAGGCAGTGTTTCCCAAAGCCTGAGCCAAAGGCCATCTGCATCAAAATCATATGTGGGGACACACGTGTTACAAAAATCAAATTTCGGCTGGGCACGGTGGCTCACACCTGTGATCCCAGCACTGTGGGAGGCCGAGGTGGGTGGATCATGAGGTCAGTAGTTCAAGACCAGCCTGGCCAATATGGTTAAACCCTGTCTCTACTAGAAATACAAAAAAATTAGCCAGGCATGGTGGCAGGTGCATGTAGTCCCAGCTACTCTGGCGGCTGAGGTAGAGAATTGCTTGAACCCGGGAGGCAGAGGTTGCAGTGAGCTGAGATTGCACCACTGCACTCCAGCCTGGGTAACAGAGTGAGACTCTGTCTCAAAAAAAAAAAAAAAAAAAAAAAAGAAATGCAACCCTACCAAATCAGCGTATCCAGAAAGGACCAGCAATCTGAATGTTAAAAGAATTCCCCCACAGGACTGTTTATACCCATTAAAGTTTGAGAAAGCCTGCTGTGAGTGAAGTGAATAAACTAGAGTTCTTGCATAAGGAGGGGTGCTAGTTTCATGGAAAATGCCAGGATCAGGAGAATTATTGCAAATGCACAGTCTCACACCTTCTTAAGTTCCAGTTCTTTGTTTCTCAAAGTGTGGTTGCTGGACCAACTGTATCAGCATCAGTCGGGACCTATTTGAAATTTGGAATCTCAGATAGTATGTCAGAACAACTGTCAAAATCTACATTTTAACAATTCCCAGGAGATTTGTGTGCATGTTAAACTTAAATTTTGAGACACATCAGTCTATGTGATTTACAGATCTTATTGTCATGTCTGCCTGTCTTGCCTTTTTTTAGAAGTCTCATCAGTCTATGTGATTTACAGATCTTTTGTCATGTCTGCCTTTTTTTAGAAGTCTCATCCTCCTCTTTTCTAGGTCCTGAAAACTCAAGACAATGGAACAATGCCAAGCAGTAAGATATGGATACAATGAGTAAAATCTAAAGATTGGTTCCTTTAAGACAAAGGGATCAACATGTAATAACTTGGAAATATATAGCAAAGAGAGAGCCAAAGACGTCTTCTAGCCCTGCACTTTGCCTCCTACTAGAACCAGTGGGAAGATGCTCCAGGAAGTTAGCAGAGTCAGTTACAGTTAACTGCAGCTCAGTGTAAGGAAGAAACTCAACAGTGGAGTCATTTTGAGAGGGAATAGGTTATTCTGAAAAGTAGGGAGTTTCCCTTCCCTATGGGAGTTGAATCCAAGGTTGGATCTTTTTTTTTTTTTTTTTTTTTTGAGATGTGGTTTTCCTATGTTGCCCAGGCTGGAGTGTACTGGCTATTCACAGGCATAATCACAGCATAGCACACCCTTGAACTCCTGGGCTCAAGGATCCTCCCACCTCAGCATCCTGAGTAGGTGGGACTACAGGTACACGCCACTGCACCTGGCCTGGATGATCATTATTAATGAATGTTTTGTAGAAGGGATATAAACATGAGATTGGTAGATGATCTGAATGACTTTTATGTTTGAGAGTATTTTATTCCATACTCACTGTAGCCTTATGTTCCCAATTTTAAATACATATATATATACACACATATATATACACACACAGTTATATATGCTAATATGTTACTTATGACTAAATAGTATTTATTTTTTATGTTTCTCTAATATCATTTATATTAAGAAATTAATTAATCAAAAAATCAATCTTTTGTCAGACCAAAAGCTTGAAAACAAAATATGGCCTGTATAACTATATTTCATGGAAAAAATAATAATCCAAACCATTTCTCAGTGGCGTTTGTTCCTGGTTCCTTTTCCAGTACATTCATTCACTCATGAAAAATCATTTTTGGGCTCAAATGGTAGAGAAAACAAAGCCAAAATTCTGAGCAGCAGTCCCAACCCTAGGAAGCTGTGTGGTTATATTATCTAACATCTAAAGGGCTATTTAACCATTCTAGGACTTGGTTTTGTCATTTGTAAAAGGAGTGAAATAACAGAAGCTGCCTTACAGGATCGTTGTAAAGATTAATGTGTGAATATACGTGAGCCACTTAGAACAATGGCTGGTACATAGTAAGTACTATTTGAGTGATAGCTTTCATTATCATCATCATTCAACAACAATATTGTTATTCCAGGCTTGGGGAGCATAAACACGAATAGGACAGGACCTCTTTTTCTCTAAAGATGCATAGTCCGGCTAGAGAAAGCATGTAGGTAAACAGTGCAGGAAGGGGAGAGAATCACTGTAATGGGGAAATGTGCTAGCAACTCCAAATGGGAGATTGCAGAGAAGGCTGTCAGAGAAATAGGCTGTTGAGCTGGGTTTTGATGACTGACAAGGCATTTTCCAGGTAGAGGAGGGAAAAGTGATCTGGGCTGAAGGATGTCACTTTGTGTTTAGCAATCCTGAGGTTGCCTTAAATCAGCCTCAATCACTTCTGTTGAGTAGAAGCCTATGCTTTCTGTCCTGCCCTGGTTCTTGGCTGCAGGTCACAAAACATTTCAGTCCATTCAAGAATCCTTGAGAGCTCTCCTGGGGACCTCCTGGGCAATGCAGAGGTCAGACAGCAGAGCCACATTCTCAGGGAGAGTGGCACAGTCAAGGGAGAAGACAGGTGAAGAGAATGTTTTCCTGTGAAGGTGGTGAGCTGATTGCCTTAGAGAGCGTGAGCTCCTGCCTTAGAGAGCAGGTGAACTCTCTCCAAGAAAGCAAATGGAAACAAGCAAGCAAAACACGTTTCTTTCTCTTGTGTCTACACCCCCAGCCCCCACCACCCATGAGTAAAGTGTCTTATCTAGGTCTTACAATCAGCCTTCCTATCCAATATTCAGATTTATCTGAACATGAGACCCAACGGTAACTCTTGTCCCCCACGGCTCACGTGATGTAAAGGCTTACCTGGAGGATCTCGCCTATTCATAGCATCTTTGTCTCCATGTCCTTATCATCATGTCCTCTTTCGGGAAGCAAAAGAAAAGACCTTTTGCTCATTTCACTTACTTGAGGAGACTGTTTCAAATTGCTATTTCTATATGGCAAATTTTACCTCCACCCTGACTTAACTAGGTGAGGGTAGAAAATGAGACCTGTGGAACAGAGGAAAAGCGAATGCAAGGGGATGAGCGGCAGCAGCAAGAACATCCTGGACCATTGGGGTGAGATCAATGAAACCCACACTGGAGCCCAGGCCCTGATGTCCCCTGAGCTCCTCCTCCACAGCCTGTCAACTCCTGTGTCTCTGCAGTCCTAAATAAACAAGAAGCAGCAGGTAATTTTATTTCCAATCCATGTTCACAAGAGGCTTCCTTTACTGGCATCTTGCTGACAGGACCTTGCCTTACAATGTGGAGTCACTTTTGCCCAGTTTAGCTCAGACAACTTCCTAGCAGGGAAGTAGGGAGTGGATGGCTGGCTGGAGGTCTGGAAGGGGGACACACATGGAAGGGGGTTGTTGTTTCTATTAAAAATGGACAGTGCCGCAGCTGTGGTCTGGCCTCCTACTCTCTCTCAAGCTGTAATCCAAGGGTTGTCCAGTGCCACGGGTTGGCTATTGAAAACCTAAGTTGTTGAATCACCTTTGAAAACAGACTCAAATTCAGACTGATCAGCCCAGAGCAGAATTCTGTTGGGCATGTTCCCCAGGCAAAACTGTTGAGTAGAGATGTAAAAAAAAAAAATTCTAGAAACTGAAACATCATGAGAGCCACTTTACAGCAAATCTAATTACTTCCCATTGTTTACAATCACTGTCACAAATGATTATCATTTGTTAAATATTTGCTGAATTCACTTCTCACTTCTCTCTTAGGAGTTGATTTGGGTTTAGTCATGGATGGCTCCCTACTCTCTCTTCGTATTGAAGCTCATTTTATCCAAGATGTTATACAGATGAGGGACTTACTGCTAACCTTGTTCTCAGGGAAGCTCCAAACTAAAGAATCAAAAAATATGATAAACTTGGGCCAAAAATCCCATCCACAGTTATGGGAATACCATGACTGGGCATATGAGACACCTGATTTTCAGCCTAAGGAAGCACCATCGGCGAGACATACAGTATCACAATCTGGCTATATTTTATGCTCCCTTTCCATCAGTCTGGGATAAATTGTGTGTGTCAAGTTCGGCAAGCATGGGTGAGCTAAATGGAGCTGTTAGCTGTCTTTTCAACATATTTATCTGTTTCATTGCCTACTCTAGGATGTCTTTGTGATCATTATATAGGGATCACAGATAATAGACTATTTGAAATCTTACTTCAATTAAAACTTAATCCTCAGATGTCAATAACAGTGTTTTATACATAAGGTTACAATAAAAACAATGTCTTTTGTGCATATCATTAAAACAACAACAGAAAATCAAGAATAAGAAATGGCCTGAACATTTTCTAAAACAAGATGCTCTACTATGTCGTGTACCTTGTCACTGTGATAAAATTATGGTTATTTCAATATCTATGCAACTTGACAAAGTCACACAGGATTTATAAGAAAAAAAATCACATAAAATATATCATCTCTCAATTTAAATCCATTCACAATTAGAGGTTTTCATTGTATATAAGAGAAGTGATTGCAAAAGATGCTTTTATTTTATAAAATTAAGAATACAGGCCGGGTGCAGTGCCTCACGTCTGTAATACCAGCACTTTGGGATGCCAAGGCGGGTGGATCACTTGAGGCCAGGAGTTCAAGACCAGCCTGGCCAACATGGCAAAACCCTGTCTCTACTAAAAATACACAAAATTAGCTGGATATGGTGGTGAAGGCCTGTAATCTCAGCTACTCAGGAGGGTGACGCATGAGAATCTCTTGAACATGAGAGGTGGAGGTTGCAGTGAGCTGAAAACGCACCACTACACTACAGTCTGGGTGACAGAGTGAGACTCTGTCTCAAAAATAAATAAATATATATATAAAGAATACAACCCAGGTTTAAAAGAGATTAATACTTTCATTCATGTAGTGTATAAGGACATCCAAAATAGTTCAGGAAATACAAAATAATGGAATGTGTTCATTGAGGAGAGGCTGTTGAAGAGTAAGAGATTGGAGTGAAATTTGTTTTAGCAAGCCATTAGCTTGGAGGAAACCCTCTGTCCCTTGCTGTGCATCAGGTAAACCATTTCACCAAAACATTTTGTAAAGGTGAAGGTGATGATGAAATTTCTTCTCCCTCTGCCCATTTTACAGCGTCATCAGGACTCAAGATGTTTGCTATAGTTTATTCACCAATAGAGCACTTTTGCTATGTTTTGGCATCCATTGTCCTTTTCTCTTGTTATAGTGCCTCAATTCTTGTTTGGCTTTCTATTTCTCCACCGTGAAATTCTAGTGTTCCAATGCAAACTGACTTCACCTCCAGTCGAAGAATGATAAATTATTAGCTTATGCCAATCAATACATTTCATACATCCCATCTCAGAGGCCACAGTGATTGATTCAGGATGGGCATGTGACCCAATTTTCCCAGGAAATGTCAGAGTTCTTGCTTCTAGGTAAGAACCTCCTCTGGCTTCCATGGAAGCACTTAAAGAAAACCTCTCATTCTGGGTGATGTGCAGTGTGGCTGTGAGGCCAAGTTTATTGCAATCACCATACTATCATGAAGAATGAAGTCCCTGGAGGGAGGAAAGATATAGAAAATCGCAGAAAAACATGACCAGAATTTTTATCAATACATGTTTAAATCATACCTTGCCTCTGAAATTTTCAGTTACACGAACCAATAAATCCCCATTTATAATTTAAGTCAATTTGAGTTGAGTTTTCTGTTATTTGCAACTAGATCTTAACTAGGAACACATAGCATTAATTGTGCCCTTTCCATAAGCCAATCACTATTAGAAGGGCTTTATATTATTTTATTTCATCTTCACAATAGCCCTTTGAGGTAGGTGTGGTTATCTCCATTCTAAAGAAAGGAAATAGAATCACAGAGATGTTAAATAGTTTGCATAAAATTATAAACAGATGATAAGAGTTAAAACCATATTCAAATCCAGAGAATCTGAATCAAAACCCACGCTCTTAACATTTATGGTACAGCACTTCACTCATCTCCCCCAACGTTAGGCAAAACTATAGCAAAACAGCCTAGAGATCTTCGTCTGAAAGATTCCAATGGAGGGGACATGATACTGATCATTGATAATATGCTGTCCTTCTTGCCTGTGGCTAATTCATCCACTCAACATTTATTTTAAAAATATATATCCAGTGCTTACTATGTGCCAGCCACTATTCTAAATACTGAAGATGTAGTAACTACTCTTATGGAACCTACATGTAGTGGTGGAAACAAGCAATAAACAAACAAATATAAAATTTAGTATCAGGTAGTGATAATTGCTATTAAGAAAATTAAGACAGGGTAAAGAGGGCCAAAGCACACTGGAATAAAAATGATCGGGAACATTTCACATAAATTTATCAGTATAATCAAGTTGAAATTTCTAGGGGCAAACAACTAAAGATGAGAGGTGGGCAGGTGTAGAATCACTCCATTCTAATCCACAACCCGATATTACAAGTTCAAGCATATCAGTAGCATCACGTCACTTGATATAGTTTCTGTCTCTGTCACACCCAAGTGTGGATATCAGGAAAACCAGATTCTCATAATGGCATGAGGGAATTTTAGAAGAGTGCAATCAATCAAGGATGTAAGCATTCAGACAGTCATGGCAAAAGGCCCACAAATAATCAGTTATCTTCTTGGTAGGATGGGTTTTGATCCAGACACCAAATATCAACAACCAAAGCTAAGGATCAGCAGATGACCTTGTCTAGGAACTGTTAGAGAAACAGGAGATACCCAGGGTGAAGGGCGGAGGGAGACTGAGTGTATATTATCCCAGAAAAGTCATTTTTAGAAAGGCAATTGTTTTCTCATTAAAAAATCAAAAATTAGATGTTGGTGAGGTTGCAGAGAAAATGGAACTCGTGGGCTGTTGGTGGGAATGTAAATTAGTTCAGCCACGTGAAGAGAAGTTTGGAGATTTCTCAAAGAACTGAGAGTTGAACTACCATTCAACTCAGCATTCCCACTACTGGGTATAAACCCAGAGGAAAATAAATCATTCTACCAAAAAGACCACATGTGCCCACATGTTCACAGCAGCACTATTCATAATAGCAGAGACATGAGATCACTCCAGGTGCCTATGAAGGGTGGACTGGATAAGGAAACTGTGGTACACATGCACCATGGAATACTATACAACCATAAAAAATAATAAAATCATGTTCTTTGCAGCAACATGGATGCAACTAGAAACCATTATCCTAAGTAAAGTAATGCAGAAACAGAAAACCAAATACTGCCATGTTCTCACTTACAAGTGGGAGCTAAATACTGGGTACTCATAGTCATAAAATGGGAAAAATAGACACTGGGGAATACAAGATGGGAGGGGTAAAGGTTGTGAAAAACTACCTGTTGGGTACTATGCTCATTACTTGGGTGACCAATTTATTTATACTCCAGACCTCAGCATCATGCAATACAGCTTTGTAACAAACCTGCACATGTACCCTCTGTCTCTGATTCTAAAATAAAAGTTTTAAAAAAGGGAAAAACAATGGCCAATACTAAATTCAGTATAATTTTAAGCAAGAAAATATATATACTTTCGATCTATTTTATGCCATTGGGATATGGAACTAGCATCTCAACCTATAAAAGGTTGTTGCCATCAATTGGAGTTAAAGAAAAATAGCTGGTGGAAGAGCTTTTGATTCTGTTTAGATATGAACAATGAGTTGAAAGAAGTGTTCTATTTAAACCGTTTGTATTAAGCAACAATTAGTATAAGCCACTGAGTAAACAATTAGCAAACAGTTTACTAGCAAGTAGAATTTCATCTTTACATCTTGTAATTGAACACACCTTAAAAGAGATTAATAATTGTAGTTACTAATAGACTATTTAACTAGATTAGTAAGACTATTAAAAATGAAGCATGATCAGTTCTCTTCCAATTAACCATGTATTTGATACACTTGACTGTTGAAAGCATGAGTCCATAACCAAGGCACCAAAGCAGATTGTCTCCGTTGAAAGTACCCAAAGGGACATGGAAAATCTGCCAAAATCGGCAACAATGACACTCCTAGGAAGTCTAAGTGATCCCACTGCCTTCCTTTACACTAAGGAGTGAGGTTCAGTTGCTATCCCAATCTTTGTGCTTTTTTTTTTTTCAGTTAAAAATTGGCTTGAAACACTATAATGCATGTTGAACCATCCACTTGAATTGGATGCCTCACCCATCATAAACATTCCCCTTTTTATGCCTGGGGTTATTTACATTGACCTACATAAGTCATGGACTTGAATAATAGGTTCCAGGGCTCTCACAACCAGGCTCTAATCTGCCACTGCTTATTAAGAATGGCCTTGCTTGCAAAGTAAATTTGTGGTTCCTTTTCTTTTATTTTCATTCCTCAGGTGCCTTTTAAGTTGCCTTTTGGGTCAACAATAACCCACCAACTTTGGAGCAACCAAAGCCATAACACAGGAGACAGAAGGAAGAAAAGATCTCTGGGGAAATCTGCAGATTAATCAAGAAAAGTCAGAGAAAGGGACTCTTCAGTAGGTAGAGCTTAAGGACCACAAGTCCGCCTCTCCCAGCCTAGCATGTTGAACACGGAACAGGGAATAGCCAAATAAGGTGTGAAAGCAGGTCCCATTAGGTGCCCATTTCCTGCTTCCACTGCTTCCACGTAAAACCACCCTTGTTTAGGGGTGATAGGGAAGGTGGGTGGAGAAGAGAATTATTGTACATATACTTTGGTCATCCAGGGTCACTTTCCTCCCCTCCAACTGAAGCTGCAGCAGCAGGGAGCTCAGGAACTTCATTCTACCCAATTCTGTGCATGTGCAGGAGGAATAGTCACTGTCTTCAGTGTCTTCAGCCCCATCCCTGAGCCACAAAGGATGAGACTGGTACAATTTGTCAGTTTCGGACAGTAGCAGAAAAGCCACCCAGGGTGTGGGCTATGTCATTGGCAGGGGCAGAATGGGCCTTGATAAAAAGCACTTGTGGATTCTGGTGTGTTCAAATCTCAGCTCCATCACGTCCCAGCAATAAGACCTTGGGCCAATCAGCAAACCACATTTGGCCTATCCTAGAATGGATATAATCCTTGTGTGTAGCTACCTCAAAGCACTATTATAAGGAATAAATGAGATAAGTTTAAAATGCTACAGCAGTAACAACTCAGTTCATTGTAACTATTGTCACTATTAAGAAAAAGTACGGGGCTCTCTGCTGAGACAGCAGTGGTCTCTGTGCTCACCCTCATGCATATGTCCTAGTGTGTTCCTTAAATCACACAAGCCTACTCTTCTGATTGTCTGAAACTTCAGGATGACAATTTCACTTTATGAGCACAGAACATATTTACACAATGCTGCTTCACTCATCAATTAATTAGGTTCTTGTCCCAACAAGATTGCAAGGTCCTCCTCAGAGAAGGTCATGAGTCTTGCCTCTGCTGGACCAGTCCCTCCCTGCACAGCACATAACTGAACTTATAGCACTTTCCACACTGTATTCTAATGGTCTGTTTTCATGTCTGTTTTCCCACTGACTTGCCATCTCTTTAAGAATAAAGATTGGGTCTTACAGACTAGTTTTGTCTCTAATAACTAGCATGATGTCCATAGCATATTCAATAAATATTAAATAAATGTTTTTGAGGTAAGAATGTAAATAAATAAAGAGTAGATGCTATTATTGCATAAGATACATGTCTTAGGATGTGTTTATAGATGACCCGTGTGCATCCTGATGCTTTGGACAGGGGTAGCCTGAGAATGCACAAGGAAATCAACCCCAAAAAAAATACTAGAGTTGAAGTCTCCCTCCTTCTCTCTCTCTCTCTCTAACTTATTCTCCCCTCACATCTCCCCTGTTATTTATCTCTTTCTTTGTGTGTGTGTGTGTGTGTGTGTGTGTGTGTGTGTGTGTGTGTGTGTGTGTATGAGACCTTTCCAGAGGGTTGAGAGGTTTCTGTAGAAGGTGCAGGTGACTCGGTAGGATAAGGTACAGGTGACTGATTTTGGCGAGCCATATCTATCTCACATTAATTATTACAAATGCCTAAGGGTGCTTCTCTAAACATGGACTGTGCAACTGGATAGAAATCACCAGACCCTGTACTTTGGCTGGGCTGGAGAATAAGGAGAGTCCCTGTCCAAGGCCATTTTGATACCAAGATCTATTCTAGGCCAGGCAAAGTAGGACAGCATACTTACCCTTGGAGAAAGAGTAACATTTTTGGTAATTATGTAAAAGGACTTGATTCCTTGGTGGGCAGCCTAATAATCTGATATGCACTGGTTTCCTTCCCAAAGCAAATGGAACAACTTCAGTCCTTTCTTCCAACCATATTATAAACATGTGCACATCACACATCTAAAAACCTAGTCAGCTCTTCCTGCAAAATGTTTTTTTCTCCACTGTTTTACTGAGCTTTTCTTCAAAGTTTTCTTGAGCTTTCAGAGGGATGAGCAAAGGAGATACTATAAATGAAAGCACTATCCAGGTTATAGTTACATTTTCCTGTTGCCAGAGAGACTGGCACAGGTAACACATAAATCAGAATAAGCAAATAAGTCTATGTCTTTTCATGCCTACCATTGGCCAGCAAGGCTCAAGCTATGCAAGGAATGTTTAGAATAAGCTGTTCCAGGCTTACAGATGCCCAGGGCACCTTCGCCCGTTAACCCTTCTGCTGCCTCTCCCCAGCACAAGGAGGACCTCCTCTTGGCCCAAGACCTGGTAACATTTCTGGGTCTTCCTTGCTTATTACAGCTATACCTTTGAGCCAGTTTCTTGGGAATACCTTCCTTTTTCTGCCTTCACCTTATCGACAAATAATATATTTTAAGGGTGTATATATTTTACACATTTTAATAAATCTGTCTAGCAGGAAGACAAGAACTCACATTCACTTGGGAGTATCAAATGTTTACTTTTTTTTTTTTTTTGAGATGGAGTCTCATTCTGCCATCCAGGCTGGAGTGCAGTGTCCCAATCTAGGTTCACTGCAGCCTCCACCTCCTGGATTCAAGCATCCTGCCTCAGCATTCTGCCTCAGCATCCTGAGTAGCTGGGATTACAGAGGCACGTGCTACCATGCCTGGCTAATTTTTTAATTATTATTATTTCTTTTAGTAGAGATGGGGTTTCACCATGTTGGTGAGGCTGGAAATGTTTACTTTTAACATTATCTTTGAATGACTATTTACTATCCTTTGTCCATATAGTGCCACAGGGATACATAGATAGGTTTCAAAAAAAATTATACAAATTGAAACTGGATTCCTATTACTGGGCCACACTGACATTATCGTACCAAGTATTAATATATATCTTGTTAATCCTATAATTATAGTTTGAATAATTCAATTATATTGCATTTTTTCTTAAAAGTGTTAATTTGTTAAATGTAAACATTTTAAAAACCTGCTACAATTCTTTGTAATTTTGTCTGACATCTCTTCATTACATATGAAAACTCAAAGGAATTTTTTTTTTTAATGAAAAAAGGAAAAAATATGGCCTTGTCTTTCCTCATGCTGAGAGGTACTGCCAGTAGGACCCTCAGGCTGTGACCTGAATTTTGAGGGGTCCTGTGCTTTGAGAAAGAAGCAGGCACCAACTTGGGCTCAGAGGTCTCCTTGCCATAACTAAGAGCCCTCCTGGGTGGCTTGAGACTGGGTGCTGTTTCTCCTTTCTACTCTGTCCTCTCAGGACTCACAGAAAGCAGACAGCCAAACATTTTAAATAAGTAACTTGAAGAATTATATGATGTTGAGCCATTCAGTTTTTTTAAAGATAATTCTGTGGATTCTAAAAGCAAATGGTGGACTATAATACAGGGAACGAGGTACTAAATTTCTATTAATTCATAAAAACTAAAATAGAATCCATTAAGCATGGTGGGGTATTGGTGTGAAAGGAGATGTAAATTATCCATGATCATGCTTGAAATGCAAAACCTGATCATGTTTGGCATCAGGCCAGCTCCCATTAAAGTAATTATTTTTAATCATCAGCACTTGGTGACATGAATACTCATATTTGTTGATTTACTGAGAAAAGCACTTTATATTGTAAATAAAAAGGATGGAAAATATACATTTGGATTTTAGAACAAATGATAATGATTATTCTCGCTTTCTGAGGGTCTTTCCTTGGATAAAGCCAGAAAAAAGTCTGTTTCCATGTGGCTCATATGTGGCCCCCATATAAATGTCAATGGCGGCATGTGTGAGCTTATTTTTATGTCCCATTTTCAAATGGGATAGTTGGTTCTATTCTTAAATGAAGATCGGGGAATAGGGGATTTCTGATGATTTCTTTCATGGCAACCAAAGGAGACATAGAAAATGGCTATTAAAATGTATCCTAACAACTGCCATAAGCACCCTTGGAAACCTTAGAACAAATAATTGCTTTCATTCTACCTCAGTTTGCCAGCTTCTGCTGGGATTTGGGAGGTGAATCACATTTACCAGGGAAACAGGGGCCAGAGGGATATTCCAAGTAAGGCAAAAACACATGCAAAAGAGTCTAGGAAATAGCCTGGTGTGTGTCAGAAAAGAGAGACATGCTATAGAAGGAGGAGGATTGACCCCTCAGTCCGTGGCTTCCAAACATAAGTGCACTTAGAAAAAAATCTTTCAAACCTGCTTAACATTGCCGCTTTCTATGTCTTACCTACTCCCGTTCTCCTGCAAAATTCACATTCTGTTGTCCCAGAGCAGAGCTCAGGATGTGCACTTTGGTAAGCACAGCCTTACACCAAGTCACTGACCCCTCACTGATATGGAAGCAGGTGGTCTCCCTTTGGGCCATGCTGTAGTAAGTGACTGGGGGGCCCATGAAGAGTTTTGCACAGAGCAGCTATCCCTTCCTTGGCAATTTGGAAAATTGACTACAAGGAGCAAGACTGAAGGCAGGAAGACTGGTTACTGTAATAACTGAATTATTGCAGTAGTGCTGGGGATGGAAAGGAAGCAATAAGTTTGAGAGACATTTGGTAGGGAAATGTGAGAAGATATGAAGGCTGATGACACGTGGGGTCCAGGAAGAAAAAGTCAAAGATGACCCTAGTACATCTGGCCCAGAGGACTGGGGAGGTGAGAGGATGCTATCAACCAGGGCAGGAGGAAGAGGAGTGCGTTCTTTCTTCTTTTGTCTTCTGGGGGATGGGACTGGGAAGGAATCTGGGGGGTATGAATGTACTTGTTGGACAAATTTTCACAGATTCATCTGTGAGTCAAATTGGTGGAAGGCATGAAGTAAGTCTGAAGTTCCCGAAGATGGTGCGAGCTTCAGAAACAAATCTGAGAGTCATCAGTTTATAATCAATGGGTGAAAAAGAGGTTACCTGGGGAAATTTGTAGGGAAGACCAGAAGGAACACTGGCTTTCATATAATAAGAAAAGATTACAAGAAACCCACCATCTCCTCTTGCCTCAGGAAAACCACACTCTTCAGGATTTCTTTTCCTATCAACTTCCCATTTGTGAGCCTCCAAACCAATCCTAAAGTTAGCAATTTTCATTGCCAAGGAAAATAAAATGTGTTCCTTTTGATAGAAACGTAATTTAATAAAAACAGTGCCATTAATTTTACAACCTAGAAAGTCCCCTCAAAATTTCTATGTAAATCTGTTGAAAATTTTCTTGTACTTTATTCACTTTTTCTCAGATATCCATATATAAGATAAATGATTCTTTGGATTTTTGTTTGGTTTGATGTGTATTTTTTTCTGTAACCTTTCTGGACTTTGTTTTTTTCTCTTGCATTGTTATTTTGTCTCAATAATTTCTAAAACTTCCTGCTTTATTTTTTTTGACCATGACAATGATGTTATTACAGACTTTTGTTCCTTTTAGTTAGTCACTATAGGCTAGCTTGGAAATGTATCATATGTAGTAAATTCTGTAAGAAACCTGTTCCAAAAATGTGCTTTTGGAACACATATAAACTGTATTTGGTGGCTGCTGGTATCTGGAACTACCAACAAAGACTATTTCTAAATAACATAATGTTATTGTCCACAACCACAATCTAATAGGGTTTACTACACGTGGTTTTTTTTAAAAAACGAAATATTAGTTTTGAAGAAAAGCAGCTTAATTTCATAGGAATATAATGCCTCATTAGGAAAACATGTTTGGACAGAAGTGGCTGAGAAATACAAGCATATGATTTAACAGAGGATGTTAAGGTTGGAAAGAAAACTCTACCTGCATTTTCCCATATGTGAAAACAGAATGGCCAGTCTGGGGAACAGACCTCAGAGACCAACAGGGGTTCCTACTCTTATGGCCCCCACTAAATCCTTATGATGCTGCCCTCAAATCATTCTATTAAAAATACTAAATTCTTACTTATTAATTCTCAGGGGAGCTCCTGGGCCTGTGTTAAAGAATAAAGGGGACTTATGCCTAGTAAAGAACATTAAGCTCACTTTTTATCCTTTCATTTTCAAGTTCTTGGGCAAGAAGCCAAAGCGCTAATATGAGTGTTCAAAAGAGAGGTTCAGGGTGGGGGGTGGGAGATGGGATTGAGGGGGCATGGATTTTTCACAGTAAGAACTTGGCCTTGCAGAAGTCAACTCTTCTCATAATTTAGCCATTCTCTTTCTGTGAGCTAAATTACCTTTATCTACCTCAATACCAATATTTTCTGTGCTGTCTTTGGACTCATGCATATGAACTGGCCCGTGGTATGCTCTCCTTTCTGATTGAGAAATAAACCTAACGCCATGCCATGTGCAGATTTTACATAGAATCCTTTATATTAATTTACTTGCACTCTCTCAATGCAGAACCACAAGCCACTCACTCTTTTCTGCCGACTATGATGTGAACTGGCTAACGTCTTTGGATGGCTGTGTCTCTGAAGATGACAGTGCTATGAACAGGGCTAGGTGCTGCTACCTCCTTGACTTTCAGGTTTGGGGATGGAGGGGCATCCTCAATATCCCGGTTTTATTCTACAGCAGCTGTGCAGAAAAGCACAAGCCTTCTATCCTGGAAGAGGTTCACAATAGAGTTCTGCCCTAGACAAGTAAAAGAAGCATCATTTTCTGCGCTACTCTACAGTGACAAAACTCTTATTTTCAACATATTTTATTTACTCTTATTTTAGGGACCTTCTCAAATTTTATGGGTGATATTTTATTCCTCCAATATGTTCTTGACATGTATCTGACAATTTCAGGCAGTTAAGTACCATATTTCTATTTAGTCAGCTAGTAACTACATTGCTTTACCAAAAGAACCTCACCAAAATATATCTTCCTTTTCCATCCTATCAGTCTCCTCTTTTCTTCTCTTGAATTTTCTTTTCTCTTGTTTTATCTCTCACTCATGTGTGTGTGTGTGTGTCTAGAAAAACAATCTGCCAGAAGCTTTAAGCAATCGGGTTTATTGAGGCATGATTTACAAACAATAAAATCATCCTTTCTGAATTATGCAGATGGTTGTGTTTTGAGAAACACGTACAGTCATATAATAATCAAGATATAGAATATTTAGAAGATGGCCGAATAGGAACAGCTGCGGTCTACATCTCCCAGCGTGAGCAACACAGAAGACGGGTGATTTCTGCATTTCCATCTGAGGTACCGGGTTCGTCTCACTAGGGAGTGCCAGACAGTGGGTGCAGGTCAGTGGGTGCGCGCACGGTGTGCGAGCTGAAGCAGGGCCAGGCATTGCCTCACTCAGGAAGCGCAAGGGGTCAGGGAGTTCCCTTTCCTAGTCAAAGAAAGGGGTGACAGACGGCACCTGGAAAATTGGGTCACTCCCACCCGAATACTGCACTTTTCCGACAGGCTTAAAAAACGGCGCACCAGGAGATTATATCCCGCACCTGGCTCGGAGGGTCCTACGCCCACGGAGTCTCGCTGATTGCTAGCACAGCAGTCTGAGATCAAACTGCAAGGCGGCAGCCAGGCTGGGGGAGGGGCGCCCGCCATTGCCCAGGCTAGCTTAGGTAAACAAAGCAGCTGGGAAGCTCAAATTGGGTGGAGCCCACCACAGCTCAAGGAGGCCTGCCTGCCTCTGTAGGCTCCACCTCTGGGGACAGGGCACAGACAAACACAAAGACAGCAGTAGTAACCTCTGCAGACTTAAATGTGCCTGTCTGACAGCTTTGAAGAGAGCAGTGGTTCTCCCAGCACGCAGCTGGAGATCTGAGAATGGGCAGACTGCCTCCTCAAGTGGGTCCCTGACCCCTGACCCCGAGCAGCCTAACTGGGAGGCACCCCCCAGCAGGGGCAGACTGACACCTCACACGGCCGGGTACTCCAACAGACCTGCAGCTGAGGGTCCTGTCTGTTAGAAGGAAAACTAACAAACAGAAAGGACATCCACACCAAAAACCCATCTGTACATCACCATCATCAAAGACCAAAAGTAGATAAAACCACAAAGATGGGGAAAAAACAGAACAGAAAAACTGGAAACTCTAAAAAGCACAGCGCCTCTCCTCCTCCAAAGGAACACAGTTCCTCACCAGCAATGGAACAAAGCTGGACAGAGAATGACTTTGACGAGCTGAGAGAAGAAGGCTTCAGATGATCAAATTACTCCGAGCTATGGGAGGACATTCAAACCAAAGGCAAAGAAGTTGAAAACTTTGAAAAAAATTTAGAAGAATGTATAACTAGAATAACCAATACAGAGAAGTGCTTAAAGGAGCTGATGGAGCTGAAAACCAAGGCTCGAGAACTACGTGAAGAATCCAGAAGCCTCAGGAGCCGATGCGATCAACTGGAAGAAAGGGTATCAGCGATGGAAGATGAAATGAATGAAATGAAGCGAGAAGGGATGTTTAGAGAAAAAAGAATAAAAAGAAATGAGCAAAGCCTCCAAGAAATATGGGACTATGTGAAAAGACCAAATCTACGTCTCACTGGTGTACATGAAAGTGATGGGGAGAATGGAACCAAGTTGGAAAACACTCTGCAGGATATTATCCAGGAGAACGTCCCCAATCTAGCAAGGCAGGCCAACATTCAGATTCAGGAAATACAGAGAATGCCACAAAGATACTCCTTGAGAAGAGCAACTCCAAGACACATAATTGTCAGATTCACCAAAGTTGAAATGAAGGAAAAAATGTTAAGGGCAGCGAGAGGGAAAGGTAGGGTTACCCTCAAAGGGAAGCCCATCAGACTAACAGCGGATCTCTCGGCAGAAACTCTACAAGCCAGAAGAGAGTGGGGCCAATATTCAACATTCTTAAAGAAAAGAATTTTCAACCCAGAATTTCATATCCAGCCAAACTAAGCTTCATAAGTGAAGGAGAAATAAAATCCTTTACAGACAAGCAAATGCTGAGAGATTTTGTCACCACCAGGCCTGCCCTAAAAGAGCTCCTGAAGGAAGCGCTAAACATGGAAAGGAACAACCGGTACCAGCCGCTGCAAAATCATGCCAAAATGTAAAGACCATCGAGACTAGGAAGAAACTGCATCAACTAACGAGCAAAATCACCAGCTAACATCATCATGACGGGATGAAATTCACACATAACAATATTAACTTTAAATGTAAATGGACTAAATGCTCCTATTAAAAGACACAGACTGACAAATTGGATAAAGAGTCAAGACCCATCAGTGTGCTGTATTCAGGAAACCCATCTCATGTGCAGAGACACACATAGGCTCAAAATAAAAGGATGGAGGAAGATCTACCAAGCAAATGGAAAACAAAAAAAGGCAGGGGTTGCAATCCTAGTCTCTGATAAAACAGACTTTAAACCAACAAAGATCAAAAGAGACAAAGAAGGCCATTACATAATGGTAAAGGGATCAATTCAACAAGAAGAGCTAACTATCCTAAATATATGTGCACCCAATACAGGAGCACCAAGATTCATACAGCAAGTCCTGAGTGACCTACAAAGAGACTTAGACTCCCACACATTAATAATGGGAGACTTTAACACCCCACTGTCAACATTAGACAGATCAACAAGACAGAAAGTCAACAAGGATACCCAGGAATTGAACTCAGCTCTGCACCAAGCGGACCTAATAGACATCTACAGAACTCTCCACCCCAAATCAACAGAATATACATTTTTTTCAGCACCACACCACACCTATTCCAAAATTGACCACATAGTTGGAAGTAAAGCTCTCCTCAGCAAATATAAAAGAACAGAAATTATAACAAACTATCTCTCAGACCACAGTGCAATCAACTAGAACTCAGGATTAAGAAACTCACTCAAAACCGCTCAACTACATGGAAACTGAACAACCTGCTCCTGAATGACTACTGGGTATGTAACGAAATGAAGGCAGAAATAAAGATGTTCTTTGAAACCAATGAGAACAAACACACAACATACCAGAATCTCTGGGACACATTTAAAGCAGTGTGTAGAGGGAAATTTATAGCACTAAATGCCCACAAGAGAAAGCAGGAAAGATCTAAAATTGACACCCTAACATCACAATTAAAAGAACTAGAGAAGCAAGAGCAAACAAATTCAAAAGCTAGTAGAAAACAAGAAATAACTAAGATGAGAGCAGAACTGGAGGAGATAGAGAGACAAAAAACCCTTCAAAAAATCAATGAATCCAGGAGCTGGTTTTTTGAAAAGATCAACAAAATTGATAGACTGCTAGCAGGACTAATAGAGAAGAAAAGAGAGAAGAATCAAATAGATGCAATAAAAAATGATAAAGGGGATATCACCACCAAGCCCACAGAAATACAAACTACCATCAGAGAATATTATAAACACCTCTACGCAAATAAACTAGAAAATCTACAAGGAATGGATAAATTCCTGGACACATACACCCTCCCAAGACTAAACCAGGAAGAAGTTGAATCCCTGAATAGACCAATAACAGGAGCTGAAATTGTGGCAATAATCAATAGCTTACCAACCACAAAGAGTCCAGGACCAGATGGATTCACAGCCGAATTCTACCAGAGGTACAAGGAGGAACTGGTACCATTCCTTCTGAAACTATTCCAATCAATAGAAAAAGAGGGAATCCTCCCTAACTCATTTTATGAGGCCAGCATCATTCTGATACCAAAGCCAGGCAGAGACACAACCAAAAAAGAGAGTTTTAGACCAATATCCTTGATGAACATTGATGCAAAAATCCTCAGTAAAATACTGGCAAACCGAATCCAGCAGCACATCAAACAGCTTATTCACCATGATCAAGTGGGCTTCATCCCTGGGATGCAAGGCTGGTTCAATATATGCAAATCAATAAATGTAATCCAGCATATAAACAGAGCCAACGACAAAAACCACATGATTATCTCAATAGATGCAGAAAAGGCCCTTGACAAAATTCAACAACCTTCATGCTGAAAACTCTCAATGACAAAATTCAACAACCCTTCATGCTGAAAACTCTCAATAAATGAGGTATTGATGGGATGTATTTCAAAATAATAAGAGCTATCTATGACAAACCCACAGCCAATATCATACTGAATGGGCAAAAACTGGAAGCATTCCCTTTGAAAACTGGCACAAGACAGGGATGCCCTCTCTCACCACTCCTATTCAACATAGTGTTGGAAGTTATGGCCAGGGCAATCAGGCAGGAGAAGGAAATAAAGGGTATTCAATTAAGAAAAGAGGAAGTCAAATTGTCCCTGTTTGCAGACGACATGATTGTATATCTAGAAAACCCCATTGTCTCAGCCCAAAATCTCCTTAAGCTGATAAGCAACTTCAGCAAAGTCTCAGGATACAAAATCAATGTACAAAAATCACAAGCATTCTTATACACCAATAACAGACAAACAGAGAGCCAAATCATGAGTGAACTCCCATTCACAATTGCTTCAAAGAGAATAAAATACCTAGGAATCCAACTTACAAGAGACGTGAAGGACCTCCTCAAGGAATACTATAAACCACTGCTCAAGGAAATAAAAGAGGATACAAACAAATGGAAGAACATTCCATGCTCATGGGTAGGAAGAATCAATATCGTGAAAATGACCATACTGCCCAAGGTAATTTACAGATTCAATGCCATCCCCATCAAGCTACCAGTGACTTTCTTCACAGAATTGGAAAAAACTACTTTAAAGTTCATATGGAACCAAAAAAGAGCCCACATCAACAAGTCAATCCTAAGCCAAAAGAACAAAGCTGGAGGCATCACACTACCTGACTTCAAACTATAGTACAAGGCTACAGTAACCAAAACAGCATGGTACTGGTACCAAAACAGAGATATAGATCAATGGAACAGAACGGAGCCCTCAGAAATCATGCCGCATATCTACGACTATCTGATCTTTGACAAACCTGAGAAAACAAGCAATGGGGAAAGGATTCCCTATTTAATAAATGGTGCTGGGAAAACTGGCTAGCCATATGTAGAAAGCTGAAACTGGATCCCTTCCTTACACCTTATACAAAAATCAATTCAAGATGGATTAAAGACTTAAACGTTAGACCTGAAACCATAAAAACCCTAGAAGAAAACCTAGGCATTACCATTCAGGACATGGGCATGGGCAAGGACTTCATGTCAAAAACACCAAAAGCAATGGCAACAAAAGCCAAAATTGACAAATGGGATCTAATTAAACTAAAGAGCTTCTGCACAGCAAAAGAAACTACCATCGGAGTGAATAGGCAACCTATAAAATGGGAGAAAATTTTTGCAACCTACTCATCTGACAAAGGGCTAATATCCAGAATCTACAATGAACTCAAACAAATTTACAAGAAAAACCAACCCCATCAAAAAGTGGGCGAAGGACATGAACAGACACTTCTCAAAAGAAGACATTTATGCAGCCAAAAAACACATGAAAAAATGCTCACCATCACTGGCCATCAGAGAAATGCTAATCAAAACCACAATGAGATACCATCTCACACCAGTTAGAATGCCAATCATTAAAAAGTCAGGAAACAACAGGTGCTGGAGAGGATGTGGAGAAATAGGAACACTTTTACACTGTTGGTGGGACTGTAAACTAGTTCAACCCTTGTGGAAGTCAGTGTGGCAATTCCTCAGGGATCTAGAACTAGAAATACCATTTGACCCAGCCATCCCATTACTGGGTATATACCCAAAGGACTATAAATCATGCTGCTATAAAGACACATGCACACGTATGTTTATTGCGGCATTATTCACAATAGCAAAGACTTGGAACCAACCCAAATGTCCAACAATGATAGACTGGATTAAGAAAATGTGGCACATATACACCATGGAATACTATGCAGCCATAAAAAATGATGAGTTCATGTCCTTTGTAGGGACATGGATGAAATTGGAAATCATCGTCAGTAAACTATCACAAGAACAAAAAACCAAACACAGCATATTCTCACTCATAGGTGGGAATTGAACATTGAGAACACATGGACACAGGAAGGGGAACATCACACTCTGGGGACTGTTGTGGGGTGGGGGGGAGGGGGGAGGGATAGCATTGGGAGATATACCTAATGCTAGATGATGAGTTAGTGGGTGCAGTGCACCAGCATGGCACATGTATACATATGTAACTAACCTGCACCTTGTGCACATGTACCTTAAAACTTAAAGTATAATAAAAAATATATTTAAATCACCCCAGAAAGCTTCCTCCTGTCCCTTTGTAGTCAATCTCTTTTCCCCAACCCCAGCCCCGAGCACCACTGATCCGGTTTGCTTTTTCCATATTGCCATGTAAACGAAACCATACAGTATACAACCTTTTGAATCTGACTTCTTTTACTCAGCGCAATGCATTTGAAACTTATCCGTGTTCTTCCACACATCAGTTCCTTTATATTGATAGGAAAAATTCCATTGTGTGGCTATACCACCATTTGTTTATCCATTGAAGGACACTTGGATTGTTTCCAGTTTTTTGGAATTTAGGAATGAAGCTGTTATAAGCATTTGCATTCAAGTCTTTGTATGCATAGCTTTTTAAAAACAGTTGATGCATTAGCTTATGTGCCTGTAGGAAAGCAAAGAAATACTGAAGGAGAAAAATCTAACGTGTATTTTTTGGAGACAGGCTGACACTGGGAGAGAAAGAAAGAAGAGAGTGAGTTTGTGCATGAGCTTGTGAAAGAAAATGAATGTTGGAATGTTTGTCTATGTTTAGAGACTTTATTGCTAGGAGGAAGGTGGAAATGTAAACAGATTGGCAGTAGTTGGTGGAACCAGTGTCATGCTGTCTCAGAGAGATACAATCATACAGTGAGGTGTTGTGACACATAAATATTTGTTGAGTAAACAAAAAGATAGAAATTGAAATCCATATCAGCTGAGCACTGTAGCTCACCCCTGTAATCCCAGCGCTTTGGGAAGCCGAGGCAGGAGGGCTGCTTGATTCCAGGAGTTTGTGATCAGCCTGGAAAAGAAAGTGAGACCTCATCTCTACAAAAAATAAGCCAAATTATCCAGGTGTGGTAGCACATGCCTGTAGTCTCAGCTACTTGGGAGACTGAGGTGAGAGAATCCTTGAGCCCAGAACACGAAGGCTGCAGTGAGCCATGATTGCACCACTGCACTCCAGCCTGGGCAATAGAGCGAGATCCTCTCTAGGGAAAAAAAAAAAAAAAAGAAATCCATGATCATTGACACAAGGGGTTGGTTTTATTTGAAGGACTGAATAGAGGGTCCTGATTTTGTGAAAAGAATTTCAGATACATGGCTTTCTAGTTTTCAAAGGACAAAATAAAATAAACATACCACAAACATTACACTACAGATAATTAAATCGATCTTTGTTGAATCTAAATTATGAACATAGAAACTCAAAGACTCCTGGATTTTAAGTGCCATAGATGAAATGCTGTCCAGCCGTGGAGATCCCCCGAGCATCTTTTAGTTTATCTGTTGGCTTCCCAGGAGTTTCACTGTGTTGGTGGTACCAGCCCTCTCCTACCCTCCACAAGACCCAAACCAACCACCACCCTGGACGCCTGGAAAACCCAGCCTCCTACCTCACTGTGGTGACTGAGGCAACCTCTTGTGAGTTCTCTTACTATTCTACTCCACATCTCTCTACTTCTTTAACAGAGCTTCCTTTCTTCCTTCATTTCTGTTAGGGATGAGGAAGCACTATGGAGGGACCATGTAATTTCTCATTCAAACCAGGATACTTCCGAGAGTGAAAGGACACACAAGTCACACTTACACAAGCACACGATACACTAGGACTGTGTGGGCACAGTGTACAACAACTGTCCTGGGCGAGCCGGCACCTGTGGTCACCCTGGAAAGTAGAAACTTTCTTTGCCCAGAATACTTTTCTGCCTCTGCTTTGGTTATACTTTATGTCTTCTCCAGGACTTGGTTCCACCAATTTATTTCCTCTTATTATTTCTCAGTTTGTCCATTAGTTTATTCACTGAATATTCAAAAAAGTGCCTATTATGTCAAGATTGTCTCTAACAATCCTTTTTTTTTTTTTTTTTTTGGAGATGGGGTTTCATTCATTCTTTTGCCCAAGCTGGATTCAGTGGCATAATCATGCCTCACTGCAGCCTCGAACTCCCAGACTCAAGTGATCCTTCCATCTCAGCCTCCTGAGTAGCTAGGAGTACAGGCACATGCCATCATGCCCAGCTAATTTTTTTTTTTTTTTTTTAGAGACAGGGTCTCACTATACTGCTCAGGCTGGTCTCAAACTCTTGGGCTCCAGTGATCCTCCCTCCTTGGTCTCCGGGAGTGCTGGAATCACCACATTTGGCTGACAATTCATTTTTAATGGTAGCTTAGGAGCTCATAATTTTATTCTGCATTCCCTCTCTCACAGAATGTGGAGGGTTGCAAAATTTTTACCATTTTAAATAATCTCTGTCATATCCTCATTATCTCCACCATCAGATGCATCCAATGTACCATCACCTCTCTCTCTGATTTTGTGATAGCTTCCAAACCAATTTTCCTGCTTTCTCAACTGCTGCCCCCAACCCCCACCAAATCCACCCTCCATATAGCAACCAAAGTAATGTTCTAAAGTACAAATTAGATCACATATCTCCCCTTTCAAAATCCTTCAATGACTTCCCATTGTAGTTCCAACCTCCTCACCATGCCTGACAAAGTCCTACTTGGATGGCCAATGCCGACCTCACCTCCATCAACACACCACTGCCACCTTCTTCCCCCACCTTCCCATACCACCCTGCCCCCTTGGGTTACTCTTCTGTAGTTTCCTGGACTTCTGTCAGTTCTTCAAATGTGCTAAGCTCTTTCTTCCCCAAAGACTTTTACATTTGCTGTCTCCTACACCTGTTTTTTTGTTTGTTTGGAAAATTATCTCCTTTATAGACTTCAGGTCCTAGTTTAAATGTCATCTCTTAAGAAAAGCCTTCCCTGACTATCATCTGACTGTCATAGCTTTCCTGTTTATTTTCTTCATACACATTTAACAGTCTCTAATTATCATCTTTATTGATTTGGTTACTTATTTACCACCTGTCTTTCCTATGAGAGTGCAAGCTCCATGAAGGCAGAGGTTATATCTGGCTTGTGCATTCCTGTATCAACCCATCCTTACTGTAACTAGAACCTGCTGGGTGCTTGATAAATATTGAGCAAGTAATTGCAAATTATAAATGACTTAATACATAGAGTCTTTAGGTATAGCTTTAATTTGTAGGGAAAAATTTTCTAGAAATGGGATTTTTGATTCAAAAGGATTATACTTTTTTGTTGCCTTTGACATGTGTCAAAGAAATTTTGGCAATTTATATCACCTCCAGCAGTATGGGTGTTAATTTACTACTTAATGTTTATTTTGTCAGATAGGTAGGTGAAAATCGTATCTTGCTACTGATATCATTTGCATTTCTTTGATGACTAGTGAAATTAAACATCTTCTTATAATGTGAGACATCTGTATTTCTTTTCATATTCTGTGTGTTGTGTTAATTGCCTATTCTTATCCATTTTTCAGAAAGTCTGCCAATTAAAAAATTTTGATTTTTAAGAGCTGTATTAGGGACACTAAAACTTGTCTATTAAAATGTTGCAAATACTTTTCTAGATTACCATTTAACTTTTAACCTTGTTACAGTTGTCTAACAAAGAAATTTTAAATGTTTATGTAGTTGAAGAAATCAGTTTTCCTTTGGGATTTCTACTTTTAGTCTCATGGAAAGCACTTTCCCATCCAAAGATCATATGAGGATTTCCTCTTAATATTTTAATGTTTTTATTTATACATATTATATACTTATATAACATTTTATATTTAAATACAAAATGGTGTTTTATGAGGTAGATTTAATTTCAGTTTTTTCAACTATCAAAATTGTTTATTGAATAATTCATCCTTGCCTCAGTAATTTAAAATAGCTTGTTTACCATATTAAAATCTTTTCTAAATGGCTCTAATTCTGAATGTTTCATTTGGCTCAATGAGTTTCTTTGGCTTCTCTGGCACTGTTTACCATACTGCCGTACTTAATATAGCTTAAAATTGTTAATATATGGGATGACACCTTTCTCCTCATTGCTTCACTTTTTTGCCATTTTCTTTTCTTTTTTCTTTTTTGTTTTTTTAAGAGACACGGTGTCATTCTGTCACCCAGGCTGGAGTGCAGTGGTGCAATGGTAGCTCCCTATAACCTCAGAGTCCTGGGCTCACACAATCCTCCCACCTCAGCCTCCTGAATACATCATACTACAGGCACACATTACCATGACTGGTTAATTTTTGTTTAAAGCATTTTTGGTAGATTTGGGGTCTCACTGTGTTGCCCAGGCTTGTCTCAAACTGAAACATTTATTTATTCAGGTGATCTTAAATATCATGTTTGTCAAATTTCACAAAAATCCATACAGCAGTTTAAAAAGAATTGCATTCCATTTACGGATTAATATAGGTATAACTCACCTTTAATAAGATGAGGTTTCTCATTTAAAAATATGGTAATTTTAAGATTTGTGGAAGTCTTTTTTATAATCTTGCTGATGCTTAAGGTCTTTCATATAATTCTTATTAGTTTATGATTTTAAAAATTTTGTTTGCTACTTTGAATGGATTGCTTTTTTTCTTGCATTTTTTAAACTAGCTGTTGTTAGTGTGTTGGAACGCTATGATTTTAGTACACATATTTCTGAAAATGGCCAACTTGTTAAACTTCTTACTCATCCTTGGAGGTTTGTTTCTTGTGCTGTTTTCCTGGTCAAAAAAATATAATTAGAAAAGAGTGATAAAGTTGCCTCTTCCTTCCATCCTCCCTTCATCACAGTTATTCTGTAACACTTTTGCCTCACATAGAAGCAAGAGCTTCCTGAAGTTCCTCTTCATTCCTGTTACTCTTCACTCTACCCTACACAGCGCTGACCAATCTAACCACTCTCTATTCAAAAATATCCAGAATGTTCTCTTTTTCATTTATTCTTTTATTTCTCAAATCCTTATTGAGCACCCAGAATGTGCCAGGCAATACCAGCAATCAATAAAACCAACATGATCTTTGCCCTATGAGTTTTCCATCTAGATGGAAGAATGACAGTGTTAAACATACCAACCAGCAAGTAAGCATACGGCTTCAAATGGGAATGAGTGCTTTTGCAGAAAAGAATCGGCACTCCCGCAGAGCATTCTAGGTCGGAGAAGTCCCTAGGAGGAAATAATCTTTCAACTGTGACAGGCGAGTTGAATAGAATTTGGCCAGGGGAAGAGCAGGAGCTTATTTCCAAAAGATGGAAAGTAGGTGCAAAGACCCGAAGGCACAAAAGAATGTGGTGATTTTGAGAAACAGGAGAAAGGTCAGTGTGTCTGCAGCACAGTGAATCGTGGCTATGTAGTAAAAGACTGGCCTGTTTGATCAAGTTTGAGGCTGGTCACCTCAAAGATTTTGAATTTTATCCTAAGTGCAATAGGAAGCCATGGAGGGGTTTAAGGGTGGGAATAACATGATGATGTGATTTGCATTTCAGAAGGCTGTCTCTGCTCCTGAATTATCTCATCATTTAATCAATTATAGATTTGTATTTACTCCTTATGCCCAAGGTATCAGTTAGGGATTAGTCCTTGTTCGTTAAAAACTTACTGACTTATAATCAACTTCAGGAATTCACTGAACATTTATTGAGCACCTAATCTTTGGCCAAGCATTATGATAAGTACTAGGGACACAAATATATGTAAGAAAAGATCCCTCAGGGAGTTCACACCTAATGAGGAGAGACAGAGGTCTAAATATAATTAAGATTCAATGCAATTTGACACATACTGCAACAGTTATACATAATACACTATAGAATCAGAATAAAGGGGCCATAATTCTGGTGGGAGCCAGAGTGCAGGACAGAGGCAGGAGAGATCAGAGGTGAGACAGCATCACAAAGGAAGTGATGCTGAAAAGGAATCTTGACAATTAACTTCCTTAAAATGAAGAGATAAAAGAACAGTCTGCACATCTCTCTCAGGTGTGAAGGAGAGAATGAGACATTCGAGGCAATGATAAATGTCAGTAGACAGACTTTAGAGAGCAAGTGAGTGCAGGGAAGATGAGGCTGAACCTGTGAATAGGGATATAGAGGAGGGAGGGGATTGTATCCTCAGAAAGACATTTATTTTATCTAGGAGGAAATGGACATCATTGAAGGATGCTAAATAAGGAAGTGAGAGGATCAGATTTATTTTTACAAAAATGTAAATCTGGTGGTCTGTAGGGATAGCAGAAACTATTAAGAGGGGTGAGAAATAGAGAGCCAGTGTTGTGGTAGGAGAAATGGAGAGGAGGGAAGAAGTATGAGCAATGCCAGGTCTCAGGACAGGTCCTAGACTAGGGGGGTGAGGTGGAGGAAGGAACCTGAGGGAATCCATAGTAAATGAGGAAGATATTGACTAAGATGCATTGGATGGTTGGTTTGGGGGGAAAAGGATGAGTGCATCTGAGAACATGTTGCTTTAAAGGAGGGTTTGCCACACATTTTTGCTAAGGGGCCTGATAGTAAATATTTCAGTCTTTGTTGGACATGTGGTCTCTGTTACAGCTACTCAACTCTCTTTGTAGGATGAAGGTAGCCATAGATAATATGTGAATGATAGGTGTGGCTATATTCCACTATAATGGGACGGGGAGTGGGTGAGATTTAGCCCCCTTGATTAAGACCTCTGGGGGACTTTCAGATGCAGATGACTACTAGGTATTTGGATAAATCAATCTGAAACTCAGGAGAGGAACTCAGGTTTAGAGAACAAAGTTCAGAAGAAGTCAGTATATAGATCATAGGTCACTCACTGAGAGCCCAATTCCCAGCTAGTAAAGGTGATTTTTTGGCTCAGAAAAACATATACATTACTTAAACTTAAATTTGAATGCCGTTAGGCAGGTAAGAGCTGTTTATTTTACCATGAACCCTGCCATTCCTTATTATACCTACCCACTCATATTTTTATGTTTTTATGTTTCCTTTCCATTCCCTGTTGTCATTTAGTTTTCAACACATCATATTACTAACATTTGGTATTGGGAGTAGAAAAGGATGGTCAAGTACAAAACTTGAAGAATACCAACATTTAAAAAGGAAGAAGTAGAAGAATTTGCAAGAAAAGAGCAAGAAATGGCCCTTGATTATATTGCTTGAATGTATTGTTCTCTTAGAGCCTTTTATTGTACTAACCATTGGCTTCCCAATGAATTTATAAATCCCTGAGGCCTGAGACTCCTTGTTTCTTACACTATAGCATTTCTCACAAATTCTAACACGGTAATAAATGCATCGCCAACATTCAACAAAGAATCATTGATTGGACATGACTTGCTCTCAAGATAGAAAGATTACTAGCTGGTGCTTTAAGGAAATACCATGTTTTGGTTTCATATTTTGTTTTTTGGAGCTTCAGTTGTGTGACCAGGTTCTCCACAGTAGCCTTCCCACCCTCCCCCAGCCCACTCCCCTCCCGACAAATCTATTATCCATTGGCAATCCCCTGTAACGCTAGAACCAATCCATCCTACCACACTTGGAGTTTCTCTCAAGTGTTCTACTTTCTCTTTGATAACTTCTCTTATTTCCTACTTATTTCTTCCTATGTATTGCCAGTTTGACCAAAAAAAAAAAAGAATTATTTAATGGTTTTTACAAAAAGTGTGCATAAAAACAACTTCCCTCAATTTAACCAAAATAGTGCTTAGTATATCTTCAAACTGCTTTTCTGGTAAGAACTAATTTCATTGCTTTTCAAAGAATCCACACTAAACAGTTAAGCAACCGAATCTCCACTGGGCAGCTGGGCAGATTGAATCTGTAGGTTAAGGGCTGGCCAAACATCCCTGAAGAAGTCACTGCCTCAGGCTCTGTGAAGCTCTTTCCACAGGGCTCCCATCATCCCTCAACACCTGGACTCATTTTGACTGACTCCACATTAGACACAAGACTCAATGTAGAAAGAGTTGGTGCCAAAAGTCTTCTGTTAGGAAACTTTCAATGGAGCAATTCCCTCCATTTTCAATGGTGAATTTACCCTTTCCAGAGTATAAGGTGGCCCTTGCCTAATGAACCTTCTTAGAAGTAGACTTTCATGTCCAGTGACATGAAAATTAGTGCACATGTTAGGGAGTTTACTTACCTTCATGTAACTCTTTAATGACAGACATTCAAATATGAGAATAGAAAGCAAAAATTGTCAGACTTTCAAATTTGATAATAGAAAGCAAAGATTGGCCGGGCGCGGTGGTTCATGCCTGTAATCCCAGCACTTTGGGAGGCCAGGGTGGGCGGATCACCTGAGGTCAGGGGTTCAAGACTAGCCTGACCAACATGGAGAAAACCCATCTCTACTAAAAAAAAAAAAAAAAAAAAAAGAAAATTAGCCAGGTGTGGTGGCACATGCCTGTAATCCCAGCTACTCTGGAGGCTGAGGCAGGAGAATCACTTGAACTCGGGAGGCAGAGATTGCGGTGAGCCAAGATCGAGCCATTGCACTCCAGCCTGGGCAACAAGAGTGAAACTCTGTCCCAAAAAAAAAAAAAAAGAAAATAAAAAAGAAAGCAAAGATTGCTGCATCATGGAGTTAAGCTAATAAAATGCTATTCAAATTCTATACCATTCAAGAGTATCAGCATCTTCTTGCATAATAAGGTATATCTCACATGAAACACAAAGACATCTTTTTGGAGCATAGCAATTCACTTAGGGTTTCAGAAAAAAAACAGCTCTCCCTCTGAATAATTTGTAAATCTAAACTATAATAGAAGAAGAGACGTGTATTAATAAACATGAGCCTAACCTTTCAAATACATTTCATTTTACTGTATGCCCACAGCAGCTGGTAACCTTCTGACATTCTTATCTTCTAACTTTTTGTTTTCTATCCATCTGTTAAGTATTAAACAATGTCAATTCTGCCCTCACAACTCTAGCTCTACCCCCATCAAACTAGACTAAATAGAACTAAATTCAATTACTACATTAAGATATATTCTGCCTTACTGAAAAACAAAATATCTCCTTTTTACTTTAAATCAAAAGGCATGCTAGAGCTGTGTCCCTTCTGATAACTGCAGCTTCTGAGAGAGAAGAGGTAAAACCGGAGGTACATGCATTTCTTCTTGTGTACTTTCTATGAAACTTGCTCTTAGGAACATAACTCCCTCCATCTGAGATGTTATCAAAGGTAGCTTAGGAACTTGCCTATTTTGACCACGATTGTATCATGCAGAATCAAAGACAGCAAACTGGGGATGTGTTGGGAAACAGTTTGAAGGTCCCCAGGAGCAGGGAAAGTACTCTGGCCATAAAGCTCCCATTTTATTCCTGTTCCACATAGCCTGCTGTGGAACTGGCAAAAGGATTCCTGAAAGAAGAGGCATTACTATACAAATTTGTGTAATACAAATACTTAACAAGAATAAGTTACAATGATTTTGCATTAGCAAATGTAATCCACCAAATCCAATGACCACTATTCAGTGGCCATCCAGCTGTCCCACCCCAAGTCATGAAAGGAGCTACAACTGGACTAGCAGGAAAATGAGAGGTATTCATTTATGGGCTAACTAATCAATGGGGCTGAGTACTAGTTAGGGTGGGAATAAATGACATTTTAGGTGGGAATAACTGACATTCTAAGACTCTCATTGCTGTAAGGAAGACAAGAAACACTTGCTTTCCATTCAAGATATGAGATAAAGTTTCCATTTTTAAATAGTTCTTTTAAAATATAAAAGAGGATTGGGCATAGCAAAAATCATGACAGTCAACAGAAATGCCTGAAGTTTGGGAGACACTGACATGAAAGAAAATGAAGCCCTGGAAGACGGCTTAGATTGACCTTTAATTTCCTACTAACTGACCCTCTCACACCTTTCTCTATGGCCAGCCCCAGGCATGTGAGCTGGAAGCTAGAGCATCTATTTGGTTATGTGGAAATCCAAGAGATATCTGCCTCTCCCGACCCTACCCCCCAGTTCCTGCACCTTCTTGGGTGTAGACCAGAAGAAAATAGATTTCTGTTGAGCCACAGGATTGTGCTACTGTCATGGTTCAATCCCAATGTTAAGATCCCAGAACTCCCAACAGAGAAAGCCAAGGTAAGACAGGCATCATCTTATATGTAAGTTCCCCTGGGTGAGAAAACCCAGCCAGGACTCCCATTTAGGAGGAGGCTATGCCTCTAGGTCATGGCCTGTGTGCTTTTCAGGCCCATGGAGGTGACCTTCAACTTAGAGCCACTGGCATGGTGTGCCTGAATCCGAGCAGGCTGGGGGGAGGTGCCCCCCTCCTTACCCTCGTGCAGCAGGCACCCCCTGGGTTTCTGAATCATCAGCCTCCTGATGGTGATCAGAGCGCCAAGAAGGGACTAATTTAAAAACCAAACAATGTGGTAATTGCCCCTGGTCACCAGGTTGCCTTGCTTTTGGAGGGCCGCTGTTTCCTATTAGTGGAGCCTGGATCCGATGAGGACTAACAAAGTGTAACGAATGATCAAAGCGACAGTTACAACAGCACGAGTGCCCAGTGATTGATCTGGATGACATAATAATGATAACCAATGAGGTGAGGCAGGCGGTGGTCCCCTCCAGGTAAGGATGGCAGTGGGCCTGGACTGGTCAGGACTTTACTCTGTTTAGGGAAAAGAAGGTCACAGGGTGGAAGCAAGCCACGTGGAAAGGAAAGAAGGAAGCACTCACACCCAAAGCCTTTGGATGGGAGGAGAACGGGGTAGCCATGGCTGAAAATGAGATTCCTATTCAATGACAGAGATAAAGATTACTGGTCCTGGAATATCGCTAACACAACTCTTAGGGTACTGCATAAAAGCATTTATTATGAAGACAACTCAGCTGTCTGTAAATAATTGAGATGAAAAGAGGGCTCATTTTAAAGTGACTTTTGATAGTCATGTTTTCTGAATAGCACAGGAATGACCTCTTTAAAAACCAACAGAAAGAAGCTCTTGAGGAGATGTTTGCATATCCATGTTCATAGCAGCACCATTCACAATAGCAATGAGGTGAAAGCAACCCAAATTTCCTTCCACCAATGAATGAATAAACAAAATTTTGTATATGCATACAATAGAATATTATTCAGCCCTAAAAATGGAAGAAATCCCATCATATGCTACAAAGTGGATAAACCTTAAGGACACGATGCTAAGTGAAATGAGCCAATCACAAGAAGACAATTACTACATGGCTACATTTAAATGAGATATCTAAAGTAGTCAAATTCATAGAGACAGAAAGTAGACAGCCTTCTTGCAAAACAAGCAAACCAATGAGACTGGTTACCAGGGTCTGGGAGGGAGGAGGAAAAAAGGCAGTTGTTTAATGGGAACAGAATTTCGTTTTTGCAAAGTGAAAAAGTTCTGGAGATTGTTTGCACAACTATATGAATACGTTTAATACTATTGAATTGTACTCTTAAAGATGGCTAAGGTGGTAAATTTTATGTTATGTGTTCTTTATCACAATCAAGAAAAAAATACAGCCTAATAGATTTATTTTAATCATTTGAATAAGAATCATTTTTCAATAATAACTGTACATTTCCTGTGTTCTCAAACAGTACGTACCAAATCTAATTTGACTCCTCCTTTAAGAGTTCAGATAGTGTATACAGTAGTAGGAGAGTGTTGACTTCAAAGCCTATTGAGCTGGGTGATAATATTTGCCTTTAGACAAAGTGGCCGAAAAATATCTTGTAGTTACTAAGTCTGTGTCTTGAGGGCTTTAATGCTGCTTTTGTTGTCAGACTCTGAACTTTTACTGCTTTTCTGTGGGCCAGGTCTCTTGCCTCCTCCACATTTGCTAAGGAACTGTAAGACACATTCATTCAAGTTTTGCATAAAATGAGGACAAAAAGATGCAGAATCAGGGGCAAAAAGTTTCTGCAAATCTCCTGAATTTTAGCACCTGGTCTTGGGCACTCCTGCTTTTTTCTTCTTGGAAGCCTGCTATGGGGACCCTTGCCCACCTTTCCACAGGGGTCTACGTGGGCAATATCGCCAGCTCCAGGATCATGGATGGAGAAGGCAGAGGTTTAATAACAACTTGGCTCAAGAATCAATTGGCACACATATTACAAAGGTACATCTATGATCAAAATTAAGGGGCTCTCTGAGCAAACATAAATTCATCTCCTAAGAAAACACTGACTAGTTTTCTTCAGCATAGAATCAATATTATGAATATTTCTTTAATGCTACTTTGTTTCTTATTAAATAATGAAAAAATTATTCTATCCATGAAAAAAAGGCTAGCATTTTAAAAGAAGAGGGCATATTTTCAAGAACCAGTCTTAAGTGATGCTCATTGGAGAGAAATGAGATGTCTTCTCATTCCTAACCAATCTACTGATGGATCTGAAGGCAGAGATTTTCTATTGAATTCTATATTTTAGAAAGTTTGTTTTGAAGCCCAGTTGTATCAGCTACATGTGGCGAGGCAGCATGGGATGGGGATAGACACCTGACTGTAGTGCCAGGGCCAGGAATAAATCCTCACTCCACCGCTCACAAGCTCTGTGATCATATAGGATCCTCGATCACCCTGAGCCTCCTCTCCTCCATCTCTGAAATAGCAACACCTTTCTGCTTCCCCCAAAAGTTTGCCATAAGGATCCACTAAACCATAACTGTGAAAACACACTGCAAAGTGTTAGGTACCCACCCAAACGTGAGGTGTTTTTGCTGATGGCCATTTGGCAAATGCAAAGCCTTCTGCTGTTGACACAATTGCACTTGGCAATTTGGATGTTGCTGACAAAGAGGGTAAAGGTGGGAACATTTGCCTTGAACTTCAGTTTTAAAATAAAGTTGAAAAGGTTTTTCACAAATCTTGTCAAACGAGGTGGGCCCAGGGTTTGCGTACGTCCATGTCCACATTGGTCCTTTTTCCCTGAGCGCCTGCTCCGGCTCCCTGGGCCATTTGCCGACCTCTCTTTCCACTCCAGCCTTCTTTCAAAACAAAACAAACCAATGAGTAAACTCATGTCATTTTCTCTTTTTAATAATCCAAATGCAGTTTCCAGGAGACTAGCATACCTTGACAAAATGAGCTTTGTACAGGTACAGTCTGCCACTCTGGAATCTCTGTCTCACCTGGTCAGGGACCACAGCCCTGATGCCACATTTGAAGCCAGGTGATGCCAGGTTCACCTGCAGTCACCCGGGTTCCCAGGCCACCACTGATGTTGGTTCAGGCATTCCCTGAACAGCTTTTCATTGTCACACTACTTTACTAACGTGTCCTAGAAAATCATTAGCAATGATAAAATATTTTCCAGAGCTCCAAGATTTTTCTTCCTGGTGACTTTTAACCTCTCTGAGGCTCCTTGTTCTGTCAGTGCCCACCCTTTGGGGCTCCAAACATATGCAACTTAATTAGTTTTAATACTTTAACCGTTTAAATAGCTAACAGTAGAACTTAGACTGCCCCCTGCCCCGACCCAACTCCCACTGTCTATGTGTCTGAGGTTGTCAGACCAAGATGGAAAAATACCTCTAATTGTTTCCAGACAATACACGAAGCTCTCACCCTGGATGAGAGTCAGTATAACTTACATTTTCACAAAGGACCTCGGGCAGCCGGTGGGAGATTCCTGCAAGCTGTGCTTCTTTGCAGATTCCAATTCAATGGAAAATAAAATCCACTTTCAAACCTGAACTAGGAGCTTTCACTCCCCTAGGTTATTCCTGGATGAGTAGATACAGCCGGGTTTTTTTTTCAATAACCTACATTTCTTTTTGGATCTTAATAGATTTTTTATCTTGACCTTGTATGTCAGAAAGCAAATAACTTGGCCCAGAGGAAATGACAACTCCAAATTGGAATATGGCAAACACGGATTCTTCTGCACCCCATTTGGACCTAACAATTAATCTATGTGGTATTCTTTTTCTATCTCTAGGAATGCCTCCCTACTCAAGAATGTCCTCTCTGGGCCCGAAATTCTGTCACTAAGAGATTCATTTATTTGCACATAGATTAGTTGGCTTTCAGAACTTGCACGATATCAATTCAAATACATCATTGGCAGTTAACATCATAGCAAGACTTTGATCAACAAAGTTTTTAAACTGTGTCTGAATGGGACTCTAGATTCCAACTGTGGGATGGAAAATCCTGAGGGAGGAAGAGAAAACAGTAGAAAAAGATGAGTAAACCCTACATTTATTCACATCTCGTTATGTGCCAGACACATTCTACTCTTCATCTCATATCTACTCCATGAGATTCCAGTGAGGTAGATATTACTGACCCCACCTTAGAGATGGAGACTGGAGTTCAAATAGACTAAAGAAATTGCTCAGGGTCACAGAGAGAGCACTAACTTGAACCTTGCTGATTTTTTTTTTAAATGTCAGTACATGCAGATCTGATTCTAAATATTTTTTATTTCAATCAACCCAGGTTTTTGCAGTAGATATTAAGTATCCTTTTTTCTGTAATAAATAGTAAACTAATATCTAATTATTAAATTACAGAATGTTTACTTGTGTGCCACCTCGTCAATTCACCTGGCATTTCCCCTGGGAACACCAACCACAATTTAGGAAATGGTCCCATGCTAAAGGCTGTTTTTGGTAGCAAGAAGACTTGATGGAAGAAATGCTCATTTGTTTCTGAGGGGAGACTCAAGCGATGTTTCTCCAAAGCAGCTTCTTGCACCAGAGCTCATCTCTGATGAAATTTTCAGTGATCTGCAGTAGGGCTTCCATTCATCCTTTCTTGGGAGAAGGCTGTCTCTTTTGTTTGCTTTTTTTTTTCCTGTAATTTTGTTCCTGATAAGTATGTACTTGTTATTTTATTTTTTATTTTACAGAATAGTGGGGAGAGTATTTGGAAAGTTGTTCTTTACTAAAATCTTTAGTTGGATAAAACAGCAAACTGTATACATATCCCTGTGCATATTGGGTGTATTTCTGTAGGCTACTATACATGTGCAAAAAGAAGCACATGCAAAAGGAAATAAGGAATGTTAAATAAATCTTGGTAGAATCATACTAAGGAGTTATGTGGAGCAGTTTAAGAAGAATGAGATAGCGCTGCATTGACACAGGAAAATCACCGAGATTAAGAGGGGGAAAAAAAAGAAAGTGACGTTGAATAAAGGTACTGAATGATGCTGTCTATATAAAGAAACCATCCAAAGTATGTGCTTCTATGTAGACTTATGTATGTATGTAAGTGTATAGAGAAAGATCTGGAAGATGAAACAAAGATGAAACCAGTGTGATCAGTTTGCTGTGCCTCCTTCAGAAAACACTGAGATTAGATGGATGTCATCGGAGACTTTTGCCTTATCTATACAGTTTAACATTTTTTAATAAGGAGCACATGTATAGTTGCCACTTATACAATTAGAAAATAAATGAAAACTTTTAAAGTGCCAAACCTTATGTCAGTTTTCTTGTATTATTATTATATTTGTCTACTTGTTGTTGTTATTGTTATTCATATTTAATTTTACCTAGTTTTTCCCACAATCCGTGTGTCTGTGGGCTAGAGTAGAGCCAAGGTAAGGATTCACAAGGTAAAGTGCACAAAAAAGGTCGTCTTTAATAATTATCATCATAATAATCATTCATTTTTAAAGAGCAGTGTATAAACTAGTCCAATACCATGACTTTCATTCATATCATATACATGAATTAAAGTTTAATTCTTTGAAACTTAGCATTGCAGTATTTCATGCATAATAACAGTTTGTAATACTTGTTTGTCTGTTACCACCATTCCTCTAAGGTCCTCCAAAGGACCTAAGATTATTATCCTACACTTTGTATTTGAGGAGACTGAGGCACTGATTTTGAAAAGGATTGCCTGTGCTGCTCTATTACAGCAGCTCAAGCATGCAAGTTTTCAGGAACAAATCACAGAGAACACTTGGTATGACTTTTCCCCACACCATCCACTCAGCCTCTCAGACCTCTAAAGCAAAGTCTGCCCATCAGCTCTGCCCCAGCCTGAAAAGGGCCCATGTCCAACTTTCAAGCATTTGTCTCTTACGTCATCGTCAGCCTTGTGCACTAGACTTGGAATCAACATCAAGGTAAGCCTTGGGGAGAGATCAGATTTGTAGATCTGGAAACTTCAAGCCAATACGACAGCAGTTCCTTGGACATTCAATCCAAAAGCCCCACTTGGTGGTGGGGAGTTGGGGGGGTGAGCCCATGGATCCGTACCAGAGACCAGCCTGCCTCTGGAGGTGTTCCAGGCTCTGATGCAACCAACAGCCACAGACTTGGTAAAGGACAAACATCTCCACTGCTCAGTATGCATCAATCACTGCCCTTAGTCAGTGCTGAACCAGGGGCCTGAGTTCTTAACACAGAGTGGCAATCATTTCCTTTCCTGCAGCCTTTGGATTATGGAAGATTTGGGGGGATTGTTTGGTTCCTTTGGACCTCAACTTCAGAGCCTCCCCCACCAGAACTCTGGATATATTGCCTCCTAGAAATCAATCCAAATTTTACCCTTTTATTTCTGCTTATTAACAAGGATAAAAAAGGCATTAGCTGGGTCTCCTGGTCCCATATATCTAGGGAAGATCAGCTCAGGTCTACATACCAAACCCTGTAGAAGTCCAAAATCCTCAGTTCTGTAAATGAGGTATTAACAGAGATCAAAATGATAGATTCCTGTCTGAACTCACTGTCCACATTTGAAGCTCAGTCCCACTATCTCACAGTGCTGTGATCTCGGGCAAAGTTATTTAACATCTTGTGCCTTTTCTCTTCTGTGTACTAGATAAAATAATACTATTTCATAGGATATTATAAGGGCTAAAATATGCCTGTGGAGGACTTAGCATAGAATCAAGCAAAATAATTACCCTATTTAAAATTAGCTGTTTTATTGGTGTCATGCAAGATCCTCGGTGACAAAACAGCTGTGACAAAGCAGTGGCATTCATGTGTCCGTCCTGGTTCTCAAACTTCTGACCAGAAAAGATAAGTACAATTAATAGATAGCAAAGCCTTAAATTTAAATGGTTTAAGCTCTTTTGGTGAAATTTCTAATACCAGTGAGCTGATGTGGAGCCTGCTGGATAACTCTGAAACCCATTTCTGGTTTCACCCTAGCCTTTTCTGACTTCTATAGGCTAGCCTACAATATTTGGTGAGCAATACCTCAAGCCCTTCCTTTAAAAAGCATCCAGCTGGTTAGCCAGTGGCTACCACATAGGATTCCCCCTAGTCATAGCCAAGTGTGTCTCCTTAATTCTCACCCTTAGACCCAATGATGCTTCATCCTCACCTACTCAGAATCATGATTATGAACTTGCCACAGAGCTCCCATAGGAGACCCCAAGACTCATGTCTTAGTTTGTGCTATTTCATATTAGGACTTATTGTTAGAGTAAGCATCCAAATACCATGTAAGTGGGCAAGGGACTGATATTATCAAGGTAAAACAGCTTAAAAGAGGAATTCAAAATGATCTTTCATTTTCTAAACTGTAACCACCAGTTAAAAACCAACATTCCGATTCTTACTAACAGTGATGATATTTCCCCCTGTAGTAGTCAAAGGTTCAATTGAGTCAGATTAATACTTTTATCCATAGCTGTCTATCTGTACCTTTTGGATCTTAAACCATCCCACCATGCAGTGGAAGCCACTTAAATATTTGATAAGGGAATGAACAGTCTCCGGGGAAATTTAACATTGTACCAAAAACTTTGTATGTATTTTCAGAGCTATTTATTAACTAAATATAATAACCGATAGCAAAAGCACACATCAGTGGATAGTATTTTGCATTGAGACTATAACAAATCTCAATTCTATTTCTTGACTGTAGCTTGTTTAAAATAAAAACCAAAACTGTGAAAAGAAAGAAAAGGTCAGAGAAAGTAAACTTGATTTCAGAACTGCAGAAGTATAAAAAAATAAAATTACAAAGACAAAATTTATTCTTAGGCTATTAAATCTCTTTGGTAAATGGTCATTTAGGCTAGGAAAATGCTATAGGATAATGGTCTCAAGATACTCACTTCTTATAACTCAAAACGATGGCCCTGAAATCTTGACAATTACAAATTTTAGCTCCATGTCAAAGAAAAGAAAAAGCCCAATGGTTCATCATGTGCATCATAAACACGCCCACTCCAAGCTCCCTGTTGTGGGTCCTGGAACACTTCTAGGCCATGGGGGTGAGGAGGTAGCCAAGAAGTAGCTGCTTGGAGGGGGAGGAGGCAGAACTTGAACCATGGACTGTGATGCCTGCACCTGTGAACCCAGGGCCTTTGTGGCAGGAGAGAAAAAGTAGGGAAGAGGTGTGGGGAGGCAAGTCACACTGCAGCATAGGGCTACAAGAAGTCAAAAAATTCTACATTTAAATTCAGCCTTTCAGTTCTTTATAAGGTGTCTTGTCAAGGCAGAAAGATTGAAGTGTTTACTTGGCAGTTTTTATAACTTTTTGAAATTCAGATGTGTATGTGAGCCTTTGTTTCTGCTCTTCCCTCAGACTTCACACAGTTAGGAGCCGGTCTGCCCCCAACCTCTCGATAGAGCATTTATAATTTATAAAGCCCTTTTATACGTGGTCACCAAATCCTCCCAACCACCCCATTTCACAGAAAGAAACAACTAAAAACCATCTGAGTCTCAAGGAGGTTCCTTGACATATCCAAATCACATGGGCAATAAGAAGTATTGTTTTACCTCTCCCAGGCAGGAGGCATCTTGGATACAGGTTAAGAAGCAAATCAAGGTCACAACCATCATCTTAGGGGATGGAGTTTTGGCCTCTCATGCAACCGTCGATGTACAAAAGTCTGGGAGGAATTCCCTGTTTCCAAGATGCCCTGTTTGTGGGTCAAGAGGAAGGAGAAGCATTGGGAGGAACTGTGGAGGGTATGCAGGCAAAGGCCCAGGAACCCTGAAGGAATCAAACTCTCAACATCCAAACCACTGCTTAACATCATTGTCCTTCAGTTACTAATCTTCTGTCATTTAAGCAAGTGGCCTAATAATGACTTTGTTATTTGTATTCCATATTTATACATTAGATTTAAAATCATCCCAAGGAAATGCCAGACACTAGGCTGAGTCTTACAGTAGCTTCTTATCTTCTCTCTTGTCTGGAAAAGAAAAATGGTACAAGTTACTCTACAGGGCTCCAAGCAAGTGCCCAATCAAACCTGGGGCAATGTGACATTACTCATTATCAGGACCATTGGAGCACGTGGTAGATTTAAGGCCATCCAAAGGAATTATAGACGAAAGATTGATGCTCTTTCTTATGGGTCCCATCAGTTTGAAGACCTTAGAAAACTAAATTTAAAACAAAGATGGTTTATAGGTACAAGAAGGAATAATGTTGCTATTTGAAATAAATCAATCAACCCTTTAGAGATAGAGCTTTTCTTTAGAAACTGGAACAAAAATTGACCTTGCTGAGCCAAGAAATGTCATAGACTTTAAAAGATTTCCAAGATCAATGATATATTTTTAAATCACTTTCCATAAGCAAATCAGTCTTATCTTGTAATATGGCAGAAGGAAAGCTATGGTAGTCATTCCCGAAAGTGCCATTGTAGGTCAAAGATGAGATCATAGTGGAGAATCAAGCAAACTCTCATTTTCATCACATTGAAATCTGAGTGTCTTGGGAGCAAGGCTCTAAACTGGAAGCCTGTGATGTCATTTCTAGGATGGTTATGCTCTGCATATATGCTCACCTATATGCTTTAGTTCAGTGTTAAAAACTACTGCTAAGTGTCAAAAACCAAAAACAAAACCACTTGAGACAAGATGCTTTTAAGATGCTCATTGTGCTTTGCAACTGATTGAAGTTGCTTAATCTAAGAGATCTGAACAAGCTTTCTTCTGCAATCTTGGATTCACCTTTCTTCATTATGTTAAATAGCCGCTTTGGTTTTTTCATGTTTCTTTCCTCTCTGTCCTCTTACTCCTCTGCTCTCCATTTCATTCTTCTCCACTTTTGTTCTCTTTGTTTTTCTAGGAACGCTTTTCCCTTTTTCTGACTGACATTTCTAATTCTCTGTGGAACTGCGAAATTCTTCCTATCCGTGCCCTCTGTTCTTCCCCATCTGGGATTCAGTGCAAAGAATTGCCTTGTAGCCCATGTTTGAAGATTTCTCTAGTCAGAATCATCATTCCCAGGTGTGCCCATTTTATAATTAGAAAATAGCAACCAAGAGTCATTCCTCTGAGGCCACAGCTGATGTAGCTCAAGCTCTTGATGGTTATAAATTGGTATCCACCTTACAGAGTCAAAAGCTTTCTCTGAGCTAAAAACTCCAAGAGCATTTATCATTTGCATCATTCTTGTGACCAAATGGCTCCCCTTGTTGGCTTCAGTAAAGGTCTCCAGGGAGCCTGATCTTTGCATCTATTTTGAACCTCTGAAGTGTCAAGCAGCCTCCACTAGCTCCTTAGCTGTGTGAAAGACCCCAAGCTATTTAGAAGAAACAATGTTGAATATTTTAAGCCTGATAGTAGGATTCCTAGAAGCTAGGATTAAGAGTCTCCAACTAACATAGGAATTTGAGAGCTATGGCAAAGCCTTGGTAAGAAAGGAAGGGATTCCAGAAGGAGAAAAGTAGCAAATGCAGAGCCGAGTTGAAAATCCTATGTCCCATCTTGGGACACAGAGAGAGGTGGAGAGGAAGGTCAGGTGAAAAAGGACCACTGACCTTGACTCTGGCAATAAATCAAGCACACACTCAACACCCCAAAACTGCAACTGTTGTGTAATAACAGAAAACATTTCCTAATAGCCTATGTGCTACACTAAGTGTAGATCATCTCACTTGGTCCTCAAAATGAGGAGGGTACAAACTTATTAGCTCCAATTTTCCAGACATGGCAACTGAGGCTTCACTATTAATTTAACAAAAGTCATAAGAGGTGAAAAAGTAGGATTTGAACTCACCCATTCTGGCTCCAAAGTCTGAGCTGGTAATCACTAACATCACTGTTTAAGGATAGTTGAAACAGATGCTGCCTGTAGCATCTTCTTCTTGGGGGAAAGGGAAAATGACAGTGCTCAGTGGAGCAGCCAGAGCCCTGGAGCCCTTGCAGGGTGGAATCCTTAGTCCCAGGCTCTTCAGGGATTGGCTATAGCAAAACCAGGAGCAATTGGGGAGTCAGAAGTGAGCCTGTAGTGGGACTGGTGTGGGGTGTCTGAGGGAAGAGCTATAATGGTGATGTTACTACCAGCTGCCAAGTCACGTGGAGAGAGAGAGGGGCTACGCATGGACCCACTCAAGAGGAGAGCAGGAACTAGATGCCTTTGAGTGGTTGATGGCATATTTGGGAGGCTTAATAATTAAACCAGACAGTGACAAGACTCGAATGTCTTTATACCTCATCTCTGAATGTGACACTGCATGCATCTTGTCTTCCCAGCTTCACTCTACACTCAGTGAGGGCAGGAATAAGCTTTTCCCTTCCTTAGCTCCCCCAAAATGAAAGCAACTAACACTCATTTATTTATTTAGAGATTAAACATTCATCCATATTTTGGAAAGAGCTCAGCTCTGTAGACTCATCTCTGCTGGCTAGGAACTGGTGACTCGAACAAAAGTAATGGATTCTTTGAAAAAACTCCCTTGAAGTATTATTCCAGGTGTGTGCCTATGTGTATTTGAGGAAGGAGGAAATGTGGAGTTTATTGTGCATCTACTATGAGCCAGGCACCATGCCAGACATACTAGGAATGTTTTCTCATTTACTCCTCCAATGATTAAATAAGGTAGGAAAAATCAGTAATATGCATCTGGATGGCAGATGCACCTGACAGCAAAGACTTCGGCATTACCTGAGAATTATTAACCTGTATGCCAGACACACCTGACAGCAATAACTTCCCTTAAGCACACCCTGAAAATGACCCTATGGTCTGAGAAGAATGTGTGTTCAGAGTCTTGAGCTAAGGAATCCAGGAGTGGCCAACCCAGAGATTCATTTTCTATCTATGAGGAACATCTGAACTGCTGGCCTATCCCTTGGAATGCAGGTTGTACAGGAGATCAAGGCCCTTTGTTTTGGGTTAAATGAAGGTTGCCAGGTGGAGGTTGCTATGGGGAGAGTGCTAAGTGAAAATGTTACATAAACTGCATGCTTTTTACAAATAGGAGTGATTGTTTCGTCCAGTCTGCTGCCACTGAACCACCCTGTATGTAAGTCCCCTCAATAAACCCTATGTCTCTTTTGCTGGCTCTAGGTCTTTGGCCTCTTGAACATGGTGTCATTCCTGTTGAACTCAACAGGGATCCAGCACAACAGCATCTTATACCGATGCAAAAACTTAGAGGCCCAAATGTACATGTTTAATGAATCACATGAGCCCAGATCATTCTGGCTCTGAAACCTATCTTTTCCCCCATTTCACTGAGAGATTTGCCTAATAGAGAACAGGTCTTTCTGGGATAACAATTTCCTGGTCCCTTCAGTCCCTGTGGCCACTGGCTTTGGGCCTCCATAAATAATTTTCCAAATCCTGGGATTCCTCCCCCAATGCTGAGGCTGCTATGGTGGTTAAATGCACTAGATAGCATAACTTAAGCATACCCTTAAAATGAGCCTGCATAGCAGATGTACCTGAATGTGTGCCCTGAGCTCAGGGATCTGGGAGTGGCCAACCCAGAGATTCATTCCTTGTCTATAAGGAACATCTGAGTCTCCCACCTGTCCTATGGAAGATAGGCCACACAGGGAACTGAGGCCCTGAGTTTTGGGTTGGATGAAGGTTGCTAGGTGTAGGTGGTTAAGGGGAGGGTGTCAAGTGAAAATGCTATATAAACTGCATGCTGTTTGCCAGTGGCTGCAGTTTTCTTGTCCAGCCCACTGCCGTTGGGCCATGCAGATATCTTGTCCAGCCTGCTGCCACTGGATCATAGGTAAGGTGGATACATTATCCAGCCAGCTGCCACTGGACTCTTTCCTCTGTATGTGAGCCCCTAGTAAAACCTCATGTCTTGTTTGCTGGCTCTAGGTCTCCTCTTCGGCCTCTTGAACCTAGTACCTTCCCTATTGAGGTGAATAGGGGTTCAGCCCAACATACTGTCAGTAGGACAGGGAGAAGAGCAAATCCCTGGCAATGTGAAACACACACACACACACACACACACACACACATAGAGTGAATAAAATAGGCACCAATGGCTCAGTGTCCATATCTGAATAATTAGTATTCTTAGGATCTGCTTTAGTACATACTCTCCTGCTCAGCAATTCAGTAGGTTTTCAAGACGCTTCAACAGCTCCTTCTCCTTTACATAAAGTGTGTCTGCTGATGATCCATACAGTCCGTGTCACTCCAAAGAGGGCTCGCAGCATTCTTCCTAGCCTGGCCCCATGTCAGGCTACAACACTTGCAGAGGAGGAGAATGGAACTTTCTGTCCATAAAATGACGTCATGGCAATGGAGCTTTCTCTGGGGCTCCTCAGCCTTGATCCCAAGTGCCAAAGAACAAGAAAATTTGTGCAATAAATAAACGAGGAAAAAAGAGAACTCTCTTCCTGCTTTCAGGAAACATTAAACCAAGTTCACCCGGCCTCTGTTTCTAAAGTCGTCACCAAAAAAACTGTAGTCAGTGAGCCTAATGGAACTTGGATTTTATAGCCAGCTGTGTTTGAAGACAGTGATATTCTACTTTGAGAGCCCAAGGTGAGATGCTTCCAAATAAACTTTCCATACGTGAAAAGTGAGGGGAAGAGGAGTCCCCAGTAGGACAGAATCTCAAGATGTCACCAGGGCAGCTCTCTGCTTCCAAACAGCCAACACCCATACACACTCTCCGCATCTTGGTCTCTCTGCAGCACCCCAAAGCTCCCAATCATGACCTGTCTAGAGCTCAAACTGCCTCACAAGGGTTTCTGTATAAAGGGATAACAATAACTAGCACATGTGTGCCCTCACCTTTTCCTCCCCTTGGCATCTACAAGGTAATTCCGCACACTCAGCCTTGAGGGTGTTTGCCTCCTTCAGCCCTGTGTAGTCGGTCCTGCCTTCTGAGAGGAGATTCTTGACTACTGTACTCTGGAGGAGGGTTTTTGGAAAGCAGTCCCAGAATGCAGGAGCAATGGACTGAGGGGGGGGGGGTAAAAGGGAACATGTGAGAAGTGTGGGGGCCCAAGTTTTCCATCCACACACGGCATTTGAGAAGTTCAAGTCGAGGGCTTGATTTATTTTGAAATTACTTCTGATTGCATGGACTGTGTTCTTTCAGCCGTAACACTTCAAGACCAAATCTCATGGGGTGTGACTTCATAAGCATTACGCTGGTGTTTCCAAAACCAGGTCTTGTGAGGCTGTGGGCAGCGTGACGGGGCTTGTTGAGAACCCTGAGAGCAAGGAGTGCTCTATCCCAAGTGAGTAAGGGCCCCACGCCACAGTCAACCCAAAATGCCAGACAGCTGTTTAGCTTTACAGTGATTTCAAGGCAATCCAATACACTTTCATTTCTTTGAGGAGTTATGAAGAGGTTCTGGGAATCTTTGAGGCAGAAAAGTCAAGAGAAAGAATGACAAGATAAAGAAAAGGTGTGCTTAATTAAAGCTCTTCTAGGTAGGGCGTGGTGGCTCACGCCTGTAATCCCAGCATTTTGGGAGGCCAAGGCAGGCAGATCATTTGAGGTCTGGAGTTCCAGACCCGCCTGACCAACATGGTGAAACCCCATCTCTACTAAAAATACAAACAATTTAGCAGGGCATGGTGGCTAGTGCTTGTAGTACAAGCTTCTCAGAAGGCTGAGGCAGAAGAATTGCTTGAATCTGGGAGGCGGAGGTTGCACTGAGCCGAGATCACACCACTGCACTCCAGCCCGAGCGTCAGAGGGAGACTCCATCTCAAAAAGAAAAAAAAAAAAAAAAAGGCGCTATTCTAGTACAATGTTTATTTCTTTTTACTTGGACTTTCAGGTTCTAGAATTGAGAGGTACTTCAGAGAGCAGTAGGTCCTGCCCACTGACTTTGAAAAGATAAACTGTAATCACTGTTTAACAGACAGGCCAGTGGTACGGGTCACAAAGCCGCCAAATCTATATACAAACCAGGCCCCAGGACCCCGCCGCTGAGCACACTGACGTGCCACTGACGTGCCTCTGACGTGTCCTGGACCCTGGCTGCCACTGGAATCCCCTGGGGAGCTTGACACTATGCTGAAGGCAGGATTCCATTCTCAGAGATTCACATCTCAGTGGTCCTGGGTACGGCTTGGGCATCATGACTGCGGGAAGCTCCCTGGGGGATCCTAAACCCAGGCAGGACAGCACTCACCTAACACAGAAGCCCCTTCCTGAGAGGTTTCCCTGGGGAGCAACCAGTAAGCACTGACCCCTCATTAAAGGCACCCAGAGGAAGAGAGGCAGCGTGAGGTAGTGGAAGGAGCCCTGCCTGATGTGCTTCTCGGCTGTATCAGACTGACTCACACATGACCTGGAGGAAGCGACAACTCCTCCAGGCCACAGCTGCCTCCTGTGCAAAACTAGGATTTTAGTGGAAGACCTTTATTGTTCCTTTTTGCCTGCACATTCTATAACTCTAAATAACCCCCCTTGGCTCCAGGCTCTGGTTTCTTTAGATTTGCATGGCTTCTTTTTTTCCCCTTTAATCACATTTTCCCCTTTTTCTCAGCTCCTGCTCCATTTTTTATACCTCATTGAATAGGGCCCTGCATATGTAAAAGCCAACAACCCCCAGCTCAGCTAGGCTGTGGGCACAAAGTCACACTAGCGGTTAAACCCACCTCTCACTAGTGAAAGTCACCACAGGCTTGAACAGGAAGTCCAGTTTCTGCAACAACCCTAATAAGTTTTGATTTGGGGCCAGGGTTATCTCATAAGCACTAGTATGCCAACCTGCTGGGAGCTTTCACCCCTGGCATCTGCTCTATGCGTTTCTTACTGCACCAGCTTCCTTCTTTTCTGGAACTCCATTCTCAAGCCGCCAAAGAAGTTTCGCAGTTTTCACTAGTGCCAGCCGCTAACCATGAAAACAGTCATGTCTAGGCAAGATGCTGTTTGCTGGAGCAGCCTAAGCTGTCAGTCCTCAAGGGGCAAGCGTGGAGTGAGGCTCCAGGCAAAAGTGGCAGAACAGCTGTCTCCTCCACCCAGCTCCTCCTCTAGTCTGGTCTCCCAGGCAGTATTCCTTATGCCCACTGAATCACTAAGTCAGCCCTAAAGTCACCTCCTTCAACTTCTAGCCTTACTCCTTCCCACTGGAGATCAAAACCAATCCAAGGTGAGTGGGGTAGGAGTGGGAAAGAAGCAGAATTTTCCTCCCCTCTTTCCTTATTCAATATACATGTACACACACACACTATATCTACACACTAAATGTATGTATCTATACACACACTAGGGTACAGATATATATAGGGTAGAGATACACAGATGTAGTATAGATATAGTAAATATAGCCACTTTGACTCCCAGTCGGCTTTGGCCAGTGTTCCCTGATTCTTGCTCCACCCTTTCTAAGGAAAGTAAATCTCTCTAACCATCACTTATTAAGAGCTCTAAAAAATACTTCTTTTTAATCCAATAATTCTGTCCTAAGGAAATACACATGCAGACAAAGATGTTGACCATGACGTTTTTAAAAAGAGGAAAAACTTTCATCTCAATAAGACTATCCATAAAATAGAATCTTATAAGCCGTTTAAAATAACATTTTTAGGCACTTAAAAGATAATACTTAATGAAGTGGGAAAATGTTTATAAAATAACATATGGTAAAATGCGTAGGGTATATGATAGTGTTTCAATTTCATAATTCAAAACAAAATCATAGAAAAAAGACTGGAGGGAACTATGTTGACCTATGGGTAGTAGTTATTTCTAGGTAGTAAATAAAAGGTTATTCTTATGTGTCATTTCTCCCTCAAATTCTCTAAAATAAATATTCAATTATTTTATAATCAGCAAATAAACATAATATATTTTTGTGTTTTTTAAATATGATAATCTCAGAACATTTATCCCTAAAAAGAACAAATTTATGCTGGAAAAAAAGCAAGAGCATTCCTCCCTGGCTGCTGGGGGGAAATCACACTGTGGCTCTCCCCATCCCCATAACAGCCAGCATTTGTTGATCACATATGGAGCAGCTCAGTCCAAGATTGTAGCCCAGGCCTTACTTACATCCACTCATCTATGCTTCTCAACATGTCTTTGAGGAAATTACTGTTATTAGGACTTACTGACAGAGTCCGCAACCTCACTCCATCACTGCACTAGGCTGCTGGCCACCTCCCTGTTTTTCCCCCCAAAAGAAAATAGTTGGAAATTATAATCAAGAGGTGCCTCAAAGGTTAAACCAAGCATCTAAGAGTAGGCAGAGAGAAAACAGTGACCAGAGAAGAAAGCCCATCTCTTAAGAAATAAGCAAGGGGCCGATTGCTTCTGCATTTGCTCCTGGCTCTGGGTGCAGGTGCCAATGCATCCCTGACTTCTAGATGCTCTGCATCCTTCTCCCACTACTCAGAGGAGAAACCGACAGAGATGGACCATTGCTTCCAGTTCCAAATAAGAACTAAAATTGGGATTTCCTCTCCGGAATCCCAAGTTCAAAACTGCAAGCCAAATCACCCGGTGCAGAACAAGAACAAAAGGAGTCCCATTGACCTTGCCAGCTGGAAGAGGCCCTGCGAGTCTGAGAAGCTCCCCTTCTCCAGCACATTCTCCTCCAATCAAGACATCCCAGTGTTCCCTGCAGTTCGAACTGACAGAAGCACAATACCCATCTTCTCAGGCGTCCTGGGTTAATTTCTTTATATATATTTTTTTGGCTCACATTTTGAAGTCTTTCCAGACTGATGGACCAAAGTGGAAATTACAGTCCAATCGGCTATGTCCAAAACAGATGCCACATAATCACAGTCATATTAATAAAGCTGGCAACAATGAGGATAAAGAATTTCAAGGGAAGGGGGAGGGGAAACTAACACCTTCCAGAATGTGTCTGACTGATTGAATGCTCCTGCCCAGAAACAGGTTTCCCTGAGAAATCTGAAGTTGGCTTTTTCCCTATCTAAACTCCAAATCCATCCTTGTATTTAATATTTTTTACAGGTTCGATGAAGGGGAGAAAAGGGAAACATTTGCTCAAATTTTTCGGTCTTCACAGCACTTGGGGTCTCATTTATGCGTGGGTTTCCAGCTGTGCATGACATACTTCACTGTAAACTGGCACATCTTTCCATCAGCAAGCACAGCACAACCACAAGTTTGGCAAGCATTTCATGTTGCCAGATGCCTTCACCGTTTCTTAAACTATGTATTCCAGGCACTCCACTTTTTTCTTGCTGGAAATACTTTCAAAGAAGAACACAATGTTTTGGGTTGCCTGGCCAAAGTTTAGCTGTACTTTTGCATCTTTGCCAAACTTCCTGTTTTTAGCAAAACAATTTATTATCTTGCTGATTCTTTAGACCCAAAAGGATTTGCAGGCACAAATAACTACTTGGTTTCCATGTCTTTTCACAGAAGAAACTCATTCCCTTTCCCATAATTATCCTGTAGATGTTAGAACAGAAACATATTTAACCTTTGGGAGTGCTACCAAGGTGTAGAAAAGGTTTTAATTATTCAAGACTTCTACCGTCTGCACTTTAAAGAACCGACGATTATTTTTGGTGTGCAAGAAAAATAATTCTTTTCAGGTGGTTTGGCAAGATCACAGATCTGCCGCATGTGGTATTGTAGAAGCAATTTTGGAGTGAGTTTGGGTTTAAAGTCCAGGGTTAGACTAAAGAGATTTGATTGATCAGCAGCAATCAAAGAAAGCATTCAACTGGACACTTTTATGAATAGTTATCTCTGATTACTAAGCCACACAGTCACTTATTTACCATTATCACCAGAAAGCAAAACAAAAGCAAAACACTACCAGCCTTCCCCATCCCCACCTATCAGCAACTAGCCTGACTACCAACCAATAAATAGATTAAGAAGAAATTTTTTATTCTCAACTACATTAGATTAAGTTAGCCACACACAGTTACACAGTCTCAGTTTTCTAGAACATATGTTATCTATAGCAACACAGGTGCACAGACACATATAGTCATTTAGATAGGCTTTTCTCATAATCACCAGTACAGTATCAGAGCAACATTGGCAACCATATACCCAACTCTTCAGCGAAATACATTTCTAGGGTAGAATTTACCTCCACTTAGATAGATGGACCCGATCGTAATATTTCCAAGTTTCAAAAATTACTTCACAATACCAGCAGAGGCCAGGGAACTGATAATGTTGATTTCCTGTATGTTCGTGCTTCAAAGATCTTAGAATTCTTTGATGGTGACTTAGAAACAACTATAAAAATAATGGCTCCTTAAAACAGAGAGAGTCAAAGGGCAAGACTTTTTAGAGGAAATGGTTAATATTAATGAGAGAGTGCACTGTAGTCTGACAATAGACCAACATCAGCACTTTAAGAAGAATGCATCTAACTTAAGCAAGAGAGGGCCAGTTTCTGAATTTCCATTTGTGAATTATTCCTCCAGATTAAAGCAGAGAAAAAGACAGCATGTATCAGATACATGGAGAGGTAAATTGATTGATTGGTAGCTAGATGATTGCTAGATAGGGATATGAGTGCACGTATGCTGGTGGTGTGTCTTTTTTTTTTTTTTTTTTTTTCATTTCTCCGTTTTCTTCTTCTTTTTTAAGATCCATGTTCTGATAATTCCCTTGAGTAAATACTGGCCAAGAAAAGAAAAAAGAAGTCAAAGTAGCAATTCAACAGTCTAGAGCACATGAATAGAGGAGAGCATTGAAAGGGAAGGTTTTTATAAGGAATTGCCACTCACATCAAGCCTCTCAGGCATTGCAGCTAAGTGTACGCCAAGCAAAGGTGGCCCAAGATTTCTTTTAAACTCTTCTAAAAGGTGAGAATGTGCCTTTCTAATTAACTTTAGGATATGTTGCTTTAAAGAGTTATTTTTAACATTTAAACATAAACAATATCAGTACTAAATATAAGATCAAAGAAATACTGTTTCCATATGGAGTTGCCAAAGCACAGAAGCATGGCTGGAAAGTACAAGTTTCCTTTGAAGGTGGTGTTGCTATCAGTATTGCTTACTCAGCAGTCTATTAATATCAAAATAAAGTGCACATATACACATATATTCATTATATCCTGCCTGGTGTAAAAAAATTTCACTCTTCCCACCCTTAAAAACAAAATCCAACATCCCAAACCTAGGCCTTCAGGGCCCTTTCACTAGTTTTTTTTTCCAAATGAACACATTTAAAGTAATGTTTGAAGCCTGTGGTATCAGAATTTATTTCTACAAAGTTAACTCTATTTAATATCCTTGGCTCTAAGCTTAATTTGCTAAATCATGCTGTTTTTGAAATTTATTGCAAAATTATTGTTCTCTAGGGAAATAATTACCATTCCTCTTCTATGGCATTGCTTTCCTCTGCATGTGAATTTAAGTAAAGAGATTTAAAATCAGCTCTGTGTTTGAGTAGGTATCAATCAAGACAGGGCGATCTAATATTATATTTGAGTTTAAAAGAATATATTCTGTTCACTCAAATATCTGATTTTTCTGAATGAGAACAATAGGACATTAAAATTAGAAAAGAATCCTAAGAAATGATTGTATGCATCTATTTATTTATAGACTGCCTTGTTGGAAGGATCCTAGGCAGCTTAGAAGGATATATAAAATTTAGCAACATTACATAAATTAGAAGTGGACATAAAGCAAAGGAGAAAACACCAGCATAAAAATATAAAATGGAACCAGCAATGGAGCTAATATAAGCTCACAGACTTCCATACATGAAGCATAAATTTGACTCAGACTTTTTAGTTTCAAGGTAAAAACAAAAACTTGCTCAAGACTACATGACTCATCAGTAATTGAGGTGTTCAGAACTTCACAACAGAAGTTCAAAACGCTTTACCAATTATTTGTTTGGAAGCAGACTATGATTTCTCATCCTCTGCAGTGAATGCTGTTGTGGTAATAAGGAGGAGGAGGTTGACCATACTGTGTCTGTTTTTCAATATTTTGGTAATGCTTCCTGATTCTCTTTTGGGGAATTGCCTTTCCCTTGTTTTAAGTGAAGATGCTGTGTCCCTGTCCCTCCCAAGCTCCCACCTGGCCCAATCTGACTTTGTCCCACCCAGGACATTGAATCTTAAACAGGCTGTGCAATAGCAAGAGGAGACAAATGACTGTGGCTGCTTCCTTCCCAGTGGTTGTGCACAACCAAGAAAGTGACTGGTTTGTGCTAATGCCCAGGTTCCAGTCCCTCTCAGAGCCTGGTTCTCCAACCTTCCTATCAGTTCTTTGAACCATCCAATATCAACCAGTAAATGTCTTTTCTGCTTAAGTTCTGTTGCCTAAAACCACAGAACCCTAAGTGAAACACAATGTGAGCCAGGCTACCTAAGTGCAAATGGGTTAAATGATGTGTCTGGAGCCTATAGGGAATTTTAGTTAATTGTGGAACCCTGAAACTCTAATGCCCAATTTACTGCAAAATGGATATGATGTAGAAATAATTATTGGTGAAGAACATTTCCGTCCACAGCAATAATCATTGCCAAATGACATGCATCTTTTTTCTTCATTAAAATGTTTTGAATGTGCTTCTCTGTCCTGTGTAGGACATGGATGTATTTAGGAAAACATTTTGGGAAACTATCACTGTCAGGCCTCTGAGCCCAAGCGAAGCCATCGCATGCCCTGTGACTTGCACGTATATGCCCACATGGCCTGAAGTAACTGAAGAATCACAAAAGAAGTATATGCCCTGCCCCACCTTAACTGATGACATTCCACCACAAAAGAAGTGTAAATGGCCGGTCCTTGCCTTAAGTGATGACATTACCTTGTGAAAGTCCTTTTCCTGGCTCATCCTGGTTCAGAAGCTCCCCCACTGAGCACCTTGCGACCCCCACTCCTGCCTGCCAGAGAACAAACCCCCTTTGACTGTAATTTTCCTTTACCTCCCCAAATCCTATAAAACGGCCCCACCCTTATCTCCCTTCACTGACTCTCTTTTCGGACTCAGCCCGCCTGCACCCAGGTGAAATAAACAGCCATCTTGCTCACACAAAGCCTGTTTGGTGGTCTCTTCACACGGACGTGCATGAAATTTGGTGCCGTGACTGGGATTGGGGGACCTCCCTTGGGAGATCAATCCCCTGTCCTCCTGCTCTTTGCTCTGTGAGAAAGATCCACCTACGACCTCAGGTCCTCAGACCGACCAGCCCAAGAAACATCTCACCAATTTCAATTCCGGTAAGTGGCCTCTTTTTACTCTCTTCTCCAGCTTCCCTCACTATCCCACAACCTCTTTCTCCTTTCAATCTTGATGCCACACTTCAATCTCTTCCTTCTCTTAATTTCAATTCCTTTCATTTTCTGGTAGAGACAAAGGAGACACGTTTTATCCGTGGACCCAAAACTCCCACGCCAGTCACGGACTGGGAAGGCAGCCTTCCCTTGGTGTTTAATCATTACAGGGACGCCTCTGATTGTTCACCCACTTTTCAAAGGTGTCAGACCATGCAGGGACGCCTGCCTTGGTCCTTCACCCTTAGCGGCAAGTTCCGCTTTTCTGGGGAAGGGGCAAATACCCCAACCCCTTCTCTCCTTGTCTCTACTCCTTCTCTGCTTTTCTGGGAGAGGGGTAAGTACCCCTCAACCCCTTCTCCTTCACCCTTAGCGGCAAGTCCCGCTTTTCTGGGGCAGGGGCAAATACCCCTCAACCCCTTCTCCTTCACCCTTAGCGGCAAGTCCCGCTTTCCTAGGGGGCAAGAACCCCCCAGTCGCTTATTTCCGCACCCCAACCTCTTATCTCTGTGCCCCAATCCCTTATTTCTGCACCCTGACCTCTTATCTGTGCCCCAATCCCTTATTTCCGTGCTCCAACCCCTTCTCTGCTTTTCTGGAGGGCAAGAACCCCCCACCCCTTCTCCATGTCTCTACTCTTTTCTCTGGGCTTGCCTCCTTCACTATGGGTAAGCTTCCACCTTCCGTTCCTCCTTCTTCTCCCTTAGCCTGTGTTCTCAAAAACTTAAAACCTCTTCAACACACACCTGACCTATAAATGCCTTATTTTCTTCTGCAATGCCGCTTGACCACAATACAAACTCGACAGTAGTTCCAAATGGCCGGAAAACGGCACTTTCAATTTTTCCATCCTACAAGATCTAAATAATTCTTGTCGTAAAATAGGCAAATGGTCTGAGGTGCCTGACGTCCAGGCATTCTTTTACACATCAGTCCCTTCCTAGTCTCTGTGCCCAGTGCAACTCGTCCCAAATCTTCCTTCTTTCCCTCCCGGCTGTCCCCTCAGTCCCAACCCCAAGTATCGCTGAGTCTTTTTAATCTTCCTTTTCTACAGACCCATCTGACCTCTCCCCTCCTCACCAGCCCAAGCTAGGTCCCAATTCTTCCTCAGCCTCCGCTCCTCCACCCTGTAATCTTTTTATCGCCTCCCCTCCTCACACCTGGTTGGGCTTACAGTTTCGTTCTGTGACTAGCCCTCCCCCACCTGCCCAGCAATTTACTCTTAAAAAGGTGGCTGGAGCCAAAGGCATAGTCAAGGTTAATGCTCCTTTTTCTTTATCCCAAATCTGATAGCTTTTAGGCTCTTTTTCATCAAATATAAAAACCCAGCCCAGTTCATGGCTCATTCGGCGGCAACCCTGAGACGCTTTACAGCCCTAGACCCTAAAAGGTCAAAAGGCCATCTTATTCTCAGTATACATTTTATTACTCAATCTGCTCCCGACATTAAATAAAACTCCAAAAATTAGAATCTGGCCCTCAAACCCCACAACAGGACTTAATTAACCTCACCTTCAAGGTGTACAATAATAAAAAAAAAAAGTTGCAATTCCTTGCCTCCACTGCGAGACAAACCCCAGCCACATCTCCAGCACACAAGAACTTCCAAACGCCTGAACTACAGTGGCCAGGCGTTCCTCCAGAACCTCCTCCCCAAGGAGCTTGCTACAAGTGCCAGAAATCTGGCCACCAGGCCAAGGAATGCCTGCAGCCCAGGATTCCTCCTAAGCCGCGTCCCATCTGTGCAGGACCCCACTGGAGATCAGACTATTCAACTTACCTGGCAGCCACTCCCAGAGCCCCTGGAACTCTGGCCCAAGGCTCTCTGACTGACTCCTTCTTGGCTTACCGGCTGAAGACTGACGCTGCCTGATCGCCTGGGAAGCCCTGTAGACCATCACGGATGCCGAGCTTTAGGTAACTCTCACAGTGGAAGGTAAGTCCGTCCTCTTCTTAATCAATATGGAGGCTACCCACTCCACATTACCTTCTTTTCAAGGGCCTGTTTCCCTTGCCTCCATAACTGTTGTGGGTATCGACAGCCAGGCTTCTAAGCCTCTTAAAACTCCCCAACTCTGGTGCCAACTTAAACAACACTCTTTTATGCACTCTTTTTTAATTATCTCCACCTGCCCAGTTCCCTTATTAGGCCGAGATATTTTAACCAAATTATCTGCTTCCCTGACTATTCCTGGACTATAGCTGCATCTCATTGATGCCCTTCTTCCCAATCCAAAGCCTCCTTTGCTTCCTCCTCTTGTATTCCCCCACCTTAACCCACAAGTATAAGATACCTCTACTCCCTCCTTGGCGACCGATCATGCACCCCTTACCATCTCATTAAAACCTAATCACCCTTACCCCACTCAACGCCAATATCCCATCCCACAGCACACTTTAAAAAGATTAAAGCCTGTTATCACTCGCCTGCTACAACATGGCCTTTTAAAGCCTATAAACTCTCCTTAGGATTCCTCCATTTTACCTGTCCTAAAACCAGACAAGTCTTACAGATTAGTTCAGGATCTGCGTCTTATCAACCAAATTGTTTTGCCTATCCACCCTGTGGTGCCCAACCTGTACACTCTTTTGTCCTCAATACCTTCCTCCACAACTCACGATTCCGTGCTTGATCTTAAAGATGCTTTTTTCACTATTCCCCTTCACCCCTCGTCCCAGCCTCTTCGCTTTCACTTAGACTGACCCTGACACCCATTAGGCCCAGCAAATTACCAAGGCTGTACTGCCGCAAGGCTTTATAGACAGCCCCCATTACTTCAGTCAAGCCCAAATTTCTTCCTCATCTGTTACCTATCTCGGCATAATTCTCATAAAAACACACGTGCTCTCCCTGCCAATCGTGTCCGACTGATCTCTCAAACCCAAGCACCTTCTACAAAACAACAACTCCTTTCCTTCCTAGGTATGGTTAGTGCGGTCAGAATTCTTACACAAGAGCCAGGACCGCACCCTGTAGCCTTTCTGTCCAAACAACTTGACCTTACTGTTTTAGCCTAGCCCTCATGTCTGCGTGCAGTGGCTGCCGCTGCTTTAATACTTTTAGAGGCCCTCAAAATCACAAACTATGCTCAACTCACTCTCTACAGTTCCATAACTTCCAAAATCTATTTTCTTCCTCATACCTGATGCATATACTTTCTGCTTCCTGGCTCCTTCAGCTGTACTCACTCTTTGTTAAGTCCCACAATTACCATTGTTCCTGGCCCAGACTTCAATCTGGCCTCCCACATTATTCCTGATACCACACCTGACCCCCATGACTGTATGTCTCTGATCCACCTGATATTCACCCCATTTCCCTATATTTCCTTCTTTCCTGTTCCTCACCCTGATCATGCTTGATTTATTGATGGCAGTTCCACCAGGCCTAATCGCCTCACACCACCAAAGGCAGGCTATGCTATAGTACAAGCCACTAGCCCACCTCTCAGAACCTCTCATTTCCTTTCCATCGTGGAAATCTATCCTCAAGGAAATAACTCCTCAGTGTTCCATCTGCTATTCTACTACTACTCCTGGATTATTCAAGCCCCCTCCCTTCCCTACACATCAAGCTTGAGGATTTGCCCCCACCCAGGACTGGCAAATCAGCTTTACTCAACATGTCCGGAGTCAGGAAACTAAAATACCTCTTAGTCTAAATAGACACTTTCACTGAATAAGTAAAGGCCTTTCCTACAGGGTCTGAGAAGGCCACCACAGTCATTTCTTCCCTTCTGTCAGACATAATTCCTCAGTTTAGCCTTCCCACCTCTATACAGTCTGATAACAGACCGGCCTTTATTAGTCAAATCAGCCAAGCAGTTTTTCAGGCTCTTAGTATTCAGTGAAACCTTTATATCCCTTACAGTCCTCAGTCTTCAAGAAAAGTAGAACGGACTAAAGGTCTTTTAAAAACACACCTCGCCAAGCTCAGCCACCAACTTAAAAAGGACTGGACAATACTTTTACCACTTTCGCTTCTCAGAATTCAGGCCTGTCCTCAGAATGCTACAAGGCACAGCCCATTTAAGCTCCTGTATAGACGCTCCTTTTTATTAGGCCCCAGTCTCATTCGACACCAGACCAACTTAGACTGTGCCCCAAAAAAACTTGTCATCCCTACTATCTTTTTTCTAGTCATACTCCTATTCACTGTTCTCAACTACTCATACATGCCCTGCTCTTGTTTACACTGCTGGTTTACACTGTTTCTCCAAGCCATCACAGCTGATATCTACCTTTTATACCTGTTTTTCTCCTTCTCTTATTCCATTTAGTTTTTCAATTCATACAAAACCGTATCCAGGCCATCACCAATCATTCTATATGACAAATGTTTCTTCTAACAACCCCACAATATCACCCCTTACCACAAGACCTCCCTTCAGCTTAATCTCTCCCGCTCTAGGTTCCCACGCCGCCCCTAATCCCGCTTGAAGCAGCCCTGAGAAACATCGCCCATTCTCTCTCCATACCACCCCCCAAAAATTTTCACTGCCCCAACACTTCAACACTATTTTGTTTTATTTTTCTTATTAATATAAGAAGGCAGGAATGTCAGGCCTCTGAGCCCAAGCCAAGCCATCGCATCCCCTGTGACTTGCACGTATACACCCAGATGGCCTGAAGTAACTGAAGAATCACAAAAGAAGTGAATATGCCCTGCCCCACCTTGACTGATGACATTCCACCACAAAAGAAGTGTAAACGGCCAGTCCTTGCCTTAAGTGATGACATTACCTTATGAAAGTCCTTTTCCTGGCTCATTCTCACTCAAAAACACCCCCACTGAGCACCTTGCGACCCCCACTCCTGCCCGCCAGAGAACAAACCCCCTTTGACTGTAATTTTCCTTTACCTACCCAAATCCTATAAAACGGCCCCACCTTTATCTCCCTTTGCTGACTCTCTTTTTGGACTCAGCCCGCCTGCACCCAGGTGAAATAAACAGCCATGTTGCTTTACCAATTATTTGTTTGGAAGCAGACTATGATTTCTCATCCTCTGCAGTGAATGCTGTTGTGGTAATAAGGAGGAGGAGGTTGACCATACTGTGTCTGTTTTTCAATATTTTGGTAATGCTTCCTGATTCTCTTTTGGGGAATTGCCTTTCCCTTGTTTTAAGTGAAGATGCTGTGTCCCTGTCCCTCCCAAGCTCCCACCTGGCCCAATCTGACTCTGTCCCACCCAGGACATTGAATCTTAAACAGGCTGTGCAATAGCAAGAGGAGACAAATGACTGTGGCTGCTTCCTTCCCAGTGGTTGTGCACAACCAAGAAAGTGACTGGTTTGTGCTAATGCCCAGGTTCCAGTCCCTCTCAGAGCCTGGTTCTCCAACCTTCCTATCAGTTATTTGAACCATCCAATAATCAACCAGTAAATGTCTTTTCTGCTTAAGTTAAGTTCTGTTGCCTACAACCACAGAACCCTAAGTGAAACACAATGTGAGCCAGGCTACCTAAGTGCAAATGGGTTAAATGATGTGTCTGGAGCCTATAGGGAACTTTAGTTAATTGTGGAACCCTGAGACTCTAATGCCCAATTTACTGCAAAATGGATATGATGTAGAAATAATTATTGGTGAAGAACATTTCCGTCCACAGCAATAATCATTGCCAAATGACATGCATCTTTTTTCTTCATTAAAATGTTTTGAATGTGCTTCTCTGTCCTGTGTAGGACATGGATGTATTTAGGAAAACATTTTGGGAAACTATCACCATACAGCCAACCTCTGTGTTAGACTTAAACATTAATATTGCAAAATCTTTTATTTCTCCTAATAAATACTGCCTAATCTTAACATTGCTGAAACCCAACCACATGAATCATACTTTATATGTGATAGTTTATGTCGATGATGGGATTTTTTTTTCTCCCCTTTAAAGTTCTGGACTGAAAAGAGAGTGGAACAAGAACTACCAAGTACCCAGAACAGTCCTGAAGGCCCATTAGGCCACGGGGGATGAGCCTGATGATGTTCTGGTAAATGTTTCACAGCAGATTCTCCAAAAAACAAAGCTCTGATTTCTAGTGCTTGCAAATTTCTGTGGTAAACATACTCCTACCATGGCCAATGTCAAGCTACTAATATGATGTCACCAAACACAGAATTGGAAAGAGGTGTACACAAAGGGCTCTCACAAGCTGGTGCTAACTGGCTCCAGTGCCCCACTGGAAAGGTCCCTCCTGATCCCTCTCCTCTAACTGAGTCCAAGGAAGGACCTCCAAGGAACCAGCAATCCATTACTCTGGTGGCTCGTGTTCTTCTTCTAGAAGAAACATTTGAAACCTCTGTGGTGAAGTTGATCTCTGTAAACCAGTCAGCTAACTAATGGGTAATAGAAGTGTCTCTCTCTTCCTACCTGAGAATCGTCCTCTGCAATGTCAGAGTGAACAGAAATGATTCATCATGAATAGGCTTGCTAAGTGAAAAGCATCCTTTAGTTTCCATTCAAGAGAATGTTCATTTAAAGACAAAGCGACCTGCTTTAGCTATGAAAAACAAATGAGTTGAAAATATATGCTTTTTTGCAAGAAAAAAAAATCACAACTCAAAGGCAAAGTATACTAAAGTACAGTTTAAGACAGAGTAATGTCATGGTGAAGAACATGTGCCCTAAATCCAGCAATCTGGACTTGAACACTGGCTCAGCTTCTGGGGGGCTGCAACTGCCCTTGGGCAAGTAACTTAAGTTACAGAACCTCAGTTTGCTCCTCTGCAAAATGAAAATGTCAATAGGGTTTCCATGAGAACTTAGATAATAAGATGCAAGTAAAGGACTTGGAACAGAGTCTGGCACCTGGTAAGTTGTTAACGTCATTGCCCTTTGATTGTCCAGTCTGCCCTTTCACAGAACTCAGCGTGTTTGGGTTTCCTTTCCTAAGATGCAGCAGCTGCCAGTAAAGTCCATTCACCCCAGAATAAGGGTCTGGTAAATGAACTATTTGCAGAAAGCCAGGCCTTGCAGGGTGCTTTCAATGGGCAAGAGGACACGATGACAGGTGCCGACGAGGTATTCCTCTCCACTTCCTGGGAAAGAGGGCAAGCCTGTAACAGGTGCAGTCATGGGGGCCCCAGTAGGGGATGGCTGAGAGGATGAAGCTTCCATTTTCAGAGTTTGGATGAAAACAATCAGAGCCCCTTTTCCAGTGGAACTTGTAACTGCTTACTCATCACAAATAACTTAAAGCATGTCATCACCATTCCTGGCTGCAGGAATGAATCCTGCCCAGAGAGGAGATCTGTTTTCTTCCTTAAAGCCCTAAGAGTGTTCTGCTTCAATTCCCTGTGTGGGACATAGATATATTAAATACAAAAAAAAATGACCATAAAGTGAACATTAAGGTTGAGAAATGAGGTCTGAGGATGCCAGGAAATTCAAAAGTAAGTGTTCCCCCAGCACCTCTAATTCAGCCATCTTTGCAGTAATGCATCCTTTCCGATTTCTGAATCCTCAGCGGAATTCCCATTTCACATAGACTCTGGATCCTTCAACTAAGCCAGGGGAGGGATGTTTGGGGGTTCCTCTCCCTCCTTCTCATTTCCCCAGGTCGTGGGAAAATCCTGTCTAGGACCCTTCCACCAAGACCTTGAATGAGGCCAGGCATGGCAAAGTACTCTTGAGAGCCCCAGGGAGGAGCTCAGCCCCAGGAGGCTGGACTAGTTCCTTTCCCAGCCCCTCCCGGAGAGCCAGGAGGCTACTCCTGGCTCCACATAGCAAATGTATACATGCAGATATCCAGGATGCATTAGTGGTTCGACACAACTGATGTGCTCAGGCACCTCCGGGGTACATTAGTTGAAGTGGCTACGGCAGCTGGTGGCTCCTCTTCAGCCATAATTTATCTATTGCACTTTACTTAATGTGCAAAATTAAATTTATGCTGAATCTGTGTGTATTACCTACTGTGCATGAACGGCATGAAATATACCACAAAGCAAATCAGCACAGAGCCATGCTCTTAATTGCTAATGGCTTTCAACACACTTCATTGTGATCTAAACCAACTTGGAATCCATTCTCCATTGAGAATCCCACTCATATCGAGGTTGAAAGTGCTTCTTCCGAGAACCTTCTGGAGAACTGAAGGAGACAATGAGCAATGCTTTTAACTCAATCTTTCTAGAACACATGTTCTCTAGATCACAGATTCTGCACTTTTCACTAATATCGTGATCAATACAGTTGCTACAAAGGGCATGGATTTGCTGAAAACTAAGCAAATCAATGTGAAATATATTTTCGAAGTAAAATAAAGGAAATAACCCAAGATTCAGTCCTAGTTCTGAAACTGCCAGTCTATGGGACTGGCTCTGAGTGTCTGGTTCCATGCATTAAAACTTAATAATTGGAATAATTGATTTCTGCATCTAATTAGAAAAAAAATCTATACAACCAAGTAAAGTAAATTTTATAAAAAACAAATATCTCAAAAGAAGCTTTAAAAAAATCTGATGTCACATGCATCCACACACATTCTCACACACCCAAATTTACACAAAGCAGAAATTAATTCACGTTTGAAATCTGATTCCACAAAGGAATTTAATTGAGGAATCAGAAAGGAAGAAAATAAGAAGTACACGGGCAATGGAGAAAATTAAATGTGACTATGTGTCTGCCAACAGTAATTATTCAAAATGTTTTCTGTGTTTCTTATCATTTTAAACTCTGCTTTAAAACTACAGAGATCATTTCTCATGAAAAGAAAAAGTTATTTGCTCTGCTGTTTACATTTGTACTGGAAAGGAGCCATCTGTGGAAATCTCATATTCCTCCCTTGAAAATAATTTGTAATTCTCCTCGCCTAAAGGACAGAGGAAAAATAAGAAAACCAGTGACTATATTACTTTTTAGATGTTATCTTTACATATTTTTCAGTAGGTAACTATGAGTATAAAAATTTCAAAAATATACCAGCCTTGTGAAGCTCAGAACTTTTACAAAAATAAGGAAATTATGTTAGGAAGAGTCAGAGTGATCGTTTTATTTATTCTATTCCTCCTTGTTATATCTCCCATGTTAAAATCGGGACATTATTCACTAAGGATTTTAATCTAACATTTCAAAGGTTTTGTTCAGTTATAGTGGTTCTTGATCTTCTGTGGTTTGTGATTGAAAAACTAAAATGTAGATATGAAATGGCATTCATACATAAATAAGTGTACATACATGTACATGCATTCTTTCAGTCACTGTCCTGTTGGATTATAATTGTTTGAATAAGTATGTATGTAGAAATGGGTTTCCCCATCACTTCTATTTTTGAATGCATAAATTACATTGTTTTCTGATTATTTAATGGTAGTAAACATACTTCTAGAGGTGAGATGCACTAGTGGCATCTGAGTCATTTTCTTTTTCTGAAAAAGCTATGTTAAAATCAAAGGCAACTCTCAGTAGAAAACATTAATTGAGCAACTACTAGATATAAGGCTTAGATCTGAAAAAAAAAAAAAGTAACTTTGCCCTTGCCCTATGGGAGCATGTAATTAAGTGACAAGGATAGACATGTACACAACTAATTCTAGTACTTGGTAAAGAGTAGTAGTTAGGATAGAGTGATGCAGGAAATAGTGTGCTGGGGCTCTGGGAGATCTGGAGGCTACAGTGATGTGTCAGCTGTCTTAGAAAATGAGTAAAACTTTGGTTGGAACACAACTGGGGGAGATGGGAGTGAAGAACAAAGGCAGAGGTAACTGCTTGAAGAACCATCTGGGTAAATGAAGAGGAGGCAAAGTGCCAAATTGTCAAGTTCCTTAAGATAGATGCATAGCTTCTAGCAGAGGCTGCCCTTGACTGGCTTAGAATGGGGCTAAAACAAAACAAAACAACAACAACAAAAACCCAAACAACAAAACAACAAGCAAACCAGCTGCGTCTCCCTTTTCTAGTCACAAAGACAAATTCATATCTTCATGATCACAAGTTTGCTCTACTCAAGAAGAAAATGATTTTATTCCTAATTCACAAAAGTTATAAGCTTGTTTTTTACCTTCACTATTTTAGATAGTTTAGCTACAAGCATGGCTAGAAGAAATGAGGACATTGTCCAACTCATTTTAAAATTCTATCTGTGATATTTTACTAGGTATGTTTTGGAAAACATGCTTTGCTAGGTTAACTCTTTGTTTTTCAAAAAAGGAATTCCTCTTCCTCTCTCTCTCTCATTGTCTTTCTTCAACATCAAGGGGCTTGAATTTGAGCCACAAAATAAAGTTGAAAGATATTTTCTTTTAATTGAACATTTGCATGATATGGATGTTAAAAATCAAAGAGGCTTTAGGTTTAAACCTTCCATTAAATTCCCCCACTTTCCTCTTCTCTGGGAGAGAATGCTTATTTACCCTGCTGCCCCAGGCTTGGTCTTCCCATCTCATTCAACACCAAGACTTTGTCAAAAGAGAGGTCAGTAGCCTCTTGGAATCTTTTGGAGATAGATAGAGCCTAGTAACCATTTCCCACAGTGGGGTTATCTGCTATCTGCCAGGGTTGTTTTCCTGAATGATATCTGATCAAACTACCCTGCAGTCTCTAAAAGCACCCAAGGGGGACTTCACTAACTTCTTTCTCTGCTTTCTATCAATCAGCCCAAGCCAAGATAATATGTGATCCAAATATTTTTTAAGTGTCAACAGAGACCTTGGTGATTGGGTATACACTTAGATAAAATCTGATTTATATTCTCTAATCTAGCTCATTATCCTAGATGGTTCCACTGATTTCCACTATGTTGTCCCTAATGTCAGGATCCAAAAGAAACCCTAGCAAATTTGCATTCTTTCCTTCTTGTTTTGGCCCAGGGACATTACTCATTGAAATTTAAGTGATAAGCAAAGGAAACAAACTACCTTGGAATTTGGCTGATTCTCTGGATCTCTGACCCAGTGTAGGGAAACTTCAAACCTCTAATCTCCAACATGCAAAATGGCTCTAAAGACTGGAAGCAATGAAATTTCACTAACTTTGCAAGAGAAAATAAAGCACCCACACAAAGTAAAATGGAAAGAGTATGTTCATGGCCAGCATTTTTCTCATACTTTCCATTCAGATTTTCTGATTTTTTAAATGAAATTGAAGATTGCATTTTATTTTCTTTTTCCTTTAAAACTATCAGCTTAAATGTCCAAGGTGCATTTAATGTCCAAGGTGCATTTGACTAAAGTCAATTTACTAAATTATTTTTCTTAGTGTTCCTCGACAGTGAGGAAGATTCAGCAGGAGTAGAGGGCCCAATCTCTTTAAATCTGACCTGAAATTGATTGCTCCAGGTATCAGTTATTTTCCTGGATGACGTGGGAATTGTCACTAGCCATGAAGCAAAACCTCTGGTTTTCCCACACAAGACCTATCCCAAGATTGGCAAGCACATTCCTATCTAAACCCTTCACGACAAATTACCACAGCCCCTTTTACCAAGTTAATTATAGAACCAAGGGGCTGGAAGGAGTGCCCAAGACATCATCTGGCCCAGCCCTCCATTTAAATCATCTCAGACAGATGGAAATCTATCCCGTTTTAAAAGACCTCCAGAGGGGGAGATTCCACAAGCCCAGTCAGTTACCCACTCGGCTGTTTAACAACCCCTGTCAGAGAGTCTCCCTTTATCTGTAGCTTAAATCTCACACACTGCACTTTAGGCCAATTTCTTCTTGTTCTGAAAGCCAACCTTCACATACCTGAAGACATTATTAAGGCATCTCTCCAACTTCTCTTCTCTGGGATGATCAATCCCAATTCCTTCCACTTGTCCTGGTAAATCTTACTTTCTAGCTTTTAATCATCTCTATGACTTTCTCCTGAACTTTGGTATACTTAAAGATTAATTGGAGATACAGGTGGTCATTCATGTCTTTGAGGCAGCAGTTCTCAAAACATTTTGCTCTCAGTACCCTTTTGACACTCCTAAAACTGAAAACCCCAAATAAATTTTATTTACATGGGTTATATTAGATTGGTGCAAAAGTAATTGTGGTTTTTGCCATTGAAAATAGTATCTATTAATATTTTCTAGATTAGAAATTAAGACTGAGACCTCTCTAAGACCCAAAATACACATGTAAGCAGTCCATTATCTGTCAGTGTGATGAAGTCATCACGTCACATAGCCTTTAGAAGACTCTATTGTATACTCATGAGAGAATGAAACTGAGAAGACAAATAACATATTTGTTTTATTATAAAGTAGTATGACTCTGAAGACCTCCTGAAGAGTCTGGGAGATCCTTGTAGTCCCAGGACCACATATTGAGTTCTGCTGTTTTATGGAAAGTGTGGCACTATCCTCAGAGTAGACCTGGATATACTGGCAGTCAGCAAGTAGTGTAGTCTAATCTCAAATCAAATTACACTACATTATACAACAAATTAAAGCCTTTAACTATCAAACATCCATGCTATCAACCTTAGAAAAGTTAAGAGAAACTTATTAAGTTTAATAAGAGAAGAATAAACTAATTTTTATTAACAAAAGAAGAATAAACTGATTTTTGTTGATATTTTTTATGGGAAGACATAGTAGTGTCAGCGTAAGTGGAAAGGCAGAGGGAGATTGTGCCTTAAGAGCAAAAGCAGATTCCCTAACATGCAATCCTCTTATATCACACCTAAAACCATTCTACTTATTCATTGTTGACTTGGGCATAGTAAGTTGCTTGCTTTTAAGCAATAGAGCTACTCAAATCCCTTGCTTTACTACTGTTTTCACAGCCAAAACCAGCCCTGGCTAGCAGATCCTCCCCAGGTCTGCCTGTCCATTCCTAAGGACTCTTCGGTGATAATGGGACATGGGGAAGGGGAAATGTCTTTGAAAACTCCTTTTTCTGGTTCAATCCTAAGTCAGATGCTCACATACCTTCCTTTGTCTTTATATGTCCTTCCCAAATTTTGTATTGTTTTCTTTTATACCTGAGAAACTGCTTCTTTTTCTCCACAACTTCATGTTTTCAAATTGTTAGCCTAAGTGTTGTTTAACATATTTATAAGGCATTATAGGTTTATCAATCAAGTACCAAGTATTTATTACCTACTCTGTATTCAAAATTCTGCTAGTCATGGTAGGTACATACCACAGAGGCATAAGTCTTATTTACTATCTCTAGGGACTTACAGTCTATAATAGAGACAAAATAAAATAAAATGCACATATAACAAAAATACAATTAAATTATAAACTGCAGAGTACAGACTAAGTATTATAGGAGTTGTCAGAAAGAGTATCTCTGTTAACACGTGAAATGCACCACACGCATTAAAAAAGGAAACTATTTCAGCTATGGCATAGGTGAATTTTGAGTAGTTTAAAATATATTTCTTCTGAAAACTTTCAGGGTTGTTCTTACAAGCAGGCCTCAGCCTGGGCTAGACCACAAATGCTCCCCAACTCCCCACCTCCCACCCCAAACTGAGGCCTGCCTCCCTCTCCTCCCATCCCTGGCTCTCTTCCTGAAAGGAGAAGCATCACATGCATGAATGAGAACCCCAGCACATAATGCAATCTAAGTCCACAGCCACACCCCACAAAACAGCCACCCTTGCTACCCCTTGGGCCTAGCATGAGCCCACCAGAAGCGTGGTCAGTCTTGAGGAAGATGAAAGAGGTGCTAGGGAAGAGGCCCATGCAGGTGTGGGAGCAGGCTCAGTCCCTCTGGGCAACAAATTCTAGGTTCCTGGTACCTGAGATGTACCTGAAGGGAGATGGTAGAGTACAAGCTCCAGGTGGGCTGCCTCTTGACCCCTTAGAATCCTCCCCTTGAAGTGGGGGAAGCACCTGGACTTGAGCCAAAGGAGGGTTTCTAAAGTTTGGGATCCAAAGCAGGGACCCCAGATGCCCAGGTCTAATGGAGGTAGCTTTAAAATGAAGAAATTCCAATATAAAAGTCTTTCAAAATAAATATTCCTCGTATCAAAGTTCTTTCAATACCCTTTCAACTTCTTAATTTACATATTTTCTTCTCTATTAAAGGAGATGTGTGCTTTGATTAGATTTTCAAATTTCATAATGTTTGTTTTACATAGATCACCTTAATTTGCTTCTTAGTATTTACACACATAAAAGTTTTAAATGCACTTTCCTAGAAATTTTCAAATGTATCTGGACTTAAGAAAAAAAATGCAGCCCCAGAAAAGTAAAGCTTTGCAAGTCAAGTAACATTTTGAACACACACTAAAGCCTAATGAAATATTCCTCTTTTTTGTCTGGTAAATTCTCAATTCTCATTCTATTTTTTAATGATAATCATCCTCTAAATCAACCATCACATTGTATTTAATATACATACAATTTTTTTGATTTCTTGGTAACAGTCAGACTTCTAATTTAGCTACATTTCTTTTCTTTTTTTCTTTTTTTGAGACAGGGTCTCACCCTGTCACCCGGGTTGGAGCACAATGGCGCCATCACAGCTCACTGAAGCCTTGACCTCCTGGTCTCAAGCAACCTTCCCACCTCAGCCTTTCAAGTAGCTGGGACTACAGGTATGTACCACCACCGCTGACTAATTTTTTTAAATTTTGTGTGGAGGTGGGGTCTCACTGTGTTGCCCAGGCTGGTCTCAAACTCCTGGACTCTGGCGATCCTCCAACCTCAGGCTTCCGAAGTGCTGGGATTACAGGTGTGAGCCACCATGCCCAGCCTACATTTCTTCAGGAATATCTTTTTGTGTGTATTTTCCCTTGAGGGATTCTGACTCTACTCTCTCTATTCCCTTCATCTTTCTAAATTAGTGATATTTTCCTGTCCCTGGTTAAAAAAAAAAAAAGAAAAATATATTTCTAGAATATAGAAATGAAATATGGAACCAAGAAAAGATATATTAGAGAAAATGACATGATATTTTTTCTCATGAGTCCTGATTTGTGGGCCATCCCAGCATGGTCAACATTCACAATAGTTGGAAAGCAATTTACTTTATTACTACAGCTTCTCATGAACATACTATAGGCAGAATATAGTCACAATATAAAGAAAAACTTCTTTAAAAGCCTATTTTCTACTAGAAAATGGGCAAATGACTTGAACAGACATTTCACCAAAGAGGACATATGGATGGTAAATAATACATTAAAAAATGTTCAACATTATTAGCCAGTAGAAAAATGCAGATTAAAACTACAAGGACATATTAGCACTATAAACCTATTAAAATGGCTAAAGTAAAAATACTGATAATATCAAATGCTGATGTGGAAGCAGAACAACTAGATTTTTCAGACATTGCTGGTAGGAATGTAAGATGGCACAGTTACTCTGGAAGTTTGTCAGTTTTGTATACAGTTAAACATATACTTACCATATGAACCAGCAATCACACTTTTGCATATTTTGCCTAAGGAAATCAAAATTTTTGTTTCTACAAAAACCTGTACACAAATGCTCACAGAAACTTCATTTGCAATAGCCAAAATGATCCAAAGGTCCTTTGATGAGTGAATGGATAAACAAACAGCATTGCATTTGTTCAGTGAAATGTTCCTTAGCACTAAAAAGGAATAAAGTATTGATACATGCAATGACTTGGATGAATCTCAAGGGCATTATGCTGAGAGGAAAACCGATCTCCAGGGGTTATGGGCTGTGTGATTCTATTTATGTTCTCAAAGTGACAAACTTATAATGATGGATCAGGATGGAGTTAGATGAAGAGTGTGATTTTTAAGGAGTAACTTGTGGGAGTTTTTTCTGTGCTACAACTGTTCTATATCCTGATTGTAGTGACTGACAAAGCTGTAAAATCTAATGCCAAAAAGAATAGGCAGCAAACACTGACCTGCACAAGCTCTTCCCAAAGGGTAGTCAGTACTTGAGTATTTGCATTTTTGTCATGGATCTGCTTTTCACAGTGCATTCACTGCACTCTGATTCTCAGTGTGGCCCTCTGGAGTTGGAAGGGCAGTGTCAGTAGCCCTCACTGATTCAGCAAGTCTAACCATCACCCAGGTGGTTATGGAAATGGGCAGATGAAAAATACCCAGGCTCCTAGAATTTTATTCTGTTAACTTTCTCACCACATCTCCTCTCAACCAGACCCCAGGTAGGGAAGTGGAAAGAGAGGGTAAACTCTGCTCAGAACTATTTTTGGGTATTGAAGATAATGATTCTGAGACCCCTAGAATTTTCTCTTCCAACTGGGCCCTCATATTGTGATCAGAGGCTGTCATACACTACGAAGGAACTCATGGGTTGTATTTTTCATCTTCTCAACCTAAAGACATATATATATTTTAGGCGGGTGGGGAGGACAGGGTCTCACTCAGTTGCTCAGGCTGGAGTGCAGTGGTACAATCTTGGTTCACTGCAACCTCAACCTCCCAGACTCAGGTGATTCTCCCATCTCAGCCTCCTGGGTAGCTGGGAATACAGGCACACGCCACCACACCTGGCTAATTTTTTGTGTGTGTTTTGTAGAGACAGGGTTTCATTGTGTTGTCCAGGCTGGTCTCTAACCCCTTGGGCTCAAGCAATCCACCCTCCTCAGCCTCCCAGAGTGCTGGGATTATAGGTGTGAGCCACCATGCCTGGGAAAGATATTCTTATTGCTTTTGCATTTACAAAACTTGTGACTGCTTTCTCAAGAATACAGACATAAACTCTTGCCAGACTATAAATCACAAGTAATAACAAATATAATTTTATCCTGATAGCTTCAATTGAGGCTACATTTTCCCTCCACCCTTGCCTCATCTACCTTAAAGTCCAAACAAAAAAAAGCTAACAACAAATCTGGGTGGCCTCCAATAATAAAAGATTCTTTCTCTTTGTCTATTTAAAGTGCCCTTGTTATTTAAAAAAATTATATTCTATTAATAACAGATGCCTGGAATCTTACTTCTGTAATATACTGTAATTAACAATGCAAATGTGAAATAAAAAGTCTCAGTATTTATCAGATAGACATGAGCAGGTGATTATGTACTTAGAGGTATAAAATGCATAATGAAAATGCACAGTTGTGATTGTTCCAAAGGGCTTCTACTACTGAGCCAAAGATAGAGTTTTTAAAGTTAAATAGAAAGACTGCCTGCTTCTCTATTTTTTTCAGTCTATCCCTGTGCATAATATCATTTCTACTCAATTCATCCAAGCTCAGCTTAAATAATTTCAATTTTTTATAGCATCTTGTTTAAACTCAAGGCCAACTGAGAAAAAGTGTTAAAAATTCTTTACAAATGATACATTTCTGTTTTTCCAAAATATTCATATAACTCAGGAAAATTAGACAGACCAGTTTTATTAACCATTTTTTAAAATTCTATTTGAAAGGAACGCATTCCTGGATGAAGGGCTTGTATATCATATTTCAGACCTAAGTAAACTTTTATAGCTGAGCTGTAAAAATAGTCATTTATTATACAAACACTGCCAAGTTTTTAACTATAGCCCTGCCAATGGGCAACTGTAATAATCCAACAATAATCATCGTCATTTTAATAAATCATTCAAAAGAGAGGCTGCTACCCTCTCTAGCCAGGCAAAAGCACTCTCTTGTGTTCCAACAGAGAGAACTTAAGCCGATAGACAGCCCAGTTATCAGGTGCTCTTCTTTCCCAGCACGACAGTGGCAAACTTTGAGAATAAATTCATCAGGAAGACCACCCTGCCCTCATCCAATATCCTTTTTCTGCATCCAAGAGTACCTAAAAATGCCATTTATTAAAGGCGATTGTGTTACTCCCTAACTGGATTATCTTCTTCCTTGTCCCATAACACCATAAAGCTTTAACCCTGAAATAAGAGGTCCAGTTTAGTTTTTAATGTTGCAAAGGTACTGTGGAGAGGAAGGGAATCTCAGACCCAGCTTAACTCAAACTGGAACTGAATTCTACTCCTGGGCACTGCTGGGTTTCATATTATCCTAATGGGTTCCTGCACAAGCCAGTCTTAAAGGGGCAGAATCTCAGGCCCATCCTGGCAGGACTTCCTTCTCCCAAGTCTCTTTGTGCTTCCACCAAATGAATGATTTTGTGAAGGAAGGGATGGAGAATGAAGACAGGCCCCACTGAAGGCCAGGAAGCCCAGTGACAACAGCCCTAAGAGGTCCTAGTGTAGCCATGTTTCTCTCCCTGCACTTCTGGCCTAGAATTGCTGAAGTGGTGAAGCAACTTGAATTCAGCCAGATGGGGAGGCATAGGGGAATCCTCTTTGGATTCATTGCCATTATGTTCATGAGTTAGAGACTCTTAAAGAAATGCCAGTCTCTACTTCCAAGAATGTACAGAATCTTGAACAAGTCTACTAGTCTAGCCATGTAGACGTTCTAATGGAAATTTTCACACACAAAAAATGTTATCAACATACCCATTGTTTTACATGCTATTAAAGTAACTTTAAAAGTTCTTGAAAGTAAACTTTTTTCCCTCCTTAAATGACTGATTTTTTTTTTTTTTTTTTTTTGAGACAGAGTCTCGCTCTGTCACCCAGGTTGGAGTGCAGGGGCACGATCTCGGCTCACTGCAAGCTCCACCTGCCGGGTTCATGCCATTCTCCTGCCTCAGCCTCCCGAGTAGCTGGGACTATAGGCACCCACCACCATGCCTGGCTAATTTTTTTTTTTTTGTATTTTTAGTAGATACGGGGTTTCACCATATTAGCCAGGATGGTCTCGATCTCCAGACCTCGTGATCCACCCGCCTCAGCCTCCCAAAGTGCTGGGATTACAGGCGTGAGCCACCACACCCAGCCTGAAAAAATTTTTTGAGCTAGTAAATGTTCTTCAAGAAATTTATTTTAGGCATTTAAAGAAAGTTTCTCAATTATTAGAATATTAATTTATAATATTTTATTTTCTGAAATCATCATATGTTAAACTCAAAAGAAATAACTATTTTCTTTTATTTATTGTTTGGGGGACGCTTATTCCTTACTCCTCATGTGTTCACGTAGAGGAATTTGCACAGTTAGAATTACTTTCTCAGTGTCTCTCCATCGCTTTCTCAGAGTGGTGAGTTGGAGACCAGGAATGACCCAGCACTTCCTGGTTCTCTCCTGAGAAGCTAACTACCTGCCAAGGTGCCCACCATCCTTTTCTTCATGCCCTGGGGGGTGGCCCCAACACAGGTAGAGTCATACTCTACCTGTGAGTATGACTCTAATGCAGACGTAAAATGTTAGCAAGCACAATCGTCCATGGACCTAAGCCTCATTCTCAAAGCTGATGCTTTGATTTCCATCCACTGACTTCTTTACAGTACCTCTTTCAACTGGTACCAAACTGGAGCAGGAACAAAAATAGGACATCATGTTTTACCTCTTCCAACTGTAACACATATCAAGTACTGTACAAGTTGTGAACTGAGAGAACCCCCACTCTGTGTCTATTTTCCAGGTAGAAACCATTTAAAAGGGATTTTTATGATATTGGAGGTTTTGCTTCCTATGCAACAAGAAATAAGTAAAAACCCCTCTGGCAATTTACAAACACAGGCATTTTGTAGACTGAGGAAAAGTAGAGAAGAGCTATCAGACTCAAAGACTTAATAGATTTGATGACATCCTTGTAGAATTTATAAAAATGTAGAATTCATAGGAGACCTCGGCTTTGGCCCGGCTCACCCACTCACATCTTCCATTGCAGACCATGTGCACCTCCGGCCAGGTCAGGCTAACCCAGGCTCCTCGCCAGCTGTTTCCTGAGGCTGAAATCCATTTTTCTCAGATGTACAGGTTTTATTTTTTTAAAGTCTTAAATATAGGTGGTATTCCATCTCTGGACACTTTCAGAAGCAACCAAAATCACAGAGATTCTTGAACTTCCATGTTATTTAAACATTTAATTACCACCCCAAGGCCTATGAACTCTTAGCAGGCAAATATTAACAAATGCACGCTGCTGTTCATTGGAAAGTAAAATGAGTGGAAACCCAAATTTTAGAAGAAATCATAAAATAAGAAATGCTTTCTCTTATTAGATGCAATCAAACTCTAGCCAACAAAACACAATAACATTACAAAATGGAATACTTTCAAAGACTGTAAAAGCGTTGTTGAACTTGAATCATACTTGACACAGAGAAATGATGCAACAGAAAGAAAAAGATGAACCCTGGAAATGTCAGCATGGCAGAAAGAAATGACCATCTATAGGAGATCTGCCTTTTATATTTCTAGTAGATATTTCTCGAAGAGCTTCTCAGAGGTCCACTTGACCTCAAGCCTTATTCTCAGAGTTTTTAGATCTTAACTTTCCTCATGTATGATGTGGGACTTCCAAAATCTCCTAAAAACTAGTGCTATGATCTAAGTGTTTGTGCCCTGGTGTTAAAACTTAGACTCCAAGGTGATGGCATTAAGCAGTGCAGCCTTTGGGAGGTAAATGGGATTAGTGCCTTTATAAAATAGGCCTGGGGGAACTTGTTAGCACTATGGCCTTTTTGCTATGTGAGGACACAGCTAGAAGGTGCCATCTTTGATGCAGAGAATGAGCCCTCACTAGACACTGAATCTACTGAGGCCTTGATTTCGGACCTTCTGGCCTCTAGAACTATGAGCAATAAATGTCTGTTGTTTATAAATGACTCAGTCTAAGATATATTATTATAGCAGTACAAACGGATGAAGACAACAGGTACTCATTCTTTTCCTCAGTCTTTAAGGGGAGCCCCAGACATGAAGAAGGCAATACAGAAACTCTCTTGGTAAGATGGTCATGCCATCACATGAATAGTGGCTTGTCCCCAAAGAGCCTCTGGACAGGAATGGCTACTGGACTTGTGAGACCCAGTGCAAAATAAAAAAGCAGAACCTATTGTTCAAAAATTAAGAATTTCAAGATGGTGACAGCAGTGTATTAGCAAGCATGGGACGCTATGAAATTTCACAGGTCAGATGCCCGTGGAGGCTAGCCCAGCCTCTGGAGACTCCAGTGGGATGAACCACCAAATGAACATTTTTTTTCTCAAGGACCCCAAAACACTTTACAAAATGTTGAGGTTGGAAAATAAGAATTCACAATCACCCATCACTCTTTCCTTTCAACACTCTTGGTACCTGTATTAGTCCATTTTTGCATTTCTATAAAGAAATGCCTGAGGCTGAGAAATTTATAAAGAAAATAGGTTGAATTGGCTCCTTGTTCTTCAGGCTGCATACTAAGCACAGTGCTGCCATCTGCTTCTGGTGAGGGCCTCAAGAAGCTTATGATCATGGCGAAGGTTAAGGGAAAAGAGGGAGTAAGAGAGAGGGAGGAGGAGAGAGAAGGGGAGTTCCCAGACTCTTAAACAACCAGATCTCCTGTGTACCACCAGAGCGAACACTCACTCATCACCAAGGGGATGGCGCTAAGTCGCTCATGAGCAATCTGCCACCGTAAGCTAATACCTTCCACCAGGCCCCACCTCCAACACTGAGGATCACATTTCAACATGAGATTTGGAGGGGACAAACATACAAACCATATCAGCACCTATAGTTCTAGAAATCAAGCATTGTCTTTAGGCTTTCACAGGTGGGCAAGCTGAAACATGTAGAGAGTGGGTAATGTCACCAAAGCCAGAGCCTTCAGCTACAGGTGGTGAAGCCCAAAAGTAGATATCACCATTCCCAGTCACCACCAAAGCTGCCTGTAACCTTGTCATTCTATTTAGTAAACACTGGCACTTACAGAACATAAATAAATGTTCTCAGTACCAAGTCAGGCCTGCTTCATTTTTGGCACAAGTTTTTAACTAGAAACCATATCACATGGTAATAATATCAAAGGAAAACCTGGATACAGAGCTGAATGACTTCTCTCTACAAAATGGGATACATCAATGACCCTGTTAAATGCCCTGTTGTGCCCTAGACTTGACATTATCATTGATAATAGTAAGAAAAGCCTCGTTTCTGAATGTGCCCTGTCTTATCTAGGATTTCTCTTGCAATTTCACTTTTCTTGAGGTATTTCTGTTTCTCCAACTTAGTTTTTCTTCCCATTTCTACACAGACAGATACAGACACACACAGAAACACACACACACACACACACACACACACACACACACTTCTCTTAAAGCAGGTAGCTAAAAGCAGCATACATTATTCTGTATTTAGCCAACAGTGTTTTCCTCTTTGCAACTAGTTGTCAACCAACATGTTTATGCTACCTATAAGCCTTAAATTAAGAATAAGAAAAACAGCAATTTAGGGGTAAGTCATTCTAACTTTGTTCATTTTGAATCTTCCTTTCCATGGCAATAAATACAGTTTTCTTGATTCAAAAGCACTTATGAAGTCTTCTGGGTGCAGATGTATGAGGTTTAGTTGCATGAATGCACAGGTGTAAACCAAATGCTGTCTTAGTTTTTTTATAATTTATATAAATGTAAGGGGTACAAGTGCAGTTTAGTTACCTGGATATACTGTGTAATGGTTAAGTTTGAGCTATCAGTCAAATAATGTACATTGTACCCATTAGGTAACTTCTCATCCCTCACCCCTGTCCCCCTCTCCCACCCTTTCAAGCCTCCAATGTCTGTTATTCCACACTCAATATCCACATGTATACATTATATAACTCCCACTTAAAGAAGTGAGAATGTGTGGTATTTGACTCTCTTTTAGTTCACTTTAGATACCAGCCTCCATTTCAATCCATGTTGCTGCAAAGACGTGACTTGTTTCTTTTTATGGCCGTGTGTGTGTGTGTGTGTGTGTGTGTATCATATATATATATATATATATATATATATATATACACACATACCATATATACATATACATTACACACACACACACACACACACACACACAATTTTCTTCATCCAATCATCTGTTGATGGACAGTTAGGTTGATTCCCTGTCTTTGCAATTGTGAATAGTACTGTGATAAACATACAAGGGCAGCATTTTTCTTGATACGGTGATTTCTTTTCCTTTGGGTAGATAACCAGTAGTGGGATTGCTGGATAGAATGGTAGTTCTATTTTTAGTTCTTTGAGAAATCTCTAGATTTTTTTCATAGCAGTTGTACTAATTTACACTCCCCCCAACAGTGTATAAGTGTTCCCTTTTCTCCACATCTTCACTGACATCTGTTATTTTTTGACTTTTTAATAATAGCCATTCTGATTGGTGTGAGCTATCTCATTGTGATTTTAATTTGCATTTCTCTGATGATTAGTGATTTTGAACATTTTTTTCCATAGGCTTTTTGACCATCTGTATGTCTCCATTTAAAAAATGGTGTATTCATGTCCTTTGCACACTGTTTAATGGGGTTATTTGTGCTTTTGTTGTTGTAATTGAGTTATTTGAGCTCCTTGTAAATTCTGGGTATTAGTGGCCTGTTGTATGCATAGTTTTAAAATATTTTCTCTCATTTTGTGGGTTATCTGTTCACTCTGTTGATTATTTCTTTTGCTATGCAGAAGCTTTTTAGTTTAATAAGTCCTATTTGTCTATTTTTGTTTTTGTTGCTTGTGCTTTTGAGGGCTTAGTTACGAATTCTTTGATGAGACCAATGTTCAGAAGAGTTTTCCCTAAGTTTTCTTCTAGTATTTTTATAGTTTCAGGTCTCACGTTTAAGTCTTTAATCCACCTTGAGTTGACTTTTGCATATGGTGAAAGTTAAGGGTCTAGTTTTATTCTGCATATGGCAATCCAATTTCCCAGTACCGTTTATTGAAAAGGGTGTCCTTTCCTCAGTGTACATTTTTGTCAACTTTATCAGAGATCAGTTGGCAGTAGATATGTGGTTTATTTCTGAGTTATTATGTTCTATTGATCTATGTGTCTATTTTTATACCAGCATCATGCTGTTTTGGTTACTATAGCCTTGTAGTATAATTTTAGGTAACGTAATATGATGCTGTCAGCTTTGTTCTTTTTGCTGAGTATTGCTTGGGCTACTTAGGCTCTTTTTTGGTTCCATATGAATTTTAGTAATTTTTTCTATTTCTGCAAAAAATAACATCCATATTTTGATAGGGATTACGTTGAATATATAAGTTGTTTGTGCAGTATGATCATTTTAATATTATTAATTCTTCTAACTCATGAGCATGGGATGTTTTTCTTCGTGTGTGCGTCATTTCTTTCTTCAGTATTTTGTAGTTTTCCTTGTAGATATCTTTTACCTCTTTGGTTAAATGCATTCTTAGGTATTTTATTTTATTTATATATTTTGCATTTCCACAGAATTTTCATTATTATATTATTTTCTCTGAGAATAATTAATCTATTAATTATATTAATCTCTCTGTTATTGTATATATTTGAAGTTTTTCATAATAAAAATTAGATTTACAAAAGGAATAAAGCTGACAAAATGAAGTTCATCAATGCTGCTATTCCCAGTTGGCAATATCTGGTCAAGGAAACAGGATGGCTGAATAAAGCCTGTGGCCCACCAGGTAGCTCAGAGCTCCTGCATGTCTTCTTGTTTTCTGTGACAGTGTAACAGCAGCACACTGTCACAGATGCAGGTGATCCACCCTTTCCTGCCAGACCACATTTTCTCTTCTCACAGACCAGCATTCACAAGGCAAGAAGAATTTTACTTCACTTTACTCATCATTGACAAAGGCTGCCCTAAGACCATCTTCCAGGTTCAGGTCTAAATTAAATGAAAAAATGACAGAAGGAAGAAGGAAACTACCATTTCTTGAAGCTTCATGACTACCCATGCACAAAGTGAGGTACCTGGGCCATCATATTGATTATGTTCGCATTTTACCCTGAAATGGATGTTTAAGATATACATCACATACTTGGGGGCAGGCATATATCTGGGGCTTGGAGCTGGGCTGTCAGAAGAGGTTGGCAAGGAGCCATTTGTCCCAGGGCTCACATTCCACAAAAGCCTCCAATTTGGACTTTTGATCTTCTCTTTAAATGAACTTAAACATATGGTCATTGTATTTCTGTGTGTTTTACAATTATTAGTTTGTTAAATGTAAATATTGGAAATATTTGACAGTTTTTTTCACCCATGTTTTCACCATGCTTGCTTTTTACTATACCAAAGATTTCAAAAGAAAAACAAAACAACAAAACAGACCAAAAAACAACAACAATGAAGGAAGTTGCCTAGGCCCCTCTCTGACTCTAAGAGGTCCTGCTCCGAGAAAACAGAGCTGATTTTCTCCACAAATAGAGGTCACAGACATTTTCTCCTTTTACTTCTATTGATTCCTTCTGTTGTTGGTCATTTGTCTATTTTCCTAGGGTTTCAGGACTCTCAAAACAAGTAACAGGGAAATATATGAGGCGATCGATGAGATCTATGTTATAGTTAAAAAGAGAAATAAGCAAAACTTGCTGTGGGAAAACTGGGTCATGGAAGAAAAAATAATTTTTAAAATTCCAGAGAAGAGTAAATGAGACCCTACTAGCTTTAATATTTCCCAAATGCGACCAAATAAAGAAGCTGAGTAGGAGGATGCCTCAGTACCTGGGCTTTAAGCATGCTCTGTGACATGCTTATTTGCTTGTCAATAGCCCTGAAGCCCTGTTCTTCAGGTAGTTCTCATGTGGAAATGGCCTGTGTCATTTATAAACCTGCCTCCGCTTCTTTTTTTCCCCCCGCATAATGCTTCCTTTGCTTCTGAAGTCTTCCTGGTAGCATTGGAGAGTAAAATTATTCATTTAAAAAAATCCAGTGTCTAAGTACAACAGGTTAGTAGAAAAGGGACTGAGAAAGAATTAAAAAGCCATATAGTACCAAGTAAGTCACATTTCATTTTTGTTTTTGTTTGTGTATATTTTCCTTTTATTCCATGAGCTGTAGTCTCGACTGATCAATAGTCAATCTTCTTGGGTGAAATCTTCAGGAATTTAGGGGACCCACATTAGTTCCAAAGCTGTAATTGCACAGTTATGCAAATCCCTGAAAGGGATACAAATGGTTTAACCTTAACCCCAGGGATCCCCTTCCTGAAACTGCATCCTGGAATGTTCTCAAATGGAGGAGTCAATGAGCTGGGTTGTGACTAAGAATGAGAAGGCAGCAAGACAGCATACCTTCTTCTCCATCTAGAGGTGTGAGCTGTAAAGACAGTGGTCACACCACAGGCACACCCAGACCAAGCCCCCAGCTTTTGGAGTGCAAACCTCTACTCTCTGCATAGACCCTGAGAATCAATTAGACTCAGACTTCTAAATTCTAAGGATCTCCAAGCACTTGATTTGGGTTTCTTGGGGGTATCACATATAATGATACAATGATAACTTTTATAAGGATAAACTCAAAGACATGTAGCATATTTCTATGTTATTATTGTTGATTTTAAAAAGTAAAACTGAAATTCAATTGTCAATGTATTTTGGAATAAAGCAGACCATGTACATGTCAGCATCAATCCCCCTGAAATCTTGAGCAAAACTAAAGTCAAGGATGAATTTGCATCATTGACACTGTGTTACAAATAATGATAATCATGAAAATCCACCCTCCTCCACTGCTGAGTCTTGCCCCTCATTATAGATTAGTAGTTTAGTGAGTTGATGTGGAAATGTTCCTTATTATCACAGTTTTATTGCCAACCTCAGTACATCTGTTCCAAAATTCATATAGAAATGGCCAGACATTTCAATAAAAGTATGTCTTGGAATTTTCATATAGTTCCTAATGCACTAAAATCTGGATGAAAAGCTGGTACTTTTAAAATTTACAATCGCACAGACTGAGCAACATCTGGATAGCTTTGCTCTATTGCCTTCCCTGTTCCTTTAGATTTAGACTCAAGATATGATGTGCATGAAAGGCCAACAAACCTTGTGTGTGGCAGGTGTGAGTTGAGGCTGACAAAGACCTAATACTATGTTCAATTCACTTTGATACAGCTTTGTACAAAACACATGGAACCCTCTTCCTGCCCATTACCAAATATCATAAGCAACAGAAAGGACGACGGAGCAAGGGGAGAGAATTTTTTTACGAATGGAGAGAAAGACAGAATTTGCTATATAAACTAGAGTTCTTGAATTAATTATCTCTGATCACATCCCTTGTTAGTTTGCACAAGACTCTGTGTGTGTGTGTGTGTGTGTGTTTTTACACAAGACCAATTTCTAACACATGGGAAGAACAACATCTAGAGTTCCCAACTAAAGGATCCACTTTCCAGTTTCATCAGTCTCCACACTGAATTACAGAATTTCCTTTTCAACTGTCGGTATTAACAAGAGACGAAAGAAGAGAAGAGAGAAAGGAGAAACAGGAGGGAAGAAGGAAGAAAGTGTACTTGGAATGATGTGTATGGGAAAATGTAACTGTAACTAAATACTTACTAGTGACAACTTCGTAGTTCCTATGAATCATTATCACACTTACTGTAAAAGCTGCTGAAGTCTTTTCTTTCATGAAGCGTTATTAAAAGTCATATTGCAGTAGCTGGCATTGGTGCTTTGCTTTGGGTGTAAGGTAGGCAAAGTGCTATTTTGTGAGAATAGGTTAGATCAATCTGAATTTTCGACCTGACCTTCCCCTCACCCCTAATAACTTCCTGGTTCCTTGGTCACAGAGTGATTTATGAGCAAGAACAAAGAATGATGTGTCTATCCCAGAAGCAAGGGAAACTAGAAAACTTATTAAGGAGAAAAAAAAATGCAGAAGGAAAGAAAAGGGAAGGAATGAGAGAGAAAATACTAGTTTCAGAATAAAGTATCTCAGATTCTAGGCAGCTGTAATTACCTAGTCACTGAAGAAATAAAATGTGGAAATCCATTTTATAAAAAATCAATGTTTTAAACAATTCAAAGAGCTCTCATAATTTTAAATCTCACTGCAATGTCCATGTTCAGAGCTCTGATCACCTTTAAAGAGGAGGGCTCCAATAATTTTCAATTGTTCTTCACTGGGAAATCTCCAAACCCCCATTCTCTTCCAAATGGAAGCAATCTTAAAACTATGAAACACACCAATAATTTTAAATGGCTCTCTCCCCCGACCCTTTCTATTTTATGCCCCTTCTTCATCTTTTCTCAACTTTTTAGACAATGACTCTCCCAATTTTAAATCTACTTTTTTCAAATTCACAGTTGCAAATTAATTCCTAATAACAACAATTCTTTTGTGCCTTTTTCTTAAATATGTGAACACAACTTTTTCTCAGATTAATGGTAACAAAAGTATGGGGCTTTCATTAGGAAAACCCCTCCTAAGAATGTTTTTATTTAGTGCTTGCAAAAAAAAAATGTAAAATTAATGAATAAGGATTTGATTATTTCTAACCAACAATTCCACAAGGAATACAATTTTATATTGAATTCCAGTCTCATTTGCAAAGACCTTCCATAATTAAAATGCTTCAATCTTCTTCAAATTAGAAAAGCAAATTGTTACATATCATAAGTAGGCGCTTTTCTGTTTAATGACAGTCACTCAGATGATTTATGACACACATTATTTTATATCAAAGTACAATGAAATAGGCATTACCAAAGGTAATCTCCATAATGTCTGGAAAGGGATCAGAAACCTCAGTGCAACAATGAACGAAGTATTTAAAATGCAAAACCCAAAGACATTATTATGGTTTTGATTTCTTATGGCACAGCTTCGCCTGATCAGTTATATTACCAGTGCAGCACAAAGGGTGTTTGCGTATGAATGCCGCTAAGATAACAGACGGGAAAAATGAAATATAAAGTCAATTTTCATGCAGAAATTGTTATCAAAGGGATGATAAAGTAAAACTGTATAATCACAAGAAAAAACAATTGATGAAGAATAATCTAGAATAGGCCAAGCTGACTATGTCTGATTTCAGCTTTTAAACTCCTGTTCTATTAAAATATGTAATAAAGTGTTAAGATAATGTATAAACAAATCCAACTAGAGCACTATGTTGATTATTATTTAGACGCTGCCTTCCAAGATCTCTTTGCAAATGAAATTGAGCAGCAGCTTAAGTGTGCATATTATGAATGGGGAGAAATTTTCGTCAAGCTCAGGCTCCTAAGTCATATGAAAAAAAAAATAATTCTGAGTTTTAAAACTCATAGTTGTTTTAGCATGGAATGGAATCAGCAAGCACCAAGGGAAGAATAAACACATACACATGCACACACACACACACACACCAAAATTATTTTAACACACACAAGTGAAAAATCATGACGTTGGGGAGAATGTGGCTCGCTAATCTTTATTTTTCTGGAATAAGATGTAAATAATGCCCAAGCACATCCCATATTAAAGGGCTACCCATTAGAATAAAGGCCTCTCCCCATGAGGATGCTGTTTATCATGTAGTTTGCAAGCAGAAAGGTGGCTCTTTCTAATTCTTTTAAAGACATTTTGCTTGGGGCCTCAGAAATTAAACAGAGAACAGCAGGGAAGGGGTTTACTATTTAATGCTCTTGGTTGTAATTTTTTAATTAGCCATTAGGAAGATGAAGGCAGGTTCAGACAGGGATGAAAAGGAAGACTCGGAAGAAATACGGCTTTCTGCAAAGAGCCCCTGGAGATTATAGGAAAGACTCAGGTCTCCAGAGAGGTTCCCAACACAGAAGGAACTCGCAGGCCACTTCCTCATGTCCCTTGGGCAAATCTAAATCTAGTTGTTAGAAAGCGTGGGGTTTAACTGGATTTCCTAAAAGATGTCATGTCTCAAGCTCAAATTCTTACAACTGAAAAAAGGAAATGACTGGAAAAAAGACAAAAATGCTGAAAGCACAGATGTGGCTGATCTCGGGGTCTCAGCCACTGGGAGTGTTTACACATGCCTCCACACTTTCAAGGGAAGAGAAGACCCTGTACTTGGCCTGTTGCTTGTTCTCTAATGACAGGACTTGGTAGGATACTGGGGAAAGGCAGAGAGGAAAATGCAAGAGACACAGGAGATGCTGGAAACCTTAAGGGTATATGCCTTTGTAAATAGTGAATCAAGTCACATGAATTCAAAGGCAGACCTGCTGAAAACCCTGAATGGAGACATAGTCCTGGAACACAGAGCAGAGAAAACGTATTATTTGCATAGACTTCACATCTTGAAGTAATTTTAATAAATAAGAAATTTGGCAAAAATTGAAACTATATTAATAGAGGAGATTCCATATTTTTAATCTTTGGAAAAAGCTGAAGCTGAATTCTCTAGTTTTCATTATTCATATCTGCTCCTTCTATATTTCCCATCTCAGTAATGGCACCATTCATTCGGTCACTAAACAGTCAATGTCAACCTCATCTTCTCCATCTAATCAGGCACGAGGTCTTGTTTATGAAACTCCAGGATTCAGCTCAGGTCTATCCTTCTCTCCCACCTCCACTGCCTAGGTTGAACCTTTCATTGTCTCTCTCCTGGAAAATTGTTGTGGCTTTCCAGTTAGTCCCCCTGCCTTCAGTCTGTCACCTACCACCCCTCAATCCAACATCTACCGAGTGACCAGAGGGAATTTTTCTAAAATTCCATCCTATTACTTCAAGATTCTGGTTAGCTAGGTATAAGATGAGACCCAAGGAATATGCATTTTTAACTTCTGATTATGAACATTTCTAAACACACTCAAAGGTTGAAAATATAAAAAATCAATCCCCTTACTCTTATTCTTCAACTTCAACAACATCTTTACTGCCCAACATTTCCTTATACCTACCCCCACTTTTTTTTTACAGGATCCTCACTCTCCCCTTTTTTCCTGCTGGAGAATTTCAAGGCAAATCCTAGACATTGTATCATTTGATCCCTGTAAATGTTATGATAGTGTCTTAATGTAATTAATATCCAATTCGTATTTATAGTTTTCTTAATTGTATAAAAATGTTTTCACTTTGGTTTGGAGTAAGTCTGAATTTAAAACACTTTCCAGGTTTTCTGAAGACTAGCCAGGTATGAGTTCCAAAGCACTATAAGATAAAGTTGAAACTCCCCAGCAAAGCACCAAGGGCCCCATGTGATCTAGAACCCCCATCTCCCTCCAGCCTTTTTTCTTAGGGCCCATCCATCCAGCTTGCTTCTTACACTTCAGCCATTTTCATCACCTTTTAATTCCCCAAAAGTTTAAATGCTATTTCTCTCCTCTGAGCATTTGCTTTACTGTCCCCGCTGCCTGCAATGCTCTTCCTCCTCTACTCAAAACATTTTCTTTGAGAAGGCTTTTCTGTCCCCTGACCCAGAGTTGAATATACCTTTCTGCATGCTTCACCCAACTTTGTTCTTCAGATAGTATGGCCCTCTTCACCTTGATTGGCCAGCTGCCCCAGGCAAATGTCACTTTGGAACAGATTGTCCCCTAAAGTAGTTGAAGATCATATGCTCTGAATATAAAGTAGGAAATCGTGATTTGATGATGATACAACAGTAAGAATTTAGGCACAAAAGCTAGACTTGGAATGTAGCAACTTTCAGTTAGGGTGATCGTATAATGTATCATCTAATTTGCTAGTTAAAATGAAAGGGTACTATTAATAACTAGTCAGTACATAAATTCCCAGGATCGTCCCAGTCAAACAGGGTCCTATGGTCAGCCTATTCTTTACGCTGTATGTTTTCAAAGCATGAGTGGGTTTTTTGTAAGTGGGGGACCTCCCCTCTCAAAGCTTGACCATCCTTAGTGAGGATCAGACCACAACCAATTGGCTCCATAGAGAATGGCTCCAATTTCCAGCTTTCCAGGACAGCCTGGGGCAACAACATATGGTTGAAACCTTGGACAAAACCTACTACTACCAGAAAATATATTCCCTTTCCAGGATAAACAGGAAGAATTCAGTGTCCTGGGGCCCTGCAGGATGTTGGAAGTATTACATCACCCTCCTCTGGAATTTTCAGAAATTGTAAATCTTTTTTGGTTAGGGATCTTACTCTTTCTTCCTATTGCATGTTTAGGAACGTGAGATGGCAATAAATCTTTCCTACCTTCCATAATAAGTTCTTGTCTTAAAATCAAGGCCTAAGCAGGAAAACAATGTGATTCCAGATCCACTGCTGTGGTTTTGATGCTCCTATAACTAGCTTCCTTGTTGCTAGAGCTTCCATCTCACACCAGCACTCCTGGCACCTACTCTGCCTCATCACGGGAAGAGAGCAGGGTTATGTCTGTGATGGCTGGACTGCAGGTAGCCATGTGAAGAAAAAGAGATGCAGGACAATAGGCTAAGTCCTATGGCTTTTCCTCCCTCCCTGTTGCCTTATCTTCCCCCTACTGTGGTTCCTCACACTTCACCCTCCAGGAGCCCCAGTCCCCTCCTTTTTGCCATTGTTGAAGTGCTCTGGATGGCCAAGTCCAGGCTTCCTTCTGACATATATTTGAATCTCACTTAGGTCCTTTAAGTTACTCAAAAATCTTTTAGGTTCATCTCTATCCTTCCATACTCAATCTAAGTAAAAAGACAAGACGATGGGCGGAGTAGTTCAGTTCTCTGATGGAGCATAGATAAGGTACGTTACACAATGTCACTTCACAATAGAGTCAAAGGGTCTTGAATCCAACTTGAAGCCTGCTATGTGACTCCTAACTGAAAGCAAATAACAGTTTTAAATTATATGCAAGTTAAAAACAATGTATTGAAATATTGCTGATATTTGGGGTTGTCGTGTTTGTATGTCTTCCTTAAAGGTTTGGATGAGGAAACATGAAATAACCTTGTGGTGGTGACATTGAAATGACCTGGGTAAACTGATGTTGTCTGTTGGATATTTTAATAATTTTTATTTGCTTGTTTGAGACTTTAGTTTTAATGGCTACATCTCAAATAAGTCTTTGTTACCAGGTCCCAAAGGATAATCTCCAGGGCTTTGTAAAATCCCACCTTTTTAAAAAGAAAAATAAATACTTTTATGGTAGAAAATGTCCAACAGATACAACATAAGCTGTATAATTCAATGAACCCCCTTGTATCCACCCTGGCTTCAATAATTATCATCATTCTGTCATTCTTCTATCATCTATATATCTACTTATTCCCCACTCCCATGTAATTATTATTATTATTTTAAATAAAATAATACATAAAATGTATGTACATTAGAAGGCACACATCTTAACAGTATAATCTTTACAAATTGACACACCCATACACTGCTTTTTCAAAAACTATAAAAATTATGTAGTGAAATTTCCTTTATCCTGGACTCCAGGAATAACTTAGCCACTATTTATAGTTTTACGTGATCTTTTCAGTCCTTCCCTTTGATAGAGTTATACCAACATATCCATGTATAGGAACACATTTATACATGCACATACATTCTTAATGAGCTTCTGTCAATGTATATTTCTTTTTTAGGTCAGTGCACATTGTTTTTTCTCATTTTAATGACTGTATAATATTACAGTATATGGAATTACCATGTTGATTAACCATTTCCTTATTTTTGTCCAGTTAGGTTGTTTCCTACTTTTTGCTATCATAAACAATGGTATTATGAATATCATGTATGTATATATTTTTGTACATTATTACTATTTATGTAAGGTTGAGTCCCAGAAAAAGCTCTAGGTCATTTTAGCACTAAGCTATGAAATCATTCTTTTCCACAAGAGAGACTCTTCCATGAAAATCTTCCAGTAATAGAAGCTTTGTGGCATGATATAAAAATTATAGGACTCCAATCTTTGTGCTTAGTGTATCACTGCATAAATAAGCATTACATGTTTTGGAAGTTGTTGTTATGATTACAGGGAATGACAAAATTTTTTTTTAAATGTAGTGCAGAGATTAAAGAAGTGTCATCTGAGCCAAGCTTGACCAATTGCTAGAGGCTGCTTGCAATGGTTGTTTGGGAAGAATTTAATGGGCACAACCAGGTTCAGATAGAAAGTTACACTTGTTGGAGGAGCAGTAACTGCCCTGAGTTTATATGGGGAGAGTTGTAGTGAAGTATTGGCCATCTTTGGGGTAGAAAATGCGCCTTACATCTGGAGAACATTTTTGTTACATAAAACTTTTTTTTAATTATGAGAAAGTATCAATAATCCCATTTCATGGGCTATTTGTAAGTTTACCCAGTGAAGTATTTGGGAGGAGAACCATCCTATTCCTAAAGACGGTATATATGGGAAAATGGGCATGGCTTATAAGTAAGTCCTACCTCTACTCCCACTTCTGAATTTTCTTCTTTTAATTAAAAATAAATCCAGGCTATTTGCAGGTTCTGATCAAATGGGTGTTGGCAAGAATAGAGCCTGAAATTGATCAATTCTGAGTTACTTAGGTGTTAAACTTTGAATAAACCATGGCCTCAAGGGGAGCAGGTAACCTCATCCTCCATGATTGTGCATGTTTTGCAGCAAGCAACCACTAGCAAGACTATTCAATATTCGGAAAGCCTCACTCAAAGGCTGCCATGAGAAAGTGCAGAGAAAGGATTTAAGAAGTATTCTGAGGTTTCAAAAGGGCTCTTTCCTGTGAGGATAGATATTTAACTCTAGTATTACTGTATTTCGTTCTAAGAAAAGGGATGGGGAGACAAGTGGACTTGGAAATTTGAGGCAGTCAGCACCAACCAAAGAAGCCCCGAGCCAAAAATTGCTGGAAAGGTGCCACAAGGTTACATGCAAAAGCAAAAGTGCTACCAAAGAAATGTTGATCACCATGTGACATTTTCGTAGAGGTATCTTTTGCATTTACTATCATAATTTTGGCCTTCGGCTTGGGAATAAATATTTTGCTATTAAATATAAAGGGAAGGGCATCCAAAGACTTGGTCTGAACTTAAGAATTATTTTCTTTTCTTTTTGACAAATAAGGTCATGGCACACCTTCTTTGATGCGCTGGCCAGGCATCAGAGCACTGCCACTGTGACAGCTGACGAAAGCCAGCTCTCTGTGGGTGGAAGATGAGGAAACTGAAAATACAGAGCAGACAAAATACGTCTCCTTTGTGTCAAGGTCAGTTTAGGAATGTATGTACTAGCATAGGTAAGTTCTGCAAGAGGACTCGAACCCACTAGGGCTTGCCAGGGAATCCTGATTTAGGGCTCGTGCAGATTTATAATCTGCTTACCTAGGGTCAATGAAATATTGTGTACAAAATCTCATCCTCCATTTGTTTTTGCATGGCCCACAGACTAAGAGTAGTTTTTGCATTTTTTAATATTTGCAACAAAATTTTAAGAATATTATTTCATTATATTAAAATTATATGAAATTCAAATTTTAGTGTCCATCAGTAGAGTTTGATCACAACACAGCCACACTCATGTGTTTACTTATTGTCTGTGGTTGCTTTTGTCCTACAGTGGCCAACTTGAGAAGTTGCTACAGGGACCAAATGGTCCTCAAAGCCAAAAATATTTACAAACTGACCCTTTAGAGGGAAAGTTTGCTGACTTGTATTCTTATACAACTGGCCAATGAGTACTGCCCTGATTGCCCGCTAAGGCAAGGTTGGGTTTGGGGTGTCAGGCATGAAGCCCATCTTTAGACTGCGTTCCCTAAGGCTCATAAATGTTAAGCCCTTTAGTCCTTTCTCTCCCACTGCATAGCTCTGGAAATGTACTGATCTGCATTCTTATTCTAACATAACATTAAAATGTCTTTATATTAGGAACTGTATATTTTATGGAATTTGAATAGTATTAGTGTCATATACATACTGGATTTCAATATAACAATATGAAAAGTGCACATGTAATTTTACCTCTGTATCACACTAATACTAAGCTACATGATGGTAATATTAAACTAGTGTGACAAAATGATGCCAGTGTAAGATGTAAAACTGCTAATATCACACAGCAAATTATTAGTGTCTATGATGGACTCTGAAGAATGGTGTGATTAAACTTTCTCAAGCTTTTCCAGCCTCACTTGGAACCCCAGTGACAAAAGAGGATAAATTACCCTGGCAAATGTTCGTGCCAGCCTATAACAAGTTTGGCCTTCAGTTATGGCACTAGGTCTCTTCAGAGAGGCCAGAGGCATTCCAGGAAAAGAAATTCTATGAATGAGTCAGGGTACCTGCCTTTGGTCTTGGTTTTGGCAAGACTTTATTTCTAAAATCTTAAACTCTTATATCCCACATGCTGACAACAAACTCCTGTCTTTCTATTTGTCACCACTTTTCTCCTCTCGTAACTACCACCTTTTCACCTCCTCCCACCAAATCTTCCAGGCCAAACCCTCCCCTTTGCCTCCTGAACTCAGATCTCCCTCTTGACTCATTTCTACCTCTTTAAAATCTAAGTTCGTCCATCTTCCTTTTACCATCACTTTAGCTTTTCCATCCAACCCGTCCTGCATCCTCCAGTCTTTTCATTTCTCTGCTCCTACACCTGGGATGTGGATTACTGCTAGGGAAGTCTAACTACCACATGGACTGGTGCTTTCATATAGCAATGGTTTTCAAACTCACTGGGCTCTTCAATGGCCCTGCAATTCCATGAGTTCCTGCTCCATCCCTCTCTTTGCCCTTGTGGTGCACTTTTCCCTAACATTTTATTTTCTCTTCAAACTCCTTACACTGTAGCTTTTCCTCTCATTGTCAGCAAATGCTCTTGCATCCTACCTCACTGAGAAAAACAGCTCCGTCAAACACCAACTCCCTCAACTTGCAGAATCCTCACCTAGAAACATCTTTACTGGTCTCCATCCTTTCCTGCTGTTTCCATGGAAGCATTGTCCCTCATCCTGTTCAAGGCTAATGCCTCCACCTGTACCTGGGATCTTGTATTCTCCTGCCTCCCCAGCGGACACCTCGCTCCAACAGGCCTCCCTTTTCTGTGTCACTAACTTTCCTTTTTTGAGTTCATCAACGTGTCTCTTCTCAGTTCATAGTGTCAAAGCTATTCTGCATGAAACAAACAAACAAACAATCTTTATTTGACCCCACATTCTCTTCACCTTCTTTTCTTTTACAGCTGGAACACACATACTTTCCCTTTACTTTCCTTCCTCTTCATACTTTAAGCTATTGTCATCTTAATTTTGTTCGCATTCTTTAAGCTTAGGTCTCAAATGACCTTCATGCTGCTACATTCAATGATTGGTTTTGTGCCCTTAACTTATATAAACTTTCTTCCACACTTGACATTGCTGATCATTCTTTCTACCCTAACATTTCCTCCCCTCTTGGTTCCTAAGTCCTCTTCACTCTTATACCCTCTCCTGGATCTCCTCCATCTCTCTGTCCATTCATTTTTGGACTCTTGCAGAGACTCCTCTGTTGGCCCCATACATGGCTGGTGTTCCCCAAACCATAAACCTAGCCCTCTCTTCTCACCCTGACAATCATGCTGACAGCAGCCAAACACTTAGCTTCAACTACCACTTTCATCCTGTAAGCTCCTCAAACTGGTCATTCCAGATACTTTGCTGAGCTCCATAACTACATATCCAAGTGCAACAGGACATCTACACTTGAATTTTCAACAGGTACCTCAAACTCAGCATAGGCAAAGGCAAGCCTTTCAGTGTCTATCCCCAAACTATGTTTCCCAGTTCATCTGTCCAAACATTCGAGTCAAATATCTTGCCTAGACTCCAGCTGCTTCCTCGTGCCCCATGGCAAGAGCCAGGTTCTTAACATTTTTCTTATCTGTCTATTTCTTTCCATTTCTACCATGATTTCCCTAGTTCAGGTTCTGATCAGTTTTAGCCTAGATTATGCCCAAAGCCCCTTTACTGTCCTTCCTCCTCTAGGCATTTTTGCCCTTCATATTTACTCTCTGCATGGTTGCCTGGGGAATCTTACAGAACTGGTGGCATCTGATCAGACATGCCTCACTGGTTTAAATCCTTCAGTTACCTCCAGTGGCTTTCAGGAGAAATATTCAACACAGTTTGACATTCCAGGCATTTCACAATTGGCCTCTGCCTATATCCCAGTGTCATCCTCTATCCTTCTCCCTGGGACTCATGACATTTACCTGGCAGAACTGTCTGTTAGTATTTGGCAGTTTCTTCTGACTGTAAGAGCCTGAGATTCACTCCAGTTACCTCTAAGAAAAGAAGGTTTAGTGAGAGTTGTTTACCCATGGAATTGGATTAAACATAGAAAGTTTTCAGGAACTGAGTGTGTGTGTGTGTGTGTGTGTGTACATGTATACACATGCACACATGAGTATGCACCCACACATGCCCCATTCTCCTACCTCAACCAATTGGCTTCCTCAAAACTTGGTAACTTCATTTTCCACTTAGGACCCTATTATCTGTTCTAGCCCTGAGTCTTTTTAATCATTTGCTTTTCTCAGCCTCTTGGTTAATTGGCCCAAGGCTTTGGTTGCCCATTTCATAATTCCTGATGGTCCCACTCTGATGGCCCAATTTATCCTTTCAAATTGAGGCCACACAAGTTGTAGAACATTGGCCACCTGACAGCTGGTATACCTGGGTCAACTGCCCACCCCTTGTCTCATCAGCTATGGACAGGAGACCTAATTCATATGTAAGAGTTTATTGCCCATTAATATTAATAAAACAACAAATGTTCATGTAACTTTTATGTGCTGGACATTGTTTGTAAACACTTTAGATGCATTATTACCCATGTGATCTTCAAAACAACCCTAAGAAGTAGGTTCTATTACCACCACCACCATTTTACTGTTAGGCAAAATAAATCAGAGAGAGGCAAGTGAACTGTCTAAGACCTTACAGCTATTACAAGGCAGAGCCAGGATTCAATCTCAAGTAATCTGTGCTCTCACCTGCCACCTTAGTCTGCCTTGGTGTAGATTTGCTTAGAAGTGTCTTGGGAGATAGGGGGTGGGGCATGGGGACAGGGAATATGACCAGACAATAATCAGCACCTCTTGTTCCCCAAGGCATCATGCCAGTTTCTACCTTTTCACCTTTACATATGGTGTTCTTTCCACTTGGAATTATTTTCTGTCTCTCTCTCTAAATATATAAACATTTGGAAATGAATGAGCAAACACATTAGCTGTATAGCCTTGAGCTCATCATTTCACCTCTCTGGGTCTCAGGTTCTTCATCTATAAAATGAAGGGGTGGAACCGGATTCTTCAAATTCTACAATTGTGTAACTTTAAGGAAAGAACAAAGGCAACTCAGAAATCAAAGGTGAGAATGGTAACATTTTGATATTCCTGTCATCTTGCGGCAGCCAGAGTCTCTGTTGTTATGCTTAAAGGGAATGTGGACATTTTAGTGAATCCATAAATCTTTAATGATATGTGGAGCTCCTTAAGTACAATACCCTACCAAGTGGCAACCACTTGTTCAAATCATGGTGCACTGATTGGGTGCTGATCCTCTTTCCACAGTGGATTCGGGTTTGTCTCTTAGCTTGAAGCATCTCCTTTTAACTCTGTAACTTCAGAATTCTGATGGGGCCTAATAGCAACTCGATTCAATCAAGACGTGTATTTTCCTTGTTGAATCAGATCACTCGAGATTGCTAACAATCATCTATTGTGGTGTATGGAAAGCCAACTTTTATACATGAAATTAAATGAAAGCTTACAGGGGCTAAGGCCTTAACTGGAGACTCTTTTGTGGCTTTCTTTTAGTGTATTATTTGTCAGATTTTTATAAGAACATTATTGCTTTAAGAAAAAAAATTAAACCCTGAGAAATTACTCTCAGTCTAACGAGTTCTTTTCACTGACTTCAGACATCATTAGGGGAAGGCTATAGCCTAGGGCTGTGCATGAACTTTTTCTTCTAACTGTACACTTTATGTATAATTTAGCTTTCTTGCCTAAATTATTCAAGCAAATAGTGAGTGAAAATAATGGAGTTCACTGAAACCTTCCAGAGTATTAAAATAAAACAGTTTTTTATGTTGGTTTGAATTTTTAAGCTTTTTAATCATGGATTTCAAATGGAATACACATGTCTGGCTTTTCTTCACTTGTCCTCTGCATCTTTTTCAGAAGGAGAGAAGAAAGGAAAAGAACTTTAGTAAATAATCCAGTAATTAATCACTAGTGCTGATAGCCACTCCAGGTTGAAGTAACACTCTTTGGAAACACCATATCAAGGGGCCAGGGATATGGTTGGCACATATTTCAAAAGGTAGATAGATACTTCTTTTCCCCATTTCTTGGGACCAGGGCAGGGCTGAAATTCAGTGGCATATTTGAAAGGGAGAACTCATCTGTTTAGTTTAAATAGGAAATCACAGTAGCAGGATTTGTACTGAAATCACCCCAGATTTTTTTTTAAACCAAACACATGCTCTAAATAATAATGTTTCATTTTTGATGTGTGTGGTCTGGAAACCTTATTTTTATTATAGATAACCCTGAAGAAAATTTAAAAATCATTGAAAGAATGGGATTTCCTGGCATACCAAATACATTTCCCAACCAAATTGTTATCATAGCACACTGTCTTTGGAAATAACAAAGGCGATAATAGCAACCAGGGTTGTGGAAGGGAAATCATCAATGTGCAGCAAAGAGCTTCAGATATCATATTCTGAACTGGCAAATGCAAGCTTGAGAGTAATATCTGGGAAGGCCCAATGGCTAATGCTCTTTTTAGAGAAAAAAGAATGACCTAGAATAACAGACCTGTAAGTTTAATTTATCGACCTGATTAGACACAGGAAAGAATTATCACAAAATCAATTTTTCAACACATAGCCTAGAACAGGGTATTAGGTAGTAAGCAGTATGATATCATCACAACTATTAAAGTCTCTTTTAAGACTCTAGTCTACTCCTATGATAGTACAAAATATGGTAAATGGAAGGAAACTGAGAAATGCAATCCATATTGGTTTCAATAATATGTTTTATACTCTCCAACATGACATTTTAAACAATTATCTGAAAAAATGTGTTTAGAAATTTAATTATTTTATTTTAAGCATTGGTCAAGGAGTCATGAGACCTAGATTTAAGTCTTAGCTCTATCATTGAGAAATTGTAGGCAAGTTACTTCTTTACCTCTCTGTGTGCTGGATACCAGACATAATTATCTCTAGGACCTGAGATTATTTAATTATTCACCTAGAAATGTCACTTACTGCATGTGTGTGCATTAAAAACAAAAATCATGTCATAATTGGTCATCTTATTCCATTCTCACTGCAGATGGCATCTAAGAGGTCTCATCCAACTAGGCAAGCTCTGGGTTAGGAGGCAGATCAAGGTAAGTGAGAATTGACTTCAGTTCTCTTTCTTTGACTCTCTTCCTGCATACAGGCCTACTTAGCCTGTTTTCCCAGCTCCTTCTCCCTCCCATCCTCTCACTGCTCTTCCCTGCAGCCCTTCACCCCCATCTTTTCTGACCAATCTGGATCAAAGTCCTCCCCTAGGGCCCCATGGCAGGCCTCCATCTCCAATATTTCCTTCTAAGGCTTTTCCCTACAGCCTCACCTAACATACCTCTAACCGTATCATTCCTTGGCAAAACTTTCCAGTGGGAAAATCTCTTTCTACCTCTTCTTCAGGCCCAGAAACTAAGGACAGGGTTTGGATGCATTTAGCTCACTACCGCCACTTCTAGCTCTTTGGGCCTTCCCTGTCCCCCAACAAATTTTCTTCTAAAAGGTCCATGTGACTGATTTATAATTTATCCCCAGTTGTACCTTTTATTTTCTACACTTGTAGTTCATTCATTCATTCAGTAAGTATTTATTAAATACCTACCACATGCCAGGCTCAGCCTTTCTTCCTAGTTCTTCTCTTGTTTTCATCCCCATGACTTCAGCCTCCAAGGGCAAGACTCTAAAAGTAGTTTCACCTGGGCTGCTCCACCAGCCATTTCTCCATTTCTCCATTTTGGCTACAGGTGGGCTATAATAATGGTCTCACTGTCCTTCAGAAATCTTTCAAATGACCACAGCAACACCATCTTTCTTTTCTTCCTTTCTCTCACAACAGCTGCACCTGTACCCTCAATCTTATCCTTAACCCTGAGCCCATCTCTGTTCTCTTGTCTTCTTACCCAGCTTGATCAATGCTTCTCTCTGTCTTATCTACTTACTTATTCATCTCTGCTTCTGCTATGGCACCTAGAACAAGGTCTTCCATCCATCTAATAGGTACTTAGTAAATATTTGTTTAATTGAACTGAATTGAATAAAATTGGAAAAAGAAGTTCAATAATAGGCACAGTGAGTGGAATACCAAGTCTGAAACATGGCATCTAACAGTCCTTCTCTGTTGTGTGACACAGACTATGCCTAGAATACTTTATTTTGCCCATTTCTAAGTTTCACATTTTGCAAGATGAATTTTTCAATTCTGGAGTGACTAATTTCATTTTTCTTTTCTCTCTCTCCTCTGTCTATTAATGGCTATCTCTCTTTTACAAATAAGGATCTACATTCAGAAACTTCTGTATGTTGCTTTTTTTTCACTGAACATTATATCACAAGCATTTTACACAGTCATTAAATATTCTTTTACAATATGAGTTCAGTGATCACATGAAGTTCTAGCATGGAGCTATATGCAAAAATGCTTAACTAATTTCCATTGCAAAAACCATATTTCCAGTTTTTCAATGAACACATGTACACTAAATGTGGGGTGGGGGAGGTGTAATCATTTAACTGTATAGAATATTACATATAAATGTTAGGTGAAAGGATACAAATATTTGTATTGTTACTGATATATATGGGAGAATATCCTCCTCAAGAACTCCAAGGAACAGCATGTACAAATAATTGTCAATACTATTATCTTTCTTTTGATTCACTAAAAGTGATGTATTTTGTATAACATTTTTAAAATTACAGCTTTATTGAAATAAAACTTGCATACCAAAAATTCACTCCTTTAAAGCATGCAATTATGTAGTTTTTAATGTATTCAGAGTTGTGCAACCATCACCACTGTCTAATTTCAGAACATTTTCATCAATACCCAAAATAAAACCTGTACCCATTAAGGGTCATTCCTCATCCCCCTTTCTCCCTATCCCCCAGCAACCACTAAATTATTTTCTCTATATTCAGATATTCTGATTTGAAATGTTCCATACAAGGGAAATTGCACATGATTTGTCCTTTTGTATCTGGCTTCTTTCACCTAGTATAATGTTTTCAAGGTTCATCCATGTTGTAGCCTGTGTCCTTTTGCATTGTTGTAAAGGAATACCTAAGGACGGGCAATTTATAAAGAAAAGAGGTTTATTTGGCTCATAGTTCTGCAGGCTGTATAAGAAGCATGACCCTGGCATCTACTTCTGGTGAGGGTCTCAGGAAGCTTTCACTGATGGTGGAAGGCAAGGGAAACTGGCATGTCATACGGCAGGAAAGGGAGCAAGAGAGAGAAAAGGAGGGGTACCAGACTCTTTTTAACAACCAGATCTCACTTGAATGCACTACTGTGGGGAGGGCACCAAGCCATCCATGAAGAATCTGCCCCCATGACCCAAACACCTCCCATTAGGCCCCCTTCTAACACTGGGGATCATATTTCAACATGAGATTTGGAAGGGAAAAATATCCAAACCATATCAGAGCATAGGTCAGTACTTCATTCATATTTATAGTTCAATGATATTCCATTGTATGGATATGATCACATTTTGTTTCTGTACTCATCATTGGATGGACATTTGGGTTGTTTCCATTTTGGCTATTATTAATAATACCACTGTGAAGATTCTTGCACAAGGTTTTGTGTGAGCATGTTTTCAATTCTCTTGCCTATATACACAGGAGTGGAATTTCTAGGGCACATGGTATTCTATGTTTAATTTTTTGAGGAACTGCCAAATTGTATTCCAAAGTGATTGCACTGTTTTACATTTTCACCAGCAATGTTCCAATTTATCCACATTTTCACCAATACTTGTTGTTCATCTTTATACAGTATTATACTTTTTATATTGTACCCATCCTAGTGGGTATGAAGTGGTATCTCATTGTGTTTTTCATTTTGTTTCCCTTTTTTTGGTTTTTGAAACAGGATCTCACTCTGTCACCCAGGCTGGAGTGCAGTGGTGCAATAATGGCTCACTACAACCTTGACCTCCTGGGCTCAAGTGATCCTCCCACCTCAGCCTCCTGAGTAGCTGCGACCACAGGCACTCACCATCACACCCAGCTAATTTTTTGTGTGTTTTTTTGTAGAGATGTGGCTTTGCCATGTTGCCCAGGATAGTCTTGAACACCTGAACTCAAGTGATCTACCCGCCTCAGCCTCCCAAAGTGTTGAGATAACAGGTGTAAGCCACCACACCTGGCATTTATTTCCTTAATGACTAATCTTACTGAGCATCTTCCACGTGTTTATTGGCCATTTGTACACATTCTTCTGAGAAAGGTTTATTCAAACTCTTTACCCATTTTTAAATTGGATTACTTGCCTTTTTGTTGTTGAATTGAATGAGTTCTTTACATATTCTATTTTAAAAATTTATAATTTTTGTAGGGACATAGTAGGTGTATATATTTATGGGGTACATGAGGTGTTTTGATACAGGCATACAATGCGCAATAATCACATCATGGAGAATGGGGTATCCCTCCCCTCAAGCATTTATACTTTGTATTACAAACAATCCAGTTACACTCTTGGTTGTTTTAATGTGTACAGTTAAGTTATCATGGACTATGGTCACCATGTTGTGCTATCGAATAGTAGGTCTTATTAATTCTTTCTATTTTTCTTTATCCATTAGCCATCTCCCCTCAATCCCCCCAATATCCTTCCCAGCCTCTGGTAACCATCCTCCTACTCTCTATCCATTAGTTCAATTGTTTTGATTTTTAGATCCCACAAGTAAGTGAGAACATGTGATGTTTGTCTTTCTGCACTGGTTTATTTCACTTAACATAATTTACATATCATTAATACAAGTCTGATCCAACACGTAATTTGCAAATACTTTCTCCATGCTATGGATTGCATTCCTACTCTTTCATGATGTCTTTTAAAACACGAAAATTTTAAATTTTGATGAAGTGCATTTTATTTACCTTTTTCTCTTGTTGCTTATGCTTTTGGTGTCATATCTAAGAAACCATTGCCTAATCCAAGGTCATGAAGATTTATGCCTGTTTTCTTCTAAACATTTTATAATTTTTATCTCTTACATTTATATCTGTGATCCAAATTAAATGATTGTTCTTTAAAGATAATCAAATTATTATTCCTTTTGGAACTTTTTTCAAATAGTTAATCTACTATCTGAGAACCGTTTTGTGCAAAAAACATTTTTCTTTTTCTACTCACTTGAAATGCTACCTTTTCTCAAATATTATTTTTAAACACTTAATTTCCTTCCAGAAATCTGTTTGTCAATTCATATATTAGTAGAAAAACTTTTCTTATTTTAGAATTAAAGTATTTTAATATTGTATGACACAAATATTCTCCTGTTACATTTTTTACAAAATTTCCTGGGAATTTTTATTCATTTATTCTTTCAGATAAATTTTAGATTTATTTTATCAAATCTTGCATCCAAAATAAAATAAGAATTATAATTTGTGTTCTTTTTGTAATTTCATTAAGCTTATGTGTTAATTTGAGGAAATTTAAATTTTATAATATTGAATCAACAAATAGATATAGGGTACCATTTTATTTATTAATATTCCTTTTAGGAAACTCAGTGAAGTTTTATAGTTTTTTTCCCAAATAGATCCAAATTATCTCATAAATTTATTCCTAGGTAATTTTTATTTAGTTGTTATTATTGTAAATATAACCTTTCTGCTGAATATTTTCTAAGCATCTATATTACAAATGCAATATTTGCAATTTTTACTATAATGCAATTTTTTTAATGTATTTGGAAATTGCTTATTTGTTTTTGGTAGACATTTCTATAACTCACAATAGTGATACCTCTTATATGCCTTTCTAATACATTTATTCATTCCTCATCATCAGTTTCATTTGCCAGAATTTCCAGAACAATATTAAATATCAGTGGTGTTAATCGGTCTCCTCTCTTGTTCCTGATATTAGTAATAATGCCTTTCCCATTTTATTCTCCCAAATGGCATTGTCTTTTGGTTTGTGTTAGATTTTCCATACAAAATTGAGGAAATTTTTCTCTATTCATAGATGCTTAGGAATCTATGATTTCTAAGAATTATTAATGAATATTCAATTTCAGCAAATGTTTTTCAGGATCTATACACCTTGTCATATTTCTTCTTCTTTGAACTGTTAGTAAATTTCTATAGTAAAACAGTTTTAATTTGTTTAATAAGCTGTGTTTGTTCATAGTGAATCAATCTTTAATATACAACTAGGTTCAATTTACTAAAGTTTTATTTAGAATTATTACTTCTCACTATTCACAAGTTCATGAGTGAGATTGATTTGTGGCTTTCTTTTTATGTTGTTTATGTTAGGTTTTGGTATCAGAAATGCACTAGCCTTGAAAGATCAATTGCAATGGCTTTTTTCCCCTTGCTTTAGAACAGTTCATATACAATGGGAATTTTCATTAAAACTTTGAAAAAAAATCACTTGGAATAATAATCTGAGCTAAAGTCTCTTTCAAAAGCAATTCTTTGACAGCATTTTTGAATTGATTGCTTATTTATGATTCCATTTTCCTTTACTGCTATTCTTGAGTCAATTTTAGTTATTTGTATTTACTAAGAATTAGAGAGATCATAGGATAATTTCATTCCAGGAAAAAAGACAATTTAGTAACAAAATTTCCCTTTCTGATAGACTCCAAATCAGTATGATTCAATGGAACTCCTTATTCAATACAGTTTTGGTGGGGTTTTTTGTTTGTTTGCTTGTTTTGTTTTTGTTTTGAGATGGAGTCTCACTCTGTCACCCAGGCTGGAGTGCAGTGGCATGATCTCGGCTCACTGCAAACTCAAACTCCTGGGCTCAAGCAATCCTCCCACCTCAGCCACCTGAGTAGCTGGAATTACAGGTGTGTGCCACCATGCCTAGCTAATTTTTGTATTTTTGTAGAGACAACATTTCACCATATTGTCCAGGCTGGTCTTGAACTTCTGAGTTCACGCTATCTGCCTGCCTGGGCCTCCCAAATTGTTGGGATTACAGGCGTGAGCCACCGCACCCAGCCATAAATATATATTTAATCAGATTGACTTCTAACTTGACTAGGATGACAAATTGCTGTGCGACTGTGCAATTTCCACTGTCTATGAGCCTCTGTTTCAATGTTCTCCATGGTGGCTTAGTAAATAAAAATGATTCTAGAGCATGAAACTGAACAACTTCCTCACGCTAAATAATGCATAGGTAACAAAGGATACAATATATTTTTTATCCAGAAGAAATTACTGACCTGACAAACCAGCAAATATATGTTTAAGTATGATGCAAAGAAAGTAAAACTCAGATAGTGAACACGGGCTGGTTAAATTCACATTATCTTTATCACACGCTTTTTCGCATCCCAACCTTCAAAGATTCACCCAAATGAAATATTGAAGGTTCTATTGAATTTCTGACAAGTACAAACTCTCTATACCCAAGCATGGCTCTAGGCAACAGAGAAAGAAATAACAACAATAAACTATGTTTTCGCACACAGCCTAGAATGTTCGTTAGGGAGAAAGGGAAAAAAAGACTCTCTGCTGCTCTAGTGGACCGGAAATTCACTTCAAGGTTCAGACACTCACACATGAGAGCAGTTTGCTTTGCTCAAACCTTTGTCCTTTCTCTCCACTTTATAGCTTCAACTTTTAGATGGTCCAGGCCCTCTACTCACTCTGTTGCAGTCAAGAAATCAAACGTGATTGTTCCTCTGTGCTCCTTTCTTTGTCAATGCAGAGGACAGAATGTGGGCTTGTAGACAACTGAGTGAGCCAGGATCTGAGATACTGAGGTTCCAGTCTTGGATCCACAGTAACCAGATAGGATAGTGTGCACATGTGGTTTAAACTCTATGAGCCTCAACTTCCACGTTTGTAAAACCGAGGGGGTTGTACTTCACAAGGTAAATTTCGAAGTCTTTGCCAGACTGACAATCCTTGATTCAAGAAAAGAAAGTGCTGTTTTACAGTTTCAGTCTAGAGTTTGAGCCAGGCACCAGGGCCTACCACATAGAAGGCCAGTCTAAGGATGGAAGCCACCTTCAAAGTGTAATTATTCAATAGTCTTGACTTCCCCAGAACCTTCTGCGGGGGGGTGGTGGGGGGTAGTTAAATTGACTACAAAAGTAACCTACCGGAGTTTACTAACAAGTGCAAACTTGTCAGCATTTAAGTATTATAACAAACTACCTGGATGCCTGTCTTCCTCCTTAGGAGTCTTGTTTGCTATGTAAAGTTCAAGGGTTAACAAAAGGTAAGTGAATGTTTGATACAGATGGGCTCCTAGGCAGGCTCCTGAGAGGACAGGTGGACAATATAGAGGGAAGGAGAAAAAACAATGTGTGCTTCTTACTTCCTGCTCCCAGTGACCTGGGATGGAGTTCATTTTGCAGGGAGAGGAGGCTTTTTCAAATCTCCCTATCTTGCAATCAATCAGAAAAAAAAGAAAAGCAGGTGTGCTCTCTCCAGCCTCCAGGGCAGCAAAAAGAGAAGGGTTCACCGAAGCCAACCCTCCCCCAGAACTCCTTCCAGAATGATGCTATGCCACTAACCATGTTTCTAGATTTTTTTTTCTACAGTTGCAATCAATCATCTCTTTTAAAGGGGACTCAATCATTTAAAACTTGCAATTGAACAGGAAGGGAAACTGTTTGAATCAGACTTTCCAAAGGCAGGTAAGATTCCTGTATTCATGCTTTCGATTCAGTATTTATAAGGAGGCCTATTGTATAGCAGGCACTGTTCTAGGTGCTGGGAACTTAGAGGAAACCCAGCGGGAACACAGAGGACAGACAAGATCTCTGCCATGATAGTGCCCAACAATAAATAAGTGAGTAAAATGATTCCAGATCCTCTTATGTGATACATAGGAAATAAAACCAGGTAATATGGCTGAGAGTACAGCAGAGACAAATTAAATGGACTGTTTGCTCTGAGAAGGCCTCTTTTAGTAACAATAGCTACCATATTGTGAATACTCATTATATGCCAATTACGTTACATTTGTTATTTGGTTGTAGCTTTGCAACAGCCTTGTGAAGGAAGAGTCGTAGTCCCCTTTTAGAGATTAAGAAATTGAAGCTGGGCACAGCGGCTCACACCTGTAATCCAAACACTTTGGGAGGCTGAGAAGGGAAAATTGTTTGAGCCGTAGAGTTTGAGACCAGCCCAGGCAACATGGTGAAACCTCATCTCTACCAAAATAAGAAAGAAGAAAGAAAGAAAAAGAAAGAAAGAAAGAAAGAAAGAAAGAAAGAAAGAAAGAAAGAAAGAAAGAAAGAAAGAAAGAAAGAAAGAAAGGAAGGAAGGAAAGAAAAGAAAGAAAGAAGGAAAGAAAGAAAGAGAGAGAGAAAGAAAGAAAGAAAGGAAGGAAGGAAAGAAAGAAAGGAAAGAAAGAAAGGAAAGAAAGAAAGAGGAAAAGAAAGAAAGAAGGAAAGTTTAGCTGGGTGTAGTGGTGCACGCCTGTAGTCCCAGCTACTCAGGAGGCTGAGGTGGGAGGATCACTTAAGCCAAGGGGGCAGAGGCTGCAGTTAGCCGAGATCACACTGCTGCACTTTAGCTTAAGCTACAGGGCAAGACCCTGTCTCAAAAAAAAAAAAAAAAAATAGAAAAGAAAAGAAAAGAGAAAAGAAAGAAAGAAATTGAGGCCCAAGGTCCACAGCTAGCAGGCAGCAGAGCCAAGATCCAAAGCCAGACATATCTAATTCCAAAGTCCTGTGCTCCTGCCACTATGTTAACCTGGCCCATGAGAAGAAGCCCCCTGTTGCACTGGAACAGTGGTCCTCAGCCCTGTGTGCACATGGGGGTTAGAAGATGCTGACACCTGCACTCCAGCCCCAGCAATTGTTATTTGCTTAGTCTCCAGTGCAGTCTCAATGTTTCAGTATTTAGAGGCAGCCCAAGAGAGCTAAGTTGAGAACCTAGAACAAGCTCCTTAAGATGCAGAATCATCACATATATGGTCCACTCTGGGGCCCCAGCCAGCCCATCATCTTACTCCAAAAAAGTGCCCCATCATTCATTTCTGCTCTTCCTTCAGAAGTGCCAAGTCTGACACAAAGGTTACAGGTACAGGTGGCCACACCATACTTCAAGCTGATGCCGAACACTCCTAGACACTTAGGCTCATCCTCATTACACAGACAAGAAAACCCAGATACACACAGGCTTAGTAACCTTCTCAAGGTGGCATTGCTCCACTGTAAGTAGCAGAACTGGGATTGTAAATCCATCTTCTCAAACTCTTTACCACTAGCCTCACCTCCCTGACTTTGGTTCAGTTCCCTGGTTTAAACTCAGAGTTGATGGAAATCCAAAGAAAAGCCAATTGAAATAACCCAAGTTCTCTGCATGAAGATGCCTACACAACAGACCCCTTGACACTTCTGTGGCCCCAGTATTCACCTTTCTCCAGAGGAGAATCTCAGCGTTCAACTTCCCACCAAAAGCTGCCCTTTCCGTCACTGGATTTCTCTTTCTTTCACATGTGGTTTAAACTCTATGAGCCTCACTTGCCACATTTGTAAAATTGAAGGGGTTGTACTTCACAAGGTAAATTGTAAAGTCTTTCTCAGATTGACAATCTTTGATTCAAGAAAGAAAGTACTGTTTCAGAGTATTGGTCTAGAGTTTCAGCCAAGCACCAGAGTTTTATTTAGATTTATAAGACAGTTCTCTTTAAACTTTTATGTCAAAAACCACTTCTCCTTCCAAACCCACATTTGCGTGTAAAGAATAACTACTTTGAACCTGCAATTCTTTGACTCCCCCATTCAGACAACAAGCATCAATGTCACTAATGATGAAGCTCTGAGCTCCCATTACATATGGCATGGCACTCTACATTTTATGAAGTGTTTTCGATCCTTTGCACCCCAAACATTGGGGGTGAATAGAGCTGATATTATGATCCCTGTTTTACACAGAAAGAAACTGAGATTTATAAAGACCAAATAATTAATAGAGTCAAGATTCAAACCTGAGTTCTCCAACCGGAGACCAACTCCCATTTCCCTATGTAAAAAGCATGAGCAATATTTTGGCTTTTAAGGGACTTTACATTCTGTTAATTAGAACAAAAACCGATAATTTGAGTAGCAATTTACAGTTGTCAAATTGCTCCATCATTATTTCCCTTTATCCTCATGGAAATACTGGGATGCAGCCTAAAGGATTGTCTGCATTTATAATGGGGAGGCTGAGGCTCAGGGTGCTTAACCCACTTGTCTACACATTTTACCTCCTCAGTAAGGTGCAGACTTAGGATATGGTCTTCTGTCTCCAATTCTTATGCTCCTCTCCCTAAAGATTCACAATGCAAATTATTTAAGGTAATAAATTTTCCCTATACTCAGATACAATTTAACTAAAATAACTAAATAAGGTTTAATGCCTTGACCTACATATAAAATATATGTTTTATTCTGGTAGTTTAGTTTATTGTCCAGCAAATGTTCACTCCCTCCCTCTTCCCCCACCCCTATTCCTCACCCTGTGACTTGCTTTGGTCTCGTAATGGGTGGTGTTACATCCACTTAGCTTTGGCCTTGACATTGTTACTTCCTTGGCCAATGGGATGTTAACAGATGTGACTCCAAGCATAGACACAAAATAGGCTTGCCTAGTTATACTTGTTCTTGTGTGCCTTGGGTAACAACTGGACTAAGATAGATCAGAGCCAAGTAGAATAGACCTTGACCCAGTCAGCAGCTTGAAGCCAAGCTCAGTTAAAGTGAGCATAAATCAGCTAAATGCAAGCTCATCCACAGATGCATAAATGAGAAGAAAAGAGACATCATTAGACATCTCTGAGTGATTCAGTTACCTTGACTGAATAGTCCTTTTTACTGACAACTATTTAATCACAGTGCTAGAAACATGGTAAATATTTAAAATAGTCTTCACAATGATAGAACCCATAAACAATCCTCCGGACTTCTGGGTGTCCTCAGTCTTCTGGAACACAGAAAATTCTCTTCCAATAGGTAGCAGTGTTACACAAGCTTTAGACCCTACTAATGACAAAAGCAAGGCCTGATTGCTCCTTCAGAGAAGCAGGAATCAGGAAGAAAAATATTCCAACTTCAAATTCACCCCCATCTAAGGGACAAAATAACCCACAGCTTTAAAAAAAAAAACAAAAAAACAGATGGGATTTGGGGATGGGGATTGTTCAACATGCAGTGTGGTGTAATGTGTTCTAAGAGTCTGGGCCCACCTCTCTTCCATGTCATCACTTTCAGTGATTACTGAGTAATCCTTCCATTACTATGAAATCATAAACTTTGCTTACTCTTTTTAAAGCAGAGTTTCTGATACAGAAAGAAATATGCCGCATCTACTGTCAAAACGTCAAGAATGATTGTTTTCTGTGTTTCCAATAACCAGCAGCTTTTGTATGTGTTTTGTCTTCTTCACTCCACCACATCTATTAGAAAATCACCTTCCCTTGAGATAGAAACCCCGCAAATTTCTAATCTATGTAAATAAAACCTTAGTAGTTGAGGTCCATGAGAGGCACATGCATGTCTTTACTCCTGGTTGTGTGTCCTGTTTATATCTCTGGGACTGGCCCTGTTTATTAAGCTTTTGTGCAGAAGAGAAAACTGGGTATCTATGAGTACAACACAAGACTCTACTATGCTATATTGAGTTGAAAATAATTTTCCAGGATCTCAAATCTTACAGAGAATGGCCCAAGCAACATGGCCTTTGTCTACATGGAGAGGAGAAGATTATTGTGGCTTATGGAGGCGTTACCACCAAGCCCAGACATTCAAACTTCACCCAGACGACCTCTAGACCTTGGCTCTGGTTTTTTTTTTTTCCCATAGGTAGGAACACCCAGTGAAGGAATTGAGTCAGAAACACAAGCTACTTTGCAGCCTCAAATGTGAATTATCTAAGAAGGGAGGTGACCCAGCAACACCTTAAGGGCTCTCCCCTCCTGTTTTCTAAAACACTAAAGAAAGGCAAAAAGCCAACTTCTTTCCTAGGAGCCTAAGGCAATGGCTTGAATGAGGAGGTGCACACTCAATGCATTAAAAAAAAGGACAATTGAAATTGAGTTGGATTATTAAATTAATTATGTAAGTATAATTATATTAAATCCTATAATTAATTACATTACATTGCATAGCCCATTGAAAACTTACCAAAATGGCAGAGGTTTAAGGTGGTGAAATGGAAACTCCAGTGTACTGAGCAACAACCTAAAAAGAAATCTCACTGGAAGAGGAGTATCTTTTCTTGATTATGCTCCAAAATATTGATACTTGGTTAGGACTTGACAACACTCTTGTCATCCTTCAACCTCGGCCTCCCAGGTTAAAATGATTCTCCTGCCTCAGCCTCTTGAGTAGCTGGGATTACAGGTGCTCACCATCATGCCCGGCTAATTTTTTTGTTTTTTAAGTAGAGACGGGGTTTCACCATGTTGGCCAGGCTAGTCTCAAACTCCCGGCCTTAGGTCATCTGCCTGCCTCAGCCTCCCAAAGTTCTGGGATTACAGGCATGAGCCAACTTGCCTGGCCCCTTTTCCTAATATTAACAGCTATAGACACTAAGCCCTTCTGTGTCAAGCACCATACTAAATACCCTATGTGTATTACATCATAAAGTCCCCACTATAAAACTGCGAGATGGGTATTATTATTATCCAATTTTGCAGAAGAGAAAACTGAGGTCTCCATTGATGAAGTAATTTCTCTGAGGTCAGACAGTTACTAAAACATTCTAACTCCAAATTGTGCCATCCATTTATGGCTTTACTGCCACACACACAGCTCTGAAGGAAGGAGAGAGTGACGGCAGAAGTGGTGAGAGGCTGAACAAAGCAAAAGAAAGCAGACAGGTCAGGCCTGGGAGTTGAGGACTGGCCTTTGGGGACCCCTGGACTGAGTAAAATGCACCCTTGCTCCTAGACAGGAAAGGCAAAATGACGTTTGTGAGGTGTCCTCTCCAGGCCAAGTGCTTTCTTATAGGTTATGCTGTTTCATTCACACTCTGACCCTGTGAAGTAGGTATAATTAATCATTTTTCAGATGGTGCTAAGGCACAAAGATGCAAAATACCTGGCTCAGGGTCACATGGCGGGGAAGAGCAGGGCTGGTATTTGCACTCTGTTCTCTCTGAGCCCTTGTCTGTGTCCCACACCGGTGTGACTCCCATAGGAAACAGCATAGACACCATAGTTACTGTGCACTGAGTATGCTATTAAAGCAGGGGAGTTCCTACCAAAGGAAAAAGATGTTCATTATTTCTAAGTGATTTGTGTTGAAAACTCTACCCTAATCCCTTATCTTGAAGCAACACTACATATGTCTCTGAGAAAACTGTTGTCCATTTGTCTATCATGAACTGTATAAGTACTGAGTGCCAGACAGGCACTGGGAGGAGCGAGATGAGCAGAGGGCTGCAGGCTCTGCCCATTAGGAGCCCCTCCTTGTGTGTGGAGGGGAGAGGAGCAGGCACCCAGTAAGTGCCAGGCCTGGGGCAAGGGTGATGCACAGTGCTGTGGCGACATGGGGAAGGGAGTGTCCCTGGCCAAGACGGGCTTCCCCCAGTAGGTAAGAGAGCTGGCTTTGGAGCCAGACTTGGAATAATTACTCCAGCTCCAATGTCTGTACTGCAAGAATGATCCATGGGGCCCAGAAAAGAGTAGGGCACCTTCCTTGCTATGGAAAAGGCACTGGGATGGAGAAAGGCAGGAAACACTTAAAAAAAAAAGTAAATGACCAATCACAATAAGGAGTGTAGACTGGAACCTCTGCTGCAGTAGGGTGTCTGGTTGGAAGGAGGAAGTCAGGGAAGCAGGGGCAAGGCCAGGTGGTGGGTATGAGGGCCAGCCTCCCTGGGGGATAGAGAAGAGGAGTCAGGGTCTGCAGCATTGCTCTCTACCCAACTGCGTCTCCAAATCCCCTCAGAGATTCAGCAAAAGCCAGAGAAAGGCCTGGCCCTGCCCTAGACAAACTCAGTCACAATCCCCAGAGCTGGTGCCCAGCAAGTGTATGTTTTAGAAATGCCAAGGTAATACGTAATGAGGAAGAGTCAACAAGACTCAGTGAAGGAGTCTGCAAGGAGGACGGGGGCAAAAGCGGAGAAGATGACCGCCATGACACTAAGATTGCTAGCTGAGCCTCCTGCAGAATGGCGGGAACATTAGCTCAGCCAGAACTTACCCCAGGAGAAGAAAGGACATGTCCAGCGTGGATATGAAATCCATCCCTTCCCAGGCACCCAGATGTGAGCAGGTTCAGCATCTGGAAGTGAAGGTCAGAGCTGGAACCAAAAATGCTGTGGCAACCATGGGCAGGGGATGTTGGAAAAGATGACACAGCATAGTGCTGTGCAGGCAGAAGGCAGCCCCCAAGATTTACCAGGGAACAAAAGAGCAGAGTGATGAGAGAAATGGGAGGGGAGCCAGCATGGGGAGGGTGACAGAAACTAAAGGGGGAGAAGGTTTGTGAAGGGTGTAGTCTACAGGGTCTAGGGATGATGAAGCAAAAGCTTCAGAGTTGTCAATGGAGGACAACTCCATTGGGAGGCATCAATGGAGAAACCGTATGTCAAAATGTTCCATAGCAGACTCAGATGACTATAGTTAGCAAAATGTGTCGTGTATTTCAAAGTAGCTAAAAGAGAGAATCTGAAATGTTCCCATCACATAGAAATGACAAAATGACACAAGGCAGTGGATACCCCAGATGCTCTGACTTAACATTACACATTCTATGCGTGTAACAAAATATCACATGTACCCCATAAATATGTAAAATATTATGTATCCATTTTTTAAAAGCCAGTTCTAGTGGATTATGGAGGACTTAGGGGATGAGCGAGAGACGAAAGGCTTTTACTGTCCTGTCTTAAGTCCCAGAGTTGATATCACCTGTTTCAGGGCCGGTGAAAAAACAGGAAGGATGTTTGTGAATTTAGAAATGTGTACTCTTGCACTGGGGTTTGGGAGGGGGTGTGTGAGCCAATGGGAATGCCTTAACTTAATGCAATGTCTTCTGAGAGGATTCAGCCAGATGACTAAGAAGCAAAGATAAAATGCATCAAGATTGCAGGAGAGGAAAGAGAAGAAAGGAAAAATAGGAGATATTCTGAACAGAAGTCCCCAACTATTTTTATTTTTTTTTAAATATCTGGAATGCTAATCATGGAATCAGCTGGAATGTTATCTCTAACTCACCTCTATCAGGAAACATTAAGGTTTACAAAATTGACATAACAGTTCTCATAGGAATCCCCTCTAGATGTCAACCTAGTGTGTGTGCCGTCATCTTTAAATGCTTTCCCATGTTTTCTGGCAAATGTTAAAAGCAGCTTGTGCCTCTCAGAAAGACCAACTGCCCCTGTGGGGACTAATTGCATAGACCTTGTGCATGACGAAGAGGGTGCTACTCGGGAATAAGAAGAGGGGCTTAATGAATCACAAAAGTACATAATTTATCAAATAAAAAGAGTATGACATTTCAGAGTAAATTCCATGGAAAATGAATGCACTGTGTTTCGATGAATCAGGCACTGAGAATATTTCCTTAGAAACCAAGTCCATATTTTCATTAAGAGAGAGAGAGTGCACACTCGAGTGAGAGAGAGAGAAAGTGGGAGAGAGAGAAGCTATGGGATTCAAGTGCACCAGTGAATTAACATCTTGTGGTAAAAATGCTGCCTGAGAAATTAAAATGATATTTGAAACATAAATCCCGAGTGCTAACAACTCTCGTTATAAGCACCCGCCAGAGTCAACAAGCAGAGTTTGTTTGCTAGGAGGTTGTTTCTGGAGGCCAATTCTTGAGTTCTCAAAAAACATCTGTGCAAACGCAGAGGGAATGCCACAGCAATAGAAGCCATCAGTGGTTAGGTGTGTTATAAATACATTATTACTTCATTGTAATGGCACACGGGCCCTGGCTAGACTGCAGAATGACCTCACCAGCTGTCAGCCCTTGAGTTACTCTCCTTGAATGAGCATTCAAGATACAGCAGCGACTCCGAGTCGGTACCGTGTAAACACAGAGGTAATCGTAAGAGAGGAACCAGGCACAAATTCATCAACATCTCACGAAAAAGCAGGGGGCCTTGGCCAAAACCCGAAAGACTGAGGGATTCTTCTGTCACACAAAAACACCGTTCAAGCCAGCCCTAAAGAACCTTTTTCATGGAACCTCCGAGCCAGCCATCCCCTGGGCTTTCTCACTCTGTCTTCCCTCGCAGAAAAAAAAAAAAAGGCCTCACGGCCCAAAAGAAGCAAGCCTCCTTCCAAGGAATCTATTCCCGTAGTGAAAACTCGGAAATGCAAGCTGAGGCTGGGTGGCAAGGGTCCGAAAGCAGCTGGGCTCCTGGCAGAGGTTCCCTGCACACACAGAAAACCAACGACTTGATTCAGAAGTAGGCTTCCCTCTGCAAGTGAAGAAAAACATTTTGAAGATAAGAAGACTGCCCGCAACTAAATGGAAAATGACGGTGGGGCCAAGAAGTGTCAGAAACCATGGAAAAAAAACAAAAAGGGGAAAAGAAGTGGATCACCTGGAGGGGGGCTGTCCTCACTTAGCTCAGGTTTCCACAGAGCTCTGGCCAGTCCTGAGCTGGAGACGGGTCATGGGCATGGTGTGTGTGTGCGCCGGCCTGGGAGTCAGGATGTCTGATAGGGGTTTAGGGTCCTTCCACGGCAGTTTCAGTGTGACCCTCCACCTCGCAATGTCCTTGGCTGTCCCTCACTGGCAAGGGTACGGGTGGAATTTGTTTTTAATGAATGGGGGCATGCATCAAGTGTGGCCATGAGAGAAGTTACGTGGATGTGTGCTATTAGCATGCTTTGGTGGGCAGTGGGGGAGGGAGAGGTAAAGTGGGATTTTATTTTCTCCAAATGCAAAAAGCAAAAGTAGCTTCAGCCTTGGCCCTTTGACTGACACAAGTATGTGTGTGGCTGTGGGTACAGAAACCCAGAAATTTCATTCCACTTTGTACCCAAGATTCTGAAGGAAACAACCAGACTGTAAGCCCCATGGGGACAGTGAATATGTAGGGAGTATTGATCATCTGTGTCTCCCCAGTCCTTAGTGGAGGCCTCAGCACATACAGAGTACTCAGGTAGTGTTTGCAGAATAAACGGATGAGTGATCTCAGTAGCCATGAATGTCCCATGTTTTAGGTTACATACCACACCTTGCTTAAGCACTACCACCGCTCCAGCACAGCTACCACCAGCAGCTCCTGTTGGTCAGCCTTTGTCTGTAAAGGCTTGTTGCAAACTGAGGCATGAGTTTTCAAAGATGAATGTGTTTGTGTTATAATCACTTGGGGGAAAATATCAGAATTTTATTCAAGGAAAACTTTGTGCTAATAATTTAGGAAAATATATAGTAAAAATTTCAGTTTAACACGTATTTTATTCCTTTATTCATCTGTTTACTCATTCTAGAAATACTGTGCTACACAGAATATTTAAAAACCAGAAAAAGTCGCTGCTTTCATGGAGCTTACATTTCAGTGGGAGAAGTGAATAATGAAAGAAGAAACATATATATATATGTTAAGGCTATATGTGTATATCATTATGGAGTAAAAATGACTTCTATGAAGAAAAATTAAGCAGGGTAAGTGGATAGAGAGTGACAAAGCATGCCACTTTGCATAGGATAATCAGGGAAGTCCTCTATGGAGAGAGAACATTTGACCTAAGATTTGAAGGAAATGAGAAATTAAGCCCTGCAGAATTTTGGAGTTTCCTTAGGGAAGAAAATTCCCAAAGGAAGGGTATAAAGGCCCTGAGGTGAGTACCCAGTCACCAAGACGCAGAGGGATACTGCTTATACTTCATCTCTCCAAGCCCCCCAACCCAGTCCAGGTTTCCAGGCAAGGTGACAAAAGCCATACTTCTCCCTGCATTTACTTCATTTCTCTCCCTTCCTTGTGTGCCCCCACCCCACCCACCCACACATACATACACACAGCACCCTTTTCCTTAAGCCCAGACCAAAATCACTCATGAATATCATCTCATATAATACAGCTGCGACGGAGTGGTAAGAAGCCAGAGAATCTCAACTCTGGCCAAGGAGAGTCACCCAGTTCCAGAGGTAAAGCCTCCAGCATGGAGGAGAAGCCTCCACAATGTTAGCCCACTTCCTCCTTATTTTCCTTTCATTAGAACTCCAGAACTGCTGCTAGTAAGTGCAATCCCTTATATCTGTAAAAACACTTCTTTCTTGTCAAGTACTTCACGCCATGGTCTCATCTCCTCTTTACAAGCACCTCAAGAGGAGTATGTAGGGCACCCATTTTTACTGTTCCACAGAAGGTGAAACCGAGACAGCAAGAGATTGTAGTCATACAGCACCTCAGTGGCCAAGTTGAAACTGACAGGTGAATTCCTGACTCCTGGCCCCGGGCTCCTTCCTGTGTACTACGTAGCTGTGAGGTTCCTCCTAGAACTGTGCATGATGATAAATTGCAGTGCTTAATCCCAAAAGTCTTCTAGGGCAACTCAAGGCATTGTGTGGAAGCATAACCATTATTACTGTGATTTTGGATTGAAATAAGAAATTAGTGCCTATACATACAAACAGGTTTGTCACTGTTACCAGCAGTCTCAGCCTTGGCAAACATTGAATGCGAAGTATTGTAACTATGAAAGCTCTGGGCTGATGGACATATGATACCTCATGGGCTGAGGATGTTGATACTCCTATTGGCTGGTATTCTTCAGCATAGAGAATCCAAAAGCAAGTCGTTCCCTTGTCCTCTCACAACCATACACAGCAAAGGAGGTGCAAGGCATGGCATGTCTAAGATGGCCATGGATGAAGAAAATGGTGGCAGGGCTCCAAGGTGGCTAAGACTTAACTGTCATGTGAATGAAGCACAGTAGTAAAGGCACATCTCCCCAGGCCTAGCATCTGCCAGACAGTGTGCTGCCAGCGTTCCTTGCCTTGGGTTTCAAAAAAAGGCTGGAATCCAGACCTCTATGGTGTAGCCACTGAAGTAAGGCCACTTACACAAAAGAACAGTGGTTTTATCTTGGTGGCTGCTGATATTTTTTAAACCTGCCAAAGACCTTTATAGGTAATGAGCAAGACTCTTGCCTTTAAACCCACACTGGATTTTAAAACTTATCCTGTGAAAGAAATAACAGGACAAAGAGAATTAAGGAAAAGAAGGTTTTTTCCTCACTTCTTAGAACTTTCAGCTGCTGTCAACAAGTTTGCAGGGGTTTGCTTGATCGACTGCTGATAGAACACAGTAAATTTCCTAAAGTAGGCATCTATTATCTAATCTAAACTCTTATAGAAAACTTAATGGACGTGATAAAGCAAATTTTATCTCCATTTTATATATGGATTAATGGAAAAAGTTGACAAGACCTACAAGAGACTGGATACTTGATGCCTCATTCAGCTAGACATCTGTCCATGGCACTGGACAAAATGCACTCGGGCATACTCCAAATTCCCATGACAGAAGTCTAGCCCTGTGCTGTCCAACATGGTCGCTATGAGCCACGCATGGCTCCTGGGTACTTGAGATGTGGCTAGTCCCAACTGAGGTGCATCATAAGTGTAAAATGCACACCAGCATTCAAGATTTATTATGAAAAAAAGATGTAAAATATCTCATTATTAATTTTATGTTGATGGTGTATTGAAATGATATCTTAGATATGTAGGGTTAAGTAAAACATAAAATTAATTCCACCTGTTTCTTTTTACTTTATTGAATGCAGCTCCTAGGAGACATAAAGTCACAGATGTGGCTTGCATGATGTTTCTATGGGATGGTGCTCATGTGGACAGAGTTTTTGGACACTTCTTTGGAGGGATTCTTTAGGATATAACCTTTCGCTTTCCATTGCACTGAAAATTCCCTAGCAATTGGACAACATTCCTCTCCAGCATTCCTTCTATTCTGTCACACCTGAAAGCAAGAACCTGATGACACACATTTTCACATGTTTCTATGACTCTCTCTATTGAAAGAAGTAGCAGGCAAGGAATGGTGCATTTTATTTGAATAAATTAGGTTAAATTTATGGAAGTAACAGCTCCATTTTATTTCTCTCTCCTTTGATGTCTATATTTAAACAATCTAGAGATTCTCATTTCAGTCCATTACCAGACTGTCTCCTAGTACATTCTCCCAGTTAATTTTTTTTTTCTAAACAAGAACATAAATCCCTGTTGCCTGCCTCTTGGCAACTCTTGACTCTCCCAAGGCAAAATTTTGGAGGGCACTCATTGCAGAAGCACACAGAATTGAAGACAAGGAGGAGCACTGGATATTCAGATGTTAAAGTCTGACTCCAAGCTCTGGCTTGTAATGGGCAGTGGTCTAATGTGGTATTTACAGCTGAAGGGGGTAAAAAAAAAGCAGATTGCTTCCAGAAGCTATGCATCTGCTACCCGGTAAGCCTGCTGGTTTGACGCGCTCAGCAAAGTGCATGAAGAACTCTTGAACGTCACAGTGATTTGGTTAATTGGGTAAAGATAAGGGTTTCTGAATAGCAGAGTCAGTTTGCCATATTGGCCTGGCACCCACGCACGTGTGATGAAAAAAAAGCTCGGCTGTCTGGATGCGTCTGAACGCTCAGTTATTTCATAAAGCCTGCACTGTGTATTTGGAATGCACATTTGCTCTTATGAATAACAGTAATTGTTTGGCTTGGCCTGCCTTTGTGTGACCGCCAGCTGGCAATGACTGGAACCGTGACACATGACACTCCAGCTGTGTCCACATGTTTCTGCCTCGCAGTATCCACTTATATAATTTGCTTTTTTGATCAACAGTTGAGCCATTTAAGGGAACTCATCATATTACACATGCCAGCTACTTCTCTGCAAATACTTCTATTGCAATTTCAAAGAAAGATTTTCATTACTCCTTGCTTATTATGGGGATGTTGCGACTTCATTAAACATAGTGCAGTAAAAGATACATTCCTAATTGAACTTGAGTATTTTTCCCTTGAATACACATAATTACAAGACAATAGCTTAGCATTTAATCAAATGAACCATTAAAATAGTAACTAATGATGGTCTTACTATGACTGACAGACCTGACCCAACTCTCTTTAACTTACCCCTGCCCCCACCCCGACACACATACAATTTTATTAGGCTTGCTATATTAGTCATTGTAATTAGGTTTGCAGTAGAGAACTGATAACTACCTGGGTTGTGGTAAAGAATCTTATCTGCTTAGGTGTTAAAGTTTCTGTTGTGCTGCAATCTATTTTCTTCACAGAGATTTGGAAGAAGCAAGCAGAAATTGAACTTGACCCAAAATATACTTGTATTTTTATTACCTTTTCCTGTGAAACTGAAAACATTCACTTAATCCCTCCTTCCTGATACTGAAGAGTAGGGAACACACGCAGTCCTTTCAGCTCTTGGGAAAATTCTAAATTATGCAACTTTGGTAACTTATAGCCCAGCCAGTGAAACTAGGCCATTGTAGCCTAAAACCCCTCTTTGACTTTGTCCCTTAGTGTCACTTGGGTTTTATCAAATCACTGAATTGATTAAATATAGTGAAACATCAGAATGGCTGACCAGAGAACTATCTGCTGACAGTCTTTACGGCCCAGAAAGACAGGTACCATGCAAAAATGATTCTGGCTACTAGAGACATTTTACTTGGAGGAGAGAAGAATTCATTTCATCCATTTCTTTAATACTCAGACTGTCCTGGCTCATGTAAGCAGGGAGAACTTTAGGAATATTGAGAGAATTACATATAGTAGCTGTTAAAAAAAAAAAGTTCAGTGTGAGGGAGGGAACATGGAAAAGTCAAAGGTCTATTAAATGAGTCATCAAGAGACTTGAGTTCTAGTTCAGGACTTGCCACTAAATAGTTATACTGCCTTGGGGAAATAAACCTCTTACTTGTTAACGCATCAAATGCCTGATTCTTTAAAAGGAGAAGAGGAGGAGGAGGAAAAAGAAGAGAAAGGGGGTATGGAGCAATAGAAAGTCTTGTTCTTCCTAATACACAGGATCATTATGAAAACCCAATAGGATTTGGGCAAATATAAAATATTCTGCAAATTCAAGGAATTATTAGTGTTTAAAGTATCATAAACTTGGACATTAAAATTCGGGGATGTGTAAGTCCTAGGAATATACTTTATCCAAAGCTGGAGAAAGGTGAGATGTGTTAACTGAGTAGATGCTGTTTTCTTAGGGGCATTTGAGAGACAAAATCAAATTGAGAGTTGATTAAAAATTTTATCCTTAGACAATTAAATGTCAACAAATTGGTGAGCTGGGAGGGAACCAGAAACCTTATAGCAAACCCCCTTCATTTTACTGACAAGGAGACTGAGTCATAGCAAAGGGAAGTGACTTGCCCAAGTCCACACAGCCAGATGATGGTAGAGTGTGGAAACGGAGCCCTTCTGACATACACTGACTCCCATCCTCTCTATTGGATCTTGAGAGAAAGCATTCTGTCAAAAGACACACAAGCAGAATTAAGAGAGTTTCTATGGAAAATTCTCTTTCTGTGGGAAAATAAGAAAAGGTAAGTGGATAAAGTGCCAGACATTGGTGCATGAGATCACAAGACAATAAAAACCAGGATTAACAACCAGGAACAAAAGCTTGTCACATCTTTGGAGGGCTTTGATGAGAAGCGCCCTGGGACTTAGTGACCGGCTGTTGGGAACGGGAAGGAGTGGAAACAAGCAGCACTGGAGTCGGGAGCTTTATCTGATCTGAAAAGTGGTCCCTGGGGGAGTGACCACTAGCACAAAAAAGTCTACAGTGCTGCCTCGTGGGAGATGATAGCAAACAGTCTCCCACCAGGCCCTTGCTAATGTTGAAGAGAATTTGGAGCTGGAGGACATAGCACAGCAGCAGCAGCAGCATTATCCAGACAGCAATGAGGCCTGAGGTCAGGAAGCTGACAATATCATGGTTCTGGGTGGTCCATCTGCTTTGGAATAAGACCCCAGCCAGCAGCTGGGGTTACCAGAAAAAGGGTCTAGCTCTTAAGCGAAGAAGCTTGCAAGAAATCGAACTGTCTCTGGCATATCTTGGGTGCAATAATGAAGAACAAGGTAAGATATCCTCCGTCAAATGGGGTAGGATTCAGGGTAGATTCTGACCTCAACAGGATGGCTGAAGTGCAAACCATGGGAACCGGGCCAGCCCGTTTCAGAAGGAAAAAGTCATAGGAGGACTGGAATTTCCCCCAAGCCCATTTGGAACTCCAGTTTTAGGATTGGAGATGAGTTCCACTGCAGTGGTGTGAGTCTCCTGAAACACTAGTGCCCTTGGTCAGACTCGTAGGCTGAAAGACTACCGTTTGAAAGTCTATAGAGATTACTACTGAAATGTGAGGAACTCAGGGCCTAACACTTTTCTCAGTTATGCAAGGACCTAATCTTGGATTATTGTGTAGGCTTTAATTGCTATGAGGGCAGGTGTCATGTCTATTGGTTTGCCATTTTATGCCAGGTACACAGTAGTTATTCAATAAATATTTGTAAAAACAATGAATAAATCTCCAGACTACTTCCTTCCTCTATTGGTCATTCAAATATTATTTCTCTGATCTTAAGATCTTGTGCTACTGATGGACACCCTGCCTGCTTCATAAAGTTGTCCAGGTCTGGCTTATAGCCAAGCAGACTCAAAACTGTGGTTGCAGTAGAGAATCTTAACCAAAGTAAACATGTGGCTGGAAGGAGAGGCTGTAGGTCTTTCCTTCACCATGTCACCACCTCTTTATATCTTTCATACTCAGAGCATTCACAGAATTTTAAAGGAACCCTATGAAAAGAAATAAATTTTTATAAGAAGAGCGAGCAGACCACCAAACACTTGAACAACTGGTTATTTTCTCTTTGGCGTTATCAAGAGGGAGGTATCAGGAAGAAAGCAATAGACCAGATTCAAAAAGCATCCAAAATGTCACTACCTTATTTGATGTGGCCAAGGTGTTTAGATAGCAAAACTCATTAGTTTACTTAAATGTTCACTTATTAATTATTCTCTTTATCTCAATTTCTCTATTGCAAAATTATGATAAAAATCATACCTATCTCTTAGAGTGGTTGGAATGATTAAAAGAGTTTATACATACCAAAGGTTAAGAAAAGTCCCAGGTACATAATAAGTATTCATAAAGGTTAGCTATAATCATTGCTATCATTATCATTTCCATCATCACTACCATCACTGTCATAGTTGAATCACTTGTTCACAGAAGAGTATAACTGAAGACCGTGAGTTCCCTAAAGATAAGTGTGGCACAGTTACCACTGTTATGTCTGCCAATTAGGATAGAACTCAGTGCAAACTAGGGGCTCAACAAATATCTATTGATTAAAACAATGAATGCATGCATAAATCCCAGCAGAGACTTGGTGGCTAAATAAAACAGCAGAAAAGCCATAGTGGTATGGAAAGGCATTCTGAATCAACGGAAATCAGAGTTTGAATAGACGCAGGTGGGCAGATTTTAAGGTGATCATCCTGCCTGTGACTGAAAACTCCTGCAGAAGACTGAGCCATGATGGAATCCTGAAGTATGGTTCATGCCAAGAGAAGGAGAGCTTTGAAAGCCAGGCTAAGATGGTTGGACTTTGTTGTGAATCAGAGTGCACACAGTTCTTTCCCACACCAGAAAAACAGTAAACACTTAACACATTTCAATCAATCTAAATCTGAGAAGTTGTACAAGAGTCGCAATTCACGTGAACCACGGTCACCAATTTTAGCATGCATGGGACAGGCCATTTACTTAACAAACTGCTGTTTGGGTTTAAAATTTGTTATTACTACTTATTTGAAAAATAGTATGTGAATATCTTAAAAGTTTATCAACAGGAACTTCCAGCTACTGCTTGGGATATGAGAAACTGGAAAGGTCATTGCTTCTGCAATAATAACAAGGAAAAGATGTATAATCTACAAAATCATAACTTTTCTTGAACCTATGAGAGAGTTGAGATTGCATGACAAACACTTTAAAAAGACAGGCAATTCTAAAGAGATGTTAGGATGCAAACCCTGACTTCCCTGCAGCAGAGCATATGGGAAAGACGAGGTAATCATACCTCATGGGTAAGAAAGTTTTAGTTCATATTTTTTACAAATTGATAAATGCCAAGTTTGGGCTACTGTGAGAATATAAGAACCACCATGAGCCACAGACACAAGGGAAGTTCACACCCAACCACAGAATCATCTCCGTTAGTTTCACTGAGAAACTTTGCTGGGTGCTCATGGGAAAGAATGAGGACAGGGCAAGAGACCAAAGAGAGCCTCCCTTCTGAGGAGCAGAATTCACTGTAAGTAGGCAACAACCTGCCCAAATCTCTCCCCTCCAGAACAAAGCCTTAGACGTCCCTCAGAGGTAAGAAAGAAAGTTTGATTGACAAAGGAAGTACAGTGTGATGGAAATGGTAAATATACAGATAATTGTATTATCTGTATCAGTTTTAGAGCATTTAAAGATTAGAGAAAATGTTAGAAAATTAATAAAATGTCTAAATCAAAAATAGTAGCAATGTATAAATGTATAAAATAGTAGCAATTTAATCAAGACAGTGTTATATTGGTGAAGTATAGACACTTTGATCAATGCAACAGAATAAAGAATCCAGAAATAGATTCATACGTACATATGATCAATTTCTGAACAAGGTACAAAGGCAATTAAATATTAATATAGGCCCACCACAAATTCTCACCCAGGATTATTGTAATAGCACCATACCTAGGTTTAGCTTAGTAAAATTGCTAAGAACTAAAGTCAAAGATCTTAAAAGTAGCAGGAGGAAAAAAAATTACCCTCAAAGGACAACTTAAAAACAGAAAATACAGAAAACAGAAGATAATGAAATAACATCTTCAAAGCTCTTATAGAAAATAACTGAAAATCTAGAATTCTATATCTATATGAAATAATTTTAAAAAATAAATACAAGACACTGCTTATTTTGGTTAGGATCTGGAAAGATGTAAAAGGTCATTGTTCTCATGGTAAAAATAAGAATAATCTAGATGAAATAAAATCATATTTTTATTTTTCTAGCCAGCTGGCAAAGAATAGTATAACTAAGGAATCTTTGACAAACTGAGTTTCAGAGTTTCAAATGATTCCTTCATAAATGAACAGAGAGCCATAGCAGCTTTTGTACCTAAAGGATGGTCACTTCTAGTGCTAGTGGGTGGGAAAACCAGCCTCCCATAAAGACTCACCATGGGTAAGGAGGAATCAGACAAGCCCTAGAATACCATGTAAGTTGGAAGGACAGATCAGAATCTGGAAAAGCCCTAACTGCAAAAATAAAATTGGTATACCTAAAAAATATGTAGCCTTATCATATTCCTGAATTTTTGCCAAGAAAGCAGTAGTGGAGAGGGTCTGGAAGCCTAATATTGCTGAGTTTTCATACTTTCACAGTAATTGTGTTATTGGGCCCTGTTTAATTGAATCCAAAGGTAAACCAACTATATTTTGAATGGTGGCGCAAACTCCTCTCAATTACAATTAAAAGATCAAAAATATAGTTATAAGAAAAGTTAGGGGTTGAGCTATTCACAGGTGAACTCAATATAATTAAAGCTACAATTCTATTTGATTTGAGGAGGAACCTAAATAGTCAGTGCTTCACCCTAACTGCCAAACAAAGGAAAGGGGTTTCAATCTCTAGTAAATCAGCAAAACAAACAATATTATACTTTATTCTTTTACTCATAACCTCTAGAAAAAAAATTTAAAGTAGAAAGCTTGTAAAAAAAAAACCTAGGAAAATGTAATAATAATTAAAACAAAACATAGTCAATAAAAGCAGAACTGCAGATGACACAACTCCAGAAATTAGCAAAAAAGAACTTTAAGAACACATAAATATGTTAAGAAACTCACAGAAAAAGATGAATATAATGGAGGAAGAAATGAAGTATTTCAGGAAAGCAGTAGAAAATATTTAAAAGTTCACATTTTACAACTGAACAATGTAATTTCTGGAATGAAAAATCCACCAAATGGGTTAGTAGTAAGCTGGACACTGCAGAAAATTAAGTGAGCTTGAAGGCAAGTCAATAGAAATTACCCAAGCTAAAGAAGAGTGAGACGAGATTAGAAAAAAGAAAGAAGCGGAGCATCTGTAATCTTTAAGATAATATCAATCAATCTAACATACATAAATAAAGAGTCCCAAAGGAAGAGGAGGAAAAAAGGGAAGAAAATATATTTAAAGAAATAATTGCCTAAATTTTCCAAAGTTTAATGAGAAAACAACCCCCAGATTCAAGAATTTCAATGAACCCTAAGTAGAATAAATAAAACAAATAAAAATACCATACCTGGGCACATCATTATGAAATTGCTGAAAATCATAGAGAGAAAAATCACAAAGCCAGTCAGAGGAAAAGAATATGCATTATATACTAGAAAACAATAAATTCATTTTGTGGAGAGCAAAGAAAATAATAATGTATGTGGATAGGTCATGATACTGACTTTTTAAGGCTATGCATATTCTCTTAAGTATTTCTCTCCTGCATGTGGTGTAAAAAAGAACAGAGGCCCTGTAAGGTCTTCTAGAGGGGACAATGATAGCGAGACCAAGTCGAAACGTGCAGTCATCATACAAAGTGGCCATCCTTGCCATCCTTGCTGGTCAGAGATTCCATGGGGGATTGTTTGCTACAGGCAACTTTAACTTGCAGTATCAGGGAATAGTATAAAGCAAAGCAATTTCTACTGTATTTAAATGAAATTTCTACACAACTTTTAATAGGTCTTGAGCAAGAGTCTTATTACCCAGGTGTTAACTTTACCTCATTAAAGGAAAAAGCCCTGTGGCTGGAATCAAAAGGCTTGAGTCCTACAGATAACTATCAATTACAGATGACCTTGCTCTGGTCATTTAACACTGGTGAGCCCATGGAAGCACAGTGTGTGGAACAGAGGGACTGGGGGTGCTCATGGGGAGTGCTTTCTTGTCCAGTGGGCTGCAGGGTATCCTAGAGCAGCATGTTCAGTCCTGGATGGACACCACATAAAATGAGGAATATTAACAAGACAAGACAGCTCCAGAGTAACATGACTAGAAAGTAATGAGTGAAAAAACTCATGTTATTAAAAACTGATTGGAGGAATACTCCTGGGTTCTTAACCTGGAATTCATAGACCTAAAATCAGATGTATATTTTATTGCTATGTGCATATGTACTTTTTTTTGACTCTTCACCCCCAAAAGTATTCTGAACTCTACCCAAGTTGAAATAAAGATACTGGCAGGATTTCCTAATTGTTTTCTGTTTTTAGTTTTATTTTAAATTGACAAATAATAATTATATATATAAATATTTATAGGGTAGAATGTGATGTTTTGATATATGCAAACATTATGGAATACCAAATCAAGCCTATTAATATATTTATCATCTCAAATACTTATTGTTTATTTGTGGTAATAATTTTTATCAAATTTTAATTTTTATTTTAAGTCTCTGGGCACATGTGCAGGATGTGCAGGTTTGTTACATAGGTAAATGTATGCCATGGGGTTTGCTGCACCTATCAACCCATCACCTAGGTATTAAGCCCAGCATGCATTAGCTATTTTTCCTAATGCTCTCCCTCCCCCCACCTCACCCCCTTGACAGGCCCCAGTGCATGTTTTTCCCCTCCTCGTGTCCCTGTGTTCTCATTGTTCAGCTCCTACTTATAAGTGAGAACATGTGGTGTTTGGTTTTCTGTTCCTGCATTAGTTTGCTGAGCATAATGGCTTCCAGCTCCATCCATGTCCCTGGGAAGGACATGATCTTGTTCTTTTTTATGGCTGCATAGTATTCTATGGTGTATATGTACCACATTTTCTTTATCCAGTCTATCATTGATAGGCATTTGGGTTGATTCCATGTCTTTACTATTGGGAATAGTGCTGCGATTAACATATGCATGCATGTATCTTTGTAACAGAATGATTTATATTACTTTGGGTATATACCCAGTAATGGGATTGTTAGGTCAAATGGTATTTCTGGTTCTAGATCTTTGAGGAATCACCACACCGTCTTCCACAATGGTTGAACTAGTTTACATTCTCACCAACAGTGTAAAAGTGTTCCTATTTTTCCACAACCTCACCAGCATCTGTCATTTCTTGACTTTTTAATAATCACCATTCTGACTGACATAAAATGGTATCTCATTGTGGCTTTGATTTGCATTTCTCTAATGATCAGTGATGTTGAGCATAAACTGTACAAGCCAGAAGAGATTGGGGGTCAAGATCCATTGATGGCAAGAACTTTTGTAATCCACTTTTTTAGCTATTTTTGAAAGATACAACACATTTTTATTAACTATCATCACCATTATGTGTAATAGGTCACGAGAGCATATTCATCCTATTTAACTGAAACTCTGTACCCTTTAACTAACATCTTTCCTTTCCCCATCTGCACATGCCCCCAACCTCTGGTAACTATACTGGGGAGCAACACTGTATAAAAGGATTAGACTTCATTTGGACAATGTGTTCTGGCAAAGAAAGACAGACCTTTGTTGAAATCCTAGCTGTGCCACTGAGTAATCACATGTCCTTTTGCACTTAATTTAATCTCTCTGGTCATCTGTTTCCTTACTTTTAAAAACTTGAGGCCAGGTGTGGTGGCTCGCACCTGTAATCCCAGCACTTTGGGAGGCTGAGGCGGGTAGATAACTTGAGGTCAGGAGTTCAAGACCAGCCTGGCCAACATGGTGAAACCCCCGTCTCTACTAAAAATAGCAAAAAATTAGCTTGATGTGGTGGCAGGCACCTGTAGTCCCAGCTCCTCGGGAGGCTGAGGCATGAGAATCCTTTGAACCCAGGAGCCGGAGGTTGCAGTGAGCCAAGATTGCACCACTGCACTCCAGCCTGGGCAACAGAGTGAGACTCTGTTTCAAAAAAACAAAAACAAAAACAAAAACAAACAAACAAACAAACAACAACAACAAAAACCTTGAGAGGGGTCATAAGGATTGCAGGTAATATATGCAAAACTGAGTACATAGCAGAGGCTTCATGTGTGGTAGCTAGTATTATTATTGACTTGTATAAGAATACCTGAGTCAGGACTAATGAGTAAAAGCCACAAAGGGATAGATTTGAGCTCAGAGATTTTTGTTTTTTTTTAAATCAACAAGAACTATTTTTTAAAAACAGAATGATCTGCCTTCTGGAATTCTGAGCAGCCATCTCCAACACACTTATGTACAGGCAGATCTCAGATACTTATGTATCTGCAGCTCTCAGAGATACAGTAAAGTAATTAGGGAGGGGCTTAACTAAACAATTTCTGAGGTCTTTTCCAAAAGTAAAAATCTTTTTAATTCTATGCTTCAGCCTCTGACATGCGCCTCTTGTATCTGATAAATATGTCTTGCACTTCTTATGCCACTTATATTTCTAGAAATATTGTCAGACCCTTCTGAAGAATGAAAAGACCACATATGTAAAACCATAGTTTTCTAAGCTATAAAGCATCATCTGCGTATGAGATTGCTTTCTGAATTGAAACTCAGCAGTCCACATCATCTCTGACAGTAGGTTTTCCTTTCTTCTTGAAGATCTGTGTCCCTTCTTTTCAGTTACAGAGAGAACTGGGAGCCTTCCAAACACAGATTATCTCAACAGGGCTTGTTTCGTATATTTAAAGAGCTCAACTCCATAAACTGAGGAGTTGGTATTGTGGTTCTCTGCTATTTCTGATTCATCCAGAGGCACTTTTTTTCTTTCTGCATCATTTAAATGAAAAATTTTTATAGTCCAATTTTATCAGGTGAGTGTCGAGTCATCTTTCAATGCCTTGAATCCTGGTCCTACTCATAAGATGCATCTGAATGTATAATTTAAATTCTACCATAAAGAAGAACAAATAACCCAGATGAGAATAAGCAGAAGAGAATTAAATTAAGAAAGTATGAGAGATCCAAGCCTGAGTGAACAGCCACTGATTCTTGTTGGATAATTTAGCAGACCACTCACCTAGGAAAATACTTCGATTCTAACAATTTGTGTAACTGATATGTAAGCCAATAGCCTGGACCACGGCTGGGTGGTGTCAATAATCTCAGTGGCCTAGATCTGGAGTTGCTCAGCTCTGACATGGCTAAGCCACTGCGCAACCTTGGCTTTTCTTCTCCAAGTTCTGTGCTCTTCAAAATCTTCAGCTGAAAAATGAAGATTGGAAGCGATGAACTAAAGGTGCCTCTAATCTCTAACAAGTTTTGTCTCGGGATAATACACCTGCTTTTATTAATTCAAATTTGTGGATTTGACCTGAGCTATCCAGATTTGCTAATCTAACTCTGTTATGATACATAATCATAGAATATGAACAATTGCCTCTGATCTCAAATATTGGGGGTCCCTTATAAGGCAGTGGGTCCAGAAGAGACAACCCTTAGCAAAAAAGGACTGTCTAACTGCTGACAATTGAGGCTCTTGTACCATCACCTGGATCCTCTGTTTCTACCCTTTTTCTGGTCCCCAAGGCCAAGTGGATGGACCAGTTGTACTCTACTAAGCATATGTACCTTATCATGCATGTAATCTTTCTATGCTGCATGTTTGCTCTCAAATCTGTCTTTGGTTTATACAAATGTCTTCTGAGTGGTAAGTGTGGACATCGTTGATACCTAATATGATTTGCTCTGGACCTTTCATGCCCCAAAGATAGCTCCAAGTATTCACTCCTTAATATCAGTCAATCTTAACAAAATTCTCATTTTCTTCATATCACTTATTACTTCCGACATTAGAGTACGTATCTATTTGTTTATCTATTGTCTGTCTTTCACACTAGACTGTAAATTTCCTACATTATGGATGTTATCTCTTTTACTCACAAATATGCATCCAGAGCATAGAAATTATGCATAAAATTGTTGCAGATTATAGGGTTATACAATCCAGAGCCCTCTGGTCTCCTTGCTTTCTTTCCTCTGTCTTCTAAGGACTCCATGAAACTCTGAAAACTGCTCACAGAGGAGAAAACAGAAAGCCAGAAATGCTGTGTTTGTCTAAGGCCACAAAACCAGGCAGTGGCAGGACGCTGCGCTCTGTGCTGATGTGCTTTCCATGCTGTCAAATCACCTAGAAGCTGTCACTGGCAGATCAATACATTCCTCAGACACTCTTCTCATTTGCTTGTCCATCAACAGAAAATGAGATTCTTTTTAACATTTTTGTCACTGGTGCCCAACCCAGAGTTTCAAATGTTTATTATTTTCCAGCGTCATGCTGGAAGCATGCTCCTCTGTTGCCCTCCAAGCTGGGGCTGCTTCAGAAAGTCCCAGCCCTCCCCACATTGCCACTCGCTCCCTTTGGGCCACCAGGGGACAGGGGGATGACAGTGCAGAGCCTGTGGCATCCCTGCTGATGAAGAAATCTCCCAGATCACAAGCCCAGCTGTTAACATGAATGACAGTCAACAAAGAGGAATCACAGAAACAGATGCCTCAAGCTCCCAGTTAGGGTGATGCTGAAGGGGCATTTGGCAGGACCCACAGTTCACCCTTACTTTGCTGAGGAGTCCTACAGCCTGGAGATTTAATAGAGATGGACATGAGTGAAGACCCTCACATTAGGGAAGTGCCAAAGACCCCCAAAGACTCTTTAAAAAGAGATGTCCCTCAACTGAGAGGAAGAGAGGAGGGATAAAAGAAAGAAGGCTGCTGTTTCTTACCAGCCAAGATGGTTCCTATTTAAAATATAAAAGATGAGAAACATGGGCATGACAACAATGACTTGTGATGACTGTTTCAATTAGAGAAAAATCAACAATATGTGTTATGGATGAAAAATGGTTTGGCCGTGTTTACTTCCACTGTCTGTTGTTCATAAACATGCATGCACAGCCCTGTCAGTTTATCTTGTGCAGGCTACGTGTTGTGTATCAACAGGCCAACCAGGGGTGGGGAGGGTGGGGACTAAATATTGCAAGAGTGGAAGGAATCTCTAGGGTGCAGAGTTAGGCAGAAGAAGAGAAATGCCTTTCCTGCCACCCACTGGGAACTCTACTTTCATTTCCTTCAGCTCCCACTTTAAAGAGGTAATATAAAGAGAAGAGCAACTAGGGGTGAGGGGTAGGAAATGCCAAAGGAAAAAGAAAATTTGTGACCAGAGAAAAAAGAAGAGCAGAAAAGGAACAAAAGCAACACAAACTCACAGGCATTACAGTGGGACGACCACACATAACAGTTTGTTACTGGCTTAGACATTTTGGAGCTCAAAGCAATTACACCTTGGTTAAAAGAGATAATTTGGGTGACTTATAGAAGTAATTTGGGTTATTTATGTTGTGATTGATTTTTATTTCCATCTTTTACTTTTTGTACTTTTATTTCCATCTTTATATCGTTATACTCCATTTTTACATCTCCATTTTCCACTTTTTCTACAGTAAGCAAATATTAGTTATAACAGGAAAAAAAAAAAAAGAAATGGCTCTGTCACTTTTTAGCTGTGCTTCCTTGGGTAACTATCTTAATTTCTTTGGGCCTTAGTTGCCTTATCTGTAAATAAGGATTAAAATACCATCATAGGTTTTGAGTAATTATAAAGAACCAAGCACAGTGTTAAGCACAAATATTTAATAAATCACCATTTAAGCATATAGTAAATATTTAATACATGACAATTTGGCATATTAACATAAAAATGACATTTTATTTTTTAAGAAGAGAGGGAGAAGAAATAAATTCACCAAAAGACAAAGCATATGATCAGAATGGCTCTTCCTGTTGATTCGTCGTTTCTTGAAACCCTTGTCACATTATTAAACTTTATTTCCTATGTGGTTTTTCTGAAAAGAATCAAAAGAAGCACCAGCCACTCACACCTCACGCAGGACCACTGAGCTTGGAAACTGGGTGCAAACCCTCTGATGTCACTGGTCCTGGGCTCACAGAGGGGCAGCCTCCCTTTCAGGACTTATGGCTTTTCCCAGGCAAACATTTGCTAAGACTGACATCAGGCACCTCCCTGTGCTGAGCTGCCTGCAGGGATGTAAGGTCTTGCGTGCCCCTCTGAATTTGTATCTTTTTTTTATGTTCTCACTGGTTGAAAAGATGGTATGTTAGCCAGATAACAGCAGTGCTGGAAAGCATGAAATACTCTAGTTCCCTGGTCTCCATTTCCTCCAGTGAAACCACAGATTGGATGATGTGATGTTCCTTCCTCCTGGAATGTTTGTTCCAAAGATGGTAGAGTTTATTCTGTTTTCCCCAAAAAAGCCAGTACATTCTTCCCCCAGGGAGTGTTTTAAGTCTGATTTTTTTTTTTAACTATAAAAGAGGCTTAACTCTTTTTTTTTTTTTTTTTTTTTTTTTTTTTGAGACGGAGTCTCGCTCTGTCGCCCAGGCTGGAGTGCAGTGGCGGGATCTCGGCTCACTGCAAGCTCCGCCTCCCGGGTTCACGCCATTCTCCTGCCTCAGCCTCCCAAGTAGCTGGGACTACAGGCGCCCGCCACTACGCCCGGCTAATTTTTTGTATTTTTAGTAGAGACAGGGTTTCACCGTTTTAGCCGGGATGGTCTCGATCTCCTGACCTCGTGATCCGCCCGCCTCGGCCTCCCAAAGTGCTGGGATTACAGGCGTGAGCCACGAGGCTTAACTCTTAGTGAGTGATTTCAGTCATCATCAATTTATGGAAGATAAAGTGTTGGCCCTTATGCCTTTCTAGGAGGTTGAGTATGTGTACTCTGGTGACACAAATGATCTGATGGAAAAAATAAACAAATGAAACAAGGTTTCCTTCGGGTTTGTCCACGAAGAGTCAAGTGGAGACCAGGAGCATGGAGGCGCATGTATGTTACATTTGTTATAGGACTTGGTGCGAAGTATGGCCAAGAAACTTTTACTAAACTCAGCATAGAAACTGAGATGTACCCAATTTGTCTGACAATACAGAGAGCAGAAGGTAGTTCTGTAGTACAGCTTGAGATGAGCATCCTTAATCCAAAAACTGGAAATTGGAAATGTTCCTAAATCTGAAACATTTAGAGTGCTGATGTGATGCCACTGTAGAAATTTTCACACCTGACTTCATGTGACAGGTTGCAGTCAAAAGTTTGTTTCATGCATAAAATTATTTAAAATATTGTATAAAATTACCTTCAGGCAATGTGTATAATGTGTACAAGAAACATAAATAAATTTTGTATTTAGATTTGGATTTCATCCCCAAGATATCTCATTATGTATATGCAAATATTACAAGTTCCAAAAAAATTTAAAATCTGAAACACTTCTCATCCCAGGCATTTCAGAAAAGGGCTATTCAGACTGTAGAAATATTACAACCTAGTTCTTTCTCCAAACAGACATCGGTATTTTGCAGGCTCCTAGTGACCAACACCAGTAATGTTTCTTTGAAGCTATTCAGGGAATTAACCTTAATGTGGTGTTAGAAAAACATTCAGACATGTATTTTTTGAATAAGAGAAAGTCAACTGCTCTTGAAGCCACTCTTTGCCAAATATCACTTGAGAATTACAAGAACACAAAAAGCATCTCTAATGAGGAAGTATTAGTTAATTGTAAAACTTGAAAGGGGCAAGGGAATCTATTAAATAATATGCTATAGATAATATGTTTGGAGATATATTCAGGTTTTAGATCCAAAGACTTTGTCAGGAAAAAGAGGACTGAAAGATCTTCACCTGAGTTATTGCTCATTGTGGTAGGCACATTGAGAGAGCTTGTAGAAATTTGGAGGGCTCATACTTCCTGTTTTCAAAACTTACTACAAAGCTAGAGTGATTTTTTTTTTTGTGTAGTACTCTGGCATAAGGAGAGACAATAAGGCCAGAATTGAGAGTCTATACATCTATGGCCAATTGATTTTCAATAAGGGTGCCAAAACCATTCATGGGGAAATATTAGAATTTTCAACAGAATGCTGGGTCAGCTAAGTATCTACATGCAATAGAATAAAGCACGACCCCTACCTTGCACCAAAAAAAAATTTTCACTCAAAATGGATCAAAGACCTACGTACAAGAGCTAAAATGATCAAACTCTTAGAAGAAAGCAGAGGTAAATCTTCATGATCTTGAATTTGGCAATCGCTTCTTAGCTACAATACTTCCAAAGTAGGAACAGAATAAATAAATTGGATTTAATCAGAATTAAAAATTTTTTTGCATCAAAGGACATGATTCAGAAAGTGAAGACACAAGCTGTAGCATGAAAGAAAATATTTAAAATCACATATCTGATGATCCTAGTATCCAGAATATATAAAGAACTCTTACAACTCAATGGCAAAAAGACAAATAGCCAAACACAGAAATGGGCAAAGGATTTGAATATTCATGTCTGCAAAGATGATATACAAGTGACCAACAAGCATATAAAAAGATGCTCAACATCATTAGACATTAGGGAACTGCAAATCAAAAACTGTGAGATGAGATACCGCTTCATCATCCACTAGGATGGCTATAATAATAATTTTTTAGAAACAGAAAATAACAAGTGTTGGTGAGGATATGAAGAAATTGGTAACATTGTGCATTACTGGTGGGAATGTACAATGGCTCAGTCACTCCAAAAAAGTTTTGCAGTTCCTTGAAAAGTGAAACACAGAATTGCCATGTGACCTAGAAATTCTATTCCTAAGTATCTCCCCCAAAAAACTGAAGACAGGTACTCAAACAAATACTTGTCCAAGGATGTTCATAGCAACATTATTCACAGTAGCCAACCAAAATATCTGTCAAGGGATAATTGGATAAACAAACTAGGGTATAAGTATACAATGGAATAGTATTCAGCCATAAAATTGCATGAAGTACTGATATATGCTACAATGTAGATGAACCTCAAAAACGTGTTAGGTGAAAGACATAAAAGGTTACAAACTGTATGATTCCATTAAAATGAAATATCAAAATAGGAAAACATGCATGAACAGAAAGAGGAATGGCAGTTTGCCATGGGCTGGGCAGGAGGAGAAAAATAGAGATTAACTGCTTAATGGTTACAAGATTTTCTTCTCTTTGGCGGGGACGGAAATGTTTTGGAACTAGACAGAGGTGGTGGTTGCACAACATTGTGAATGTCATTGAATTGTTCACTTCAAAATGGTTAATTCTCTTCTATGCAATTTTTACCTCCATAAAAATTAATTAATAAAAGTCTATTTGAAAAGCAATTTGTATGACAGAGTGAGAGAGAAGAGCTGGTAGAATATGGCAGAGGTAGGTCCCCGTGTATCAGTTCACATAAGTGATGCTGTTTCTCTCCTATCTTTCACTTGAGACACCCTCTATGCCGTAGCAGTTTGCACACAGCCTCTCTCCAAGTCAGTCTTTCAGGCAGCAGCACTAAAAGCCTCCTCCACCTCCAACCCTGCCTTTTGGCTGTAAAAGCACATATGCAGTCTTGAGGGTGGGGGTGAGAGGGATCGTTTTCTCATAATGGACCAAACCACCCGGGCCAGTGTGACTGAGGGAAAAAATACTAAGGTTATAGGTTAAGGAACTGAGAGCTAGATATTTTTGTAATTGTAATGATTATGGGCCTGGCGTTTTAAAACAATTATTACTTTTTTTTTTTTTTTTAAAGAAGCAAGCCCACACACCTAACACTCGTTTTCAGTTTTGTGCAGAACCTTCCCTCTCCCAGCCTGGTTGCTTCTGATTAAGTTCTATGGAAATAGCTCTGCTGGATAACATATGCATAAGTAATGTACAGGCATCCTTTACCCAGGATCTTTGAAATTCACAAAAGTTTCCATGGCCCCGTCTTATCACTCAGCGTGTTAATAATGCCGGCTAGTTGGCTTTCCTACTGTTCAGAAAATTTCACTCCTGTGGCTTCTTGGCTGGTTTTGAGGAATCACTATATGAGATGAGTGAACTCAGCAGTGTGTTGGTATTTAAACTGTGGTCAGACAGTTTTAAAAAAAATGAAGAGAGGGGTTAGTTCATAAAAGACATTCATGAATGATACTGTTTTCCTTGTCATCCCTAGGAGGGTGTAAAACAAATCTGTTAACATCCAAAATAAAAATGGAGGGCTGAGGATTATTATTTTTAGTGTCTCACCTTAGGAAAAAATTAAAAGATGCATTAAATGAAAAGATGCTTAAGACAATGTGGTGATTTTGTTCCAGAGAAACATTTGGGCCCTTTCCCTGGGAAAGGGGGTTAAAAGGTTGTCAGTGCTTTCTCCGGGGGCTCCATCTGACAGTGAACATGTGTTTCTTCCCTTTAATCGACTCGCCAGTAGCCAGAAAGCTGCTTGTTTTCTGCGGAGGTTGTCAAAAATGATTTCAGTCTGGAGACGATGAATGATAAAAGAGGTTTTCAAACACGGTTTTGCACTGTAGCATTCGCAGCCCCAGAGAGGAAAGATTGTATTACAATCGTGGTGTAAAGGGCCATGCTCCTTTGGCAAGAAAACAGAGCCTCCTTAAACCTGTTTGATACATCCTGGCATCTTAGGGAGCTGAAGATACAGGGAGGGACTTGACTAAGTGGATGCCCCAAAAAAAGTGGGGTGGTAGAGTTGCAGCATGTGGAAGAAAAAACCCAAAAGCCTCTCCAGGTGCTCTTCTGTCCTGCTGTCCACATGCATCTGGTTCTGTTTGAGAGCAGCTTTTAGGGCCACAGGTGGGGACAGATTTCAGAGATTCAAGTGGCAGAAGGAGTGGCTGCCACAGGCACTGCAGCTTCTCAGCAATGACCCTTCTCTGCTGAGGATGCTGCCTTTTCCGCAAGCAGTGCTGGGTGCTTGGGTGCCATCCATATTTCCTCCCTTGGATTTATGGGTATCATAAGCCGTCACCGATGGGGTTTGTGTTTGGAAAACTCAAGAGGTTAGTTATGGCTTTCTAAAACATGTGACGCAACCTAAGCATGCAGAGAAAAATGAGGCTCACTATTCTCTGACATTTTCATCTTCTCAAGAGGAAGAAAAAATAAAAGCTGCAATTATTTCAGATCAGCTGTTCTCTTTTTAAGTATTCTCCCATTCCTGTTTCATTATTCCAGGAGACCCCATTTTTGGAAAAGCCAATAAGGTATACTTGGAACATACCGAATGATAAACTCAGCGGTTATTTGCATTTCAAACATAAAATTATATCTTTCACTTTACGTAAATGTAAGGATTTGTTGCAGAGTTACTTTGGTCAAAAGAAACTCCCTGAAGCATATGTGAGATTCAGTTTACAAAAACAACATTTGATTTATCTGTAACTTTTCAGGAACACACCAGTGATATAAATCAAGGTGTTAGTTACAACTACGCTTAAGAACTTCCCATTAAACTCTCAAACTGAAAAAGAAAACTCTAGACAAAAGTTTCCTAGAACCTAAGGCTGAAAACATGTTTCACGCAGAAGGTTTTTATTATTATCTTCTTAATGATATACACGGATACAATTTAAGCTTTTCTTTTGCTTGCATAGCCAGATTCCATAACATCTCCGGAGCAGTAACTTGTATTCCTTTCTTTATTATTTCTGACAATATCTAAAATATTTTTAGCTCACCAGTGGCAAATATTTCCACCACTGTAGAAAGATCAGGGTGATAGGCAACAACTGTACCCACTAACCCAGAAGACCAAATAGAGGGGACTTGGGCAAGCTGAGCACTGAGCTGCCTTTCCCATCTGATTCTAATTTCTCTTCTGGCTATACAATTTTATCACCACACAACTCATTTTCTGAATGTAATCAGGAAAGAAGTGTGGATAGGGAGGGTCAGAGGCACCATACAACAGGTGCATGTGGAGAGTTGGGTGACACAGTTCAAACAAGCATCCCAGACTCCAGCAGTAAATATATTGCTGGTTCCAGCTTTCACTGTGTAAGCCAATGACATATGCCCTGAGCTGATGAATGTGACAGTCACGAGGAAGGACAAACTTTCAACTAGTATCAACCGCTGCAAAGTCTGAGCTGATGATCTTCTCAGTGCCAACATATTTGGCCAATGTCAGAGTGATTTGGCTAAGTGGGCTCAATCAACTGTTTTCAGTCTATTATAGTTCGTAATCCCTATTCAGGATAGAGTGTGCTGCAGCCTAATGAATGTGGTAATGGAATCCTTGTGTATGTTTTTCCACAGCAGGGCACAGATTAGCATAAGTGTCATATTCTGTAGGCTTGCCCACTCTTATTTCTCAGGCATTACATATGCTATGGATTTTTCAACCGGATAATAATAGGATGAATATGGTCCACATCTGCAGAAAGAACACACCATTTTTAGAAAGCAATCTGTAATAAATCTCACCTGGAGGTGCACTATGATAGATTAACTTTGCACTTCTGCTTAAAAATGTAATATTTTACACCAAGGATCATGTAATCTGAGAAAGGAAGAATTAGATTGAATTTCATGCAGAGTTTTAAAGAATGTTGTCATTTTAGACCATGGGGTTGAGGAATACCTTACATTCCTCCCAGTTTGCCATATCTGTGGCAAGTTCAAAGCTCTATTTGCATGTCACAATTACTCAGAGTTGATGTTTTGTTCTCAGAGATGCCAAACGGGAGGGAAAGATATTCTTGATAGGAACGTTTCATGGAGAGAAACATAAAAGGGAGGTGGTGGAGAGACTGAAAAAGTAAGCTCACTCTCCTATTCTGCTTTAAGAATTCTCGCTCAACAGCTAAATAGAAAGGCAAGCTACGAGAAAATTTTTCAAAAAGCATTTTCTTCCTGTAGTCCTCAGAAAGGCGTATCTTTGCTAAATACCAATCAGATCATTCAGAAGTTTTCCTAAGAGAAATTACACCTCATAGCACTCATGCTATCTTGCCTTTCTGGAAAACTGTTGTCAAACTTCTTTCTGATTCTAAACAATTTCACAATAACTAAGATATAGAATCAATTGAAGTGTCCATCAACAATAAGTGTAGCCAGGCGTGGTGGCACACACCTGTAGTTCCAGCTACTCAGGAGGCTGAGGTGAGAGGATCACTTGAGCCCAGGAGGTTGAGGCTGCAAGGAACTATGATCATGCCACTGCACTCCAGCCTGGGTGACAGACCAAGGCCCTATCCTTAAAACAACCAAACAAACAATAAAAGGGTAAAGAAAATGTGGCATATACACATAACAGAATACTAATTAGTCATTAAAAAAAAGAAGAAAACCCTGTCACTTGCAACAGTATGGATAAACCTGGAGGACATTAAGCGAAATAAACCAGGCACCAAAAGACAAATACCGCATGATCTCACATATATGTGGAATCTAAAAACATTGAACTCATAGACACAGAGAGTTGAAGAGTGGTTACCAGGGGCTGGTGGGGTGAGGGAGGTTGGGAAGATGTTAGTCAAAGGGCACAAAATTGTAGTTCAATAGGAGGAATAAGTTCAACAGATCTATTGTACAACATAGGAACTACAGTTGACAATGTATTTTTGAAAATTGCTAAGGGAGTAGATTTTAAGTGTTCTCAGCACAAAAGTGACAATTATGTGAGATAATGCATATGTTAATAAGCTCAACTTAGCCATTCCACAATGTCTATAAATTTCAAAACATTATGCATGATAAATATATACAATTTTGTCAATTTAAGAAAATTTTTAGTAATGATCTCAGTGACTGTGACTTCAGCAAAGCTTAAGGTAAACGTAGGAGCCCCCACTCCTCCCCTCCTTTTCTGCTATCAATGCAAAGGTGGTTTATTCAGTCTGAATCATTGGCCTCATCAATCCACATAAATGAAACTCCATAGATTTTTTTTTTCCAGTGGCTCCTGTTTTGGCCCCTCCAGCATATGTGTTAAGGAGAGAATGGTGGGCTAAGAGTGAGAGAACTCTCAATGAACCTGACTCCACATCTCCTTAGGGAAGGAGGTACTCTCTGAGAGTCCCCAAATTTATGACTTGATTAAGGAGAGTGTAGGTCTGTGACATGCTCACCACTTAAGTGGTGGTTTAGTATGACTAATCAAAGAGGTTTTCCTGGCACCCAGTAAGTATCAATATATATAGGCTGGGCTAGAAAAGCATGTCTTGTTGCTTTTAAGTATGGAGGCAGGGGATCAGCCTAGGCCTATTAATCAGTCTAAGGTAAGTGCTGCCTCTATCTCATATTTTAATCTCCTCCTTTCTGCTGTGTTAAAGAAATCATATCTGTGGCTGAAATAACAGTTAGAAATGAAATTGTTTGCCAAGTGAATGAGACAATCAAACCGGTGGTTTGGAGTTGGGGATTAAATATGAATCTCATTTACCTTTATTATCCGTACATTTCTCGCTAATCATCATAACTCAGACTATTTAAACTTTATTGAAAATGTAGCCAGAGTAATGGAGTGTTATTAATATTTGTTTGTAATAGTTCCAGCCTGGACTGAGCGAGTCTCGAGAAAGCCAGCTCCTCTCCTTTTGTGCTGAAGGGCAGGGGAGGGGAACCAAGATTGAGGATCAAGGCTGCGCTGCTTCAGTGCCTTCGTGGACAACCAAATTCCAGTTGCCAGCTTTCTTCGTAGGCATCTGTTCCTCACAAAATGGCTTCAGCGGAACATAACTTTCCAAAAGAAGAGCACTCCAGCCCCTGCCTCTACGTTCACCTATCTTTCTGAGTCAGCTTTTCAGCAACAAATGCCACCAAGCTAGTTAGCTGACAGTACCAACTACAGAAGGAAATCATGTTGGAAATGTCACTGAGGCCGGGCTGCCTCCCCGCCTGCACCCACAGCCTCTTTCATCTCACCACCCATTCCTTCCAGAGCGGCAGAAGGAGACTGGGTGGCAAGTGTATTTAGGATTCTGAGGAAAATGTCTGTTAAGTCGACCTTGGTAACTTAACTGAAACAGTATATGTGTAAATCCATTGAAAATCCCTGGCCTTTTACAACTTCTGTCCCAATGGAAATCAGATCACAGGACTGTTTACAAGAGACCACGATTCATTTGGATAAAGACCCATGACAGCACGGCCCAGGATTATTTGAAATTTTAGTAACCTAAGCTTTAAAAATATTCTAAAAGCAAAATAATGAGGGGCAGGTAATTACCACAAGCTAATTACTTATGATATTTCATATATATAATCGAAGAACAATCTCTGTAAATGTCAACTCATGGCACTCTGGCAATCACTTGTAATTTTTATTGTTTAAAGAAATGTCAGCATTTCCGTTTTCCCTAACTTTAGTTAACCTGGGCCCTTCACGTAGCTAAGTGGCCACCAGAAAAGCACTTTATGCTGTTGTTTCATAGCACAGCAGGTCCTCAGTTTTGCTGTAATTTTATTGCTGTAAAAAGAAAGCATAAAGTGTGTACAAAAGAATTTAAATGTTAAAATGAAATATGATAGATGTACTCACAACTTTCTGCAAAGTTGATTTTTCATTCATGTTGCAGTTAGTTTTTTTTATAAGCTTGGCTAAAAAATTCAGGAGATTCAGAAATATGTGTGTTTAGTTGGTTTGTTTCTTTTTCTCTTCTTCCCCAGCCACTTAGAAATAACGACTGTGAACAAATGACCTCCACTAGAAGACTCCTTAACAAGTCGGAAAGAAGCAAGGAAAGGGGAAGATCATAGTGAGGGTGGACAAGACCCGAGGCAGAGGAACCTGAAGCCCGCCATTACCAGCGGAGCAGCTTCCGGTTGTTCACTTGACTTCTCTCTGTCTCTGCCTCCAGCACCGGTGATCCAGAGGCCTCCTAATGAGTCTCTAAATTTCATCGACACTTAAGTGGGAATCAGGTAGCTTCTCTGACTATTCCGAGTGTGGTTTCGCTAGCGGGAGTGGCATCTAAGTATGGAGTGTTTTCCCAGCACCAGGAAAAGGCTAAGGAAGGATGACATGGAGAGGCCGGGGCTATACTTCCCAACTCTGAACTGGTGGCTAAGCAGGGCTGTGGTCAGTGCAGGATCTGAGAACCAAGGGATGTGGGAGAGGAATCTGACAGTTCAGGGATCAAATGGAAACCAGTGAGGAGAGGGAAGCAAGGACATCTGGGAGCAGCACTGGCCACACTAGCAGACTCCCTTTGCAGGGAGAAGTCAGGCAACCGCTACCTAAGCAGAAGAGAAAAAGGAGCTTTGGGGAAATGGGCGGTGGGACTGTTCCCTGGGCAGGGCTGTCTCTAGGCAAAGCCAGGACAGAGGGGAAAAAGCAACATCCTCAGAGCCTATCCACTCTGCCCAGTTTACCCTCTTTTCTTTAAACTTCCCAACTGGGGAAGCCTCGTCATTGGTACCTTCTTCTCCATTCGTGGGTATTAAAAGTCCTAAAATAAAGACAAATCTCATCCTTGGAATCAACAACATTTTTGTGTGGAGCTTCAAAGCAGATACAGCGGGAGGCAGATGGGGACAATTTGGAAAGAGGAAAGAGAAGAGAATGCAAAAAGGCTGTCAGCGGATGGGAGTGAAAAAAAGGAATTAACATTTGTGCTGGCAAATTCTTACCTGCTGGCTATACAATGGGAAAAAAAAATCTGAGAAAGGAAAAGGGAAGACATCAATACTTGCTTGACTAAATCTGACCAAAAATGGAAATATATTGAAGGTTAAAGGGGAGTTAAGTTGAAATGTGAAGGCTCTAATACTAGTTTATACCGTATTTAGACTACTGTTTTTTACATTCTTAATTTAAAGTAACATTCTGTAAAATGTTTACATTTCTATTATCAAGCTTTGCTTCCAAAGGGAATTATGTATTTCTTTGGAAAGTTAAAAATAAATTTGTTAGCATGATTTCTGTCTTACCAAATGGGATTTTTTTTTCCTGTTCCATGCTATGTATTGCATGTAATGAGGCACAGATTTCGACAATTTTATTCAGGTAAGAAAGACTATAGGCACAGTGAAAAAGCAAACCCCCTCTTGTCCTGGTTTGGAACAAATGCTTTAAGATAAAAATTCCCCAGAAGGACATCATGAAATCTCCACTTATTCTTCTCCAACAGCTCTGATGATAGAATGAGTCAGAGAAAGAGGAACATTTAAAATGAGTGGTAGAATCAAAGTTACTGGTAAAGAAAGTCTCAGTAATTAAGGGGCAAATGAATTCATGAAAACATTAAGCTGTGAACGGGTTTTTTCTTAAGTTCCTGTTTATTTTTGGAAAGTACAACACTTGGATCCTGGATTTGGCTAGTGCAAAGTTTTAAGAGCAAACATATTTTCCATTTTAGACAGACACATCTCAAGCTTTTTTCCCTTAGTAATACACAGAATGTCTATATTCTAATCTGGTAAAATTTTTGTCTTCTTATATCACTGTTTTTGGTCTTAAACCACTCTAATCCTTTTTGGACAACAAATGAAACCTAACTACTAATATTTACAAAATTCATGAGAAAATATATTGGTGAAATTCAAGAACTGGGAAGGATATATGTTAGAGCATTAAAAATGTTTTCAGATTCATTTGTAATTTTCTGAAAAATTTCTCCAGATCTTCAGCTGATCAAGCATGGAACATGAATGGCAGATAAGTAAATTTACATGTTGCTTTTTAAAAAAATGTTTTCCATCAAGCCATGATACATTTAGTGTTTTTTTCAATTCCTTCTAAAAACAGTGAAGATATATTTATCTCTTTTCATCTCTTATCCTAGAATGTTACTCTGATTTTGTTATTTTGTTACTGTTAGTATAAGAAACCCCAGGCTGGGCGAGGTGGCTCACGCCTGTAATCCTAGCACTTTGGGAGGCAGAGGCAGGTCGGGGAGTTCAAGACCAGCCTGGGCCACAGTGAAACCCTGTCTCAACTAAAATACAAAAAAATAGCCGAGCATGGTGGCACACGCCTGTAGTCCCAGCTACTTGGGAGGCTGAGGCAGGAGAGTCACTTGAACTTGGAAGGCAGAGGTTGCAGTCAGCTGAGATCACACCACTGCACTCCAGTCAGCCTGGGGGACAGAGCGAGGCTCCGTCTCCAGAAAAAAAGAAAAAGAAAAAGAAAAAAAGAAACCCCGGATTGTGTCCTCAGATTGTTTTACGTATAGTTTCAGTCAGGATAAGGCACATGAAGCTGTGGCAAATGACTGCCAATCTCAGTGGTTTTACAGGGCATGTCTACTTTTTGCTAATGCTGCACTTCCTGTGTAGAAAAGCTTATCTCTTTGCAATCACTCAGGGACCCAGGCGATAGAGACTATCCTGACACCTGCTTTGGGGCAAATTATGCACTGGGGCTTAAAATGTTCCCCAGGAAACTTAAGTGTGTATCACCATCATGCACTTTTCATGGGCAAAAAAAGCAAGTCATGTGAATACTTAACTTCAAAAGGGCAGAAAAATAAAATCCTTCCATATACCGAAAAGGAAAACTGGATAATTTAACAGTCTGTTTATCCCTTTTTCTGGTTTTTTTTTTTTTTTTTTTTTTTTTTTTTTTGAGACAGAGTTTTGCTCTTGTTGCCCAGGCTGGAGTGCAATGGCACGATCTCAGCTTACTGCAATGTCTGCCTCCCAGGTTCAAGCAATTCTCCTGCCTCAGCCTCCCAAGTAGCTGAAATTACAGGCATGCGCAACCACGCCTGGCTAATTTTGTATTTTTGGTAGAGATGGAGTTTCTCCATGCTGGTCAGGCTGGTCTCAAACTCCTGAACTCAGGTGATCCGCCTGCCTTGGCCTCCCAAAGTGCTGGGATTACAGGCATGAGCCACTGTGCCTGGCTATCCTCTTTTTATCTTCTCATTAGATGTACCTGAAGTCCAGAAAGCAAGTCATATTTCACTATTGTGGAGCACAGTGCTTCGCACCACACTTATTATTCATTGAACTATTAATTGAAATTTGAATAATTGAAATTTGCTCATTTTGAAGACCCAGGGGCTGCAGTATTCATGTCAATCATTCTATATTTATTAAGTGCCCACTGTGTATAATAACAGCAACAACCTACCAAACCCTCAATATGAAGCAGACATTAAGCTAGTTGCTTTACATAGATTTTCTCTAACCTACAGTACTACAAAAGGGAATTATTCTTCCTCTAATTTAAGACACTGAATTATTGTGAGATTAACTAACTTGCCCAAAGACATCCTCAAATGGATCATGGAGGCAGAGTAAGAACTTCTATGGCCCTGCTTTATCCACTCCAGTGCTCCCCAGAGTGGAGCACTAGCCCTCTGGCTGTGCTTCTATGTGTTTTCTGGAACAGATGAGCTACCTGAAAATCTCCCACCCACTGCCATCATGGTTTAGTTCCTGGCCACCTTCAAGTCTTTGCTTAAATACTAGACCTTGTCTGATCACTCTATTTGAATTTTCAAACCCGCCCTTCCTCCCAGACCCAGCTCTCACTATTCCCTCTCTTGTTTAGTCTGCTCCCAAGCCTTGTCATTTTCTTTCTCCCCAACTAGAATGTACTAAGAATGGGGAATTGGTCTGCTTTATTCATTGCTACTTCCACCATGTTTAGAACAATGCCTTACGCATACTAGATACTCAATAAATATTTATCAAATGGATGAATAAATGAATGATGGAATGATATCTAGCACTACACAGGATGCTTTTAGATGAAACATGATCATTTATCATTTATAAGTCTTTATTGTGTTCTATATTAGAAAAAGTTTAGCTAGCACATCAAAGCATGCTTTTGAAGTTATTGCTGGTACTGATATCATGCTTTCTTTTAAAAACAAATATTTAAATGCTTTCTACCTTGGTCCGAGCAGCAGTTGTAGAGTCCATACATAAACAAAATTCACTGAGCACTGCACTTAAGATTAGTTCATTTTACTCTGTGAAATTCCCCAATTTAAAAACAAAAAATGGCCAGGATCTTGCCTGTAATCCCAGCACTTTGGGAGGCCAAGGTGGGCAGATCACTTGAGCCCAGGAGTTTGAGACAAGCCTGGACAATATAGTGAGAACTTGTCTCCACAAAAAATAGCCAGGAATGGTGGTGCATGTCTGTAGTCTCAGCTATTCAGGAGGCTGGGATGGGAGGATCACTTGAGCTGAGGAGATAGAGGTTGCGGTGAGCAGAGATTGCACCACTGCATTCCAGCCTGAGCAACAGAGGGAGACCCTGTCTCGAAAAGAAAAATAAATAAATAAAATTAAAATAAAAAATATTTTTGGCTGGGCATGGTGGCTCACTCCTGTAATCCCAGCACTTTAGGAGGCCGAGGTGAGTGGATCACTTGAGGCCAAGAGTTCAAGACCAGCCTGGCCAACAAGGCAAAACCCCGTCTCTACTAAAAATACAAAAATTAGCTAGGTTTGGTGGCGTATGCCTGTAGTCCCAACTACTAAGGAGGCTGAGGCACAAGAATCACTTGAACCAGGGAAGGGGAGGCTGCAGTGAGCCAAGATGGTGTCACTGCACTCCAGCCTAGGTGACAGAGCCAGACTCCATCTCAAAAAATAAATAAATAAAAATAAAATAATTAACATTTAAATAAAACTATGGTAACGAAAGCTAATATAAATAAAAATATTAAGCATTTGATACTTTGGACAGTGTCAGGAATGACAGAAATTTTGTAATCATGTTGCTACTACTTCAATGTCAAAGGGTTGTCAATAGAGAGACAAATGATAATATATTGCCACAGGAGATATTTGTCGTCGGTATAATTTGGACAATAAGTGGCCTGTGACTTTACAGGAGAGGAAAACCCTGGCAGAGCACAGTGGTCAGGTGTAGGGGTGGGGCAGTTTGTCCGGGAGGGATGCGCCAGGCACAGGAGAGCAGGTGTCCTGGGGCAGCACCGCATGGCCATCTCAAGTCAGGCACTGAGGTGGGTACATGAAGTCACTGTTTCAGAACCCAACTTTTACATTCAATACACTCAGTGTTGCATCCAGCACGTTCCCAGGGGAAAGAAGAACACCCGCTTCTTTCTGATCCTCACTGAATATCTAAAATCTGGATGCCATGTATCCCACCTTCTCTGTTCTGACATCAGGCCATGGGCAGCACTTCTTTTCTGGGACAAAAGCCCTTTGGAGATTGAGTGTTGTGGTGCCTTCATCTGCCTGTGGACTAAACACTGCTTGTTTTAGCAAAGGGACCCAGGGTAGAACACCCTGGTTGCCAGCACCATTTCTGATCTTCAGCTACCACAGAGAAAGCCATGAGATGGTTGAGCCACGAAGGCAAAATAGTCATTGCACAAGAGCAAGGAAGACAAAGTAAAATTCCTCTCTTTCGGCACTTTCTCTTCTAATGAGCAGCATCTCCTGGTTCACTAACTGTGGGGCGGAGAGCACGGCCGCAGTAAATTGGAACAATGATTGTGAAAGATACATTCTTTGCCATGCAAAGCCATTCACCAGGAGCTGGCGACAGCATAACACTCCTTTTACACAGACTCATCAAAGGCTCCAGAGTCAGTGCCCTTTTATTTAATTTGCATGACACTGGAGAGTTATTGACAAAAAATAATAATCAAGTGTTTCCCTTGAGACTGTCTTAGATTGTGTTCAATTAAAACTAGATATTCAGAGTTGGCACCTGGCTCAATCCGCCAAATGGCTTTTGTGCTTCTTGGCTGCACTCACACCAGGGGAGGAAACCGCTGGCAGGGGAAGTGAAGAGTACCATGAGTCACCCTCCGACAGCCGCCCTTTGAAGCCAGCTCCCTGGGCCACCTCCCCAGATGCACCTTCTGCCACACTGGTCTCCTTTCATCTTGATTCAAGTCTGAGAGAAGAGAAAGTGTAACTTTCAAATATATTTGTGAAGAAAATGCAAGCTCATTATGAAAAGAAAAAGGAGGGTGAGGGGAGGACTGGTTATACTTACAGCCACCTGATTGCTCCCAGTTTTTCAGGCTTAATTGTTTGGAGGAAGAAAAAAAGAGCAATTTAGAGGAAAAAAAAGAGAAAGACAAAGCGTGCATTTTGCCATCTGTTTTAGCAAGAAATTCCTTTAGTCTGATGCAATCAATTACACTTGGGTTGTATTTTTTTTTAAAATTATGGGTACGTTAAGCTCTCTGGCAATGATTTTCCACCTTGTCTGACATTCTATTTACACATATCCAAGGAAACCCTATCGTAACTGACCTGAAAGCCCCAACTTTGCTAGAAAATGTGTCTTCCAAGGGGGTTTTGTTACTCTAGGTACCAGAAAGTGTTGGTTATCACACCTCCTCCATGAAGCCTGCTCTGGAGTCAGAAAAGTACAATGAAGAATATTTCATTCTCCCACAATTATTTCATATTTATGTTTTTTCCTTTCAACATAAAGCTCCTTGAGGACAAGGGCAGCACGGCTTTGGCCATGATGGGCTTCCCATCAACTGGTAGGAAGCCTCATGCCAGGGCTGTTTCATGGCTCTGCTGGAGCTTTTATTAAGTCCACCCACTCAACGCTATTGTTGAACCAATTCTTGCAAAAGATTCCATGTTAACAGAAACAAATAAATGCGAAGTCCATCAGTTGATTCAGATTTTAAAACATATCTCACCAAACGGAACACAGACCTGGGGACAGTTAGATGCATCTGCAACTTGGTAGTGTAATTCCCTCTACTCACTATCTGCCATCACACACCAAATTTATTTTACACTCTTGGTTAAGTGGTCCCACGTTAATATGAGAACAGAATGGTCATATACGTATACATGCATGCACACATATATATGTATTATTTTGTAATCACATAAAATAATAAACGTACTTTATTTTTAAAGGCACAGCTTCTATTTTTAAGATGTTTTAAAGTATTTCCATGCATAATTCAAAATTCATGGAGTTTTCATGAAGGACAAATAGTCAAAGGTACAGCTAAAAGGCCAGTGGGGCACTGGGGGAATGTGTATATTTGGATTTTAAGATGTAGCGAGAACGAAATGATCAAGAGACCAAATTGAAAAACTATGTTTGACACCTTTTTTCCTTCCCCTGCTCTGAAAGCAGGGGATATCTAATTGCTTCTGTTTCCTCCAATAATAATCCCATAAATAACAAAAAGGCCTAGTGTGGCTCTATTCCCTCAGTATCAGATAACTATCTCGACTGTTTATGCAGTCGATGCATTAATTTTAGTGCGGGTTGGCTTTTTACTTCTTTGAAAAGAGCCTCGGACAAATCCTCTTTGTGCTTTGCATTGAGCTCGGCTTTGCAGCCAAAAGAAATTAGTAAAGTCTAGAACTTTGTTTTCAGAGTTTGTCAAGTTCTTTCCAGTGAAATCTTTTCTCCAGTTCCAGATGTTGCGGTTTATTGACTTCAGCTTCTATTTTCCTTCCATGTGAAAATGCCAACATCCCATTTGGAGATGACATGGAGAGCCAGAGGAGGGTAGACATAGCCAATCTGCTCAAAGGTGACCCTGAGGAGTTAACCACTGGTACTGGTATGGCAATTTAGGTTGAATCATTATATAGATATATTAACTTTTCAAAATTATTTCTTCTGATAACAGCATTTAACATAAACTTGGTTTATTTTATGTTCTGCCTGGACGAACTGAGATGAAGAAGTGGGGTAAATTGGAAATTACTGTATTACAATCAAAATATCCAGATTATTGGGCAAATGTTAATTTGAGGCTCCAACTTTTCAGGGAATGGTCATTTTCCACTTCTCTGTGTGTAACACAAACAGAAGTATGTGCAACAACCAGTGAGACCAGAACCAACTCAGCTGACCCAGAGTGACATGTTTTAGCTGTGAGGTTGATTTGCAGTATATAATAAGAGACACAAGCTCACTGCAGCAAAATATGGCTACTCTGTTCTCATATTAACATATGACCGCTTAACCAAGAGTATAAAATAAATTTGAATTTCTCTATGCTCCTTTAAATGTCCAGGGGCAATATTGTCTTCCACTGGGACATACACAAAATATAACTTGAAAAGAAGTAAATTATTGAAAAAGCATTGGTGAATTTATTCAAAGAGTAAAGTTCTTTGAAGTCTGACTTTTTCTAGTTTAATATTCTACAACTCTTAAGCGTGGTTTATTGTACATGTATTTTATAAATGTATATAAATATATGTGTCTATCTTTACATACATATATATGTCTGTCTTACTTTCATAGTTTTTTTATGAACTGTTCCTACTTTGATATCTTGATTGTACTAGCCTTATTTTCATCATCAAGCTAGAATATTAGCATTCTTGTCCTCTTTGAGGGTATTTTCTGAAGATCACCACCTGCAAGCTTTTTAGGAGGTGCCATCGGTACTCTTTCTGACATTTTAATAAATAGGAAAATAAATGCTGCCCACCAAATTCCCTAATGTCAACACTTACCTCATCTAAAATGAATGAGTCAGTTTTCATAGATCTCACGGCATGTGCTGAGAACCTACATTTTTCCCCACATCAATGTGCCCAACTTCTTTTCTCTTCAGGCTTTAGTCTTAGGAACTATAACTCACTTTGCTTCTCTGTGCCTCAGTTTCCTTATCTGTAATATGAGGAGGGTGGGCTTAATGACTGCTAAATTGTCATTCAGTTACAAGTTTCTATGATTCAAGAATTTCTGTAAGTTTTCCAGTTCTGGGAATTGCCCTCGTCTTTATCAGAAAGCTCATGAGTAATCCACCCCTTGTTTAGCATATAATCAAGAAGTAACAATAAGTATAATCAGCTGAGCGGCATAAGTTGCTGCTCTGCCTATGGAGTAGCCATTCTTTATTCCTTCACTTTCTTAATAAACTTGCTTTTGCTTTGAAAAGAAAAAAAAAGAATTTCTAGTTTTAGTTTCTTCATCTGTAAAAGAAGAAGGTGGAACTATGTGTGGGTTTTTTGTTTCCTTTTAATTATTATGAAAGTAATATTTGCTTGTTGAAAAAAATCAAACAGCACATGATTCTATAAAATAATATGGTAGAGTTTCCCCCTCTTTTCTCTTATTTTATTCACCTCCTCAAACTATGTCCCAGCGATAACTACTGTTCAGATTTTTGTTATAATTCCAAACATATATAGGCTTATTCAAACAGTTTTGATTATATTATATTTTTAAATTATACGTTTAAATTCAAATTAAATTATGTAGCACACTTCCCTGATTTCTTTTTTAAAACAAAATATGATAAACACCTTCCCATGACGATGCATATTAGGCATACCTCTTTTTTTTTTTTTTTTTTTTTTTTTTTTTTTTTTTTTTTTTGAGACGGAGTCTCGCTCTGTCACCCAGGCCAGAGTGCAGTGGCGTGATCTCGGCTCTGCAAGCTCCGCCTCCCGGGTTCACACCATTCTCCTGCCTCAGCCTCCCAAGTAGCTGGGACTACAGATGCCCGCCACCACGCCTGGCTAATTTTTTGGGCATACCTCCTTTTTAACAGCTATATAGTGTTCCATTGAATGGCTACGCTTAATTTATTTGTTACCTTCTATTGAAAACATTTAAATTGTTTATTTTTACTTGAAATAGGTAATTTCTTTTTTTTTGCTGGTTTTCTTTTTTATTGTTATTATACTTTAAGTTCTAGGGTGCATGTGCACAACATGCATGTTTGTTACATGTATATACATGTGCCATGTTGGTGTGCTGCACCCATTAACTCGTCATTTACATTAGGTATATCTCCTAATGCTATCCCTCCCGCCTCCCCCCACCCCACGACAGGCCCTGGTGTGTGATGTTCCCCACCCTGTGTCCAAGTGTTCTCATTGTTCAATTCCCACCTATGAGTGAGAACATGTGGTGTTTGGTTTTCTGTCCTTGCGATAGTTTGCTGAGAATGATGGTTTCCAGCTTCATCTATGTCCCTACAAAAGACATGAACTCATCCTTTTTATGGCTGCATATTATTCCATGGTGTATATGTGCCACATTTTCTTAATCCAGTCTATCATTGATGGACATTTGGGTTGGTTCCAAGTCTTTGCTATTGCGAATAGTGCTGCAATAAACGTACGTGTGCATGTGTCTTTATAGTAGCATGATTTATAATCCTTTGGGTATATACCCAGTAATGGGATGGCTGGGTCAAATGGTATGAAATAAGTAATATCTAAGGTTTATTTAGTGTTAAGATTCTATAGTCACAAGTCTATTGATTATTTCCTTGCAAGATTTGCTTTCATTCAACAAATATTTAAGGGTATATATTGTGTGTCAGAAACTACTTTTTTACAACTCCAAATGAATGAATTATGAAGAATCAATTTGAATAAGCTGTGTTTAATGCATTTCCCATATGCAAGCAAACCCAATTCCAGTGCATACTATAGGCAGGAAAGAAATAGACAATGGGCAACAAGGAGATATGCAGAAGTTACAGCTATCCGTGGTCTATCCTGGAAGGATAGGCATTTAGTTTTCTTTAAGAAATGTGTAGAGATCCTTCTGTAATTCTTCTTCTAGTGTCTAAAATTACTCCACCAAAATAGCCCCAAATCTTAAATTTTGCCATCGTATCTCCTTGAAGGAAAGTAAATTCTAAAGGGTAATGCTATGTGTATTCTTAGGGCATGTCTTTTTGATTAGTTTATTTTTATAGCACCTTAGTATAAGGTGATATTGCCTTGGAAAGACCATGATCATTGTTATTAATATCATATCATTATTAAGAATGAGACTAATATTCATTACAGAGTGGTTAGTCACCATGTGGCAGTACTAAGTGCTTTGCATTCATTTTTGGGAATCCTTATAACTTGCCTGCAAGATAGATATCAATGCTTCTATTGTACAGAGTGGGAGAAAGTAGGGAAGCCAAGATACCTCCAACACTCGTTTTTCTCCTCACTGAGTCGCTCCAATGCCACTTTGAGTATATGAAACGCAAGCTGTCTATAAAAACATAACTGGAAATTAAAAAGGAAAACCAGAAGGACTTTAGGTAATGGAGAGAACTTAGAAAAGATCCATGATTGGATTAACATATAATGTACTTTGAAAACTATTAAACTATCAACCACCTCTTCCCCTTTGTAACACCCTAAGTTGAGATATTCTAGTTGCTTCAGCATGCAGTTTGCACAATCTTGGTTTTCAAGCAACTAGATTTTAGTTTTGTTTTGTTTTGCAGTCATTGAATAACTCTTTTATGTAATAAGTGAAGATTATCCATCTTCCAACCTAATTATAAAACAGCATCCTGCACTATCCTTTGTTGTAAATACATTTCTTTATATGTCACTCAACATTCAATTATCCACATAAGGATTATTCATGTCAGAATTGTCACCTGCTAATGTTTAATTTCCAAATGAATTTCCCCTGCTGACCAGGGTGGCCTTTCCTGCCATCCATGAGTATCGGTTCAGAAAGTCAAGATAATATTGACAATAATGTGCATAGGATCTAATTAAAAGACATACCTCTGCTGCTGCAAAAGCAAACAAACACACAAACATATGATACCTCCTGAGGCCAAACAACAATGATTTTGGGATTATCTGTTGCTTTGGATTTTCTGCATTACCACGCCCTCCCACTGGCACGCAGAATTGAAAACCGGCTGCCCGACATGTTTGCAATGACTGTTTTAGGAGTGAAGCTGTTGATTAGCAAAGGACTGTTGTCATAGCACATGTCAATCTTTGTAATTATCATATTTTCTTACAACAAGTTCTACAGCTGCTAGTCTATGGCTCATTTGTCTCTAAAAACTTGAGAAATAATTGCTTTCACTCAGGAGTTTACAAGAGCAGAACTATTAGAGTCCATACGATTAGATACTATGCATTTTCCAGATGATAATCAAATCATGACCTGAAGGGAATTTTAGATCTTCTGAAGCCATAAGCAACTACTCTCTTATGAAGGCATATGTAACTAATGGAACCAGAACCTTCAAAGCCAAATTACCCCAGCCCCTCCACAAGAGAATATTCTGGTAAATAAATTAAAATTTTCAGCATAGCACAAGCCAAATTATCCAGATTTGGCCTTACTTTTTCTTTCTTTTTTTCTGAATCTCACTTTGTTGCCCAGGCTGGATTGAATCTCATTCTGTTGCCCAGGCTGGAGTGTAGTAGTGAGATCTCGGCTCACTGCAACCTCCGCCTCCTGGGTTCAAGTGATTCTCTGGCTTCAGCATCCCAGGTAGCTGGGATCACAGGTGCGTGCCACCACATCCAGCTAATTTTTCTGTATTTTTAGTAAAGATGGGTTTCATCATTTTGGCCAGGCTGGTCTCGAACTCCTGACCTCAAGTGATCCACCTGCCTCAGCCTCCCAAAGTGCTGAGATTACAGGTGTGACCTACCACGCCTGGCCTGGCCTTACATTTTCTATGAGCAAAAAAAAAAAAAAAAGTGAACTGTTCTCACTCAAGAAGAAATACTCAGTTACCTGAGTGGTAACTATCTCAGTAGACCCATCAAGCAAAGACATGTCTGGCAACAATGCCAGACCTTTCTACCTAAAAGAGAGAGGTTTTGGTCCTTGTGAATGGACCACATAGCCCAGAGCAAGCAGAAAGTGCCAAGGTTCATTTCCATCTTTTGTGCAATCTTTAGAATGCATACAAAGCTTGTATTCTACTCCATAGTGTTTAAGTTAACTTAAAATTGCTTTTTCCTCTTAAAATTTTGAATTAAAATGATGCCCTGAGGTGACTCAGGGCATTTATCCTGTAGTTGCCCATACCACCTGGTGCACAACCTCATTTACCACCTACAGGTCTGAGGACCCAAAGTCATCACACAGAGGTCTTTATAAACCCCTTTCTAATAATACAGTTTCAGATATCAATTTGGGCAGCAAAGAGAGACATCACCAGGACCCAAGATGCACACAAACACAGGTGCCAGTATTGTGATTTCCTGGTTCTCAGCTGTAGGGAAGGCAAGATTTCTGATTGTTCCTTTTACTGAAGACTGTCTGGGGATCACAGTATTGAGGATGCATTTGCACCTGGTCTGAAGGTTGTCCAGGATCCTGGGACTCTTCTTATTTGTCTGCTTTTTGTGGTAGAGTCTGGCCAGAGCCTACTCTCTCCTTCCTCCTTTGGTCTATCCACCAACCAGGTCAATGATCATGAGACAGGGGTTCAAAGCCTTCAGGCAAAGGAGGAGCAGCCAGTTCCTTAGAGTAACCCCAGAATTTTCCTCCATTTCTCTGAGCCCTTACTACAGATGTTGTTTTCAGAATAAATACAATTTTTAGTCACTTTCTAAATTTTGAGTTTCTTCACATTTTAGTTGTTATATAATACCTTTGTTGTACAACCCTTTCTTCCTGCCATTTCTCTCTAGAAAACTTAACTCGACCCATGAGCACAAGTGTCACCTGCAGGCCGATGTCTCCCAGAGAGCACATCCAGCCCAAATCTCCCATTGCTCTCCTAGAATCACATTTCCAGTTACTACCTGAGTGCCTCTCTTGCACCTCAAGAACAGCACCTCTCTATCTAGCTTTTCTGCTCAAGTCAGCTCCTCCTCCTCCTGATTTTCTCTTTCTCTAAGTAATCATTCCCTCAGCTACCCAGGGCAAGAAAACCAGGGTCTTGACATACCCAACTCTTCATCACACCAGCAGCCAGCCCCATGCCTAGCACATAGTAGGTACTCAGTAAATATTTGTTAACTGAATGAACACATATATGTACGTACACACATATGTATGGACACATATGTGTACATTGATTTTATTTTAAAAATTAATTCAATATCATTTGCAAAAATGCAAAATAAAGCAATGTTTCTATTGCCTATAATCAGATGAAATAAAATACACCAAATTGCTAATGTTCTGAATAAACTTGCAACATTTACAACAGCCAATGAGAAAAATTTAGAAGACATAGAAGGAGTTAAAGATAATTAGAAGTTTTAACTAACAGCCAATCCATTGGTTTAATTGAATACCTACTATTCTCTACTGAGTATCTCCTGTGCATCCAGCAGATGCTCAGATCAACAGGAAATAGAGGAGCTGGGTAAGATGTGATTTCTGCCCTTTAAGAATCTAATTGGGAATAGAAAACTATCCACTTGAAACAACCCTGATCAATACAAGCCATGACGTGCCAAAGGGTTAAATCTGTGGCACAGACTCTGAGCACATAGAAGTTATAGGTTTCAGAAACCCCACATGGGAACAGAAAGCATTAGTCAGCATCAGAAGATGGCTTTCTGGGAGCTGTGAGAATATGAAGAATGGTCAGAGGGCAAGACTGAGAAAAAAGAAGGAATAAGACATTCCAAAAGAAGAGCTAAGGAGAAAAGCTGGGTTCAAAATGCAGACACAGGCCTGGGCATGGGATGGCATGTGGGGAGAAGTTCACAGGACAGAGAAACCGGCTAAACAAGTCCATTTCAGCTCTAAGTCAGCCTGTTGGTGATATTATAGGGTAAACCTACTTGGACCAGATGACCAGCCTGTTTGGAGGACATGTGGAAATCTCATGATCTCTGTAACAAGTAGATATATAATGGCTGCTTTATTTCCAAAAAAATTACACATCATATCATATTCTCTCCCTATAAAACTCTAAAATCCTCTGTAAAGAGAAAACATTGACTATAGACATCATGATTCCCTCAGTTAATACCAGGCATTATTTAGGCACTTGGGAGTGTATATCATGTCTCAGGCCAGCATTAAAATATTGCCATAATGTGTCAAGAGACTTCATGGCAATCTGAATGTTGACGAGCCAACAAAGAGTGATTTTATTCAAAAAATTAGTTGAATATCATTTGCAAAAATGTAAAATAAAACAAGGGGAGTTGATGTTGTTTCTATTGCCTATTGTCAAATGAAATAAAATACGCCAAATTGCTAATGTTCTTAATAAACCTGCCACAAGGTTGGTTTTCTGTTAGAATTGTAAAAAAAAAATGGAGTATAACTTAGAAGGATCAGCAGAAAGGGGTTATGATCCTATTGGTTCAATTGTACACTTCTCTTGTATGTATTTTCCAGCATTACATTTGACTGAAAGACAACTTTGACATCAAAAAACAATTACTCTTCCAATCTCTCAATTTGTTCTTTGGAAATGTTTTCTATCTCCCCCAGCCACTCCCTCTTTGTCTTAGTCATCATGACTTCCAGTTAATTGGTTCAATCTCTGAACAAAGCCCAGCCCTGCTGGGCAGAATTAGGATGCATGTTTGGGTGCTGAATTACACCAGTGGTTTAGACAAGAGAGAAGTCCTTCTCACTTTCATGTTCAAACACAAACAACCCAGGGTTGACTTGTAATCATTACACTGTTGAACACTCAGGCACCCTCTCTCTTGAAGCTCTGCCATCCCTAGGTGTCAATCTTGTTGACATTGTCAGCAATGCCATCATCTTCTCTTTCCTAAGGATATCGAGTGACTGGTATCATTAGCTCTAAGTGTTTCCAGAGGAGTGGAGCTCTAGTCTGGGCTAATGTGATGGGGTGGGGCAGCTGGTGAGATGGCAGTGCAGGTTTAAGCCCCATTTTTCAGTACAGGCCTTGTGACATTTCACTTAGCAACACAAGATATGGCTTACAGGTAGAAAGAGGTTGGGGGAAAGAAGAGAAGACATGCCCCACTGAGAAATGATACATATCATTTCTGCTCATATCCAGTTGGAAAGGATGTAACACCTAGCTGCAAGGGAGGCTGAGATATGTAGGATTCAGCTAAGTGGCCATGGTTCCCCTAAAAATCCTACCATCATAAAAGTAGATGATCAGGAAAAATAGCTTTCATAGAAGACACAGAGAGATTGTTTTCCTAAATATCTAATCACACACTTCTCTGTTCAAAATAGATTACAAATGCACATACATTATTGCAAGATAAAATAAATTGAAACGTTTTAAAAAATGAGTCAAAAGTAAAATGGGATTTTAAAATACAATCAACATATTCAAAAGAATTACCAAGCCATGACGTTTTCTCTGGGAGTAAACTTGAGGCTGACATTCAGGGAGTCCCTGAATGAGAAGAATGAGGGCTTGAAAGAGAAGGTTGTTTTCTGGGCCATACAGCTCAGGGCAAGAACAATAACTAATAGGAGGGGCTTTCTGTGAAGGAAATGTCTGTTGGATTTAGGGGTCTGATACCCAGACTATTCAGTCTGATATCCAGGTTATTCAGCAGTCTAATATCCAGGTTGTTTTCTTGTTTTGTAATTCCTTTCAGTCATCTTAAGCTTGCTATCTTCAGTATTTGAGGAGTGAAGGGTGTGGAAGGGTCAAAGTTTTGAAGCATAAAAGGAGAAATGATTCTTAGTAAGGCAGACATGGATGCAGGACAAGACTGAGCCACTGGCCCAGATGGCAGGATGGCATGCCACAGCCAGGGAAATGGAACACTCTTTAGAAAAGCCCAGAGACATTTGAGAGAGGAATTTTTCAAGTTATGCAGCATGAAGGGTTAGGATTTTGACTCGTGAGTAAAAAGTAACAGAAGATGGAGTTGGGGGGAAGTCATGCTGCCCAAAACACAGTGGAAAAAAATGTGTACATGTAACTAGAAATGGACCACGAATTTGGCATCACCTCTTGGGCAAAGCTGCCAGTGATTTTTTTCTCTCTGTCTCATCACCCTATGCCCTGATCATTTTATGCTCTTGTATGAGCTAAAGCCACTTAAGCCCCTCTTCCATGGATTGCATAAAGAGCGGATGCTGCAATGTCTCACCTAAATCTCCTTCAGAAGGAGCTGAATCCATCCCCAGTATCCCCCTTCTGGGCACAATTGCCCTGGGATGAATGGGGACTGCCCCCCCTGGAAAGTTGTCTTCCTCCCCAGCCAGTAACCAATGCATGGCTGGCACAGAGGTACACAATCCTAGACCCTTTGCCTCAAGACAATTCGTGGGAAAATTCATCCTCTAGATCTGCCCATGGGGCCAGAATAAAGCTATCCTCCAGTTCAGACCCTCTCCTTGTTTCACTTTCTTCTTTGCTTGTCTCACACCCTTTCTCCTGAAAGCACTGTCCCACTAAAATCACCTGCCCAAGAACCCCTGTTTCAAGTTCTGCCTCTAGGCAACCCACCTTAAGATACCATAAAACACAGGACACAGCAGGAAGTGAATAGATTCCCTGGAGGGTCTGTAGGGCACAGGCAAGGAGGAAGAGGAACCATGAGGCTTATCAGTGGCAGATGATAAGGGAAACTCAGGGGCCAGACAGGGTCAGGGAGCGTTGTTGAGTAAGGCTGCAAGGCAAAGACAACAGTGAGTAAAGAAGGAGGGGACATGAAGTCAGCAGCATCAGAAGCATCCCGTCAGCAGAGCTATTTCCTCCATGACCCTGGGCCTCCTTGGGGACACACCCTGCCCAGTGTCTGGCAGGTGTTGTGCTCTTAGCTCCCAGCAGAACCAGACATTTCAAGGACCATTCTTGCTTCAACTTGTCCATTCTTTCACAGTAAGAGGAGGTCTCCAGCTGATCCGTTTGTTAATCCCCTGGATTAAGCGCACATAAAGAGTGAAAACACCACTAGGGGAGAATTCCTACAGCTTCCTGCTTGAAAACAAGATTTGCCTGCAGCTAAGGGGCATGCCCAGCTCTGACAGCTACTATAAGCCCTGAGTAGGGCTTGGGGAAAGAAAAAGGAAAAAGAAAAAGAAAAGAAGAGAAAAAGCCTGTGAGAGGCAGCAAAGAGGGGAAAGTCAGGTGAGAGGTAGCAGGAGGTGAGGGGTCTCCATCTCTCTCCTACAGCAGTCCCTGGATTGCTTTTTCTACACTGAAGATGGAAGGAGAGCATGTTTTGGTCTTGATCATTTTTTTTCTTATTATTATACTTTAAGTTCTAGGGTACATGTGCACAATGTGCAGGTTTGTTACACACGTATGCATGTGCCATGTTGGTGTGCTGCACCCATTAACTCGTCATTTACATTAGGTATATCTCCTAATGCTATCCCTTCCCCCTCCCCTCACCCCATGACAGGCCCTGGTGTGTGATGTTCCCCACCCTGTGTCCAAGTGTTCTCATTGTTCAATTCCCACCTATGAGTGAGAACATGCGGTGTTTGGTTTTTTGTCCTTGTGATAGTTTGCTGAGAATGATGGTTTCCAGCTTCATCCATGTCCCTACAAAGGACATGAACTCATCATTTTTTATGGCTGCATAGTATTCCATGGTGTATATATGCCTCATTTTCTTAATCCAGTCTATCATTGATGGACATTTGGGTTGGTTCCAAGTCTTTGCTATTGTGAATAGTGCCGCAATAAACATATGTGTGCATGTGTCTTTATAGCAGCATGATTTATAGTCCTTTGGGTATATACCCAGTAATGGGATGGGTGGGTCAAATGGTATTTCTAGTTCTAGATCCTTGAGGAATCACCACACTGTCTTCCACAATGGTTGAACTAGTTTACAGTCCCATCAACAGTGTAAAAGTGTTCCTATTTCTCCACATCCTGTCCAGCACCTGTTTTTTCCTGACTTTTTAATGATTGCCATTCTAACTGGTGTGAGATGGTATCTCATTGTGGTTTTGATTTGCATTTCTCTGATGGCCAGTGATGATGAGCATTTTTTCATGTGTTTTCTGGCTGCATAAATGTCTTCTTTTGAGAAGTGTCTGTTCATGTCCTTTGCCCACTTTTTGATGGGGTTGTTTGTTTTTTTCTTGTAAATTTGTTGGAGTTCTTTGTAGATTCTGGATATTAGCGCTTTGTCAGATGAGTAGATTGCAAAAATTTTCTCCCATTCTGTAGGTTGCCTTTTCACTCTGATGATAGTTTCTTTTGCTGTGCAGAAGCTCTTTAGTTTAATTAGATCCCATTTGTCAATTTTGGCTTTTGTTGCCATTGGTTTTGGTGTTTTAGACATGAAGTCTTTGCCTATGCCTATGTCCTGAATGGTATTGCCTAGGTTTTCTTCTAGGGTTTTTATGGTTTCAGGTCTAACATGTAAGTCTTTAATCCATCTTGAATTTATTTTTTTATAAGGTGTAACGAAGGGATCCAGTTTTAGTTTTCTACATATGGCTAGCCAGTTTTCCCAGCACCATTTATTAAATAGGGAATCCTTTCCCCATTGCTTGTTTTTGTCAGGTTTGTCAAAGATTAGATTGTTGTAGATGTGAGGAATTATTTCTGAGGGCTCCGTTCTGTTCCATTGGTCTATATCTCTGTTTTGGTACCAGTACCATGCTGTTTTGGTTACTGTAGCCTTGTAGTATAGTTTGAAGTCAGGTACCGTGATGCCTCCAGCTTTGTTCTTTTGGCTTAGGATTGACTTGGTGATGCGGGCTCTTTTTTGGTTCCATATGAACTTTAAAGTAGTTTTTTTCAATTCTGTGAAGAAAGTCACTGGTAGTTTGATGGGGATGGCATTGAATCTATAAATTACCGTGGGCAGTATGGCCATTTTCACGATATTGATTCTTCCTATCCATGAGCATGGAATGTTCTTCCATTTGTTTGTGTCCTCTTTTATTTCCTTGAGCAGTGTTTTGTAGTTCTCCTTGAAGAGGTCCTTCACATCCCTTGTAAGTTGGATTCCTAGGTATTTTATTCTCTTAGAAGCAGTTGCAAATGGGAGTTCACTCATGATTGGGCTGTTTGTCTGTTATTGGTGTATAAGAATGCTTGTGATTTTTGCACATTGAGTTTGTATCCTGAGACTATGCTGAAGTTGCTTATCAGCTTAAGGAGATTTTGGGCTGAGATGATGGGATTTTCTAAATATACAATCACGTCATCTGCAAAGAGGGACAATTTGACTTCCTTTTTTCCTAATTGAATACCCTTTGTTTCTTTCTCCTGCCTGATTGCCCTGGCCAGAACTTCCAACACTATATTTAATAGGAGTGGTGAGAGAGGGCATCCCTGTCTTGTGCCAGTTTTCAAAGGGAATGCTTCCAGTTTTTGCCCATTGAGTATGATATTGGCTGTGGGTTTGTCATAAATAGATATTATTATTTTGAGATACGTCCCATGAATACCTCATTTATTGAGAGTTTTTAGCAGGAAGGGCTGTTGAATTTTGTGAAAGGCCTTTTCTGCATCTATTGAGATAAACATGTGGTTTTTGTCTTCCTTTTTGTTTATATGCTAGATTACGTTTATTGATTTGCGTATGTTGAACCAGCCTTGCATCCCAGGGATGAAGCCCACTTGTTCACGGTGGATAAGCTTTTTGATGTGCTGCTGGGTTCAGTTTGCCAGTATTTTATTGAGGATTTTTGCGTCAATGTTCATCAGGGATATTGGTCTAAAACTCTCTTTTTTTGTTGTGTCTCTGCCAGGCTTTGGTATCAGGATGATGCTGGCCTCATAAAATGAGTTAGGGAGGATTCCCTCTTTTTTCTGTTGATTAGAATAGTTTCAGAAGGAATGGTACCAGCTCCCCTTTGTACCTCTGGTAGAATTTGGCTGTGAATCTCTCTGGTCCTGGACTTTTTTTGTTGGTAGGCTATTAATTATTGCCTCAATTTCAGAGCCTGTTATTGGTCTATTCAGGGATTCAACTTCTTCCTGGTTTAGTCTTGGGAGAGTGTATGTGTCCAGGAATTTATCCATTCCTTGTAGATTTTCTAGTTTATTTGCGTAAAGGTGTTTATAATATTCTCTGATGGTAGTTTGTATTTCTGTGGGCTTGGTGGTGATATCCCCTTTATCATTTTTTATTGCATCTATTTGATTCTTCTCTCTTTTCTTCTCTATTAGTCCTGCTAGCAGTCTATCAATTTTGTTGATCTTTTCAAAAAACCAGCTCCTGGATTCATTGATTTTTTGAAGGGTTTTTTGTGTCTCTATCTCCTCCATTTCTGCTCTCATCTTAGTTATTTCTTGTTTTCTACTAGCTTTTGAATTTGTTTGCTCTTGCTTCTCTAGTTCTTTTAATTGTGATGTTAGGGTGTCAATTTTAGATCTTTCCTGCTTTCTCTTGTGGGCATTTAGTGCTATAAATTTCCCTCTACACACTGCTTTAAATGTGTCCCAGAGATTCTGGTATGTTGTGTGTTTGTTCTCATTGGTTTCAAAGAACATCTTTATTTCTGCCTTCATTTCGTTACATACCCAGTAGTCATTCAGGAGCAGGTTGTTCAGTTTCCATGTAGTTGAGCGGTTTTGAGTGAGTTTCTTAATCCTGAGTTCTAGTTTGATTGCACTGTGGTCTGAGAGACAGTTTGTTATAATTTCTGTTCTTTTACATTTGCTGAGGAGAGCTTTACTTCCAACTATGTGGTCAATTTTGGAATAAGTGCAATGTGGTGCTGAGAAGAATGTATATTCTGTTGATTTGGAGTGGAGAGTTCTGTAGATGTCTATTAGGTCCGCTTGGTGCAGAGCTGAGTTCAATTCCTGGATATCCTTGTTAACTTTCTGTCTCGTCAATCTGTCTAATGTTGATGTGGGGTGTTAAAGTCTCCCATTATTATTGTGTGGGAGCCTAAGTCTCTTTGTAGGTCTCTAAGGACTTGCTTTATGAATCTGGGTGCTCCTGTATTGGGTGCATATATATTTAGGATTGTTAGCTCTTCTTGTTGAATTGATCCCTTTACCATTATGTAATGGCCTTCTTTGTCTCTTTTGATCTTTGTTGGTTTAAAGTCTGTTTTATCAGAGACTAGGATTGCAACCCCTGCCTTTTTTTGTTTTCCATTTGCTTGGTAGATCTTCCTCCATCCTTTTACTTTGAGCCTATGTGTGTCTCTGCATGTGAGATGGGTTTCCTGAATACAGCACACTGATGGGTCTTGACTCTATCCAATTTGCCAGTCTGTGTCTTTTAATTGGAGCATTTAGCCCATTTTCATTTAATGTTAATATTGTTATGTGTGAATTTGATCCTGTCATTATGATGTTAGCTGGTTATTTTGCTTGTTAGTTGATGCTGTTTCTTCCTAACATTGATGGTCTTTACAATTTGCCATGTTTTTGCAGTGGCTGGTACCGGTTGTTCCTTTCCATGTTTAGTGCTTCCTTCAGGAGCTCTTTTAGGGCAGGCCTGGTGGTGACAAAATCTCTCAGCATTTGCTTGTCTGTAAAGGATTTTATTTCTCCTTCACTTATGAAGCTTAGTTTGGCTGGATATGAAATTCTGGGTTGAAAATTCTTTTCTTTAAGAATGTTGAATATTGGCCCCACTCTCTTCTGGCTTGTAGAGTTTCTGCTGAAAGATCAGCTGTTAGTCTGATGGGTTTCCCTTTGTGGGTAACCTGACCTTTCTCTCTAGCTGCCCTTAACATTTTTTCTTTCATTTCAACTTTGGTGAATCGGAGAATGATGTGTCTTGGAGTTACTCTTCTCAAGGAGTATCTTTGTGGCATTCTGCGTATTTCCTGAATTTGAATGTTGGCCTGCCTTGCTGGATTGGGGAAGTTCTCCTGGATAATATCCTGCAAAGTGTTTTCCAACTTGATTCCATTCTCCTCGTCACTTTCAGGTATACCAATCAGACGTAGATTTGGTCTTTTCACATAGTCCCATATTTCTTGGAGGCTTTGTTCATTTCTTTTTACTCTTTTTTCTCTAAACTTCTCTTCTCACTTCATTTCATTCATTTGATGTTCAATCACTGATACTCTTTCTTCCAATTTATCGAATTAGCTACTGAAGCTTGTGCATGCGTCACGTAGTTCTCATGCCATGGTTTTCAGCTCCATCAGGTCATTTAAGGACTTCTCTACACTGGTTATACTAGATAGCTATTCTTCTAATCTTTTTTCAAGGTTTTTAGCTTCTTTGCAATGGGTTTGAGCTTCCTGCCTTAGCTCAGGGAAGTTTGATCATCTGAAGCCTTCTTCTCTCAACTCATCAAAGTCATTCTCCTTCCAGCTTTGTTCCATTGCTGGTGAGGAGCTGGTTCTTTGGAGGGGGAGAGGCGCTCTGATTTTTAGAATTTTCCGCTTTTCTGCTCTGTTTTTTCCCCGTCTTTGTGGTTTTAACTACCTTAGGTCTTTGATGATGGTGACCTACAGATGGAGTTTTGGTGTGGATGTCCTTTCTGCTTGTTAGTTTTCCTTCTAACAGTCAGGACCCTCAGCTGCAAGTCTGTTGGAGTTTGCTGGAGGCCCACTCCAGACCCTGTTTGCCTGGGTATCAGCAGCGGAGGCTGCCGAACAGCAAATATTGCTGAACAGCAAATGTTGCTGCCTAATTGTTCCTCTGGAAGCTTCATCTCAGAGGGCTACCCGGCCATGTAAGGTTTCAGTCTGCCCCTACTGGGGGGTACCTCCCAGTTAGGCTACTCAGGGGTCAGGGACCCACTTGAGCAGCAGTTTGTCCATTCTCAGATCTCAAACTCCATGCTGAGAGAACCACTACTCTCTTCAAAGCTGTCAGACAGGTACATTTGAGTCTGCAGAGTTTTCTGCTGCCTTTTGTTCAGCTATGCCCTGCCCTCAGAGGTGGAGTCTACAGAGGCAGGCAGGCCTCCTTGAGCTGCGGTGGGCTCCACCTAGTTCGAGCTTCCTGGCTGCTTTGTTTACCTACTCAAGCCTCAGCAATGGCAGGCGCTCCTCCCTCAGCTTCGCTGCCGCCTTGCAGTTCCATCTCAGACTGCTGTGCTAGCAATAAGCGAGGCTCCATGGGCGTGGGACCTTCCGAGCCATGCACGGGATATAATCTCCTGGTGTGCTGTTTGCTAAGACCATTGGAAAAGCGCAGTATTAGGGTGGGAGTGACCTGATTTTCCAGGTGCCGTCTGTCACAGCTTCCCTTGGCTAGGAAAGGGAATTTCCTAATTGCTAGCACTTCCCAGGTGAGGCGATGCCTTGCCCTGCTTCAGCTCACGCTTGGTGGGCTGCACCCACTGTCTTGCACCCACTGTCCGACGAGTCCCAGTGAGATGAACCCAGTACCTCAGTTGGAAATGCAGAAATCACCCATCTTCTGCATCACTCACGCTGGGAACTGTAGACTGGAGCTGTTCCTATTTGGCCATCTTGGAACCACCTCCTCTCTAGTCTTGATCTTTTAGTACCACCGACAATCAGGTAATTTTAACAGAAGTGACGTGGAGAAGAGGTAGCAGTCTTGCTGCCATTTCTTCACTGTTTGAGATATAGTAAAGATATAAGATATTCTCTATGCCCTTGAGATATAAAGAAAAAATTGAGAAAAATATCACTTTTTTATAATTTGAGTTAAAATTCTAAACAAGAGTCTTCCTTGATTTTGCTCTACATTAATATCTCTTTATGAACTTTTGAAAAGGGTCTCAAACTCAAGATGGAAAGACTAACAGCGGTCCTACATTAACTTCCTCACTCTTTTGGGGAGGGGAGAGAATGGAGGGGTGTGTTAGTAAATATTGGAGGCTGCTGGGGGCAGTAGGATGCTTTTTTGCAAGCTCAGACCAAATACGTGGTTACTATTCGTTCACTCACTTAAGAATTATTTACTTAGCATCTTCTATGAACCAGGCTTCATACTGGGTGCTGCCAATGTGGAGATGTGTGGGCCTGGTTCCCATCCTCCAAGAATTCACACTGGAGAAAAGACACATAAGGAAGATATTACACGAAAGTCTGCTTGGAGTCCTGTGGCTATACTCAAATCTGTCCACACAATTTTCATGAGCTTTCAGGTACATGGCTGTAATAATCTAGGAGCACAGGAGAGGATAAACTCTCCAGGTGTTTGTGGCTGGTACATCTAGCAATATGGTCTGAGGGAAATCCAGCTCTGCTCTGCGATGACCTGATTCATCCCACTCTGAAGTTGCTGCTCCCCAGGAAAGTATTGGTACAGTAGGGATCCAACAACAAAAGGACACAGTGGGACCAGAAAGCACAGTTCAACCATCTTTTCCTTTAAGCCCTCAAATAATAGCTTCTTTACAATCCTTTTCTGTTTATTCCAACACAAGTCACTTTGTGGTCACTTCCTATTGCTTTTTCCTCTTGATTGCGCATCATATTTTCCTTCTTGAAATGTTTAAGAATGTTAAATTATATGCTAGATATTGTGAACAATACATTGTAGAATATCTGTCTGGCAGGACAAACTCAATACCCTTTAAGGAAAGAGGATATAATTCATATGAATTAATCAAATTACTGGTAGATTCTTTTCATCCTCTTATATTTGATTTTATTCTTAGAAGAATGATCTATTTTGTTTTTTGTTTTTGTTTTTTTACCTAGTTTCAGGGCAGGATGCTTACATTAAGGCATAGTTATTATTCCTTTACAAAGCATGACCTTCCTAGGGTTCACATGAATGCCCCAGATTTTTCTTTCTTCTGTGGGCGAGAACTCCAGCATCACCCTAACCTGCAAGGCCTCTGTTATCAGTGTTCAGCTTTCATCTCCATGACGTCTATCTATGCCATGTCTCATGGAGTCTCAACCTTTACCTGCACAGCCAATCCTTTAGCCAAGGAATTCTCATAAGTCAATATGCAGACTTTCAGAGACCCCCCACTGCACAGCCCCTACTTATCCACTACCCTACCTAGGAAATTTCAGCTATTTCAGGAGCCTGGAACTCTGATCCCTGCTTCTTCAGCTCAGCAAGACCATTGTTCCATTGGGTTCCACCTCCTTGTGCTGCAGCTCTGTCCCCAAACACAAAAGTGTGGCTCATCTTGTGTGTTTCCCATCTCTCAAAGATCATAGTCCCATGCCTCCTATTCAATGCTTGAAAATAACTGTCTCATATATTTGTTCGGGTTTATAGTTGTTTTCAACAGAGGGCAAGTTTGATACCAGTTACTTGCTCATAGTCAAAAGCAGGAGTCAACATGCTTTCTTAAAAAAAATTATTGATGTTATTTTCTGCATATCTTGACTAGAACTCTACCACCCCATATTTGAGGAGTTAAGAACAAGCCAACATCCCCAGAGAAGATGGCAGAGCAGAAAGAAGAAAGGAACCTGGATCTTTAACAAATTTACCAACCCTGGTATCTCTCATCTTCACATTTCTTGTAACATGATATTGTAAATGTTATTGTTGCTTAAGACTCTTTCAATTGGGTTTCCAGTTATTTGCAGCAACTGGCACCTGTAGTAGCTGATACAAGTCATCATGCCTAAGTCTTCTTTTCTTAAGGTGGAACAACTTCAGCTACTCTAGGTATTTCATACAGGGTATCATGTGAACTCAAATTCTCTCAAATTTTTTTTGTCTCAATTATGATAGTGTGCTATGAACTGAGGAGTATGATTAATTCAAACCTCTGCCCTAAGACTGTGTGTGAGTGAGAGAGAGAGAAAGAAAGACAAAGAGAAGGTGGGGGTAGGGAAGTAGATACATATTGTGGTCTCTAATTATAGCAAATTCACCCAGACAATGAAATCACACAAAGTTTTACTTGGAAAACTCCAAAACAAGAGGTCATCTAATTCAAGGTTCTCATCCTAGGGTTCATTGACATCCCAGGATGGGCTTGGGTGAAGTTGGACATAACACATTTGAATGTGAATTTTGCTAAACAGAAGTTCAGTACCTTTCAAATGTTTTTGTATGGCTATATGCCCCCATCCTTAAGAGTTAGAAAGCACCAATGCTGACCAAACTTTTTACTTTCTAGACAAAGAAAGATTATCCCAATAAACTATGACTTATGCAAAGCATAGGGCCAGTGTATTAGTCTGTTTTCACATTGCTGATAAAGACATAACCAATTCACAAAAGAAAGAGGTTTATTGGACTTACAGCCCCCACGGCTGGGGAGGCCTCACAATCGTGGCAGAAGGCAAGGAGGTGCAAGTCACATCTTACGTGGATGGCAGCAGGCAAAGAGAGAGCTTATGCAGAGAAATTCTGGTTTTTAAAATCATCAGATCTCGTGAGACCTATTCACTATCACGAGAACAACATGGGAAAGACCTGCCCCCATGATTCAATCATCTTCCACTGGGTCCCTCCCACAACACGTGGAAATTATGGAACTACAATATGAGATTTGGGTGGGGACACAGAGACAAGCCACATCAAGCTAGTTAGAGCCAGAACTGAGACATTAATCAAGGATGCCTAATTTTTCTAAGTTACTTTCAGACCAATCTCATTTATTGGTAGTACTTTCTTCCCTGCTTGCATGAGGGTGGGAGACAAATCTTGGCTCTCCAAACAGCCAGACCCCAGACTCTGTGTTTGACCTTGTGCAATAGATTTGTTTCTTTAAGCCTGGATTGGCTGGGCACGGTGGCTCATGCCTGTAATCCCAGCACTTTGGGAGGCCAAGGTGAGTGGATCACCTGAGGTCAGGAGTTCAAGACCAGCCTGCCCAACATGGCAAAACCCCATCTCTACTAAAAATACAAAAAATTAGCCTGGTATGGTGGTGCATGCCTGTAACCCCAGCTACTCAGGAGGCTGAGGCAGGAGAATTGCTTGAACCCAGGAGGCGGAGGTTGCAGTGAGCCGAGATCACACCACTGCACTCCAGCCTGGGTGACAAGAGCCAAACTCTGTCCAAAAATAACAATAATAAAAAAAAGCCTGAGTTTACAAATCTATAGAAGGAAATTTAAAATATGATCTCTGTTCCCATCAAATTTCTTTGTTTCAAGTGATATAAACTAACTATGGCTGATTAGACAGTAGGGAATTTATTGCAAGGGTATGAGAAAGCACGTAGAAAAGGCTTCTTTGTGGCTCAACTCCACAACACTGTATTTTATGTTTATGAAAACATTGGGAAGGCTGAACTACCAGACTCAGAAATGGCATAAAGAAGGGGTGCAGGTAACAGCCTGAGCCACAGCCAAAATGATGCCACAATGTGAGTGAGGTGGAGACTCTATCACTCCACCTGACTGTTGCTGACACTGAATACTGAGGCTTATCTGTTATTGCTACTGAACTTAAACATTTAATGTCACCACCACAGCCTCTGTAAACCCTGGAAGCTGATGTTGAAGCCACCTCTGCAACCATTAAAGGAGAAATAAATTCTCTGCTTTCCTGATTTTTGCATCTCTCAATGCAAATTTAAAGTCTGAGGCAGGTACCTCTGTTTGGCTGAGTATAGGTGATGTGTTCATACCTTAGCTGCAGGGTAGCCTGGGACAAGAATTTTTTTGACTTCCATACTGGGAAATTCAAGCAAAATTCATATTATTAGAAATTTCTCAAATGTAAGAAATGGGTTCAAAGGCTGAACTCAGCCATTCAAAGGCTGAAACCTCTCAAATAAAACTAACATGGATCTACTACTCCATCCCATTAGGTTGGCGTGAGGATTAAATAGATAATAATAGATAGAGTGTCTAGGAAATAATAAGGACTCAATGTTCATTTTCATCATCATTGTATTACTCTTGTAAGAGTCAGCTTATCTTCATGGTATGCCAGTTGTCTGTAATACCTATAGCTGAGAAAAGTGAAATAAGGATTTGAAGTGTTTTTATTTCACATAATGGGAAAATGTAGGGAAAATTAAGGAAATGAGGAGTAATGCCAGAAGAGATGAAAGTGAAAAGACTGACAGACAGAGTCAGATAAGGAAAGTAAATGGGCATTAGATTAGTTGCAGAATTACTGACTCCTGTGAAGGAATGGATTGTCCAGGGAAAAGAAGCTAGCCAAGAAATGGAGACCTGGGAATGAGATCCATGCTACTCCGAGCTCTAATCCTAGGGCTGAATCTCCCAATCTAGGGTGCCCATACAAAAAGAACACAATAATTAAAGACAAATAAGGAATAGAAATATTCTGGGTCTTTTTGGAATTAAAACCTTATAGCTTGCATCTGTTTGGTAGTGGTGATTGTAGTGGTGGTCCTAGTGGTGTGTGTATGTGTGCAAGTTCATTTTGTTTTGTTTTAAACTTACAGAACAGAATTGAGATTTGGATTTTAAGGGAATTTTGATATTTCATTTTGACAGCTCTCCTTCTGACACTTCATTCTTCTTCTTCTCGCACCCAAACACACACAGGCATACAAACCTCTTTGGGATTGGCTGCAGAAACAGTGCCTCCCAGAGTATTCCCATTCATCTCATTTGTGCTTAGCTGACCTCTAATACCTAGAGGAGAACTGTAGTGCAAACATCAAGAAAATAATAATGTAATTCTAGAATAATATCCCTAAGACTTATAAATATGAAGCAAATATAAGAACCCTTTTTTCAGTGGACAAGAATTGCTTGTCTATTCATCACATCCTTTTTTTGTTTGGAAAGTGTCTCCTCTCTCTCTCCATGTTGACTCTAGAAGGACTATAAGCCACATATTCAACTCTGCAAAGGAAGAAGAGGGCTTCACTTCTTCTTACCTCTTCTTCCTTTACAGAATTGGACATGTGATTTACACTGACCAGTCAGTTTACCTTATATGTCTTAATGCCTGTGATTAGTCCAGAGAGAAATACATGAAGTAGGGATAACCAATCCAAACACTGCTTTGGAGTTTGATTGTTGGGATAAAGTCTCTCTTGAGTTCACAAAGCTTCAGGATCATGTATTCATGTGGCAAGCACCAGGATGCTCTCACCACCTTATGGAAAAAGCTTGCCTGAAGCTGAACAAAGGCAAATGGAGCTCAACATACCTCTGAACAATCTGAGCCAACAACTTCTCCTTTTGACTTCAGCTACTTTAAGTTGAGGTTTTATTACTTGGTGTATTAGTCTGTTCTCACACTGCTATAAAGAACTACCTGAGTATGGGTAGTTTATAAAGAGGGATTTAATTGACTCACAGCTCCACAGGTTGTATAGAAGACATGGCAGGGGAGGCCTCAGGAAACTTACAATCATGGAGGCAGGGCAAATGGGAAGCAAGCACATCTTTACATGGCAGCAGGAGAGAGAGAGCAAAGAGGGAAGTGCTACACACTCTTAAACAACCAGATCTCATGATAACTCACTATCACAAGAACAGCATGGGAAAAATCTACCCCCATAATCCAATCACCTCTTACCGGGTCCCTCCCCCAACACTGGGGGTTACAATTCAACATGAGATTTGGGTGGGGACACAGAGCCAAATCATATCACTTGGAAGTTGAGAATTTTATATCTCATACTTCCCCGCCCCAAGAAAAAAATAATTTCATACCCCCTTAGTGATATGAGTTGAACTTTTAGTATGACTTAAGAAAACATACTGACAAAAATGGCCAATAATCTCAGTAAAGCTTTTAAAATATTATTTACTCAGACTCTAGAGAATGCTTGCACAACAAGTAGATTAATAGACACCTAACAATAACTTATTGGTCCCCCCATCCAAGGTTAAAAATCATTGTTTATAAGTGCTTATGCTTTCAAAACAATACTGAGAAAAATGCACTTCTGAGTGTTATCATATTTTGAAGACTATAAACCCTTCATCCACTTTTGAAAAGAGGATGATATTGAAAAAGCCATTTGATAAGCTTTTATATCCAAAGAAACAAAGAAGCAGTTTGCTTCGAAGACTCCAGGGACACAAGGCCACCACCTGTGAGGACACAGGAGCCACCTATGAGCCATGAAAGTTTGGAAACTTGCCTGGGAAGTTCATCAGGGTCACCACCAGAGGAAATCATTGATATTCATGGAGAATTGGATGCTCAGCAGTGCAGTGGCATATAGGTCACACACAAGACAAAAACTGTTTCTGAGGTTTGAATGCAATGCCATTAGTGAGCCGTTACTGATATGTTTGACACTGTATCAGAAAATTTTACCAAAGCTCCCTTTTCTACTAAAAGCAACTGAGGGGAAAAGAAAATGGTAGAAAACCAAAAATAAAAGCAACTATTTCCCGGGAAGACCAATGAAGCCCTTCAAAAAGCTGACTGGATTGTATTAAACTGCTAAGGTTTGAATGCATCTCCCCAGAGTTCATGTGTTGGAAACTTAATCCCCAATGCAACAGCATCGAGAGGTGGCACTTTTGAGAGGTGATTAGGTCATGAGAGCTTTGCCCCCTGGAATGGATTAATGTCATTATGGCAGGGGTAAGTTCATGATGTCAGGAATGGGTTTGTTATAAAAGCAAGTTTGGCCCTCTCTTGCTTGCTGGCTCTCATCCATTCTCTCTTCATGTGATGTCTTCTGCCAGGTTATGACTCAGCAAGAAGACCCCCACTAGATGCAACCCCTTGATCTTGGACTTCCTGGCCTCCAGAAACATAAGACAAATAAACTTCTTTTTATTGTTATTATCATTAATTTTTTATTTTTTATTTCAATAAGTTTTGGGGAACAGATGGTATTTTGTTACATGAATATGCTCATTAGTGGGGATTTCTGAGATTTTGTTGCACCCATCACTCAAGCATTGTATACTGTACCCAATGTGTAGTCTTTTATCCCTCCCTCTCCCCCACTCTTTCCTTTGAGTCTCCAAACTCCAATATATCATTCTTATGCCTTTGCATTCTCATAGCTTAGTTCCCACATATGAGTGAGAACATGTATGTTTGGTTATCTATTCCTGAGTTACTTCACTTAGAATAATAGCCTCCAATTCCATCCAGGTTGCTGCAAATCCCATTATTTCATTCCTTTCTTTGGCTGAGCAGTATTCCATGGTATATGTGTGTGTGTGTGTGTGTGTGTGTGTATGTGTGTGTGTGTGTATATGTATATGTATATATACACACACATATATGTATGTATATAACATTTTTTATCCACTCATTGATTGATGGGCATTTGGGCAATTGTACTGCTATATACATGCATGTAACAAGTGTCTTTTTTGTATAATGACTTCTTTACTTCTGAGCAGATACATAGCAGTGGGGTTGCTAGGTCAAATGGTAGGTCTACTTTTAGTTCTTTAAGGAGTCTCCATACTGTTTTCTATAGTGGTTGTGCTAGTTTACATTCCCACCAACCCAGTAAAAGTGTTCCCTTTTCACCATATCCATGCCAACATCTATTTATTTATTATTATTTTTTGATTATGACCATTATTGCAGAAGTTACGTGGTATCGCACTGTGGTTTTGATTTGTATTTCCCTGATAATTAGTGATGTTGAACATTTTTCCATATGCTTGTTGGCCATTGAGACAAATAAACTTCTATTGTTTATAAATTACCTAGTTTATGGTATTCTGTTATAGCAGCACAAAACGGACTAAGACAGAAACTCACTAGCTGTTCAATTTCCTTTTTGACCTGTTTTTAAAGTTATGACAAATTTCAAAGCTATTTATATAGCTGAATATCTCTATAAAAATTTCTACACATTTTCAGTTTAACAAAGCACAGGCTGCTAGACCATTTCGGGGTCAAGAGGGACTGGGAGCGAGGTGAGGGAAGCACATATGCCCTACTTCAATTTAGCTGTGGGAAAAGAGTTTTGCTGCACCAAAAAAACATCGATATTTCAAGCAAAAATGTTAGTGGGAAAAGTAAGGGGCAATAAAAGTAGGTCCAAGCCCTGTAGCAACTTGATCAAATGTTACCTGGGCCTTTGCCACCTGAATGGCCCCGTAGAACTAAGATGATTTGAAATGGTTCCTTGCAGCCAACTGTAGCTTCAATGAAGCTGTGCCTCTTTTCCACCTCCCGGCGACTCACCATGCCAATCTCTGACTTGAGGCACTGTTCCTGTTGTGGGATCAAATGTTAGGATTTTAAAAACTAAAGTTTGATGTGGATGAACAACTGCCTATAAAGCACATTAAGCTCTTTCCCTGTAATGTATTTCATTTCACACTGACTGCCGGTATTGCCCCTGAATGGATTACAGCAGGGGACTGCCATTGTCCCACTAAACCACACGGGTTAAATAATACCTTGGTGTCTAGAACTGCTTCAGAACCATTTCATACTGGCTAATACATGAAATGAATACCCAGCTTTTCTGCAAGGAATTTAGTTTGGTTAAAAATAAGGACACATTGAATTGGTTTACAGTGCAAGATCATTTACAGCCCTATTTGGATTGTACTGTTGCCTACAGTAACATTTGCACCTGCATTTTGCCATTCGCAGCAGCAGGGCATAATCACACACTTACTGCTCTCAGGCATTTGGTGCTCAGGGTCTATTTACTTAACAGCCCCAGGAATAATACTCCACTCCAGGGTCAGCCACTTACATTTGGCTTTGTGTTTAGATAATGATGCCGTATTCTTGTCCAAGCCGGGGGAAATGCTACAGATAAGCTCCAACATTGCCTCTGAGTTGACTTGATGCCTTTTCAAGAGCACTTTTGAACTTTAAGCACATTTCCAAAGTTATCCCCTCATGTAGTCAAGATAATCACCTCATTTCATGAAGCACTTCTCAGGCCATAGACACTGGAATCATTTGAGTATGAGCCATGTGGGGCCACAAGGAGGTTTTACAATTACACAGTTTCTCTGTTCCTTCAGTTGCACCTGTAACATAAACAGCCATGGAGAGAAAAAAATCTTGTACAGCCACTTAGCTGGGCCTCTGCTACCATAGGTTTTGCTTTAGTGTCCACATCAGTTTGTGACTTGCCCTAGCATTAGGAAGCAGAGAAGCATTCTGGCACATGTTTGAGGCCCTGGGCAAGCTCACCTTGGGGCTAATTATACAATTGTAGATGCTTATTTTTAAAAGAGGTTTCAAGTCCAAAGGAGTGAATAGGGTTCTTTTATTTCCTCTGTATTGTTGTTGCAATAAAAAAAGTTAGAAAAGTATTAAAGCTTTGCACATCTTTTTTTTTTTTTTATTCCCTTCCCTTGGCTTTTGAGTCTGAAAAGAATGCTGGAAGTCATCAGAGGCCTGGTTGGAATACAGAGTGTTAATTCTTCCATATCTAAGCCTCTTTGTCGAAATTCCCTTTGTCTCCTGCCCCAAGTCATTAAACACTAATCCCATCACTCTTCCTAATCCGATGCACTGGAGCTGGAGTTTAGCTTCCGAAACTGTCTTTGTGGCACTCCTAATAGACAGCTTCTCTGGATTGTAGTTGGTTCAGGCGCATTTAGAGCTTCCCATTTCAGCCTCTTAATGAAGTGCCCTTAATGAATCTTTTCCTCCTTCATGCAGTGAGCACGGGCTTCAGTTGGTTTAGCGTTGAGTAGGGGAAGATGCAGAGTCATCTCAGGGGCCTTTGCAAAATATGACTGTCAAAGGCAAAACCTAGGAAACAGGCCATTGAGGGCTACAGCCACTGAAGTGCTCATTTAATTACTAAGGATTTGCAAAAGAAAATCTTCCCTTTGTAGCTAACAAAGGAAAGGAAGTAAGAAGAGATAGTAAAAGGTTTTTCCAATAAATGATAAAAGAGGAAACATGGTTGAGTAAAGCCGTAAGGGCATGGAGAGGAACACTTTCACACTTGCTACACAGGCCTACCTTTCTAAATGTTAGGTATGCTCAGAGATACTGAAAGAGGCTTTCGAGGCCTTTCTGTCCTGCCAAGTGATGGAGGCTATTGAGTCTGATAAATTCTTCACTGGCAAAAATCCACCAAAATGACAATCCATTCCATTAAGTTTAAAACAAAGTATTTTTCATGACATGATGGCAATTCAGGGAGACTGGAAAAATAAACACGGGGAAGAAATAAATGACGGAAAAAAATGTTTGCAAGGTAGTTCTGTCCACCCCCCTTTTTTGTTCTATTTGAGTAAAGTTGTTTACAGTCTCAACAGTTAATGTGAGCTTGGATCTAATATCCCCTCCAACAATGCAAATTTAAATGAAAACTCTGAATGACACTTGTTCACTTTATGTTTTAAAATATGTTGAGCCACTCCATGGATAGCTCAGTGCTGCTTCTCCTTCAGTGAGAATATTTATTATATGCTGAAATCTATATTGTATATCTATATGATATAATCTATTTATTATATGATGAAATTATTTGTATGATAAAATTAGCCAAATTAATAGATGATCTTGGTCTTGCAAATATATACATTATCATGCATTATTGCTTTAAGTTAAAGAATAAGAAGAAAAACAAGTTAATAGAAAAAAATGTCATCCTAGTGATCACAACTTATTTGGTATAAAGGCATAGAAAAACTACTGACAACAATTAATATAACTGTGTCTGAATTATTTGGTCACAGTGCCTATATGCCAGCAGTCACAGAATCAACTGACCCAAAAAACTCCTAAAGTTCAAGGCACTCCTAAATATTTTATATCAGGTTTGCAAATTAATCTGATTTATTGGGCCAACTGATCTAGTCCTACAGAGAAACCTCGAGTTTGGTAATAAATGTTTAAATGTCACCTAGGCCTTATCATGAAATCATGTAACACATTAAACAAAATTAAGATCACACAGCACAAAAGGCTTAGTATTTCTGATGGGACAACCCAGAATGGCCTTGTAAAGATGCTGTCAGATACTGACACAAAGTCCTAGGCTGCTGAAATTCCAAGTTTACCTTTTAGTGCCAAGACCCCAGTCCCTCTTCATTGTACTGGCAGGTGACATCTTGGCTTTATCATTATTGAGCATGCCAATAACATTTTGTTTCCTCTTATTCTTACCAGACCTGATAGTTTCTTCACTGGGAAAAAAAACAAAATGAAACAAAAACAAATAAAAAGCAAAAACAAACTTTGAACTCACTAACAAAAACAAATCAGATACATTTACTAACTGCATAAATCACAACGAAGTGACTCACCTCAGAAGAAAACCGCAATGTTCTCCACATAGATAAAAACAACCGCATTTAGCATTTGGGCTGGGATTCAAATTCCAGTGCATGTCTACCGTTGGCAATAAAACTTACACTTGGACATTGTTAAAATGTGCTCATGTGTTCAGTCTTTCTCCTTTCCTCACAACTGACTTGCCAAGTCTTTTTCTTTGGGGAATCAAACAGCTCTCACATGCATTGAGGAAAAATTTCCTGTGCCGCAATTTTTTTTAAAAAGTCTAAATAGCATCAGTTGAGTTTATGGGAGACAGTGAGGCTATGTGAGGCCGGCAATATGACCAGCTGAGTGCCAGCTGTCCTCAAGAGCTCCAGTCCTTGAAAGTCAGGATTCCCTGGAGCAGGGCTGCCTGTGGTGTATTAGATTATGATGGCTACATCCTAGCAGAACTCCTTATTTAATCCTTCTCTTCCTTTCCAGACCCTAACTTTTTTTTTTTTTCATTCTCATTTCACATGAGCAAGCTGCATGAATCTAGTTTCAAATGAAAACAACATTAAAAAAATAGAACCACGGTGGTGTATTGGGAAGATTTCCAGAAGGCTCTAAACTGAGGATTATTTATATCCCTCTGAACTTCATTCCCTCAACTACAGAATGAGTGGAGGGAGGATTAGATTACAGCTCTCTCTCTCTTCTTTCTTTCTAAGGAGGGCATATACTGGCAAAGTATTTTGGTACTTAAGTTGTTCTTCCTTTTTTTTTAAGAAAGGATGCCTCAGTGAGTTTTTGAGTTAATAAACATTGGAAGCAGTAAATGTGTCCTTTTGTTAGTTGTTACCAGCAATTCATACTTCAAAGTTACCAGGGACACTGCAAATTCAACTGAGAAAAGGAAATGTGGCAGAGGAAGTTCATCATTTATCGAAGTATGAATAGCTCACGCCTTGACGTTTACTCCTCCAGAAAGTAAGACAACAAAACACTGGCCCATCTCTTCCATCAATTCAGGAAAACCATGAGGGCAGGTATCATGTGACTTATACCCCCCTCTACATCCTGAACATATTATATATTGCCTGAACATATTTCTAAAAGGAATGAACAAATCTATCAGCTTATCGACAGCCTGTAACATTATTTAAAGAGAAGTGTAAGTTGGACAACAGAAAGAGGTGAGATACATTTTTTTCACAGTTCCTACAGGATTTCCCATATAGCTTATGGGAAAATTGAATGATCTGCTTTTTTTGTCTTTGAAACAAAGGCAATTCACAGAAGGGAAAGTTGAATGGCTAAGATCTTACTTAAGAGATGCTCACACACTGGTTGTTAATAACATATATATGAATTAAAGCAAACATGAAATTTTATTCTGTACCCATCAGGACGAGAAAAAGTTGGAAGGGAGGATACTACTGATTGGTGAATGAGACCCCTCATACACTGAGTGTAAGTTGATGAACCATTCAGAAAAGCAACCTGCCAGTATTTATGTCCTATGACCCTGAAAACCCATGTGTCTCCCAGAGAAATTCTCACACATGCCCGTTAAAGGGCACATACCATTCACCACTGTATTGCTCATTGAGGTGGTGAGCGGAAGGCAATCTAGAAGTTCAACTCTAAAAGAAAATGAGGTGAGAATTTGCCCAACAGATAGGATTAACAAATGGGACAAATATACAACATAGATAGATATTGAGAACAGTTTGTGAGTGAAAACAGGAAGAAACTGAATAAGATCTACAGCAAAATTTCATATAAGTAAATTAAAAATGCATAAACACGCAAACCAATGCAATATGAATATATAGGAATCCAAGTAAATATACTGAACAACTTAGAATGTGTATCTACCAGAGAGAAAGAAGTGGGAGTATTAAGAATAGAGGAAAAATATAATTATAACAAGTGGAGATTTTTCAGAGACCAATAATGGAAGTGTGCCAGGAACTGATGAAAATTTCTGCCCCTGAAGTCCAAAAGAAGGAAATATATTTTTAAAAATAAATAAATAAAGCAGAGATAAACTAGACTGTCATTTTACTCCTACCCCAACAAAATGGCATCTCTGAGCAATTATTAAATTTATACAACATTGATTTAAATGAGCCTAAGTGCAAGGGCATCAGATTTCCCTTGACCTAAGGGAAAGAATCCGGCAGATGTGTCAATGGTAATTGACACATATAAAGCAAAAATCCTTCTATCAGGCAGGATAATGTTAGGTACTGTAACAAAATTTCAATGACTCAGCACAACATAATTTTGGTTTTTGCTCATGGAATAGTCCAATGCTGGTGTAACTAACTGATAGGTGGGCTCTATGCCACAGCTAAAAGGTGCTGTGCTATCTCTCAAACAAGGTTCCTCAAGAGCTTGTCTCTATTCCATCATTTGGAAGGGAGAAGGTGATGGAGGAAAACGTATAGGTTCCTACTGGCCAGATCCACTCCTATCCTGTTGGCTAGAACTCAGTCAGAGGGCTACACCAAACTACAGGAAAGCCTGGGGAATGGAGTCCAGCTGTGTGCTCAGAAAAAGGAGAAAACACAGATTTTAATCAGCAGCTAGCAGCCTCTACTGCAATCCTGTTACAATGACATTATCAGTTAGACATGGGAGACACCGGGGCCACTTGCACGTGTGTTCGAACCAATGAACACTACTTAGTTGTTTTTTTAAAATTCAAGAAAGATAAAGAAGAAAATGGAGGTAAAGAGGAGAAAGCTGCATCTATGAACTTAGTTTCAGCTATGAAACAGAGCATTTATAAAGGAAAAAGTCATAAAAAAAATAAGGTCAACTGTTAAACAGTAGAACACTCAAAATCAAATCAAACTATCAAACTGGCATCTATTTTATTTTTTATTTTATTTTATTTTATTTTGAGACACAGTCTCATTCTTTCACCCAGGCTGGAGTGAAGTGGCCGGATCTCGGCTCACTGCAACCTCCGCCTCCTGGGTTCAAGCGATTCTCCTGCCTCAGCCTCCCAAGTAGCTAGGATTACAGGCGTGCACCACCACATCCAGCTAATCTATTTTTGTTTTCATCAGCAGCTTGGCAAGAAAGGGGCTACAGCTTTTCTGTAAGGCAATATGGTAATATGTATGTAAAAATCTCTGAAAGCTTCATAGCAAGTGCACATCCAGGACACATAAGCAGAGGGTCTTGGTGTCTCAGCATGTGGACTTAGGAGACTGCTAGACCAAGTTTAAGTGTATGTGCTTACCTGTCAGCCTTAAGTTTTTTCTATAAATTGAGGGTAGTAAAAATATGTACCTCCCAGGTTAGGAGGTTAAATAAGATAATGCACAAAAAGCCTTTATTGACTATAATACTTGGCACATAAGAAAGATTCTCTAATACTACTGCAGAAATAATCATGTATGTGTGCAGTTTGCACTCCAAGAATACAGAGCAAAGATCTGTTATTAATTGTTACATATTGGGGGACATCTCCCAGTGTCCTAAAATAGGACATTGGCTAAATAAATAATAACATATCAATATGTATCCCTGAGAAGATATAGAAAATAATTTACTAACATGGAAAAATGTTTATTGTGTGTTAAGTTTTAAAAATGATTATGAAATGGCCCATTGAGTGTGATCCACGTTTATAAGTATGTGTGAATTTGTAAATAAAACAGTGACTAGAAGAACGTACCCTAAAAATGTTTGATAACAGATTTTCTTAAATGGGGGTGTGGACAAGTTACAGTTACTCTTTTTTTTTTTTCCTTTTGTAGACCAGTACTTCCAAGATTTTCACCAATAAACATATATTACTTTTAAAAAATCCAATTTTTAAATTTCAAGACATACTTACATGTTAGTGTGATTTTTCTTCCTTTCTTATAAAAAGCCTTCAAATATACAGAAAATTAGAGAAAACAGTACTAGGACTACCCTTTTTTCATCATCTAGATTTAACAATTTTTTACATTTTGCCATTTGCTTCATCTTTTTTCTTGTAGTATTTTAAAATAAATTCTAATCATGAAATTTCATACCTATAAGCTTTCAGAGAATTTCTAAAAATAAGAGTACTTCCTTACTTAAGTGTAGCTAACAATATTTTATATTATTAAGTAATAACTATTTGTAAGTATGAACTCTTCTATTCTTAGGTAAAGATAATTTTTTAAATGATACCATATTTAGAGATATCATGAGGCAGGAGTCAGGAAACCTAGCTTTTAGACTAGGCTATGTGTAGACTTGCTACACATCTATGAAGCCTATGAGGTCCCCTCTTCTCATTTGTAAAATGAAAGGATTGAGCTAAATGACACTTTCCAGTTTTAAAAATCATATTTTCTTTGGGGGCAAAGAAAGAAACAAGTACATTTTCAAAATTAAAGAAATTTTAGGGAGTTGAGGGTGGGAGGAGAGAGAGGAGCAGAAAAAATAACTATTGGGTACTAGGCTTAGTACTTGCGTGACAAAATAGTCTGTACAACAAACTCCCATGACACAAGTTTACCTATGTAACAAACCTGCATATGTATCCCTGGACCTAAAATAAAAGTAAAAAAAATACAAATTTTTTTTAAAAAGAAATTTTAGGGTGAGAACACCACCAAGGAACTAATAGGAGCTATAACATTAAGGAAAACTTGAAATTCGAGAATTTGAGAGAGGAGATATTGAAAGATTTTTCTAATTTGACCAATAAATAAACACACGTGTGACCTTTTGTTTAACCAAAGTAACTCTTGAACAACTGTCTATCTCCCAGGGATGCGTTTCTGTATTTTAACTTTTCCCAGTCTTTGCGTAGCCCCCTGGCTGTTTGATTCTTGTAATTATTTTGTCCTGTCACAAGGCAGTCTCCTTTTGGCAAGAACCTATCCAGGGAGCTCTCTGACACCCAGTTTAATACACAGAAGTGTTTGGCCAGGGCCCCATCCCTGCATTTACATCACAAAGTTGAGTGGTCTTCTGCACCACTTTTCTCAATAGGAGACGACCTTAGAAAATGTCAGATTCAATTCCAGCTTGAGGCACCACTGTCTGGGAGCCTGGCTGTTATGCACCCACTGGTAGGGCACTGATTCCAATTCTTCAGTTATCCTACACCCAAAATAGAACTAAGTCTTTCCCTGCAGGCAGCATGACAAAAATGTATTGTTTTAGACTTGATCCATATGTTTGTTTCATTCTTTACCAAAATAAAGCTGCAACACTAGCTTGAGTACTAGCAAGAATAAGCTTGCACTAGACACATGCTGTCTCTGTCCACATGCACACTCTCCACCAGCTCAGATGAAATCTGCTTCCAGCCTCTCTAATTATGGAATAACCTTGATAAGAAGTCTGACAACATGGATTCTCATTCCTTCTCTGCTATAAACTGCTATGTGGGCAAGTCCCTGAACTTCCCAGGGTCTCAGTTTCACAGCTTATAAAATGGAACACCTGGACCTAATTATTTCTTCTTTTTCTTTCTCTCTTTTTTTGTTTTTTTGAGATGAAGTCTTGCTCTGTCACCCAGGCTGGAGTGAAACGGGGTGATCTCGGTTCACTGCAACTTCTGCCTCCCGGGTCCAAGCTATTCTCTTGCCTCAGCCTCCCGAGTAGCTGGGATTACAGGCACCTGCCACCATGCCTGGTTAATTTTTGTATTATTTAGTAGAGACGTTTCACCATGTTGGTCAGGCTGGTCTCGAACTCCTGACCTCATATGATCCACCTGCCTTGGCCTCCCAAAGTGCTGGGATTACAGGCATGAGCCACTGCACCTGGCTAATTATTTCTTTTTTTAAAAAAAATTATGTTTTATTTTAGATTCAGGGGGTACATGTGCACATTTGTTAAATAGGCGTATTGTGTGATGTTGAGATTTGGGTTGCTAATGATTCCACTGCCCAAGTAGCAAACATAGTACCCAATAGGTACTATATTTTTTCAACCTTTGTCCTCATCTCTCCCTCCCCCTTTCAGGAATCTGCGTCTATTGCTCCGATCTTTGTGTCTGTGTATTCCCAATGTTTAGCTCCCACTTATTCATAAATGAGAACATGCAGTATTTGGTTTTTTGTTTCTGCAAAAATTCATTCAGGATAATGGCCTCAACCTGCATCCATGTTGCTGCAAAGGATATGATTTTTTTCTTTTTTATGTCTGTGTAGTATTCCATGGTGTTTGTGTACCACTTTATCTTTATCTAATTCACCTTGTTGATTTCTTTGCTACTGTGAATAGTGCTACATTAAACATATGAGTGCAGGTGTCTTTTTGGCAGAATGATTCTTTTCCTTTGGGTTTATACCCAGTAATGGGATTAGTGGATTGAATGGTAATTCTATTTTTAGTTATTTGAGAAACCTCCAGACTGCTTTCTATAGTGGCTGAACTAATTTGCATTCCCCCAGCAGTGTATAAGCGTTCCTTCTTCTCCACAACCTTGCCAACATCTGTTTTTTTTCTTTTTCACTTTTTATTAAGTAGCCATTCTGACTGATATGAGATGGTATCTCATTGTGGTTTTGATTTGCATCTCCCTGATGATGAGTAATGTCAAACATTTTCTCATGTTTGCTGGCCATTTGTATGTCTTCTTTTGAGAAGTGTTTGTTCATGTCATTTGCCCGCTTTTTAATGGGATAGTTTGTTTTGGATCTGATTATTTTTAAAATGCCTTTAAGATACACAGTACAGTGTTTCTAAGTGCACTTTCTTCCTTTCCTGGGAAAAATGGTATTCCTTATTCATTCATAAATATTTCACTTAAATATCCATTTAATAAGAATATATGAAGAATATTCATTCATCTAATTTCCCACCCTAGAGGCAACTACTTGATTAGTTCCTTGTATTTCCAAATATAGTCCATCAAATTATAATTACATATATCCTGAAATTTAATCTCAAAATCTTTAATTTGATTTCTAAGAATTTATCCTACTGATAGACTTAAACTTGCTTGTGAAGATACATAGTAAGGGCACTTGTTGCAGTGTGGTTAATAAAAGCAATGAATGGAGTAATCTGAACCTTCGTTAAGTATATTGTGATTTGTTCATACTAAGGCCATTAAAAAGAAAGAGGTAGCTTTATAGCTACCCAGTTTAAACCTGACCCAGTTAGGAGTCTTTCTGTTGTAAATAACAGAAAATCCACTACAAACTGATTTAAATATTGAAGGAGATGTATTGGGTCACATAAATGGGAAATTCTCAAGGACTTTGTTTCTTGTCATCTCTCTGCTCTGCTGTCAAGGATGATAGCTTCATCCCCAAACTGGTTCTCTCATGGTTATAAGAGACTAATCAACCATAATTAGGGCTACGTGTTTCTTGCTTCATTCCAATGGAGGAGAAAGTGATTCTGCCTCAGAATTCCAAGCAAAGACCCTGAAGATTACCTTGATTGTATAAGCCTAGATCCTGCGCCAGGAAAATGGAAAGCATTGATTGGTTTTGGCCAGTCAGTCCAGGATGATGCGCTTCCTGGAAACCTTGCAGGGGAGCAAAGACACGGAAATGAAAACCTGAGTACGGCAGGTGTTTGAAAAACGCTGTTTCCTTATAACTTGGATGAGAAAAAAATCCATTCCTAGGCCACTATCTGTGTGGAGTTCGTATGTTCTCCCCACATCTGCGTTGGATTTCTCCCCTGGTACTCCAGATTCCTCCCACATCCCAAAGATGTGCAGCTTGAATCTGCGTGTCTGCATGGTCCCAGTGTGTGAGTGAGGGTGTGTATGTGAGTGTGCCCTGTGAAGGAATGGCGTCCTGGCCAGGGCTGGTTTCCGCCTTGCACCCAGGCTCTGGCTGCCCGTGACCTTGAACTGAATAAGTGGTTTAGAAAATGAATGAATGTAAATGATTATAAAATAAACATTTGTAAAGTATACAATAATCATACAAATGCACACAATAAATGATGTGGTTCCAAAGCACTCAGCAAACCTGCCAGGTTTGTGATTGTTTTTGAACTGTGTGGTAATAGAAGGTGCTCCTTAAAATTTTTGCTTTGCAAGCATTTATTCCTTAATTTAACCCACCACCACTACAATCACCATCACTCACCGATTCACCAAAATTGAGTAATTATTACTTGTTTCTATTAATCTTTCTTAAATAAATGTATAGCTCGCATTTATTTCAATGTTTAAGATTGATTAGAAGTGTTTGGGGTCTTTATTTAGAAGTTTGGTGATGTTTCTGTGACCAGAAATATGCTGTAGGAGCTTAACTCTTGTTTATATCAATTACCCTGTGGTAAAACTCGTTTTGTTATATGTCATTTTGCTTAAAGTTGCAGTTTCTAATAACCTATGAACCATGTTAAGTGAGCACGTACTGTATTTCAGGGAAGGAGAAGGAGAGAATGGACATCAGTCAGGCATCCATCAACTGTCCATCATAGCATGAGACTATGAAATTACTTCTAAGATACTTTGTTAAATGCAAAAGGCAAGATATAGGAGTGTGAGCAAAATATGTGACCATGCATGTACAAAATCATGCCTATTGATATAATTTGGATGATTGTTCCCTCCAAATTTCATGTGCAAATATGATCTAGAATGTTGGAGGTGAGGCTTGGTGGGAGGTTTGGGTCATGGGAGTGAATTCCTCATGAATGGCTTGGTGCTTTCCCCGTGGTAATGAGTGAGTTCTGGCTCTATTAGTTCACGTGACATCTGGTTGTTTAAAAAAAAAAGTCTGGTGCCTTCCTCCTCTCCATTGTTCCCTCTCTCTTCCCCTTCTACTATGAGTTGAAGCTTCCTGAGGCCTCACCAGAAGCATATGCTGGCACCATGCTTCTTGTACGACCTGCAGAACCATGAGACAAATAAACCTCCTTTCTTTATAAATTACCAAGCTTCAAGAATTATTTTATAGCAGCACAAATGGACTAACACACTTATATATGTATAAAGTGTTTCTAACAATAATTTTAACCTCACACACATTCATTCATATGCATATAAATGAAAGTACCCATGGGGGGAAAAATAATATAATTTTAAAAACCCAAGTTCTGGCTGGGCACAGTGGCTCCTGCCTGCAATCCCAGCATTTTGGAAGACCAAGGCAGGAGGATCACTTGAGTCCAGGAGTTTGAGATAAGCTAGGGAAACATAGTGAGACACATCTTTTAATAAATTTTAAAATTAGCTGAGTATGGTGGTCGTGTGCCTGTAGTTCCAGCTACTAGAAAGGCTGGGGTGGCAAGATGGCTTGAGCCTAGGAGTCTGTGAGCCCTGATCACACCATTACACTCCAGCCTGGGTGACAGAGGGAGCTCCTGTCTCAAATAAAAAGACAAAAAAATAAAATTCTAAGATTCTATCATACGGTTGAATATTTTCAGATAGTCACTTGGAATGAAGGGTACTAAAATAGCATTGGAAATGCATCAGCAGCCCCTCCACTGATTTTGTCTTTCCACTCTGAATGATACTGTTCTTCAGAATTCTCAGGAAATGAAGAGTACTCAGTAGAAGAAAACAAACTAACTCATCATGCAAATGATATGGTAACAAATAATATATACATATTTCCTCAAATCAATATACAAACACCACTCCTCCTGAAAGAGTTTTTAAACAATACCCACGAACTAATCACTGCGAACTCCACAGATGACATAAATCCGGAGATACTTCTTTTCAAACTGAGTCTCAGAAATACTCAGAACTTCTCAATCAGTTGCTCACTCAAAACTGCCAGGAATCCTGACAAGTTCTGATAGTTTCCCAAATGCTTGCTACTTAGCGGGTGTTATATATCCATGAATTGGTATAAAACTGAGTTTTAGTAAACTGAAGAAGAATTGGAAAAACATCTGCTTTATAGAGTTACCCCCTTCCTGGGGAAGAATTAGAGGACTTTACATAGTCAGCCTACAGAGCTAAAGAGTAAGAAGCCAGTAATGACTTCAAACACCCATTGCAAAATGCCAGCACTATTTTTGCAAAAAGAAAATTGAAATATAGATATATGTTTGTCTGTGTGTGTATACAGTGCTAGATGCAAAAACTAATTTTTACAATAGATTATAGGATATCAAGTGTTTTCATAGGTGGAAATAGATCAACAAAGAGAACTGGAGTTGAAAAATGTGAAGTGGTCAAAACATATGATTTTCTTTGACATATAAGAGGGAAGGCTTTGTTTGGAAATATTGTCACTAAGTATTCATTCATTCATTCAACAAGCTTCTAATTTAATGTCTGTTATGTGAAAGGTACAGTGCTGAGAATTCTGATGAGGCAGATACATTAACCACATGGATACCAAAAGAAAAAAAAAACATATTTGGAAAGTGGGTTATTATTCAATGTGAGCCAGACAAGAAGGAAAAGTTATAAACATTCATGAATGCCAATCAATCACTTATAGGAGGAGAAATATTGCAGTGGGGTAACTGTTGCTCATTTAGTATTTTTCACTGGGAAAAATATGTGGATGGGGTAAAACGGTATAGTGATAAAACATATGAGCTCTGGGTCAAGGGGCTAGCAATGTCTAGAGCGCTATTGACCAGCTGCATTAACTGGTCATTCCTTAACCTCTTTGCTCCTTGGTCTATCTAAAATAATGAAAGTAAAGTTCTTAGCATGGCTCCTAGCATTTAATTAGTGCTTTCCACAAGTTAGCTATTTTTATTATGATTATTAGAGTTTAGTTGAGCCTCTGTTTACTGTGTTTAGCATTATCTGTTTCTCTTCTTTATTTTATTATATATAGAACAGGATAGACTATTAACAGGCTTACCAATAATGATGTTTTAGGGAAATAGGAGGAAGAAGAAAGATTACAGAGAAATTACCTATTTACGTTAAAGTTGTATTTGCATGTATTTATTCACTAGCAGCCCAGCAATTTTACCTTTTGAATATTGCTCTGGCCTCTTAATGTTGACTCTGTGGCATTTTAATGAGCTGTTTATTTGGCAAAATGTTTACTTATAACTTAACTACTCATTTGGTTTGTTCCTACTTTAATTTTGATTCTAACATGTTAGATAATTTTAATCTAATGTTTCTCTGATCTTCATGCACAACCCAAACACGTGTATAAGAGCATTCATTTCAAAGCACAGCAACGCTCTTTTGGTGGTCTTGTTTTGTAGGGGCAATGGGGTGGGGAGAAACAATCTATTCGGAAGCAACTAATTGTAAATGAGCAGTAAGTCAAAGTATCTCTTTTCTGGAAGACTGATTTAAAAATCTTTCTTTGCATTACCTTGTCTTTATGAAACTTGTAATAAAAATGTCCTAGAATATCCCACAACAACTCTTTGTAATGAGATACAATTCAGCTTGAAAGCTAAAGGATGCAAGATCATTTTGATGAGATGTCACGTATAAGGCACTGATCTCTGAGAGGGATGATATGGAATCTCCAGAGTAAGTCATCAGTCCTAACAACTGAAGAACTGAGAAGAGAACCAGGAAAAAACTGTTACAGGTAGGAAATGCAGTTATTTATGACTCATTCCTGCTGCCCTGTGAGTGACTGATGTTAAATTTCCTCAAAAAGTACCTCGAATTAGGAAGACAACTTTTCTCTGTCAGCCTGAGACTATATATCTTTAAAATGGGAGGTGACTCATGACCATTTTTAACACTGATTAACCCCCCAGTGTGATGTTCACATATAGAAGAGTATGACTTCGAGCTTCCTGAAATGTATCGTCTGAGAAAATAGTGGGAAATGCTATACAGAAAAGAAGGGCCGGGATTGAGAGGGGATGAGAAACCACCCCTGCCCTCCAACACACAAGCAAAATATTCACAATGTATTCATTCCTCCATACTGCTATTTTTTCTGCTATCTTTGCCTCTTAGCTTGCGGGGCATATCTCCCAACACACACACACACACACACACACACACACACACACCCCATGAGAGAGAGAGAAAGAAACAGCTAGATCATCTGGATCCATTTAGGGGCTGAATTTCCTAAGTGCCAGTGAGATAAACAGACCCTATAATATAGTTGTCACCTGAACAAACCAATGTTTGATCAATGTTCCATTTGCCTGGTGGAGTGTGAACCTTGCCTGAGTGCTGAAATGACAAATATTAGTAAATTATTATCATCAGCCATCATCAGACAGTTGGTTCATTGTCCTGCATGGAGTGAATTATGAATTAGGAATCTATATGTAGCTATAAACGGTACCACAGCATGACCAGATCATTGAACAATTGATTCAGCTGCTCCATGCTTTCTGAACAGATCAAATCCCTCATCCGGAACCACTGAATCCGCAGTGGCATCTCTCCCCTAGAAGCTCTTAGCACTAATGCCGGTACCAGTAGTCTTCAATCATTTTCAATGATTAGAATCAGTTTAAAAGTAAGCATGCACCATCAACAGTTATATAGTTGTTAATTTATAAATTAAAAATTGCACATTATGAAAGACATTGAATAGGAATTAGAAAAGAGTGAGCTAAGAGGAAATAAATATTTAAGATATTTTTATTTTATTTATTAACAATGCAAAAAATCTTTTTGCTCTCACCTAAAATGTTAATGTGTATAGTTTCTTCCTGGATATTTCTTATCAACATTCAAAATCTTGGTTTTATTTGAAAATGCTTGGTTTTATTGTCTGTTAAAAACTTAAAAAGTTACTTTACAAAGATGCGTCAGTCTGAATGAAAGAGGCATATCATATCGTTGGTTACATGTACCAAAGAATTATGTTGGCCGAGTTGGCCAGGCGCGGAGGCTCACGCCTGTAAACCCAGCACTTTGAGAGCCCGAGGCGGGTGGATCACGAGGTCAGGAGATCGAGACCATCCTGGCTAACACGGTGAAACCCCGTCTCTACTAAAAATACAAAACAAATTTAGCCGGGCGTGGTGGCAGGTGCCTGTAGTCCCAGCTACTGGGGAGGCTGAGGCAGGAGAATCGCGTGAACCCGGGAGGCGGAGACTGCAGTGAGCCGAGATCATGTCACTGCACTCCAGCTTGGGTGCCTGGGTGACAGAGCGAGACTCAGTCTAAAATTAAAAACAAAGTTTATGTTTAATTTTCAGTCTCATTCTACTATTATCAAATAGCTTTTGTTGAAATTTGGCAGGTGAATTTTCATGTTCCCTGTTAGAAATGAATCAGAAGGTGTGATGTGTTAATATTTTTGATGCACTGATTCAAAACTCACTAAAATTCTTTATTTTGAGGAATTTTAAAAAGATGAGAAGATTTTACTTTCCAAGTTCTTAAACTATAGAGCTACAAGGAGCTTTATAGGGAACATATATGATTTTCAGAAATAAAAATTACATAAAGTTGTAAATATTTTAAGAAGCAATTTTCAAAATGTTCTCCTTAGAGAACGAAGTTTGTTTCCAAAGGCAGTTTCTTCTTCCTTAATGTTAAAAGCGTCATTAGCTTAAGGAAAGGCTCAGAATGAATGTAAATACATATTTCAAGTAACCTTTCTGATCCCTCTGATTCCCGCCCCCGCAACCCCCGGCCTTTTTTTTTTTTTTTTCTAACATCTGATCTGATCTGGCTATGTCATCATTGCTTTTTCCACTGTAAAAAGACTTTTCTCAAAATGAAGAGTTTTTCCAAGGCGCAGAAGGCCAGGTCAGCCATGTGGTTTTTGCTCATTTGTGTGTGCATTATTCATACAACATTGTCTTCAGATTCTGTTTTCTTGATGAACTCTTTTGGAGCCACTTGTCCATTTTGTGAGAATTCATTTAAATTATTACTGTCAGCATAATTGCATAGCTGTAAACTGCAACATGTCTATATGCTAAGTGAACAACTAGGGATGCTGTGGATGATCCAGAGGGTTTTGGAATTTCCATTCTTTCTTGGGAAGCTTACTTACCACATGAAATTACGGTAATAAATGAATGAGACTACCGGTTTCAGTCCATACATTTAATACTTCAGAGCTTAACTGATTTCTTATTTTATTAGAAATACTTAAACAGTGTTTTAGACTTTCTTCCTACACCTGCCATATTGGATCCCCTTACACAGCCCACTTGGGGGACTCCTGGTCTATCTAACTTCTTTGACTTCAGGGCTTTGCATAAGCTATTCTCTACCTGGACCATTCTGCTCTCCCTCTCTCCTTAGCTACCAACTGCTACTTACCTTTCCGGTTTCATCTGTAATACCATTTCCTCATGTAGACATTCCCAGATGTTCCCTGTGCTCTCAGTTTAGGCGAGGTCTCTCTGTCATAAGCTCTTACTGAACCCTACTGCTTCCTCACAGAGCCCTTCCTAGCACATAGTAACAGATTTACCTGTGTGGTTGAGAATGGGCTCTCTACTCTCCAGAAAATGTAAGTTCTCAGTCCGTAAGAATAGAGACCATACCCATATTCCATTGCATGCTCAGCACTTAGCGCTGCGCTTCACAAAGGGCATCCAATGGATATTTGCAGAATAAATGAATGAATGATTGATAGACTATGAATCTGGGACTTACTCATTTACGCGACATCATAGATCACACAGTTATGCCCCCTTATGTAATTGATAGGAAAACTATAACATAAGAGGTCTATGTGGCACACTCCAGTCACACTGTTAGTTGATAACAGTAGTAGGAAGAAAACCTGAGGCTCTTGGTCTCCAGGCCCAGCACTTTTTGTACGCATTTCAGAAGGTGCTAAAGAAAAGCTAACTTTGAAAACCGCCTCCTTATTTAGATAATCAGATATCCTGAGACCAAAAGCCGTCTTGAAAGAGCATATAAAATAAATTTATGAAAATGAATACTTAAAATCAGTAAAACATATGTAGTCATGATTGTGTTTAAAAAAAAACAGTAAAACAAAGGATCTAGTAGAAAAGCTTTGTAAAAACCATGAATTGCCAATTCATGGAAGAAGAAAAAGAAATGACCAATTAATATATAAACAATATATAATGTAAGGAAAGTATAATATAAACTGAAAAGATGTTCTTTTTCCCCAGCATAGCCTAAACATTTAGAAAATTTAGAAAAATTCATCATATTCAATGTTGGCAAGAATGTGAGAAAATGAATACTCTTATAAATTCTTTGTGAGAGCCTGAATTGGTACAATCCTTTGAAGTCAATTTAGCAATACTTATTAATATTTTAAATGTGATTATCTGATGACTTAGCATTCTTAGGAACTAAATATACAGATGAACAAACAGGTGAATAATAATATATTATCAGATGTTCCAGTAGTATTGTTCATTATAGTGAAAATTGGAATACAACCTAAATATTCACCAGCAGGAAAATCATGAAATAAGTCACTGTTCAACCAAAGTATGGACAAGTATGTAGCCATTGAAAGAGTTCACTAGATCTGCATGTGTTGATTTGGAAAGCTCAGGTATATCACCAATTTTTTAAATGTATAATAAGATCTCATTTGTGCTTTATTTAGTTTTAAATAAATGTTAAGATTTTCATAATGGCTACGTCTGGGAGGGAAGTAATATGGGGGCATATAACAGTGGGGACCTTCGCTTTTTACTATATATGCTTCAGGATTGTTTCCTTTTCTTTCTTTCTTTTTTTTTTTTTTGAGACGGACTCGCTCTGTCACCAGGCTGGCGTATAGTGGTGCGATCTCGGCTCACTGCAACCTCTGCCTCCCAGGTTCAAGCGATTCTCCTGCCTCAGCCTCCTCAGTAATTGGGACTACAAGCACGCACCACCATGCCCGGCTAATTTTTGTATTTTTAGTGGGGTTTCACCATGTTGGCCACGATGGTCTCTATCTCCTGACCTCATCATCTGCCCGCCTTGGCCTCCCAAAGTGCTGGGATTATAGGCGTGAGCCACCGCATCTGGCCTCCATTTTTTATAAACATGTATTTCTCTTGCAATTTAGTTTTCTGCCACCTTATTTGTTGATGTTGTTTAGAGTCTCCAGATGGGGAAAGAGCTTTCTCACTCCCTGCCACTGGTATTCATTAAAGTCCTTACGGACTAAGACATCCATACCTGTGCTGAGAGGTGCTGTGGGAAACTGGCTAACTTTCTGTACCTTCCCACAAACACATCAAGATAGCCAACTAGAGAGATGGCAGAGAATGTTTCCTATACACACCAGCTCCTAAGACTTACACACCTTCTTACAACTAGGTCTGGACAGAACTGTGCATACACACTGCAAACACCAGCAGTCTCCCTGCAGTGTCATACTCAGACCAGTGCCTTTTTCCCAACAAAAGTTGTAGGAACTACATAGCTCATCCAGCGCAACTTTCCAGCATCCCTTTCCATCCCGTGTGTGGGGCAAATCAAATCAAGAGGAATACATATCAGGGGTTTCTCGATAAGCAATCATTAAATGAATGTGCCAGAATCCTTAGTGGTGTTAAATTTGTACAAAAAGATAATGTTCCTTAAGACATTGGCCCTTCTTCTCCTCTTCTCCCAGCAAACTCATCCTATGCATCAATATCCATCTGTAAATCCACTAGCTTTAAAACTTCCCTGACCAGCTCAGCTTAAAGTAAGCTCCTCCTCTAACCCAGTCATTCATGCTTACTCTGTTAAACTGGCAAGAGACTGCCCGGTGACATCCCACCTCTTGCTTTCTTCAGCTATTTAAATCTTTGCTTATTGTTTAACTTTATGTTTGTCTAATTTTCCAGACAGAGTAGGAACCTTGTGTTAAACTGCTCTATATACAGCCTTGCCATAATGAAACATCTAATAAATACTTTCAAATTCAAAAAACCACAGACAAGAAAGCCAGAAGGGCATGAATTCTTTTTACTTTGTTGATTGATGTATTTGTGCTTCCTTCTCTCCTTCCAGAGTTTAATGTTCACTATTCGTGAGAATAAATTCAACACCTAAAATTAATAACGAATTTCAGACATATTTGATGTTAATGTATAAGCCCAAGAAGACTGAAAAACTCCACAGTAGCCAAGAAGTGCAAGTTAGCAAAGAAGAAAGAGAAAAACTGATTTCAACTATAGAATGATATTCATGTTTCACATCGAATAAAATATCATGAAAAAATGATATGAAAACTTAAAAAGATAACTAGTCTTGTCAAATAGAAATGGGTGGTGTGTGTGTGTGTGTGTGTGTGTGTTTTAAATTTAAAAATGAAATTCAAGGCTCCTTTGCTTAATGAAGCTAGTTCTTTCATCTTTTAAAATGACAGGTAAAGTAAAAGCTGAAGTTTGGGGGGAAAGGGAGATTTAAGGGCCTCCCTTCAGACATTAATAAACACTATTCCACATTCTAAAACTATTAGACATAATTTGGCATAATTGCCAATCTTTCCTGAGCAAATGCATACAACTCAGTTGTTTTACCTACTAACCTCTTTCCACAAAGAGAATGATCACCCCAATTGGGGATCCAAGGTTTATGCTTTCAGAGAGGCATTTTGAAGAAATATATTCTTGATCCTGTATATTAAAACAGAAATTTTATTTTCTCAAACTCACCATAAGGAGTGGAACAGAGACACATATTTGTTGACACCAAAAGATATTTTCTAAGATGCTTGTATAGAAGAAAATTTATGTAAGGAGAATGAAGCCATTTATTTTTATTTCCTTTCAGCCAAATTCCACTTTAAGTTTGTCGAATTCAGAAATTGTATAGACCTTAAAAATATTTTACTCTGTTAACATATGCTTTCTTATGGTGATTTCCTGTCCAGCTTGTCTCATCTGTCCAATTTAAATCTTAACCCCTCAAGGCAGATACTGTGTATTTTACAGTGTTTTCTTCAGAGCAGTATTATGCTGACAAGTTCAGTAAATCTTAAACAGCAATAGATCTTCCTTTGTCATTCTTCTGCTAACTTTTAGTTTGTCTGGCTCCCTAATTTCAATGCTTGTAGATCAGTGTCCTTTAACTGAACTATTGTAGTAGTAGGAATTTTCTAAATTTTGATTATTCACTTGGGATCTATTCCTTAGAATATAGCAAGAGGAAAGAAGAAAGAAAAAGATCCAGGAACCGGGGAGGGAGGGAAAGGGTCATATTGATTACAGTGAAACGAAAGATAGTCTTTCTTTCTTATTTGGGTAGGATATAGCTTTTCAAAGACCACCAATGCTTCTTAACAACGGATAGGATATTTTACTATTCCTACTATATTTTAAACCTGTTCATTTCCTACCTTCTCACCCTATTTGTCAAAAATACATATAATAATCAGTAAGTTAAGAATTCACCATTGATGTCAATTCACAGAAATGTTTGCTGGATTTTTTTTTTTCTTTTTTGAGATGAAGTCTCACTCTGTCACCCAGGCTGGAGTGAAGTGGCATGATCTCAGCTCACTGCAACCTCCGTCTCCCGGGTTCAAGTGATTCTCCTGCCTCAGCCTCCCTAGTAGCTGGGATTAAAGGCACGCATCACCACACCCAGCTAATTTTTTTTTTTTTTGTATTTTTTTTAGTAGAAACCAGGTTTCACCGTGTTAGCCAGAGTGGTCTCGATCTTCTGACCTCGTGATCCACCAGCCTTGCCCTCCCAAAGTGCTGGGAGGAGTATTTTTAAAGTTGTTTTACCTTTGTACATACTGAAAAGCATCACAATTAATGAGAAAAATAAATGCAGAAAATCCTTCTATATTAGAAGGCTCTCCTGGGTCATGCAAACTTGTTAACAGATATTTCTTCGGGATAACTTGAGAACCTTCACAGTAGACGATGCTAGTGCTGTGCTGACTATAGTGTTTACAATGAATCATTGAATAAATTGTTACCATCCACGGAGGCTGCCTCTCTGGATAATTAGCAATTTCAATTTAAGGAAGATACTATAAAGTACACTTCAGCTTCGACATCAGTAGACCAAACACTGGGGTAAGTAGTTACATTAGACTGCTTTAAATACTACCTAGAACTTTTATTTTTAATCATATACTCTTATAAATTTCTATCTAAAACATTATATATAATCCTTTAGAGCATGTAGTAAAAATTTGAGATCTTATAACACAGCAATGAAATTACACTATAATTTTAGTGATTTGTCAAAAGACTTCAAGATAGAATTTATTTTCTGTACATAAGTAACAGAATGTAGAAACTGTGCCTACTATTTTCATAGCTTTTCTTTTTTTCCAGTTTTGTATGCGCACTTATAACAATAAGAGATGTAGAACATTCCATACGGTCACTAATTTGATTATATCTCTGTCTACGAATTAAGTTGATGGGTGCATTTCACTCAGGAAATTCAGTGCTCTGAAGTTGAAATACAGGTTTTATGACCTATGTACCGATCTCTATTTTGTTACTAAAAAGACCTTTAGACATTCAACACTAGGAAAAGATTCTCTGAGGCTTGATGCTGCTTTGTGACTAAGATTTTTAAGCAAGAAGAATTTACTCAAACGTTTTTGCAAGTTCATAGTTCAAAAAAGTTCTTATTACAATCAATAAATAAATTTAACATAAATTATCTCAGTTGTTATTTCATAACTTAAAAAATAGAAAAAAGGTGCATATATATTATTTGTCCCAGATTTTGAACTAATAGAGGGAAAAAAATCCTTTTCTCAGGCAAGATCAAAAATAGACCTTAATAAAATTTGACCCAATGACTTCTCTTACTTCATTAGCCCTTCACACAATACCCAGGAAGATCACGAAATACAGATACAAAAGAAAAATATACGATCAGATCATTATAATGTATAGTCTCTGAGATGATTTTCATAAATACATAGCTGTTTAGAAAAGATATTATTATGAAAGACAAAGCAGAGATAACATATGTAATTAGAACCATAATACTTTAATAACATGGTATTCTCCAAAAAGCTCAAAACACATTTTTAAAAATTAGCACCTCATAATAATCATTATAGAAAGGTAGGTATCCTATATGTGACCACCAGACTTTAACAAAGAGGTAGGTTTTTATTTATTTTTTTTAACAGCTTTGTGTTACACTCTCAGAAATGTATTTTAAAATTAAGTGATCAGAAGACATTACTACTAGCAGCATTAGCAGAGAAGAGCCCTCTATAAAATCACCAGTGAGACACTGAATCATTTCTTCTGTTAGTGAAAGTCATAGGCAAAAGTTCTAAAATTCTACAATTACAAAAATAAATCAAGCCAGTGTGTCATTTCTGCTTTTCTACATTAATAAATTAACCATGTAACATTGTTCAAAATTATGTCAGTTACGCATATAATAATCTTTTAAATTAATGAAGTGATGAAGCAGTTTGATGACACCCATGATTTACAGGGCTGCTTTTAGCTAATGTTAAAAGCCTTTCGCTTAATAAATTGCCCCCTTGAGAAATTACCAAAAATGAATATTTTCAATGCTAAATGTTTCAAGGTTTACACTTTTTAAATATATTAACAAATGGCAAGGGAGACACATTTTTCAAAATATATCTTCTTTTACATATATTTAATTGAAATTAATTAGTATATTACTTTAAAAGGAAATGATTATACAGGATCATTTATGAGAATTTTTGTGATGCAATAAACCTGAATTTAAACAACTAAATTAATCCTATCTTTACAAAATTTGTAGAATGAATTGAGAATCATTTCAAGCTTTTTGATTAAAGAGAAACAATTCTACAAAATCTACATTCTTAAAATATAGCTAGTGCTCTTCATCGATATTATTGCTTTAATTCTTTGTTTGCATTATTTATCAAGATTGAAATGGTATTACTAATAAGCTTCATAATTTTTATAATAATTTGTGTTTTGTTCACCTTTATCTAAACATTTCTTTATGAATTGTTATATGTGATATTAACTCCTGTGTATTTCTCAGTTTTAATAATGAGCAACAACAATCAGACCTTACAGTCAAAGTACATCATTTCCATTGTCTTGTGGTTTTATGTGGCCTCTGAGACATGTCTGAATACAGGAGAAATAATATCTTATGGAGAGATGTTATGTAAGTTCATTAGGAAAGCAAAATAGATTTCAGACAATCCAGGATATGCTTGTGTGTCATAACAGCAAAAAAGAAATGGAGCTAAATATAACTAGCAAAGAAAGCCTGAAATTGATGTTCCCTGTGCTTATGGATTTGTTTTTCATAATGTGGAGCCTGATTTTTATTACACTTCTGAATTAGTAATGTGCCTAGTACATTGGGCCAATTTCTTTCAAAGCATTTGCAGCTCCAGCCCTGAAAACAGAATAATTAATTTGTGCTTCTTGAGCCCAACAGATGTAATTTTAGGCAGGCAGATGTCAAGAAAATAACTTTTAGAATTCTTATAATTGATGGCAATGTAATGGAGAATTGCCTGTTGGCATTTCAAATGATTTTAAGGAATTTTAAACTTTCATCAATGAATTTTTAATGCATACTAATAATGGACTCTCATGGGTTTGTAGCCTATGCATAGTGAAACAGAACTTTAAGCATAATATTATTTTCCTTTAAAAATGGCTTGGAGAAAGTAATAAAGTGTTGGAAATGAAAGACTTCCCTTTTTTATAATATATAACTGCATCAAACTACTCATGAATACAATTATTTGAGTCAGTCATATTTTTGAGAGTTAATAAAGAAAATTTGAAAGAATCAATGGTCTTTCAAATACACATATCCAGTATATGAACATTTGCAGAAGGATCCCTGTTTACTACTAGAGCTATATTTACATTCGCATCACTTCTCCCACCACCCCCCCGCAAAGGAGCCTGTATACTCCCTAGAGGTCTCCGTGCATTTTGAAGAAATATCACATGAGCTTTAGGATGGCAAATTGCAAAATATTACACATCTCAAAGTTTCAAATATCTGATATTGCTAGCACTGATATTGAAGTCTTTAGTGTCATTGGGACTATTTCCAAAAAGTCCTTCAAAGAGTACAAAATTATATAGGTGTAGAAATTGACAAAATTCTTGTCTGGCTGAACTAAAATCTACGAAAATCACAAGAGAGGTGGGAGGGATATCAAGAGCTCTCAGAGAACCTGTGATTATCAACAGAAAAGCAGCTGGCCCTATTTAGGGATGGATAATTTTAAAACATAGAAGTTTAATTTCTGATGGATCAAACCACATGTTCTAATCCACACTAACTATGGGAAATATGATTTTATGTCTCTGAATCTTAGTTTTATCTGTGCTTAAAGTGGACTAGAGCTACCTATTTTTAGCGAGAATTACAGCATCTTTTTCCACCCTCCTCTGTTGAACTGTAGAAACACAATGAGATAACATACGAAAGCATTTTTAACTCTTTGAAACAATTGTATCATATAGACCTGAGATTCAAGTAACTTGATTTTTCCAATTTGTGAAAGTAGATAAGGAAGTAAGTACAGACTAAATACATATTGATAGTGTATGCACATGTTTTTACATATCTGAAATTCTTATATGGTTTTTATGGCAAATTTCCTTTTTTAAGTATGTTCAATTGTGATAATAAATTTATATTCCCTGTGCATGCTTCAACAAACTACTGAGAAGAGGAGGACAAGAAACTTTCTCCAGCAGTGGAGGAAAGCTTGATTTTTTCCCTATCATGTTCTAAATGGAAACCTCATTGGAAACTTTACGTCTTAAGTTTATAGAAACAGACACACAGTGGCTGCGAGGCTTACAGAAGTATCCGCGCTCTGTCCATTTTTAAGGCTGCACTTTGGAAGTTGGGCAAATCTTTTACTTTTTACAACACAGAGAACAGCAAAGCTGCTGCTGTTTTTCAAAATAGAGTGCAGTCTGCCTCACAGAGATCCAATAAAATGCTCTATTTATTGGCTAAGCATTAACAGTGTCTCTTATTTTCCTCCTGTGACCCTCCTTGGCAGTTAGTCACACATTCCGAGTAAGCAGACGCCACAAAAATATCCCTTATGTATATGGAAAAAGAAAAATCCTAATTGGCCATCGACCTCTTCCTTCCAGCTTCCCTGGTGTCATAACCCAGTGGCTTCCAATTTGTCACCCCTAGGGCTGGGCAATCTGGACTAAGAAGATGACAAGGCAGGCAAGGCTAAGCACCAGATTCAGGGCCAGTTCCTTGCCCTACCCAGAATTGTCACTTCGATGAGCAAAGCCCCACTGATGGCCATCACTGTCAGCTGAATCAGCATTTGTGAAAATGTAGTGCACACCACAACACCGTGTTATTCAGAGCAGTGGTTATTACTTTGTTTTTATTTTATTTATTTTTGCTGTTACCTTCTATTCATAGCTGTAATATTGCAATTCTATTTACAATAATGACATAAAATTCCCTTTTAAAATAGATTTATTTATACTTTAAAGAAGATTTAGAGAAGTCTTCTATGCAACTAAAGTTATGCAACTAATAGCATAAGGAAGCAAAGACATGGCAATAATCATGAAAATGATTTGTGAATAGCTGAAGATGAGACCACACTGAATCAAAGAACGCTAAAGCGATTGTGGGGAGAAAGTGACCACTCTCCCTTTCAGCTAGATTTTTATAATTACAGAATTTTATAGTAAATTTTTAATTTGATCTCTTTATGGCAATATCAAAGTAGATATGATGTATTATTATCACCACTTTACAGATGGGGAAACTGAGGATCAGAAGGCTCAGGCAGTTCACTAAAAGTCACACAGTTACAAATTCTGAGAGAAATATTAAGCCCTCAAAATGAGGCTTTCTGCCCCAAATAGTACACAATCTTCCGTTTCCCAGGCTATTCAATGAAGAAGATCACATGAAAGCTGAAGAGTTAAGTATTACCTTTGTATTAAAAGCAACATTTCAGTACATTTTCCAGCCATAGATACAAAAGGAAAATTCCTTCTGAGTAATATGAGATATGAACCTAACTGAACTAATTAATTCATGATGATGTTAGAAGGTTAACTACCCGATGGTGATAAAACATTTTACGGATGGAAAAATGCCATATTAAATACTAAAAATTACCATTACTTGTATCACTTTTCAGTGCTTATATTCAATAAAATTATAGGTAAAGAAAAAATATTAATATCATGCAGTTTTGACTCTTCTGATCAGTCCTTGGAGAGATGTTATTTAATCCTGTTTGTCACTATTGTGGGGATATCAGCATTTGTCACTGAGGACTGATGGATCAGGTAGTTGATAAACATTTAGAGACGTGTATATCCAGGAGATGCCAACACTTTGTTGTTTTATAGGAAAGAATGAAAAGTATTAAACTTTGGTTTAGCCGCTATGTTTGTTTAAAAAGAAAAATAAAACAGAAGTCATAATTTGTGAAAGCAGAATTTGTAGTTTCAATAGCATATTTAGACATGAAGCTGTACTTTGGGACTACAATTCGTGACATCCTAAAATTAAAATGGTTCCTCAGAAATGTAAACACTTTGACGTGAAAAGGTATATGCTCAGCCCCAAGCCAAAGTTACATATAGTGCCGGCAAAGTCTTTGATACCTCTAGTCAGTCAAATACACTCAAGATCTCAGCATGGAAAGCCATGTTTTCTGATCCGAAACAAAAACAAAACAAAACAAAACAAAAAACCACATAAACAAAGATGTCTTTTATCCCTGCAATTTTCCAATTTAATAGCCAATTTGAAGACTCTAATAGGAAATTTGATTTGGCTTTTCATAAGAATACTGTTTCACAGTATAATTTATATTTTTTTCAAAAGAATAAAAACCCTGCTGGTTTTAACTGTGTACTTTTGCATTTTCCAAGAAAATATTTCCTTTAGCAATATGGACAATATCAACTTGATACAAAGTAGGCATGTAATCTGAAATAACACTCTGAAGTGTAAAGAAATGTAACCTAAACTCAAAGTGAAAGGCTAGAAACCACTTACACAGGCATAATTATTTGAACCCCCGACCTTTCATACTGAAATTAGTGAGCATTTTCATTTTCCATATGCAATCACTTACTGTCCTTTTTCTTCTATTAGTGTTTCAAGAAGCAAGGACATTTAAATGAAAAAAGAAGAGGAAGAAAGCCCTCTGTTAATTTGAAGCTGAGCATCTGATCCACTAAAATTGACAAAAGTATCCTCTTGAAAACTGCCACTTTCCAATAATACAGCCCCACAGGAAGGAGATGTGCTGGAGAAAGAGCCAGTTAGTATGACTATTCTTTTCTTCCTATCAGTGGAGAGTCATGTCTTTCACTGCAAAGAGTTATTTTTCAGATTTTTTGAAAAAGGGCTTTCTTATAGATGAAACTACACAGAAAACTCATTTGTAAATGTCCCTGTCTGAACACTTTTCCACTCACTTCAGTGTTATGAGTAGGAGTCCTTTAAAAACCTCAGATGATGAATTGTTCTGTGACATGCAAACAGCTCAAAACCTGTTAGCTTTGAGAAGCTCACCACTAGCAACTTGCCTGTTCCCAAGTGTCTTGATTTTGATTGGTCAAGGAGAGGGCAAAAAGATTAAAATCTGCCTAAGCCAAGTGAGTATGCTTCACATATTTAAGGTCTACTTGACTCAAGGAGGGGAAACTGACCCGGCCATCAGGCCATAGATTTTACCAGCCCCACCCTGAGTTCACATAATGAGTCATAGCCCAACTTCTTATAACTGCAGAGGGAGGCCGCTTCTTCCCTTTCTCAAAGTAGTTGGCAAACTCCTCAGAGTGATGACCTCTCACAAAGAGTTAGACAGTCATTAGCGGCTCAGCCACCAAGCCTATTGGTGTGGACTGAAGGGGAATCATTCTGCTGAAGTAAAACATGACTTTGACCTGGACGTCAGAGCAAAGCAAAGGTGGGACACCACAGCATGGGGGGTGCCCAGATGGCAGAGGCCAGGAAGTCTCCGAACAAAAGGGAAAGAAGAAATCAAACAATTTTCTGCTCCATTTTATCTCGATTCCTTGACATCCAGACCAAACCTGATTACACGGGCTTGTGTTAGGACTGGGCAGACCTGAACATGTCTGTAATTCAGGCTGAATGAGCTTTCCTGAAGTTCACATGCATACCTCAGGTTTTCCTACCACTTTCCCCCCTGCCCTGCCACTCTCAAGACCACCAGCCCCCCTCTTTCTACCCTGCTATGGATTCTCAGAATGCTTTAAAGAAGGTGATAGTTGAAATTTGGAAGAGCTTACTTAACAGTGGTGAGGGGAAAAAAAAAAAAACAGAACTCATTTTTGCACCAGCAGCTCCTTTTCCCAGTATAGCCAAATAATGACAGTTTAATTCAAAACATTCATCGAGAAATTCCTATACAAAGGCCACTAAATGAAAGAGCAGACAGCAAAAAAGCATCAAGGTGTGAGAAAAGGAGAATAAAGCTTTTGAATCAACTCTGCCAGGATACCCTTAAACAGAAGTGGGGTGGGGGAAACCAATCTTAGAATTAAGTGATTTGCGTAAGATTAATCTGGAAGGAAGGGAGGGGAACCAAACCTTACCAACATTCACCAAACTTTAAAAAAGTTTTTCTTAACCAGGAGTAAATAGCATAATCGTATACCTGGGGATTCATGCCGAAACTTCTGAATCAGACACCCTGGGGCTGGGAACTAGTCAGCCAGGGTGTCTTCTGGATCACACACCCTGGAGAATGTGGACTTTAACATTTCTTCTGAGTAATTTTGGCCTCCAGCCTGAGTAAGGATAGTTCTAGACCTATAGTTCTTAAACCTAGATGAGTAATTATAAGAATTACCTAGGGGAGGAGCCAAGATGGCCGAATAGGAACAGCTCCGGTCTACAGCTCCCAGCGTGAGCGACGCAGAAGACGGGTGATTTCTGCATTTCCATCTGAGGTACCGGGTTCATCTCACTAGGGAGTGCCAGACAGTGAGCGCAGGTCATTGGGTGCATGCACCGTGCACGAGCCGAAGCAGGGCGAGGCATTGCCTCACTTGGGAAGTGCAAGGGGTCAGGGAGTTCCCTTTCCGAGTCAAAGAAAGGGGTGACGGACACACCTGGAAAATCGGGTCACTCCCACTCGAATATTGCGCTTTTCGGACCGGCTTAAAAAACGGTGCACCACAAGATTATATCCCACACCTGGCTCGGAGGATCCTACGCCCGCGGAGTCTCGCTGATTGCTAGCACAGCAGTCTGAGATCAAACTGCAAGGCGGCAGCCAGGCTGGGGGAGGGGCGCCCGCCATTGCCCAGGCTTGCTTAGGTAAACAAAGCAGCCTGGAAGCTCGAACTGGGTGGAGCCCACCACAGCTCAAGGAGGCCTGCCTGCCTCTGTAGGCTCCACCTCTGGGGGCAGGGCACAGACAAACAAAAAGACAGCAGTAGTAACCTCTGCACACTTAAATGTCCCTGTCTGACAGCTTTGAAGAGAGCAGTGGTTCTCCCAGCACGCAGCTGGATATCTGAGAATGGGCAGACTGCCTCCTCAAGTGGGTCCCTGACCCCTGACCCCCGAGCAGCCTAACTGGGAGGCACCCCCCAGCAGGGGCACACTGACACCTCACACGGCAGGGTATTCCAACAGACCTGCAGCTGAGGGTTCTGTCTGTTAGAAGGAAAACTAACAAACAGAAAGGACATCCACACCAAAAACCCATCTGTACATCACCATCATCAAAGACCAAAAGTAGATAAAACCACAAAGATGGGGAAAAAACAGAACAGAAAAACTGGAAACTCTAAAACGCAGAGCGCCTCTCCTCCTCCAAAGGAACGCAGTTCCTCACCAGCAACGGAACAAAGCTGGATGGAGAATGACTTTGACGAGCTGAGAGAAGAAGGCTTCAGACGATCAAATTACTCTGAGCTACGGGAGGACATTCAAACCAAAGGCAAAGAAGTTGAAAACTTTGAAAAAACTTTAGAAGAATGTATAACTAGAATAACCAATACAGAGAAGTGCTTAAAGGAGCTGATGGAGCTGAAAACCAAGGCTCGAGAACTACGTGAAGAATGCAGAAGCCTCAAGAGCCGATGCAATCAACTGGAAGAAAGGGTATCAGCGATGGAAGATGAAATGAATGAAATGAAGCGAGAAGGGAAGTTTAGAGAAAAAAGAATAAAAAGAAATGAGCAAAACCTCCAAGAAATATGGGACTATGTGAAAAGACCAAATCTACGTCTGAAAGTGATGGAGAGAATGGAACCAAGTTGGAAAACACTCTGCAGGATATTATCCAGGAGAACTTCCCCAATCTAGCAAGGCAGGCCAACGTTCAGATTCAGGAAATACAGAGAACGCCACAAAGATACTCCTCGAGAAGAGCAACTCCAAGACACATAATTGTCAGATTCACCGAAGTTGAAATGAAGGAAAAAATGTTAAGGGCAGCCAGAGAGAAAGGTCAGGTTACCCTCAAAGGGAAGCCCATCAGACTAACAGCGGATCTCTCAGCAGAAACCCTGCAAGCCAGAAGGGAGTGGGGGCCAATATTCAACATTCTTAAAGAAAAGAATTTTCAACCCAGAATTTCATATCCAGCCAAACTAAGCTTCATAAGTGAAGGAGAAATAAAATACTTTACAGACAAGCAAATGCTGAGAGATTTTGTCACCACCAGGCCTGCCCTAAAAGAGCTCCTGAAGGAAGCGCTAAACATGGAAAGGAACAACTGGTACCAGCCGCTGCAAAATCATGCCAAAATGTAAAGACCATCGAGACTAGGAAGCAACTGCATCAACTAACAAGCAAAATCACCAGCTAACATCATAATGACAGGATCAAATTCACACATAACAATATTAACTTTAAATGTAAATGGACTAAATGCTCCAATTAAAAGACACAGACTGGCAAATTGGATAAAGAGTCAAGACCCATCAGTGTGCTGTATTCAGGAAACCCATCTCACGTGCAGAGACACACATAGGCTCAAAGTAGAAGGATGGAGGAAGATCTACCAAGCAAATGGAAAACAAAAAAAGGCAGGGGTTGCAATCCTAGTCTCTGATAAAACAGGCTTTAAACCAACAAAGATCAAAAGAGACAAAGAAGGCCATTACATAATGGTAAAGGGATCAATTCAACAAGAAGAGCTAACTATCCTAAATATACATGCACCCAATACAGGAGCACCCAGATTCATAAAGCAAGTCCTGAGTGACCTACAGAGAGACTTAGACTCCCCCACATTAATAATGGGAGACTTTAACACTCCACTGTCAACATTAGACAGATCAACGAGACAGAAAGTCAACAAGGATACCCAGGAATTGAACTCAGCTCTGCACCAAGCGGACCTAATAGACATCTACAGAACTCTCCACCCCAAATCAACAGAATATACATTTTTTTCAGCACCACACCACACCTATTCCAAAATTGACCACATACTTGGAAGTAAAGCTCTCCTCAGCAAATGTAAAAGAACAGAGATTATAACAAACTATCTCTCAGATCACAGTGCAATCAAACTAGAACTCAGGATTAAGAATCTCACTCAAAACCTCTCAACTACATGTAAACTGAACAACCTGCTCCTCAATGACTACTGGGTACATAACAAAATGAAGGCAGAAATAAACATGTTCTTTGAAACCAATGAGAACAAAGACACAACATACCAGAATCTCTGGGACACATTCAAAGCAGTGTGTAGAGGGAAATTTATAGCACTAAATGCCCACAAGAGAAAGCAGGAAAGATCCAAAATTGACACCCTAACATGACAGTTAAAAGAACTAGAAAAGCAAGAGCAAACACATCCAAAAGCTAGCAGAAGGCAAGAAATAACTAAAATCAGAGCAGAACTGAAGGAAATAGAGACACAAAAAACCCTTCAAAAAATTAATGAATCCAGGAGCTGGTTTTTTGAAAGGATCAACAAAATTGATAGACCAATAGCAAGACTAATAAAGAAAAAAAGAGAGAAGAATCAAATAGACACAATAAAAAATGATAAAGGGGATATCACCACCGATCCCACATAAATACAAACTACCATCAGACAATACTACAAACACCTCTACGCAAATAAACTAGAAAATCTAGAAGAAATGGATAAATTCCTCGACACACACATCCTCCCAAGATTAAACCAGGAAGAAGTTGCATCTCTGAATAGACCAATAACAGGATCTGAAATTGTGGCAATAATCAATAGCTTACCAACCAAAAAGAGTCCAGGACCAGATGGATTCACAGCCGAATTCTACCAGAGGTACAAGGAGGAACTGGTACCATTCCTTCTGAAACTATTCCAATCAATCGAAAAAGAGGGAATCCTCCCTAACTCATTTTATGAGGCCAGCATCATTCTGATACCAAAGCCGGGCAGAGACACAACAAAAAAAGAGAATTTTCGACCAATATCCTTGATGAACATTGATGCAAAAATCCTCAATAAAATACTGGCAAGACGAATCCAGCAGCGCATCAAAAAGTTTATCCACCATGATCAAGTGGGCTTCATCCCTGGGATGCAAGGCTGGTTCAATATACGCAAATCAATAAATGTAATCCAGCATATAAACACAGCCAAAGACAAAAACCACATGATTATCTCAATAGATGCAGAAAAAGCCTTTGACAAAATTCAACAACCCTTCATGCTAAAAACTCTCAATAAATTAGGCATTGATGGGACGTATTTCAAAATAATAAGAGCTATCTATGACAAACCCACAGCCAATATCATACTGAATGGGCAAAAACTGGAAGCATTCCCTTTGAAAACTGGCACAAGACAGGGATGCCCTCTCTCACCACTCCTATTCAACATAGTGTTGGAAGTTTTGGCCAGGGCAATTAGGCAGGAGAAGGAAATAAAGGGTATTCAATTAGGAAAAGAAGAAGTCAAATTATCCCTGTTTGCAGACGACATGCTTGTATATCTCGAAAACCCCATTGTCTCAGCCCAAAATCTCCTTAAGCTGATAAGCAACTTCAGCAAAGTCTCAGGACACAAAATCAATGTACAAAAATCACAAGCATTCTTATACACCAACAACAGACAAACAGAGAGCCAAATCTGAGTGAACTCCGATTCACAATTGCTTCAAAGAGAATAAAATACTTAGGAATCCAACTTACAAGGGATGTGAAGGACCTCTTCAAGGAGAACTACAAACCACTGCTCAAGGAAATAAAAGAGGATACAAACAAATGGAAGAACATTCCATGCTCATGGGTAGGAAGAATCAATATCATGAAAATGGCCATACTGCCTAAGGTAATTTACAGATTCAATGCCATCCCCATCAAGCTACCAGTGACTTTCTTCACAGAATTGGAAAAAACTACTTTAAAGTTCATATGGAACCAAAAAAGAGCCCGCATCACTAAGTCAATCCTAAGCCAAAAGAACAAAGCTGGAGGCATCACACTACCTGACTTCAAACTATAATACAAGGCTACAGTAAGCAAAACAGCATGGTACTGGTACCAAAACAGAGATATAGATCAATGGAACAGAACAGAGCCCTCAGAAATAACGCCACATATCTACAACTATCTGATCTTTGACAAACCTGAGAAAAACAAGCAATGGGGAAAGGATTCCCTATTTAATAAATGGTGCTGGGAAAACTGGCTAGCCATATGTAGAAAGCTGAAACTGGATCCCTTCCTTACACCTTATACAAAAATCAATTCAAGATGGATTAAAGACTTAAACGTTAGACCTGAAACCATAAAAACCCTAGAAGAAAACCTAGGCATTACCATTCAGGACATAGGCATGGGCAAGGACTTCATGTCTAAAACACCAAAAGCAATGGCAACAAAAGCCAAAATTGACAAATGGGATCTAATTAAACTAAAGAGCTTCTGCACAGCAAAAGAAACTACCATCAGAGTGAACAGGCAACCTACAAAATGGGAGAGAATTTTCGCAACCTACTCATTTGATAAAGGGCTAATATCCAGAATCTACAAAGAACTCCAACAAATTTACAAGAAAAAAACAAACAACCCCATCAAAAAGTGGGCAAAGGACATGAACAGACACTTCTCAAAAGAAGACATTTATGCAGCCAGAAAACACATGAAAAAATGCTCATCATCACTGGCCATCAGAGAAATGCAAATCAAAACCACAATGAGATACCATCTCACACCAGTTAGAATGGCAATCATTAAAAAGTCAGGAAACAACAGGTGCTGGAGAGGATGTGGAGAAATAGGAACACTTTTACACTGTTGGTGGGACTGTAAACTAGTTCAACCCTTGTGGAAGTCAGTGTGGCCATTCCTCAGGGATCTAGAACTAGAAATACCATTTGACCCAGCCATCCCATTACTGGGTATACACCCAAAGGACTATAAATCATGCTGCTATAAAGACAGATGCACACGTATGTTTATTGTGGCATTATTCACAATAGCAAAGACTTGGAACCAACCCAAATGTCCAACAATGATAGACTGGATTAAGAAAATGTGGCACATATACACCATGGAATACTATGCAGCCATAAAAAATGATGAGTTCATGTCCTTTGTAGGGACATGGATGAAATTGGAAATCATCATTGTCAGTAAACTATCGCAAGAACAAAAAACCAAACACTGCATATTCTCACTCATAGGTGGGAACTGAACAATGAGATCACATGGACACAGGAAAGGGAATATCACACTCTGCGGACTGTGGTGGGGTGGGGGGAGGGGGGAGGGATAGCATTGGGAGATATACCTAATGCTAGATGACGAATTAGTGGGTGCAGCGCACCAGCATGGCACATGTATACATATGTAACTAACCTGCACAATGTGCACATGTACCCTAAAACTTAAAGTATAATTAAAAAAAAAGAAAGAAAACCATGGAAAAAGAAAAAAAAAAGAAATTTGATGTTAGAAAAAAAAAAAAAAAGAATTACCTAGCAGCTTAAATAACATGGATTTTTGGTCTCTATCCTACACTGAGTTGGGACCTTTGGAAGTGGGACCCCAGATACAATTCTGATTATCAGCCAGATTTTGGAGCCACAACTTAATATCACACCCCAGATAAGTCCCAACATTGGCCATAGAGCCAGTTGAATAGGTCCAGATAGGGCCCTGAAATCTGTATTTTAATAAGCATCTGTTGTGAGTATCTTGAAGACTTTACTATGTGAACACTGAAGAGATGGATCCAGGGTTGCAAACTTGAACGTTTATTGGAAGCCTTTGTCCCTCTGGTCCAATCATTTATTTACATATTCCAAACACAAAAGTTTACCAAGCATCACCTATGTGCCAGGCACTTTTTCAGAGCTTAAGGAGTTCACAATCTAGTGATAGAGATAAATGCACAAATAATTATACACATGGAGAAAGTATAGATACAAAATTATGCAAAATAAAAAGTGAGGTGTAAACAGTAACTGACTCAGCCTGGAGGAGCTGGTGAAGGCTTTACAGAAGACAGGCTAACTTTAAAGTAAGATAGGATTCTAGGCAGAGGAAATACTGTGTAAAATAACTGCAGTGTTTCTCAAAGTGTGGCCCTCAGACTACCTCTATCGGAATACTCAGGGGCCCATGACTCAGCTCACCCCAGAATAACACACCCAGAGTTCCCTGGAGTCAGACATAGGAATATGCATTTCTATTGTGCTTCCCTGGTGATTCTGAAAAGTACTGGCTTTTAAAAACTATAGGCAGAGACTCTTGAAAAAGCCAGGTTTATCCGGGGAAAATATAAGCACGTGATGTTAAAGCAGGGTCTATTTTTTTAAGGCATTAAAAACCAAGTGAGACTCCAGCTTGTGGCTAAGACGGAGAAACAAGAACCAGATTTATCCTCCTACCTAAAACAACCAAAGCACAGCAAGAAAAAATGAAACAATAGTTTTCAAAGCACTGAATGTAGAGCAGTGAAGGAGGGTGGTCCCCAGATGAGAAGAAAAAATGAGATGGGCCATACGATTTTTTGCAAAGAGAAGGAATGCAGGCAGAGCTCAGAAGACTCCTTGAGTTGAAGAGATGGAGCTGAGACTCTAGGAATACCAAGGCAGCCAGAGCTCATGGGATCATAGAAGAGAGTACTGGAGAGGGGATAATAAGACAGGTGCCCACATTACAGAGGATAAGGGAAAATTCTGTACATCTTTATGCCAACAAATTCAACAACTTGATTCAACAGGCAAATTATTTGAAAGATTAAATAGGCAGTTCTTTGAAAGACAAAATTACCACAGCTTAATCAAAAAGAAATGTATCATCTGAATATCCCTATATCTGTAAAATAAACTGATATCTATCAAAAACCTTCCCACCAAAAAACAAACAAAAAATAAATAATAGCAACAGGCCGGAATGGTTTCATTTGTGAATTTAAGCAAACATTTAAGGAAGAAATAATACAAATTCTACTCAAACCATACAATACCATTGAAAGGAAAGAAATTCATCCCGATTTATTCTGAGGCCTAAATTAACATGATACCAAAACCAGCCAAGACTTTATAAGAAAGGGAAACGATAGACTAATATTTTTCCTGAATACAGATGGAAAGTTTGTGAACAAAATTTTAGCAAATCTTGCAATAGCCACTGCCTCAGTATCTCTGGGAGATTGGTTCCAGGACTTCCCACAGATACCAAAATCTGTGGATGTTGATAAAAAATGGCATAGTATATGCATATAACCTATGTATATCCTCTTATATACTTTTAATCACCCCTAGATTATCTATAATACCTAATACAATGCAAATGCTACACAAATATTTGTTATTATATTGTATTGTTTGGGGAATAATGACAAGAAAAAGGTCTGTTCATGTTTAGTACAGGCAGAATATTGTTTTTGAATATTTTTGATACAAAAAAATAATATTTTTGATATAAGTTTGGCTGAATCCAAACTTATATTGCAGAACTGGATACAAAGGGCAGACGATATGTTAAAAGGATAATACACAGTGACGTAGAGTACATGCACCTGACAGCAATAATTTGAGCATACCATTAGAATGACCCTGTATGGCGGATGCACCTGAATGTGTGTTCTGAGCTAGGGAATCTGGGAGTGGCCAACCTGGAGGTTCCTTCCTTATCTATGATAAACACTGAGCCCTCAGTTTGCCCTGCAGAACACAGCCCTACAGGAGATTGAGGCCCTGAATTTTGGGTTAAATGAAGGTTGCCAGGTGAATGTTGTTACAGGAAGGGTAAGTGAAAATGTTATATAAACTGCATGATGTTTGCAGGTGATTACAGTTTTCCTGACCAGCCTGCCACCCCTGGGCCATGCAGTTATCGTCCAGGCTGCCACCACTGTGACCATAGAAAGGCAGGTTTGTCTAGCCTGTTGCCACTGGGCCAGGTGGATATGTTGTCTAGCCTGCCACCACTGGGCTGCAGTAGGCAGATATATTGCCCAGCCCACCACCACTGGACCCTCTCCCCTGTATGTAAGCCCCTGATAAAAATCCACATCTTGTTTGTTGGCTCTGCACGTCTTCTTTGGCCTCTTAAACCTGGTGCCTTCCCTATTGAGATTAACAGGGGTTGGGCACAACACATGACCAAGTAGGTTTCATCCCAAGAATGCAAGGTTGGCTTAATAGTAAAAGATCAATTGATGTAAATCACCCAAATATAAACTAATAAATAAAAATATATATGTATATATAACCATTTCAATAAATTCAGTAAGAGTATGTGGCAAAATCCAATATCCATTCTTGATTTTTTTAAAAGTCATCAAACAAGGAATAGGAAATGCTATGAATTAAATTTTGTTCCCCCAAAATATATGTTGAGTCCTAACCTCTAGTACTTCAGAATACGACCTTATTTGAAAATAAGAACATTGCAAACATAATTAATGATGAAATCATACTGGAGTAGGATGGGCCCTTAATCAAAAATGACTGTGTCCTTATAAGAAGGGGACAAGGAAGGGGCAAGGAAGGATTCTACCCAAAATCTCAAAAGAAGCATGGTCCCATTGACACCTTGATTTCAGACTTCTAGCCTCCAGAACTGAGAAGTAATACATTTGTATGGTTTTAAGCTCAGTATTTAGTGCCTTGTTACAGGAGCCTTAGGAAACTAACACAGAAACTTCCTAGTCCTGATAAAGGACATCTGTGAAAAACCTACAACTCACATCATATTAACAATGAAAGACTGAATGCTTTTCTCCTAAGAACAGGAATAAGATAAGGATGTCTGCTTTTACCACTCTGTTCAACATTGTACTGGAGGATGTAGCCAGTGCAATCTGACAGGAAAAAGAAATAAAACCCATCCAGATTAGAAAAGAAGTATAATTATCTTTATTTACATAAAACATGATTGTCTGTGCATAAAATTGATGTAATTTATGTAAAAACTAGTAACACTAATAAGCGAGTTTGGCAAAGTTAAGAGATATAGCGTCAGAATACAAAATTCAGTTGCATTTCTATATGCTAGCAACAATTAGAAATTGAAATGTTTTAAAATACTATTACAACAACATCAAAAGATATTACTTACAAGACATCTGGTTTTAGATCCAACATATAAAGAGCTTGGACTGATTTTACAGATTAAGTTGGGAAGAATTCACATCCTTACAACAAGAAAAAAAGCTAAAAAAAAAAAAAAAAACAACTGAAAATCAACAACTCTTCCAGGATCCATCAGAGAATTGAGGTCACAGAACAAAATGCCACCCAGTATCTGGAGAGACAGGCAAATGAAGAGAACCACAGCTGATATCTGCTTACCTGGAACAGAAGCAACTAGAGCCATAAACTGGTAAGACCACCTCTGTGGTAATTTTGATGAATTACTGGAGGCTGAGTGTGGATGAGTATCACAGTGAGAAACCCCAGAGGCCACAGTCTTAGGATGTCCACCACACACATTTGTGGGTTTTACCTTCAGAAATCTCACCAAATTCTTACAGGGAAGAGCCAGAAAAGATTCCCTGTATCTTGGGCAGAAGGAAGAAGAAAGTAACCATTTTGAAATACACCCAGAGGATTTTACCAGAGCCTTCACCTGGGATAAAGACATTTACCCAACTCTAGCACCCTCTAGCTTTCCAGTTTCATCTAAGAAGGGGGAAAAAACCCTAAGAAACACTTCTGAAGGTTACAGCCCAGAGGCACAGGCCCACTAAAACACTGTTTGATCAATTACTGAAAGATAGCTATAGTCTCCAACTTTAATAGTGGATTTGTCTAGTTCTCTTTGCAGTTCTATCAGTTTTTGCCTTATGTATTTTAATTCTCAGTTGTCAGTTGAATACACAGAAAAAAATTGGAATAGTTTCTGGAAGAACTGACCTCTTTATCATGATGTAATGCTTTTCTTTATACCTGATAATTTTCCTTGTTCTGAAGTCTGCTTTGTCAATTCATACAAAAAAAAATTTTTTTTTTACAAAATCCAGCACCCTTTCGTGATAAATACTCTCAGAAAACTAGGAGTAGAGAAAAATTTACTCAACTTCACAAAGAACATCTACAAAATCCTATAACTAACATCGTACGTAGCAGTGAGAAAATACATACTTAACTCCTAAAACTGGAAACAAGGCAAGGATGTTCCCTTTCACGATTTCTAGTCACCATAGCACTGGAAATCCTAGCTACTGCAGTAAGACTAAAAACAAAAATTTGAAATAAATGATGTACAGATTGGGAGGGAGAAAATAACACGGTCTTTCTTCATAGATAATGTGATTGCCTATGTAGAAAATCCCAAAGAAATAGCAAACAAAACCTCCTAGATATAAGTCAGTATAGCAAGATCACAGGAGACAAAGTTAATATGCAAAAGTCATACCAGCAATAAACAACTGAAATAAAGAATATCATTTACAATAATACCTCAAAGATGAAATACTTAAGTATAAATCAAACAAAATACATGTAAGATCTATTTTCCAGGCACGGTAGCTCACCCCAAGGCAGGAAGATTGCTTGAGGCCAGGAGTTTGAGACCTGCCTGGGTAACATAGCAAAACCCAGTCTCAACAACAACAACAAAAAAATTAAGTCGCCAGGCATGGTGGTACATGCCTGTAATCCTAACTACTTGGAAGGCTGAGGTGAGAGGATCACTTGACCTCAGCTCAGTGTTACAATGAGCTATGATCACACCTCTGCACTCCAGCCTGAGTGACAGAATGAGACTCTGTCTTAAAAAAAGATCTATATGCCAAAGATTACAAAGCTAATTAATTTGAGAAGTTCAAAATAAATGAAGAAATATTCTATGTTCATGGGTTATAAAACTCAATATTGTAAAAATGTGAATTCTTCCCAACTTAATCTGTAAAATCAACGCAACCAAAATCAAAATCCCAGAAAGTTGTTTTGTAGATATTGAAATGATTCTAAAGTTTATTTGGAAAGGGAAAAAGCCTAGTATAGCCAACACAATACTGAAGAATAAAGTTAGAAGACTCACACTACCTAATTTCAAGATTTGTCATAAAGCTATAATAACCAAAACAGTGTGGTATTGTCCAAAGAATATACAAATAGATAAAAACACAACAGAATAGAAAACCCAGAAATAGACCCACCTAAACAGATCTTTGAAAAAGAAGCAAAGGGAATTCATTAGAAAAAAGAATAGTCTTTTCAAAAAATGATGATGGAACAACTGGATGTCCATATCCAAAAAATGAATCTAGACAGACCTTATACCTTTCACAAAAATTAAGTTGAAATTGATAAGACCTAAATATCAAATGTGAAACTAGAAAACTTCCAGAAGAAAACACAGGAGAAAATCTTGGTGGATGACTATGGGTTTAGAGATCAGTTTTTAGCTACAACATAAAAAAAAGCTATAAAGAAAATTTGTTAAATTGGACTTTATTAAAACTAAAAATTAAAATTTAATATTTTAAAAGTTAACATTTTAATTAAAATATTTTGAGTTGGAAATATCAACATGAACTCATGTTTACCTTGACATAGATACATTAAAATTAAAATTTTCTGCCTTGTGAAAGACACTGTTACAATGAAAAGACAAGCCACAGACGGGGGAAAAACCACATATCTGATAAAAGGCTTGTATCTAAAATATACAAAGAACTCCTGAAACTCAACAATAAGAAAATACACTCCAATTAAAAAGTGGGCAAAGATGTAACAGACACCTTACTAAAGAAGATACATAAGTGGCAAATAAGTATATGAAAAGATGATTTTTGCATTAGTGAATTGCAAATTAAAACAACAATGTGATACCACTACACACCTTTTAGAATGACTGAAATTGAAACAATGGACAATTCCAAATGCTGAAGATATAGAGCAACAGGAGATCTCATTCATTACTCGTGGGACTGCAAAATGGTATGACCACTTAGATAGTTTGGCAGCTTCTTCCAAAGCTAAATATACTCTTACTTTATGATTCAGAAATTGCACTCCTAGGTATTTACCCAAGCATTTTGAAAATATATGTCCATGGAAAAACCTGTACATAAATGTTTACAGCATCTTTATTTATAATTTCCCCAAATTGGAAACAACCAAGGTATCTTTCAACAGGTGAATGGATAAATAAACTGTGCTATATTTATGCAATGTAATTTTATTTAGTGATAAAAAGAAATGATCTATCAAGCCACAAAAAGATATGGAGGAAACTTGAATGAATATTGCTAAGTAAAAGATGCCATTCTGAAAAAGTTATGTACTCTATCATTCCAACTATATAATATTTAGGGGGCAAAATTATAGAGGTGGCAAAAAGATCCATGGTTTCCAGGGAGAGAGGGTTTAATAGGTGAAGCATGGGTTTTGTTCAGGGTGGTGAAACTATTTTATATGATACTATAATGGTGGAGACGGATATTATGTATTTTTCAAAAAACATAGAAATTTACAACACAAAGAGTAAAAACCTTAATGTATTTCAAATTAAAAAAATTATTTGGAAGGTCCTGCATCTCAGAAAGGGATGTAGACAATGATAAAATAACTGATGTCCAGTGCGGTGGCTCACACCTGTAATCCCAGCACTTTGGGAGGCTGAGGCGGGCCAATCACGAGGTCAGGAGTTCCAGACCAGCCTGGCCAACACGGTGAAATCCTGTCTCTACTAAAAATACAAAAAAAAAAAAAAAAAAAAAAAAAAAGCCGGGCGTGGTGGCAGGCGCCTATAATCCCAGCCACTCGGGAGGCTGAGGCAGGAGAATCGCTTGAACCCGAAAGGCGGAGGTTTCAGTGAGCTGAGACCACACCACTGGACTCCATCCTGGGCAACAGAGTGAGGCTCTGTCTCAAAAAAAAAAAAAAAAATTGTGCAACAAATGTATGAAACAATCTCACTAAAGGAGATGGGTGGCAGGGGATGGACTGACCTAAATAACTTTTCAGAAGAGTGCACTCTGTAAGACTAAAGGCAAAAAAAAACCAAAAAACAAAAAACAGAAAACTGCACAGAAACAGCACATTGTAGTTGATAAAGATGTTTCCAGTAGGGGTACAGGTTGGAAATTCTGATACTGCTATATATGTATACTGGAATTAACCAAGTACACGTATGGAAGATGGTAGGATCCAGGTTTCTTACTGTCGAAGTAAGAGTTTACAAATGAGCAAGGGAGGAGGCTGGAATCCAATCCATGTGACAGTGGATTGGAGTTGGAAATATCAGTAAGAACTCGTCTTTACCTTGACATAGACACAGATGGCTTTATATATACACAGGCACACATATCCTTGCTTTGTCAACTGAGAGGACCTGGAAGCAACAGCAAAACTTCCCAGTAACAATGAGCACACTGAGCACCCAACTCTTTGTTTCTAATACTTTTAGAAACAAGGGCTCCTTGGAGAAATGACATAAACAGGACATGAGCAGGACATATACAAGATGGGCCTTGAGCATTTGTAGTGCCAGAAAGCAAGGAGGTGTGGGACACACACACACACACACACACACACGCATTGATGGAAGTATAAAAAAGAGATACAGTGGCCAATGGCCAACTGAATGCACTCCCCAGTGGCGAAAGCCAGAACATTTTGAGCAATAAAATAAAGCACTGGATTTTAATCCAAAGTGTAAAATAAATATCCTTGAGTTCATACTTATATAAAGAAATGTTCAAGTAAATAAATAAATGGGAAAGAAAAAACAAATCTCCCTTGCAGAAGAATTCCAAATAATTTATGTCAATACTCAGCTCTCATGGAGGGGTCCCATAACTCTTCCCTCCTTAAGTGTGGATTGTGCATAGCATCTTCCTTCCAAAGAATATAGTAGAGAAAGAGAGCTTTTTTTTTTTTTTAAAGAGTAACTTTACAGTGGAGAAACCTGATAGACCCTACCTCACCCAGCAATCAGGGTCATAAATCATGTTGACAGAGTGTATCCTTGATATGACGTGATGAAAGGGCACTTTATCTCTGTGGTTTTCCTCCCCAAAAACACATAGCCCCAACCTAATCATGAGAAAAACATCCGACGAATTCCAGTAGAAGGGCATTCTACAAAATATCTGGCCAGTATGCCTCAAAACTGTCAAGATGATAGAAAACAAAAAAGTTCGAGAAACTATCACAGTCAAGAAGAGCCTAAGGGGACAAGACAATTAGTATAATGTGGTATCCTGGATGGAATTCTGGAACAGAAAAAGAACATTAGATTTTTTTAAATTAACGTAATATCAATAAAGCATGATCTTTAGTTAATAATAATGTATCAAAATTGATTCACTAATTCTAACAAAGGTAGTGTACTAGTGTAAGATGTTAAATATAGGAGAAACTGGTGTGAGGCATATGGTAAGTCTGTACTATCTTCTAAATTTTTCTGTTACCCAAAAACAGTTTTAAAATACAAAGTCTATTTTTTAAAAACAAAAAAATATAAAGTATTGGGGATAAATCTAACAAAAGATGTCAGAGCTGTCACTGAAAACTATAAAACATTGCTGAGGGAAACTAAAGACCTGAAAAAAATTAAAAGATATGCTTTGTTCATGGTTCAGAAAACTCAGTATTGTCAAGATGTCAGTTCTCCCCAAGTTAATCTATAGATTCAACACAAATTCTAATCAAAATCTCTAAAGTTTTTTTTTTTTTGGTATACACTGACAAACTGATTGTAAAATTCCTGTGAGAATACAAAAGACCTAGAATAGCGAAAACAATTGTGGGGGAAAGTTGCAAGACCAACACTATCTCATTTCAAGACTTCTTATAAAACTACAGAAATTAAGACAATATGACAGTCATGTGTAGATAGACAAATAGATCAATGAAATAAAGAATTCACAAATAGACCCACACATACATGGACAAGTGATTTTTGACAAGTTACAAAGGCAACTCAATGAAGAAAGAATAATCTTTTGAACAAATTGTGCTGGAGCAATTGAATACTCATACACAAAAAAATGAACTTTAACCTACACCTCCCTCCAGATGTAAAAATTAACTCAAAACAGATCATAAGCCTAAATGTAAGAGCTAAAACTATAAAACTCTTGGAATAAACATCTTTGCAACCTTGGATTAGGCAATAGCTTCTTAACTATGACACTAAAACACAAGCACCAAAAGAAAAAAAAAGATAAATTGGATTTCACCAAAAAAGTTTGTGCTTCGAAGGACATTATCAAGATAGTGGGAAAAAAAAAAAACCACAGAATGGGAACAAATATTTGTAAATCATGTATCTGATAAGGAATGTATATGTAGATATATAAAGAAGAAATGGTAAAAACAACTAAAAACAAGTCAATTTAAAAATGGGCAAAAGACTTGCATAGACATTTCTTCAATAAAGATATACAATTGGTCAATAAGCACATAAGATTATGATCAGTATCTTTAGTGATTATCCAAATTAAAACCTGCAATGAGCTATTACTGCACGTCAATTAGAATAACTGACAATACCAAGTGTTGGCTAGGATGTGGGGGAGTCTGAGCTTTCATGCTTTTCTAGTGGAAATGTAAAATGGTACAAACTCTTAGGAAAACAGTTTGGCTGTTTCCGAAAAAGTTAAACATACACTAATCTTATGATTCAATAGTTCCACTCCTTGATATTTACCCAAGAGAAATGAAGGCACATGTCCATACAAAGACATGTACATGACTGTTCATAGTTGCTTCATTCATAATAGCAAGAAACTGGAAACAACTGAAATGTCTATCAACAGGTGAATGGATAAGCAAAATGTTGTATACGGATATTATAATACTAGATAATAAAAAGCAATAAACTACTGATAGATACAACAGCATGAATGAGCCTCAAAACAATTATGCTGTGTGAAATAAGCCAGGCAAAAAAGGAGTACACAACATATGATTCCATTTATATAAAATCTTAGACATTGTAAACCAATAGATGCAACAGAAAGTGGATCGGCAGTTTCCTGGGGCCAAAGAAGTATTACAAAAGGGCATAAAGAAATGTCTGAGGATAATGGATATATTTAGTACATTGATCAGCAGAATAGTTTCATGAGTTTATACATACATCAATAATTATCAAATTGTACACCTTAAATATATGCTCTTTACTATATGTCAAGTATATCTCAATAAAGTTGCTTGGTCTGTTTTTTTTTTGTTTTGTTTTCTGTTTTTTGTTTTTTTTTTTTTTGACAGGCTCTTGCTCTGTCACTCAAGCTGGAATGTTGGAAGACAGTGGCATGATCACAGTTCATTGTAGCCTTGACCACCTCAGCCTGCTGGGTAGCTGGGACTACAGGTGCACACCACTATGTTCAGCTAATCATTCTATTTTTTGTAGAGACAGGGTCTCACTATGCTGCCCAGGCTAGTCTCAATGTCCTGGGCTCAAGCAATCCTCCTGCCTCAGCCTCCCAATGTGTTGGGATTACAGGCATGGACTACCACTCTCAGCCTAAAGTAGTTGTTTTAAAAAGGGTGATTTGGAAGGATAAATGCAGTTATATGGATTGGGCATTTGAGGATGGCCATGACATCCTTCTCTAACCTTTCTTCTACACCAAACAACTGGCTATTATCAGGTAGCTTCAGGAAAGGCTCTTCTGTCACAGACCATTTTCAAGGCCTTCAGGATCAAGGTCTTTTTGTTTCCATTGGTTACTCAGTTAACTATGCCATAGGACAATAATAACTTAGCTCCATTTCTTTTTTCTTTTTTTTTTTTTTTTTTGAGACAGAGTTTCACTCTTGTTGCCCAGGCTGGAGTGCAACGGTGCAATCTCGGCTCACCACAACCTCTGCCTCCCAGGTTGGTTCAAGCGGTTCTCCTGCCTCAGCCTCCCAAGTAGCTGGCATTACAGGCATGAGCCACCATATTTGGCTAATTTTGTATTTTTATTAGAGACAGGGTTTCTCCATGTTTGTCAGGCTGGTCTCAAACTCCTGACCTCAGGTGATCTGCCCGCCTCGGCCTCCCAAAGTGCTGGGATTACAGGCGTGAGCCACTGTGCCTGGCCAACTTAGCTCCATTTCTATAAATCACCATACACTTGCCAATGCATATGCACATATGTAATCCAATTTGCGCCTTTCTATGTGTAATGTAGACAAGGTGTACCCGGCCATTTGACAAGTGAAGGCAAATGGAGGAAAAAATGAGAAAGTTCAAGAAGTTTGCAGTTATGCAGCAACTTACTTAGGACTAAAAGTAATGTGTCTTGGTTAAGTACTTTCCAGGACACTGGCTGCTGTGTAAGTCAGGTTGTCTCCTTAATCAAATGGTCAGTTATGAATCAATAAATGAACTAGAATTCAAGGAAGGAAGGCTAAGCAGAGTCTTTGTTAAGCCTTCCCATTGCTTCCGCTACTGGGAGCCCACTAATCTTCTCAGATGTCATTTCACAAGCTCGGTGCAGTTGTTTAACATTATTACCATGGACAGCATGAATCATTCTTATTGTTTGTTCTGGGCTCCTAGAATTAAACAGAATGATAATTAATGATAGTTAACATTTATTGGGTTATTTACTGAATTGTTGTTTAATGCTCTATTACATACTTACCAAAAGCCTATAAGGTGGCTACAACTATGATCCTCTCCAATTGACAGATGAGGAAACTGAGGCACAGAATTTTAGTAGCTTCAGCAAAGTCACATCGTTCTTGAGTGGAAATGTTGAGATGAGAACTCAGACTGTGTAACTTCACAGCTTCATCCTATGCCCCTAATAATTCATTTAATGTAATATATGTAAATTAAGACATCCCCAGATTAATTGTACTTTAAATAGATCAGAAAGCCATAAATTGGATTGGAAAGAGTAGAAATCCATCTGATTATATGACTAAGGGCCTGCTCCCAGCACAAGCCTCCCCATTGTTGGAGAGAGGCAGAGGGAAGGTTGATAGTTGCAAGAGAATATGCCCAAAAAGAAGAGGGTAGAGGAAGGAGGAGGCCAGCACTTCCCAAGCATCATCACCCTTCTCCTGTTTCCGTTTTGCTAAGTTATATTTCTATTTGACTGGCACCATGGCCTTCAGAGAGTTACCATTTAAATAAAAAGAGATGGATCATTTCAATGGCTCCAGAATTCTATTTCTCCATCTTCTCTAATTATTTAGCAAAAAACTTTACTTCTTTCAAACTCATTCTTATTCTTTACAAAACCGGAGAGCCAACTTTAAAAAAAAAAAAAAAACAGTCCTTCTGGTTTTGCAATCCAAATAAGTGGGACCTTGAGCAAGTCAACTTTTCAGAGGCCCAGTTTTCTTATCCACATATAAGAGAGTTAATCTGTGCTAGATGGCCTCTGAGATGCTATTCTAGCTTTAAAATTCTATGATCTCATGTTTCTTTCCTATCTGGTTTGTGTATAGGAATTTTAAAATCCCATGTTCTTTTTGTTATTTCTGGTGGGAAGGATTCTTCTTTCTCTCATTATGTGTCTCCTTTTGCTACTCTTCCTCTAAATTTTGTAACATATCCTATGTTCTGGAAAAAGAATTCTAATAGCTCCTGGTTGCCCTGGGTCTGAGGGAATCAAGATTGAAGGGCTGCTCACAGATAAACGAAAGGAAGCAGAGAGGGAAACTGCCAATGGTGTGGAGAAGAGCAGAGAGGAATCACTCACTTCCAGGGCACAAAAGCAAGACGTTCAAGAGAGAAAAAAAGTCTATGCCTTTAGTTAGAAAACTTCACATAAAGAGGAGGAATTTTTCATATTGCTTTTCCACCACCACAGAATAGTTCCAGCCCACAGATGTCTAAACTCCTCAAAAACTGCCCTATTTGATATATAATTTTAAATCTAAATAAATGTATCTGAATAAGTGTCAAAAAAATTAAGATTTTTCCACATAGGTAATACTGTTGAGTTTTTTTCTTTTCTTTTTCTTTTTTTTTTTTTTTTTTTTTGAGTCAGGGTCTTGCTTTGTTGCCCAGCTGGAGTGCAATGACATAATCACAGATCACTGTAGCCTCAACCTCCTGAGCTCAAGTGATCCTCCCACCACAGCCTCAGGAGAAGCTGGGATTACAGGTGCACATCATCATGCCCAGTTAATTATTTTTTGTAGAGATGGAGTCTCCCTGTATTGCCCAGGCTGGTCTCAAACTCCTGGGCTCAAGCAATTCTCCCCCCTTGGCCTCCCAAAGTGCTAGTATTACAGGCATGAGACACCACACCTGGCTGGGATTTCTTTTAGAGCTTTAACAACAGAAATTATATTCTTAGATTTCCAGTTATATAAAAAGTTCATCAAAAGAAAAAAATAACTTTAGTGATAATAATAATTAGAGACTGAATTTGAATGTGCTTCGAGATGCCTTTAACTCCTGATTTTTCTTTCTTGCAAAACAAAGAATATCCAATAGAGCAGAGAAATATAATTTTATTAATTCAAATTTCCCTTAGAAGAGTACAAAAAACTTCATAGAAAGATATGTGATATTCACATTACCCAGGAGACCAAGATTTGAAAAAAGGGAGTGGGCTCAAATATAATCTTTTTTTCTTGTTTAAAGTAATTTTAATTCCTTTTCTGAAAACATAAGAGATTTACATTCTGTGTTACTGACATTTTTGTGTTGAAATTTCAACATTAAAATTACATCACATAGACTTTAAATGTTTATTAAATGAATTAAACTTTATTATTTATGTGGAAGTTACAAAATCTTGAAACCATACTGAAGATATTAATCTCTTTTATATATAAAAAGTCGGGAATTAATCACTTCCCAAATCAAACACAAATGATTAAAAGAGCTGAATATACTGCCTTTACAAAAGTAATTCTTAAAATAAGAAAACAATGTGAAGAAACAAGGAATATGCTATAAACCAGAAGATACTAAATGAGAACTAGGTTGGAATGAGCTAATAGCACAATTGTAAGTCATAGTTCAAAAGTTAAATTAATAGTAAAATTAGAATAAATGCTATATTTATGAAAAATTAAATTAAAAATATGAGTATTACTTATAGTTTTAGAGTTTTTTAATATATTGATACAGTCCACTTAAAATATCTTTTAATAAAGGTAATAAGTTTTTTACATTTTTAAAAAAGTAATCAAAAAGCACAGAGCTGCGTGAAAGAAGCTTTCTAGATGTTCTCTACGAACAGTCGTATATAGTTTTGCTTAAATGAAATCATAGAATACTCATGCCACTTGATTTTTCTCACTTGAGAATATACAATATTTCTCCTTGCTTTTTCTACATAGAGATTTGCTTAACGTGTCTTATGGTTGATAACATTCTGTTTTATGGATATACTATTACTTATTTAAATAATTTCTGCTACAAACAAGGCAATACCTTTACAGTTACCTTTGCTTACTTGTGCAAGGATGTCTGCAGGATAACCTCCTTGAAATAGAGTTCAAAGATGTGAACACTTAAAATTTTGACAGATGTTGCTGGATTGACCTCAAAATGTTTTTCCAAGTTCCTTTTTGGATTGCTATTTGATGGGGACAGATCTATACAGACTTTCTTTGGGTCTAGATATGGTGTATGTGGATTCTCAGTGGCTCTCTGTGCCCCTTCATCTGGGCCATATTTATAGACTCCATTTGGTTTAAAATCTATATGCTAGGCCGGGCATGGTGGCTCATGCCTGTAATCTCAGCACTTTGGGAGGCTCAGGCGGGTGGATCACGAGGTCAGGAGTTCAAGACCAGCCTGATCAACATGGTGAAACCCCGTCTCAACTAAAAATACAAAAATTAGCCGGGTATGGTGGCGCGTGCCTGTAATCCCAGCTACTCAGGAGACTGAGGCAAGATAATTGCTTGAACCCGGGAGGTGGAGTTTGCAGTGAGCCAAGATTGAGCCACTGCACTCCAGCCTGGGCAACAGGGTGAGACTCTGTCTCAAAAACAAGCAAGCAAACAAACAAACAAACAAAACAAACTATATGCTAAGTTATTCTCGACTAGACTCTGCATTCTATCATCTAAGGGAGACAGCAAGCTGGTTGGAGGCTGAATCAATCATGATTACTGGATTGGTTCTGTTTTCTTCTTCTGTAATGATGTTCTAAATCTCCCCACTTGGTTCACTCTCCCAGTTAGAAATTTACCCTCTACCTATGGGGCATAGTTATGAATTTCAGATTCTTTCTCCCAATTCAGGGATTAGCAGACACCTGCTTTCTTCAGAAAGAAGACACCACTAAATTTTTTTTCTCCAGCATCTTTGTCTTATTTCTTCTCTTTTCCTTCTGTAAAGTCTCAGCTTATGGTTGGAACCTACTACCTCTGGCTTTTTCCCATCTTCTTCCCAAACAGAGAAAAACAAAACTGAGTCCTGGTGGTTCTTCCCTTTTATGATGAGTCACTCACTCTCTATGAAAACAAGGGAGGACTTATGTTCTAGAAGGAGCTCTTTGGATTTGTCTCCCCTTGACTGCCCACACATCCTCTCAATACACTTCCCTGCAAATTAAGGAGGCCAAGGGGGGGTCTTTGGGAATGCATCCATTCATGTTTCCTATAATACCGATCCAAAAGACTGAGATAGGATCTGTAGATCAAGATTCCCAGTATCTCCTATCGTCACAAACTTTATCAAGCATTATTTAATGAGCACTGCAGAGACTTCTTTGCTGCTGTTTATTTTGAAGTTTTAGGACTAACAAAGAATTATCATCCTGCAAATACCCTGCCATTTCCTCTGGAAGTCCTAATGATGCCAGCTTAGGCCCACCCGAAGGAGGCTACCCCTCATGCCTTGGAGCCATGTAATCTTCACTTTTCAACCATGTTTTCACTACAGTTAGTTGTGATGAGGGGAAGCTTGTCCCTTCTCATTTCTGTAGAAGGGGGAGTACTTATTCCCATTGGGTAGAAGTATGAGAGAATGTCTTCCAAGGTCTTTCTCTCTGTCCCACCCTTTACATTTATCTGAAAGAGGAAGCTAAGTTTTCTTGATTGTTGAAATTGGGAGAAACAAGAAAAGAAAATGAAGCACGGAGGCTCAGCCTTCGCAGAGTTGCTATTTCTGGCAGCCTGTTATCAGCTCTGGATTGGGAGGCCTCTACTGGGTAGGTTGTTAATTAAACAGAAGATTCGAGTATTAGCCAGCCTAGATCTAAGCCTTGTTTGGCAATCAGTACTTTTTTTTTTTTTTGAGACAGAGTCTGGCTCTGTCACCCAGGTTGGAGTGCAGTGGCATGATCTCAGCTCACTGCAACCTTCACCTCCAGAGTTCAAGCCATTCTAGTTCCTCAACCTCCCGAGTAGCTGGGATTACTGGCGCCTGCCACCAACCCTGGCTAATTTTTTTTTTTTTTTTTTTTTTTAGTGGAGTCAGAATTTCATCATGTTGGCCAGACTGGTGTCGAACTCCTGACCTCCAGTGATACACCTGCCTTGGTCTCCCAAAGCGCTGGGGTTACAGACGTGAGCCCCTGAGCCTGCCCTTTTTTTTTTCTTCGAATGCCGATATTTCTCCATTTGTCACACTCCACGTGTGTCACTCAACTGGTACCTAACCCAGGGGCTTGGGGGTGAGCAAGAGTATTATTCCTCAGTCCCATAAGCCCCAACATGCCCTATATTTGTAGGGTTGTATAATCTGCATATCCAAAGAAGAAAAAGTGTTCTTTCCCTTGGCATAATCCAGGAATGTGATCCTGAAGATGAAGACACATTCTGATTTTAAAAATATATAGTGGAGAACTAGCTACTAAAATATAGAGAACCAAATACCTATATTACTGAGAAATAATAAATTTATTATTTTTGTGAAATTCTTCTGAAATTTCTTATCTTGTCTACCCTGGAGATTTAAAGGAATTTCTAAATTATATGCCCCTGCAACATTTCTGGAAATCAGTCTCTACAGAGATTTTTTAAAGTTCAATATCCTAGTAAGTTGTTTTTATTACTCTCTGTTATTCACCTGCGACCACAGCACAGCAGCATCAGGTAAGGTGTGGTACCTGATGAGAGTTGAGGGGCCGGGACAATCAGACTTTAGCTGCTATTCTAACTAACCAAGAGATCAATCCAAAAGCATTTCTACTTGCTTCCCCCTCCCACCCATACAAACACAATAGATCTCTTGATTTAAATGAGGAAATATAAAAATTATAAGATTCACTGTATGCAAAAAAAGGATGTTTTAAATTAAGAGCAAACTTTTACAAATGAACATTTAGGTATATATTTGTATTCCCTTCTTGCCCATGATAACTTATCACCGTGAAAACTCAGGCAGAAGATGACACAGAAAACCCACTATGCAAAACCTCAGCATGGCCTGGAAACTGACACCAGCAACACCTGAGAGGTATTTTGTCAATGGATCAGCCACAGGAAAAGCCTCTTTGAATATCCTTCCACCTACTTAGAGGAAAGGATCTGGTCTCCTCTCTTCCCAATTACCATTTTAGGAATTTTTGGTTTCACAAAGGAAAGAATCCTCCAGAGGGTGCTTTTCCACTTGCTCTTACCTTTCAAACTTGCATATTTTCACCAGTTTCAATAAAACCTGGGACTTGAAAATGTCCAGGTAAAAAAGAAGTTACATTATGAGAAAAGAAAAGCATTTCTCAAAATAAGTGCTTTTCTGATTTAAAAAAGTAAACATTAAAAAAAATTATTCATTATCTTATAATCACAATTAATAGATTTATGTTTTTCCATTGATTTTTACCCCCAGGTATACTCAAACGTACACATAATTATGACAAATATGTTTTAGGTTTTATCTTCTTATTTATACAATCATTTTAAGTTTCTTATTATTTCTTCAAAAACATGATGTATATTAGCATCATATATTCCTTTATATAACAAAGAGGATTCTACATTTTCAAAGCCATGATGTTCCTAACAAATTTACAAAAAAGATGAACAGTTAACTCAAAAAAGCGGCAAGAATTATTAAACAGTGATATGTTAAAATATGCATGTAATAAAAATGCAATTTTTAAGATTAGGGTTAATTTTTTACCTACAAATTTGAGGAAGGCAGTATTTAAATCATTGTATACAATGCTGACAGGTAACTCAGTGGAATATCTTTAAAGCCATAAACATTTTAACATCTACTAAAGATATTAAAAGGAATTCTAACTTCCAGATATTTATCTAATAATATAGGTAATATAAGGAGATCCATATAATCTACACACACACACACACACACACACACACACAATATGCCCTATAGCTTAATTTGCAATTGTAAAAAAATAAAACTTGAGACAAACTATTCAAAAATAGAGTGTACATGACTACATTATGCCATAACTAAGCTTGGTAATGTTAGGCAGACATTAAAAATGATATAAACTTTATGTAATAATTTAAAAAGAGATTTATGTAATAATTTAAAAAGAGACAGGATACACGGGAAAACAAAACATGTTATTGTGTAAAAACTTACATCTGAAGACAGATATCGCCACTAGCTGCATTTAGGTGTGAGATTCTAGATTTTTTTCCTTCTATATTTCTCTTTTCCTGTCCCGTTTTGAAAATTTATTATTTAACTTTCTGGTGTACTTATCCAACCTTTTCTTTTTTTTTTTTTATTTTTTTGTCTTTAGAGATGGGGTCTTGCTCTGTCACCCGGGCTGGACAGCAGTGGCGCAATCATAGCTCACTGCAGCTTTGAACTCCTGGCCTCAAGTGATCCTCCTGCCTCAGTCTCCCAACTAGCTGGGATTACAGGTGCAAGCTACTGTGCCTAGCTACTTATCCAATCTTTAATAGTGACTACAACTGTGACAAGAGCAGAAGGAGTGGAGGAAAGGAAAGGAGACAATTATTACTAAATAAGTAGTTGCATACACTAAAAATGATTAAATTCTCTCATTTTACTTACCATACAAACGTCAAAAATTTACGGCCAAAATTATGAGCCATTTTTTTATTTTCAATATTAATTATCACAAATGCATCTTTTATCCTTGAATGTAGTAAACATTCATGAAATGCCTGATGAATTGACCCCAGCTGTGGACTGAGATGAGGGTAGGGAGTTATTTTCATTCAATGTCATAATATAGCTCTCTAGAACAACTTCCAACATAAAACCACAGCTGGCTGAGCATGGTGGCTTATGCCTGTAATCCCAACATTTTGGGAGGCCAAGGTAAGAGGGTTGCTTGAGGTCAGGAGTTCAACACCAGCTTGGGCAGCATGGAGAGATTCCCATCTCCACTGAGACAAACAAAAAAAAAATTAGCCCGGCATGGTGGCTCACACCTATAGTCCCAGCTACTTGAGAGGCTGAGACAGGATGATCACTTGAGTCCAGGAGTTCAAGGCTGCAGTGAGCTATGATCAAGCCACTATACACTGTATCAAGCCCAGTCTGGGCAACAGAGTGAGACCTTGTCTCACAAAAAGAATCAACAGCTAAAATAATGTTTTATGAACATAAAATGATATTTCATGCACATGAACTGGCTATGAAGACAATCACCTTTGATCACACACTTCCACTGGATCACCGTCCTCCCATGTCTTTCTAGGTATTCCCTAAGTCATCAGATCTCTTTACATAGGTAATTAATAAATGTATACATGCATTAATTAATTAAAAACAATTAAAAACAATGTCTGGACTGGTTCATTTAAAAGATGACTGGCAATTTCTAGTGCTTGCTAGTATACACTGAATATCAATTTCATGTTTTGATATTTGTTTTGAAGGGTCGGCTACATTTAAAACAGCATACACCACTGATGGACTATGAGACTCCAGTCTCTAGAAACTGGGACAAATCTCATAGACCGACTTGATCCATACCTTCAAACTCAAAGTTTCCTACGATCTCATTCAAAGTAATGGCATGCTGTGTCCAGTTATTAATTATACAGCTGCTACTAGAATGGCTAATGGCATGGCATAAAGATGCATCCTCAGAGAGATTTAGGTCCTTCTGCCCTTCCCTTAACAAGAGTACATTCTTCCTCATTGCAATCTCCCATCAAAGTCAATGTTGCAAATATTCTATTCGTTGTGATGGGACTTCAGCTCATGGTTAGGAAACATGAGGAAAGCTAAGTACAAAGTAATTTACAAAGTAATAACAATGTTTCCTACCCAGGCGATAGCTCAGAGGGGATTTAATTGGATAAAATTACCCCTTTCCAAGAATAATACTTTATACTTTATGTCATAATTATCACTGGAGGATCTTGAAGAGATTTATGAACATTGATTAAACATCAGCACACCATTTTGAGGGAGGCAATAGTAATAGTATTTTACTGAGCCCAGAGAAGGATGGTTTCCTATTCCAAAGCACACAGCTAACAGTCAAAAAATAGCCCAATCTGCACTGACTTGATGTTAGGACTGTTGTTAAGTAAGATTATGGAGCTTTGGGAGCATCTCACTTCCATAACATATTATAACTAAAGAGGCAAAAAAAAAAAAAAAGTTTTATGTTTCCCAGTGTATCTTATAATAGCCGCAAATAAATGCATTTCTGATCATCAGAGTTGGAAAATACGTGAATCGCTTTTCTTGATCTCCTAAGATTTTAGTTGGAAAAGTTCTTTTTATAATTAGTTTGCCCATGTTCAGCTGTTAAACATTTGGTATCAGAATCAAATATGAAATTCACAAATCACTGGAACTAGGAGGAATATCAAAAACAGGGTCGGCCAGGCGCGGTGGCTCATGCCTGTAATCCCAGCATTTGGAAGGCCGAGAAGGGCGGATCACCTAAGGCCGGGAATTCGAGACCAGCCTGGCCAACATGGTGAAACCTCGTCTCTACTAAAAATACACAAAAAATTAGTCGGGCGTGGTTTGAGGGTTCCTGCAATCCCAGCTACACAGGAGGCTGAGGCAAGAGAATCGCACGAACCGGAGGGGGGCGGGGGAGCGGAGGCCGCAGTGAGCCGAGATCGCTCCATTGCACTACAGCCTGGGCAACAAGGGCGAAACTCCGTCTCAGAAAAAAAAAAAAAAAAATACGGTCAAGTCTTTTTGATTTCCAGATGAGGAATCTAGTGCCCAAGTGGGAGTGAAGGATAAAAAGGGGTCTCAGTGTAAATAATAAAGAGGCTCTACCATTGTTGAAATGCCTCTGGTTACAAAGAATGCCCCCACATGGCTTTTAAGGCCCTGACTGCTTACTTTGCTGGGCAATTGAATAGGTGTAAATAATTCTTGAGTTGAATAGGTGTAAATAATTCTGTGGCCTAGCATAAAAGTGAAACTAATGGCAGGAGGGCACGTTTTCAGTTCAGTGCAATCCAACATAAAAAAAGATATCAAATTCTAAAGTTCTAATTTCATTGTTATAGCAACCTCAATAGACTTGGATGCTACCAAAATGAAATAATGTGTATCAAAACTTCTATTCCAGTGCCTGGCATAGAAGAAGCTCTCAATCAGCATCTCCTCTTTTGCTTCATCTAGCCCTCCCCACCTCCTCTAGCCTTCCCAGAGCCTGAGATCTAAAATTGCTTGATCCACATATCTATATATGCCTTAAATACTGCAGAGCAGATTTTGTTTGTATTTGCAGAAGCTTCAACTACTCTATCAGATGTTTCTTTAAAAGCTTATAAATTATTCTCTAAGCTTTCTTTAAAAACAAATAAACATTAAAATGAATATGCTTGCATTAAAGTTCATAATCAATAAAGTATGATCAGGAGTGGAGTTACAGAAAGTTGTATATCTACAAATTAGTCAGACTAGTAGCTGTCACGTGAGTCTGTGTTTGGGACAAAAGCCTCAAAACCTCTCAAAGAAGTTGTAGACCCTCAATTCTACAAGTGCTCCTCCTGGCCAAACCTCCTGCTTTGGGAAGGTGAGCAAGACTCGCTATCTTTACACAGAAAGTGAATTCCGATTTCTCTTTGCTCAACAAGCCCAGAGGAAATCAAAACATAGAAATTGAACATTTGTTGTTGTTGTTGTTAAGCTTCCTTCTACACAATTCAGTTGACAAATTAGCCACACAAAGATAGGTTCTGATGACCCAGTGACCTTTCCTTTATTCCACTATGTTTAAAATACCTTTTCCATAATTTCAGGAATTCTTTAAAGTAATAAAAATATGATGACGATGATGATAACGACGAAGAACGGGCAATGTGGCTATATCTGCTAAATTGCCTTTTAAACATAGAAACTATGACAAGGCTAATCATTTTTGCTATTCTCTTTTAGAAGACACAAAATATCTAATATTTAAATCTTGATCCTTTCACCTTGCCTCCTCCCCCGCCCCCGCCCACCACATGACGGGTTATTCAACCCACAATCAAATGATTTCACTATATTGCAGGAGAAAATATTTTGGAAGTAAAACTATGTCTTTAATATTTCCAAGGAAAATAATTCATATCTGATAAAAGCAATACTTTTAGATATGTCACATGCAAAATGTACCATATAATTAGAAGTGAATTTAGACAGAAAGATAGAAAGATGAAATATAAAAGCGCATAATTAGTGCACTGTTATAATTAGCAAATAGTTCTCAATCCCATGGTAACTGCACTTTGAAAAGGACTCCTGCCGGTTAACTAATATTTCCTGAAAGCAGTTTTCTTCTCTCTTTTTAAATACAAAGTTTGAATCACTGTCTTCTTGAAAACCATGTTATAAAATGTCATAAATTGATTTGTGTCTATATTATAGTTTTTAAAATGCAAAAAGACATATCAACTATAAGGACAAAACAAACATGTTTGTAGAATAAAAGAACTATAATCAATCTATACAATGGCTTTGTGTCATATGTATAATTTTGAGTGTGCTCTTTGAAAAATGAACATTATTTGCACCACAAAAATGCCCTTGAAATACAGAGAAGCAAACATTTCACATTGAATATGGATAATCAGTTCAAAGTACCTGGACAATGACAACAGTGAAACTTTCTCGGGATATAAGTGGAAGTTTCTGGAGAAGTTTAAATATTTTTAATCTTATAGTAGATCTTAAGGAAAGAAAGAGAAAAGAACTAAAAAAATTAAGCAAAAATAAGTATTTTCTCATTTTTTTTCTCATAACCCTCCAAATGTTTACTTAATACAATGATACAGTTACAGAGAGATTTTTTCCAAATTGAAAACAGGACTCAGGAGGCTGAGTTCCGGTACACAGTCTTTGATTCTAAACAATTGTGTGGCCCTCATCTGTGAAATAGGGCTGATGGTATGTTCTTACAGGGTTTGGAGGAGTAAACTAAGATAGTAGACCTGAAGAGGGGAAGGGGGATGTTTTGCAAACTGTGATGTTTTGTTAAAGACAAAAATTGAATTCTCAATCATATCCCTGAGTATCAAAGACTTGTTTAGAACAGAAAATTAACTTTGCCTGAATAATAATATTCTGAGTGAAACAGTGTAAAACCAAAAAGTTGGCAAAGTTACCAATTATAGGAAACAGGACCCAAAAGTTAGTCAAACCCTTTCAGTCAAATTGAGATTGGCTAGGGCAGCAGTGACATGTGGTGACATTAGTGAGAAGGGCAACCTGACAGCAGAACAGAGAGAAAAGACTAATTTATGAAATTTGCAACAGACTGGCCTTTTTAATCACGATCCGAAAAATGTCAGTGACAATGAAAGAGGCATGTAAACTCTGAAACAGTCTTTAAAGCTCACGTCTTCTTGAAAGTTTCCAAGAAGACAGAAGTAGGATGGTGGGAATGGCTTTGGTGTCTAGGTTAACTGGAGAGTACAAAGTACGTAATGACCCCGAGCAGCTTCCTTCAGTCTATGACAATGGTTAAGAATTTTTTTGAGGAAGTGTTCTTCAAGAGGGAATCTGTCGCACAACTGAATGGTCCCCTAAGCACAAAGAGAAGAACAAACTTGGCTCATAGATTTGTGATTATTGTTCACATCAGCTCCTGGCTCATATATGGCTTTATAGATGTCTTTAAGACCACTTGCTGCTCCCTGGAATGATTCTAATATAGGAGGTACATTAGAGAGAGTGCCGTAAGAATAGCCTATATTAAAAAGAACTAGGTATGTAGCTTTTAAAGTGTGCCCATTTAGAATTATTGGAGTGGAAAGATTTTGATAAACTGAAACTTAAAAAGTGATAGGCCAAAAAAAATGCTGACTAATACCAGCAATAGGAGTATACATTTTTAGAAAGTGTTTTTAATCAACTCCCCAGTATGGGGTTAATCAACTGTGTCAGCAGAACTAAATTACAGACTCATAGGAAAGGAAAGAGAAAATAAAAAGAAGACAATTTTGGAGCAATTCAAACTAATTCCTTCCTGGAGTAAAAAGCTAAAAGCACTGAGGAAGGCTTATTGGTTGAACTCCTGAACAAATAAGCCCTAAGCACCTAACGGGTTAAGAATATCCAAAAATATATAGTACTTTTTGGTCTAAATTAGGCTAGAATTTTTAAAGGATGCTAGCCAACTGTCAAAGAAATGCAAAAGTGCAAAATTAAAGAGCGTTAAATACTCAAGGAGAAAAAAGGTAGCTACCAGATACAGAATCATAAGTCAGGAAAGCGGCTGTGGGCACTTGGTTCTTACCAGGTCAGGAGAGCAGTTGGTCTCATTGAGCCAACAATTGCCAGTAGTGTGATATTGCTGAAATTTTAAATATGACTGAGTTTGACCTTCAAAGCAGTAGCTGGTTCCAGAGCATTTGAAGTTCATCCACACTCTACATTGTGCTTGGATATTGACTGAGAATCAGGATAAAGTGACAGTTATTAAAAGAGCCATAACTCTCTATTTTCAACTTTGTGAATTTCAAGTTCTTAAGCATCCTGGTCATGCTAAGCAATGCCTTAGCATGCTTAGGCAGTAGGGAAAGTGCCTCCAAAAGTTAGACAACTTTTGTTGTCTGGCCAGTGGAGACGGGACTAAGTGTTTTAACTTCTAAAACACCAACAAATATCCAGACAAAATTTAATGGTACCAAAAAAAATCCTGTGCTTTTGACATCTTTCTGTTTACTTTAGTTCTTTCAGGTATATCTTTCAACGAAAATCTAAGTTGTCATTTTCAGACTTAAAGATCCATATGTGGAGTTTACAGTGCCTGAAGGTATTAAGGAATTCTTCTGACAATTTCCCTGTCGGGAGGATCTCAAAGAAGCGGGGAATTGAGAGTGAATGAATTTTTTTTTTAAGTCCAAAGTAAAGTTTTTATGTTTTTATTCCCTGGAATATAAAACACAGATTTCAATGTTTTGAAGGTTTTTATGAGAAATTATTGCCATTTTTTAATTGAATCTGGTATATTTTTCAAAAATTGCCTGTTATAATAAATTCAGGCCTTAGAAATATCTAAAACTGTAGCAATTACATTTCAAAATGCTGTCGTGTAAAATAGAGACTTCATAGAATTTACTGATAGCAACAAGTATGGCAGTTACAGAAGTTTTACGAGACACAATTCCACTTTAAATGACAATGCTGAATTGCAAAACTAATTTCTTCCTAAAATTAGGGTTCATTGTTTCCTATTCATTAGTGTTCATTTCTTGATATCCTGAATAGTTCTGCTCTCCGTGGTCTTTGCGTGATAGTTGTTGAAAGGACTTAGTCATGCTGATATATAAAGTTAAAACTGTTCAGAACACAGCATATGCTTCCCAAAGTGGGATAAAGACGACTTAAGAGCATATACACAAGCAAACCATTTGAAATATTTTAGTGTATTTATTGTAGTCTGCATTAGGAAAATATACAAAAGAAATCGTAACTACAATAAAATGTCTCATTTGAAAACACATTACTATGTTTTATTTTAGATGAGACTGTTTTTTAGAAAATAGTAATTCAGGGGGCATTAGAACAAGACAAAAACAAGTAAACAGAAAGATGTCAAAAGCACAAGATTATTTTTTGTTACCATTATATTTTGTCTGGACAACTTAATCCTTTTCCTACTGGCCACTGTGTGTAATTGGTTGTAGTTGAGTCAGGGAAACATTGCTTTTGGATAACTCTCCAACCAAATTCCAAAACATCAACCTCCTTCAAATTTACTCTAAAATAAGTATGATGTGTTAACAGTAAAATTTTTTGCTTGTTATGAAGCTATGCGTTTTCTGCCCAATTTTGTAATACAAAATCATTAAATATCAGAATCAAAAGTGTATTTAGAGATCAAAATACTGTAAGCAATTCATTTTGCAGGTGATTAAGTTCTTCTCACTCAATCAGCCCATCAGTGACTAAGCTAAAATTTGAACCCAAGTATCCTAATTCTCTCTGCCTCTCTTTCTCACTGCCACTATTGGGAAATCTTGACTGGGAACATTTGGATGTGCAAACAGTGTTTTCTAATAGAACCAATTTCCAAACTCATTCTTCAGTTTTAGCCTGTAATGACCAAATACATGCAAATTAAATAGCTTTCAAAAGTCTGGGTTCCTCAAAAGATTTTTTACTGAAAGACATGTGAATCAATAAGCACCTTTAAAATGCAACAGGCTTATCATAAAAGCTAGGCTAGGACATAGACTATAACCAAAGTTTAAGCCTCGAAGAATATTATTAGGTTATTTTTTGTTAATATTCCATGAGTTTTAAAACAACAGTAAACTTCACAGAGTTTTTTAAAAACAAAATAAACTGCAGATTACCAGTCTGCAAACAAGTATTCTATACCAAACTCTCAAATCAAGACAAAATTCAAGGTAACAAAAAAAATTAGAATAAAGCTAAAAATAATTAGGGCATGGTGAGAAGAGGATAAGTAACTAATTTGTTTTAGGAGCAAAATTATTTGAAGCTAAAAATAAAAATATTTCAGGAAGTGCCAACTCAATTCATTTTGCCCGGAAAAGATACCGGATATTCTTGCAAAGAGTATGGTAGCCTGGGTTGCAAAGGGGTTCGGGGAAGCAGGAGTAAAATGCTGTTTTTGTGAACCTGATACCTAAACATCCCAGTGGGGTATTGTGCCTGTTTAGACTCCAAGAAGCTGCTTTTCACATCCTTAAAAGACAGGCTGCCCAAGAGAGACAGGGTTAGAGGGGATGCTGTTTTTAATCCTGGAGTAAATAAGGCCTTCAATGTCCTACCCCTGCCCTAAGTGACCTGAGCCAGTTCTCTGCTTAGGGTCACTTAGTCACAGGAAGTTGATGCAAAAGGCCTGTGGTGGTTGTTGTTTGCCTTGTTTTGTTTTGTTTTGTTTTGCTTTATTTTGGAGAAGTAGCTGGTTGGAGATGAGCAAGGCCTAGAAGATTCCAGCACTTTCACCACCAAATACAGGTTCTCCCTGCTGTTTCATTTCTTCAAGCTCCCTACCTGGAGGGGTCTTCTGCATAGCGGTACAACCTCCTGCCTTGTGTTTCCCTGAAGGGGCTCGGTGATGGAGTCAGGGATGGAGCAGGGAAGGAGGAAGGATGGCGCCAACGCCCAGCCCCCCCACACTTGCACACTCACACACTGCCATCACACACCCATCTGCTTCTGACAGAAGACAAGCTCTGACTTTTGGTCTTCTTAGGAAATAAGAAGAGTAAAAAATGTTTCTTCCGTAGTTGTGATGTTTTTCGTAGTTCAGGGTGTGTGTGTGTGTGTATGTATGTGTGTGTGTGTGTGTGTGTATAAAACCATCTTGAGGCATACAGAAAAGAAAAGGAGAGAAGAAATTGGATACTTCACTTAACCTATCTGGGTCTCAGCTTGCTTATCTGTGCAATGGAAAAGTAGAACTAAATGCCTTGATTTAACACCCTTATCTACGGTGGGGAAGGAGCTGTGAAAAGTGGTCCCTAGGCAGAGTAATCACAGCCCCCTACCCAGTGGATGATGACTCCCACTGCCTAGAGCAGGACAGTCATTTACGGGATCACCTAAGGGACATTTTGAAAGAGGATGTGTTTGCCTCTGGCCTCAATTGTCACCGGAACGCGCGCGCGCGCGCGCGCACACACACACACACACACACACATTTTCCCCACAGGGATTGTTTGCCTATGTGAACAAGTGGAAGCAGAAATCGCTCTTCCGAATTATTTAGGAAAGCCAACACGCAATTATGCAAAAGTCTAGATAAGGTTCTCCGAAGCAGAAAGCAGCAGCGCGGGACGCGGGTTTCCCCTTCTCTGGCGAGTACCAGTGCTGGGAGGCTGTTTATCTGTGTCCTGGTGCTGGGACAGGACGCAATCCAATTCCAGCTCTCGGTCGGTTCTGCCGCTCTGTCCCCGGTTCTGCAGCGCACTCTCTTACTCCCTCTCTCAGTAGTGTCCCCGGCTGTCTCCTTTCCTCCGTCTCCCGGTCCTCTCCCAGCGTCACCCCTCACTACCTATACCCCCGCGCCCTACCCCCACCTGGGGCGCTGGGTTCCACGCCTCCTCAAGAGGTGTGAGCGCCCGCGCTGGGCGCCCGTAGCGCGGCCCTCCTGTGTCCCCACTTCCACCCGGCGGCCGCTGGAAGCCGGGAGAAGGAACGGCACCAATCCCCTCACGCTTCTCCCAGGACGTCTGATCCCATTAGCGCACCTGAAATCACAACCTTGGCCACAAATGCGCGCTTGTTGCGACCCCTCCGAGTGGGCCGCCGTGCCGCAGGAGCCACTCTGGGGCCGGGGTCCCCAACCTCTCCCCCCTGCAAGTCCTAAAAGGAATCGTAGAGCAATTGATCTCGGAGGAGATGAGCGCACCCCGGGGCTCATTGCTGCCCCTGAGGAAGAGCCGTCCAGGAACGGAGGCGAGAAGCTTCCAGAATTAGGCCAAGAGGCAGGTGGCGGGGTGATCCGGCGTCCCCGAGTCCAGCTGGGGAGAAAGGCGCCCTCGGATGCTCAGCCCCAAAGCAGCAGAAGACAGAAGCCGGTGCGCCATCGTCGCTGCGCCCCAGTCCGCGGGTCCTCGCGCTCCTGCTCCGGCTCCCGGGCTGCCACCCACCGCTGCCCAAGCCTGACCAACTCCCAACTCCCTCCGGCACAGGCTGAGGCGACCCCCAAAGAGAAAAATAGGATCGCAGTCAAAACTGGCGGGGATGGGGCACACTGGTGGGAGAGGGGACCTTTTCACCTTTTGCTCTTCCCAGGGGACACAGTCCCCCAAACCTACGTCCCTGCGCCAAACCAGGTGCGAGCAAACTCCGCGGACCCCGCAGCTGGAAGTGCATCCTGCCGGGACCCCCACCCGACCCAGGGAGTCAGCGCGCCCCAGGGTGCAGGCAGGCCCAGGGCTCTGGGTGGCTCAGGGCACGGGGACCGGATCGCGCTGCAGAACACCGCCGGGACCCGGCACCCGGACGCGCAAGGGCGACAGGGCAGCCCTGCTGTAAGGACTGTGCCATGAGAGGTTCTCATTCGGTAAACAGTGGCCCTCCCAGAAGTGGCCGCCGACCTGCCAGTCAATGAAGTTATCCTCCGGGAGCTGGGAAGAAGGGGCGCCTCGCGGGGCTGTGGGCTCGGTTGCGAACCGATGTGTTTGTGGCTTATAAGTTTATTTCTCCCACTAGTTACCAGTGTTCAAATTGGCCCTTTCTCGCATAAATCGCCTGGAAAAAAAAAAATGATGTTTAGCTAGCATAGCCATATTCTGACGTTAATTTTTTTAAAAGGACAAAGAAAGATGATATTTGTTTTTCATTTTTAAATAAGGGCACAGAAAAGCACGTTTTCAGATATTCACAAGTGAATAACTACTCAGCAGGCGTCCTTCAGCTTCCTCTTGTTCTTTGCTCCTTTATGTTTTTGACGCTGCTAGAATTCTTTCTGCGCCGCAGGAAGCCTTCGATGTTTTCCTTATTCATTAGATAGCTCAATGAAATGTTAAAATATTTATTTTTGAATAATCAGTAAGATTTTTGCCTGAAGGTTTTCACAAAATATGCCCCTTTATCCAGTCGAACATGGATGCTAAGCATGGCCAGTGTGACTCATCCTGTTGCTTCAAAGGTAAATGTTTGCTATTAGTGACTAGAGCACGTTCGCCAGACCTCTTCCAGCACTCAGTACTTCAACTATTAGTTTAGAATATATCAAACGTGTATGCACTTGTGATTAGTTCCTGGAAGAATTTTCTACATTTTCAAGCTATTGTTATGAGGATTTTTTTTTCTTTTTGGTTGGTTTTCTGATCTAGACCAAACAGCATCTCAAAAAATGACTCCAAACAGCATCTCATAAAATAATAACCTTTCACAGTTCAGTGGTTTATACTAAAGTTTAAAAGACACCCACCACCAACACCTCCATTTATATAGAACAACTGAGGCTCTAATACAGCAGTGCAAGCAATCTCGCTGCTTTAAGTAGCCAATGTCAGTTCAGATTCTCTTGATGTATCTATATTTAATCCAATATTTTAAAGTCATTCTGACATAGTGCCACATCGAAATGTATATTGAAGTAGATCATTGAAATATATTTATGCACAATAAAATGTCCTAAAGCTGTCTCCTTTTCACTATTAGGTTTTTATTAAAAGACGCCCTAATACCTAGTCAAGTGCTGGCAAGTTTTATTAAAATGCGATAAGGAGTTTTAACTTCAGAAAAGCACATGAACAATTTTAAAAGTGCTTGCACCAAAGTCTATGTCTCTTGGACAAAATCAGCTTGACTTCTCCATGTATGTGTATGTGTGTGTGTGTGTGTCTATACACACATAGATACATATACAGATATATATTTGGGGGGCATTGGGCTTATTTGTTTCTTAAATCACAAAATCACTTCTCTATGGTAACAGTGATTACTTCAGAAACTGTCACTGTCGAACAGAGGTCAAAGTTAGCTTCATGCTTTTTTTTTTTTTTTTTTACAAAGCTTCCACAATGCTAGAGATCTATAAATGTTTTCTTTTTTAAATCACAACCAAAATGTGCACAATGTTTCTTAATGTTTAAGAGAACATCAAATGGTCTCTGCCATATGAAGTTGTCTGACTGTGAATTTCACCCACACTTTCTAACACTTGTGCTCTCCAAGTGAAAACACTGAAGTTTTACATTTTCATCCCAAATTGCCAAAAGGGAACTGCACTAAAACTTTTATAATTACCAGTGTCATTTCCCCTCTCCTAAAGGGTTTTTTTTCTTGATTACCAATGTCACTTTCCAAATTCCAAGAACTGATTTGTACATGCTAGATTATCGAGGCAGTAGATAGATTTAACTTGACTGTCAAGCAAATTCATCCTCAGTGTCAAGCAACCACTACTGTTTTTTGTTTTTTGTTTTTGTTTTTGTTTTCAGAGTTGTTGAATCTGTCCTATCTTCCTTTCTTTTCCCAGGCTGTCTTCCCAAGTTTAGGCATATGGGTACACACACATGCACAGCTGTATTCAATGTAGGTTTTAGCCTTGTGCCTTAATCAAGTGTTTGAGCTATACACCTATGATTGATATCATATCCTATCTTTGGATTTGAAAAACATGGTTAGACCCCAAGACCTGTCCTATGAGTCTAAGTTGGGTACTGTGGTTTTCTCTTGTTAGTTACCAGCACCAAATCATACCCCCAACCACCACCTCCCACCCCCGTAAAACAAGATTAAAGTTTGTCATCAAGGCTGCAGTTTTTCTATTGTCCAGTAGACGGCACAAAAGATCAAGCCTTCAAATGCTAAACAATTCACCAAGGCTGCTGTGGTTTGAAGTGTATGTGTGTGATCTTCTTTAAAATAGCTAACCAGCCAGCATTGTATCTGTGAAGCAGTGAAGTACCTGAAAACTTAAGATAACTCACTAAAAGTTTTGAAACGTAATGATATAAAAAGGTTTTGCATATGTCAACAAAATGTTGCTTCAGAAAATACACTTTTAAATAACTTCAGAGAAAAATGTTATTTAGAAATTTATCATTTAAAAGTTATCTTTATAGAAATTAAAGTGAGAGAAATTACAGGGCATTTTATTTTTAATTAAAAATAAAGAAAGTATTTGCACCGTGAGACTTGAAGATTCTATAGCGGAACTTTGCATGATGCATCTATGTTTTTTACTACATTTAACATACAACTCAGTCCACAAAATTGAAGGTTGTATTTCAAATGCACTTACACATAAATGCATATATAATAGGTACTTGGGAAGGGGAATAAATTCTCTTGATGAAGTTTTGTGGGATAGCTTTTGGGGGATATTGGAGAATGAGGCCAGTAGAAACAACAGTTGGGACTTTGCCTCTTTCAGAGCAATGCATGACTTTGGCTAATATTTATATTTTACTAAAAGGCTTCTATTTCCTTTTCATTCTGCAGACACTCCTTATGTAGCAGTTTGGGGGGGAGGGTAAAGTGTGGGCTAATAACTCATTTCCCAGTTAATTTTATTAAGAATTTATAGCACTGTTTAGAAAGTTTTAAGACAACCATAAATTTTATTAGGAATACTTTATTAAGCCCTCCATTTAATTAATAAAAGACCTCTATAACTTCTGAAAATGTCAGAGCTAGTAATTATGTTAACCAGTGTAGTTTTTTCCCCCCTAGAGACCAAAGCATTTTAATGATTTGAAATAGAATAGTAAGGAAAGCACCTCCCTCTCACCCCCCATTTTTTTTCCCTAATTTTTGCATCATCCAGTCAGAATATAGTAACTTAGGTATTTTCCCTGCAACCCTTGGAGAGCCTAAGCTGACCTCTAATTGACTTCTGAACTGGACCCAGACATTCTTTGTTTTCTGAAGCAAAATGCAGTAAACAAATCTTTCAGTCCTTATAGCCTGTAATGCTTTAGAGCACTTGATTAACATCCTCCCTAATCCTCTCAGTTAACCCCCTTTGATATCACCTAACCAGGTTTCCCCCTTTAATAGATCTCTCAATAGTTTATTTCACTTTTCTCACAGCCATTCATTAGCTTTGACTTCTTGGTGCCTTTCTCATATCACCTCCAGGCTCTTATCTCCAGCATTCCTCTATTATCTGTACTAGATTTCGAATCTATTTTCTTTAAACTATCTTTCCCTCCCTCCTCTTATTTCTGTTTTTTTGAAATGTCAATGCTAGTGAGGGGGAGAGATGCAGAGGATGAATGTTTTTGAAATACAAACGCCAAGCCTCCACACCACAGGACAACCTAAAAACCAATCACAGCATTTTAAGGGACATCTTAAAGTTTGGTGGCAAATGATAAACCCTTATCATTTTGTGAACACAGCTGCCAAACTCGATTGATTAACAGGCTTTTGTTTATTCTGGGCTGGCAAATACACACACGTTTTACCTTAAGAGGTGCCTCTTTAGTTTCTAAGGGTTTTGGAGCTGACTCATCAGTGTGACCTTTTGGGACAAAAGCCTAATTTAGGATATAGATCTTTCCAGAAGCACAATTCCTTATAGAACATAAAGTCAGGGGAGTTCTCCGAGACGACTTTACCAGCAGCTCAGAGGAGCACTGAGGGCTTGAAATGCCTCCATACAGGAGGGTGTAAACAATAGAGACCAAGGGCCCAGTCTGCCTCCTTTTGTCACCGTTCTCTATCTCTGGAAAGATGCTCTGAGATAAGAAGGATGAGAAGAGAACGGAAGGCCTGAATCGCAAGAGCTAGGGCCAAGTGCCAGAAGTTTTCACCAGGCCAAGTTTTTGCAAAATAAAAGTGCTATTGCCTTAAAAAAGCAAGTATCTGAAATAAGTTAGGAATAGGGGCTGTCAAAAAATGGGCATAAATATTGACAGTAGTTTACTAAGATACCTAGACCTGTCCCTTCATTTGTTTCCTTTTAATAGATGATTAATTGCTGCCCTGCTAAAGGAGTTTTTTTTTTTTTTATGGCTACTATATTGCAACTCTAGACATCCTCTGTGCAATTTCTCTCAGCAAGCCCCAACTGTAATAACTGTTTGCTAATTGTAAAATCCTTATCCAGAATGAGGTTTGGGCAAACAATTTGTACTACTGTAATTACATTGTAAAAGTGTTTAGTCCCTTGATTGTTCAGAATTAATTGTATAAAGGCCTAGAAGTTATATTAGGTTCACAGTTTAAAATGGAAAGACTGTGGGGGGGGGGAGGGGCACTTTTCAAAACTACTGAGTTGATTTTAAGTCCGCAAACTCAAACTATCTCATTCTTTAAGGAAAATTTGTGTGTAGGTAATTTAAAGTACATTTTTAAGGTAATCTGGCACATCATGGTTAAAGCATGCAGTCGTCTAGTCTTCCTCCTGCTTTGAAGATTTTGGTTATGTTTGCAAAGGGTGACTTACCTGAACCTTCTTTTCTCATCTGTGCTAGAAAACAAAAGAAAAAGATTACCGGAAAGCAACAATACAAAATAAATCCTGTTGTCAAATATATATATATATATATATACTGACCTTTTCCAAATTTGAAAACGTGGCCGCAGAGTTGTGGTAAATCCAAGCCCCGTTACCTCTTTGCCGAAGAACCCCTGAGGCTGTTAAAGACCACAGTCCTCTAAGCGTATTTCGCAATAAATTTCTCTCAGTTAAATTATACTTACACAATTTCCCTCGCAGTTCATTTAAGGATCATAAACGTAGGTGTGCCCTGTCGGTGTTTGGTTTGACCCCCACCTCCCACCCACGCATCTCCCTCCTACCCCCGAGTCGCGCAGATGCCTGGCGGGCCTGATGCGGGGACGATGATCACACCCCCGCGAGCAGCCATCGGAAGGCGCTCAGGTATACCCCGAAGTCGGCTGGGGTTCCGGGAAGGGGTCGCAGACTGCCGGCCCAGCTTAGTCCTTTCCCTAATCGGAAAAGGAGCGTGCTGCCTGGCCCAGCCAGCGCAGCCTCCCAAGGATTAAACAGAAATCGCCTTCCTGAGACGGGGAGGTTCCATCTTGGCCTGAAATTCTGCTTCCAAGTTCATGTTGTGGGGCCGGGGAGCGACGGTGAGGCGTGGGGTGGGGGGGTGGGGGGATGGGGGGAGGCCGGGAAGTGTAGGCAGAGGCATAAAGGCGCTGGTAATGCACCTGGCTGCCCACCCACTCCGTCCCCAGCTTTTACTCGCGGGCCTGTCTTAACCTCCCAAGTGATGTTTCAGGGCGTTTGTACCAGAAAACCTACACATGTATGTGATGGAAAAAAACTAAAAGATCCTGAAACTTAAGCGTCAGAAAAAAGACAGGGAGAAACAGAGAGAAAAAGGAGAGAGGAAGCAAATGATAAGGGATCCTGGAGATGGTTTAAACACACACACACACACACACACACACACACACACACACACACACACACACACACGAGGGAGAGCTCTTTCAAGGCAAAGCGCTTCTGAAGGTTTTGGGAGAACGTGTGTCAGCCCTTCAGGCACACAGGGTGCCAGTACGGAGTTGGGGGCGGGGAAGGGTGCAGTGCAGGCGGCTGGGAAGGCTCATCTGCTCGGCTTTATGGAAACGCTCCACTGTTGGGGGCAACCAACCCCGCGTTGACTCCTGCGAAGTGCTAAAGGAAGCGATAGATGTCGCCTAAGGAGACTACGGACGCTCGGTGGAACCTCATTCCAGACCTATGTTCTCATGCTCGCCCTGTGTCTCCTGCTCCTCGGAAGCCCACTCTATAGAATCTTCAGTCCTACCTCGCAGACGGACGCAAATTATCTTTTACTTTGCGCTTAAGAGTTGGCTTCAATACATTTTAGAGCTCCTAACCTTTCCCAAACAATCTTCGGATGAAGGGATACCCCCAATCTTGCTCAAAACTCTTTCCCTACCTACACCCCCTTGAGGGTGAGGGTTCAGTCCGCAGCTGGCGAGTGGGACGTGGGTGGGGGCGATGGAGGCGCGGGCGGGCTGCTTGGAGGGAGTCAGCCTTTTGGCCACCTTCAGGGCGGGAATAGGGACTGGCAGTTCGCATTCCCCGCAGATCGAAGCTCCCTGCTGATCGATTATTTGATAATTGATTTTCCCCGCAGCCAATGCGCGGCGGCCTGGGCGGGGGCGCCTCCTGATTGGCCGAGCACTCCTCCACGGCTGCCTACCGAGATTTGGGTGAGCTCATTTTCCAGTCGACCGCAGGGGGAGTTTTCTGCGAGGTTTCAGCTGGAGGGAGGGGGAAAAATCCTCTCGGAGCCGAGCGAGCTGCGAGCCCTGCTTGTGGATGTGAGGTTTCCAGCCACTGGTAGAGCTGCTGCGGCTGAGCCATCTCGGCAGATCAGAGCCCAGCGGACAGAAATATAAATACGAAAATAACGCCACTAAATATAATCACAAGGGAGAAGCTTAGAGCGGGAGAATAAAGAGAAGGGGTGAGGGGGAATTAAAGCCCAGGCAATAGGTGTTAAAGTTAAAAACAAAACAAAACAAAAAACAGTGGTTGGTTGGAGCCTCCGAGTTGTAGGTACAGGCAGCTTTTGTCTGAAATCTCAGCTTCCGAAGCGGATTTCTTTTTCTCTGGCACTGGGAGGTTTCGCCGAGCCGGGTTGGGGACGGGAAAGAGGAGCGCGGGGAAGGATGTCTGGGGTGGTGAGGGCAGGGCTTCGCTGGAGAAAGAGCTAGTGGGGCGCGAGGTTCTTACAGGCCCGGGAGAGGTCGAGGCTGGAGCCCCTCGGCGCCTCTAAGACAAAGGCAGCGGTGGCTGCAGCCGGAGCCTAGCACTCCGGCAGCGTCGCGCCGCGCCGCGCCGCGCCCTGGGCGCACGGCCGCCTCACCCCGAGCGGGTCGGAGAAAGAGCCTCCCTCCCAGCGGCTCCCCGGCCCCGGCTCCGCCCGCGAGGTCTGGGCTGCTGCGAGCCCGCGCCGGGTTTCGCTTTCCGACGATCATAAATAGCTTGGTGTTTGTAAACAGGCGCTGGGGGCACATTCCCCGCGCTCAGCTCATTGTTCCCTCCCTTCCTCTCTACTTCGCGCAGGACGCCTGGGCTGGGGCTGGGAGCCGCCGGGGCTAGGAGGTGGGGGAGTCCAGACCCGAAGTGACAAAATGCTAGCATTTTCTTTCCCCCGGCCGGGCGTCCACCTCTAACAGCAAAGAAACCTCTAAGCTGGGTCTGCAGAAAGCCCGAGCCACCTCAACCCCATGTTCTCAGGACTCCTTAGCAGAGGCTTTCCCAACCTGGCTTCTCCCTCCTTTTCCTCCACGATCCCGCTTTGACTTTTCTCCTTGCAGTGTTTAGTTCTGAGAATTCAGTACTTTGCGCATCACCCCCTGCCCCGAAAAACACTGGCAGACCCCAATAATTTCGAGGAAAGTCATGAAGTCTATGCGCGGAGCCCTGTGCAAAATAACTCCCGCTGCTGCCTGCCCGGCGTTGATTCCCAATTTATTTCAAGAGAGTCGGCTTTGGGGAGAGAGTCTGCAGGGGGAGGGAGAGAAAAGAATACTGAAAATAAAGCTGGCGGCCGCGGGCTACTGCCTGCGTTTGTGTGCGTGTGCCCTGGGTGTGTGGTGTTTGTGCCTGGGCGTGCGATTTAATGGAGCGCCTCTCTGCCTCTCCAGTGCGGCCAGAGCTCGCTTCGCGCACCCACCCCTGCCGAGGAGCCTACTTGCTGCAGCCCAATGCATTGTGTAAGACGCGACCTGTTATGGCCACCACTACTTCCGGGTTCTAGCATTCTGGTCGGAATCCACCTCTCCGCCTGTGCAACACACACTTTACACACGCACGGGGACTGCAAGCGGGCAGCATCGATCGTGGCTCCTTTAAGACAAACTCAGACAGACATTTTTTTTAACCCTCCTTCTCTAATCTCCTTCCAGTGCAGCACTTGCAAAGAGGGAGAGAGAGGGAGAGAAAGAAAGAGAGAGAGAGAAGAGAGAAACTGATTAGGAATTAGGACTGATTCAAGGGAAGCGAGCGCTAGGGCTTTGTGCATTTGAATATTAACATTTGAGGTGTTCTGACCAGAAGAAGACAGAGCGGATGATCATTCATTCACCACGTTGACAACCTCGCCTGTGATTGACAGCTGGAGTGGCAGAAAGCCATGAGATTTGGTAGTTGGGTCTGAGGGGCGCTCTTTTTTTTCCTTTTCTTTCTTTCTTTCTTTTTTTTTTTTTAAACTGATTTTTGGGGGAGAGAAGATCTGCTTTTTTTTGCCCCCGCTGCTGTCTTGGAAACGGAGCGCTTTTATGCTCAGTGACTCGGGCGCTTTGCTTCAGGTCCCGTAGACCGAAGATCTGGGACCAGTAGCTCACGTTGCTGGAGACGTTAAGGGATTTTTCGTCGTGCTTTTTTTTTTTTTTTTTTTTTTTTCCGGGGGAGTTTGAATATTTGTTTCTTTTCACACTGGCCTTAAAGAGGATATATTAGAAGTTGAAGTAGGAAGGGAGCCAGAGAGGCCGATGGCGCAAAGGGTACGTATTAAAAAACAATTGTGGAACTCAAATGTGAGATTAAATTGAAACGTGGCCGAAAGACACTGCTAAAAAGTTTCCTTTTTTTCTCTCTCTCTTTTAAAAAATGAGGCTCCTAAAGCCGTGGCCTAAGCGAGAGGATTTATTCAATGCATTTGTAGACTTATGTATGTTACTTGGAGTTGTTAATTAAAGGAATCTATTTATCTATAGATTCCTAACCAGCAGCTATATAAATAAAAATGCAAGCTCAAACAATCATCTGGGTTTTTTTTTAAAAAAGCTAGATACCTAAAGCTGTAATTTGAACATTCAGAGATCAGAAGTTTAAAGTTATGTTTAAACTAAAATATGCAGCTGGAAACTTCTGATATGTTATTGATTATGCTCATCTTTAATATCACTAGAAGTATTCAGCTTTTTAAAGGAAATAACTTTGTCATAGTATAGCCAATTTTTTGGTCAGAAAACATTCATCTTTTTATAGTAATTTCAATTTGTATAGACTTGTATACAAGGCAATATTTTGCAAGTTTCTCTTAGATAAGCCCTCTACTAATTGAATACTAAGCACACAGTTACTCACTTTAAAAATGCAATACTAATTTCCCCATATTCCTTTTTCAATGGAAATGCAGTGAGAGTAAAGTGAGACAATGACAACCCAACTGAGGTAGTTTCTTAAAAGAAAGGGGGTCTACAAAAAGCCTTCCTTGCATAATTTGTGTCCTGGCCCTCAAAGCCCTGTTTGCAAAAGAAAGTTACTAGGCTGACACAGTTTTCTTTACTCCTTTGGTTCAGGCAAATGTCAGCGTTCTTCCAAACTCTTTTCACACCTCTGGCTTTAAGGAGATGAAAGTGGCAATTCCTCCTTTCTTTGAAAATCATTTCACTCTCAGCGCCTCCAAATCTTGGGAAAATAACTGCCTGGAATGAACCAATTAGAAAAACCTAAATAGCTAAATTTCACACACACAAAATAATGACAATCAATATGAAAGTAGTTTTTTTTTTTTTTTTCTGGAAGAGGAAGATGGAAAGTTGTGCATTTGCTTTTGAATTTGCTTTAAACCTGGTGAGTAACATTTGCCTCCTTGACTTCTAGTCTGGAAACAAAGTTCATAAGAGTAAATAAGAAAATAGAATATTAGCTGCTTCAACTATAGATTTTCTTTAACTTTGGGGGTGGGGAATTGCCCAATTCTAAATTCAGCTCTGATGTTCAGGAAAAGCTACCCTCCTTTGAGTTTCACTTATAAGGGGTCAGTTAGTTTTGTATAATTTAGCAGAGTTTGTCTTGGAAAGCAAAAGAAATGCAGTGTCTTGTAGGACTGCCTAACCTCACGCTGGCAGGGAAATAAAATGAGAAGCCTGTCTAAATTCACGTGCTTTGCGTAGCTGTTCCCATCGTAACTTTTTTTTTTTTTTTTAATTCCCCCTGATGTGAAGGGGCTGTGAAACTAGGCGGGTTTGCTGCAGTGTCCTGGCACGTTTTATTATTGTGATTTTGAATTTCTTCCTCCAGAGACATGCCCGTTTCACCTTCTACCCTCGGGAGAATGCTTCTCTTTCTCTCTTTCTTTCTTCTTTCCTTCTTGCCAAAGGAGCCTGAATTTCTAAACTAGTTGATAGGGACACAAGTTAGGGCAAGATCATTCATCCCAGACGAGTCTCGCTGAGAATTCTGTATTTTTTACTTAAAGCTTTAATTTTAAAATAAGAAAAACTCAGCTTTATAGATGCAAGGCCACCGAATTCCGGGTGGAAGGACCCAGCTGTATTGACCTTATATAAGCTCGGTGCCTTGCCGTTCTCCCATTTGCCCGCCTGGCCTCCTGAACCTTCTTTCTCTCCTGTTTGTCATGCAGTACGACGATCTACCCCATTACGGGGGCATGGATGGAGTAGGCATCCCCTCCACGATGTATGGGGACCCGCATGCAGCCAGGTCCATGCAGCCGGTCCACCACCTGAACCACGGGCCTCCTCTGCACTCGCATCAGTACCCGCACACAGCTCATACCAACGCCATGGCCCCCAGCATGGGCTCCTCTGTCAATGACGCTTTAAAGAGAGATAAAGATGCCATTTATGGGTAGGTACAATGGGCAGCAGGTTAAGTAGTTGAGACTCAACGCTTCCCTCTTTCTCTGTGCCCTTGGTAAGAGGAAAGTCAGAGTTCTCTGGATTGGAGGTACATCTTTGGTGACTTTTCATTCACATTTCATGGATAATTTGGGGAGGTGGCCTGCCATCCCTGAAGCCCTACATCCCCATACACACTCTGTGCACATCCAGTGCCCTGCTCCACCATGGCAGTGCCCGCAAGGGGGTCCCAGATGAGAAGAAGCTGGCTAAAGGGCCCTTGTCCCCTCTCAGACTCCTTCAGCGGGCTGGAGTCCTCCCTCGCTCGATTTCGCCCGAGAGCGTTAGGGGTTTCTAAATGCAGGCGCCTTTGTGTTGTAACGAAACTTTTAGTTTAAGGGAAAATCTCTTTTAAGCCACTGATTGTTCTGACTTGCTGAGTTTACTCAGCAGCCTTATGCTGGCTCTGCCACTGCACAATAAAACCAAAGCAGGACAGTTGCAGGTCAAGCAAGGGGGAACATGTTTTGCATTTAGGGAGTTTGACCACTGAAGTCAAGGAGAGGAGCTTGCTCTGAATTGTTACACACATTAAGAAACTTCTAGATGTTTTAGCACTTTGTGCTCAAAGGCGAAACCTGCAGGATTTAGAAATAAGTAAATTCGGGGTGCTCTTCCTCGGAGGTTGTTTTCTGGCTGCGGTTTATACTGCTTTCTCCTCCGCCATTCGATTAGACCCTGGGCTAGTAGAATCCTTTGAAACTCACTTGTGCCTACTGTGTGCCGATGAATTTGGGAACCTCTTTTTACTTTGCAGAAACTTTTATTTCTATTTATTTATTTTTAAAAAATCAGGACACACTGACCCTCCCTCGCTGGAAAAAAAAATATATATAATCTTTTTATTTTATTTTCTGATCCCTTGTGCGATGGGCTTGTTTAATTCCCACCGTTCTGTCCGCAGAGTTAACTACAAGTGGTTTAGGCTCTGGGACAGAACATTTGGGGAAGCTTTGTAAAGGACCCCAAACTGTTAAATTCCCAGCTGAGCTGTGAGAGCTAATAAAAGACTTGAGATACCTCCTTGGGCATTAGAAGAAGCTTTTCTTTCTTTCTTCTTCTTCTTCTTTTTTTTTTTTTTTTCTTTTTTATGGGCTGAGACAAGCGACATCTAGGCCCCTCGCAATACTAGCTGCTTTGCCACTTCGCAGAGACAAAATGAAAGGCTCTACTGCAGGAACATTTGAAGGAACTTTCTTTGGGGGGCGGTGGGGGCTATCAGCGAAGGGAGGGGAATGTGCGTGGAGCTGAGGAGGAGCCTCCCGGCTCTCCGAGGGCCTTGGGGTTGGGATCCCTAGGTGCAGCCCGTTGACAGTCGGCCCCACGGCCATGGACGTCCTTTCCCCAAGTTAGCTGAGCGCCTGCCACCGAGATCCCCCGAGCCTGGGCTTCGCGCGGCCGCCTAGGAGGAACCCGCAGGAACCAGCCCTCCCCAACTCTCCGCCCGGCGCCTTTCTCCTCCACCGGATCCTGGATGTGCAGTGGAGGGGACGAGGGCTTGTCGGGTGGGAAACTTAATTCAAAATGGCTGCTGGAAACGCTTGGGTTTTATTCGTAGCAAATGTTGCCAATTTCTCCGGCCAGATACGCTAAACCGATCCTCAGATACCGTCCATGGCTCAGGGCCTCCGACTTCAGGGCTCCAGGAGGAAGGGGAGGTGAGCGGTCACCTGGGTCTGGGGGAGGGGGAGGAAAAGGAAAAAAGTAGATGACACAATCGGAGAGGGGGTCTGTTCCTCTTGCTCCTCCAGCTGTTTTTCTTGGGCACCTTTTTCCATTGACTGGGGACTAACCATTATGTTGTTTGTGACTGTTGTATTTTCTTGCAGACACCCCCTCTTCCCTCTCTTAGCACTGATTTTTGAGAAATGTGAATTAGCTACTTGTACCCCCCGCGAGCCGGGGGTGGCGGGCGGGGACGTCTGCTCGTCAGAGTCATTCAATGAAGATATAGCCGTGTTCGCCAAACAGGTCAGCAAAATAGATGTTAAAAAGTAAAAGAAACAAAAAGAGAGCCCCCCCTTCGCCAACACACACGCGCGCGCGCGCGCGCGAACACACACACACACACACACACACGGCACACTTTCAAAAGTAGCCAGCACGTAGTCGGCCTTAAGCCATGCATGTTACCTCCAACCTCAGATTTTCTCTCTGTCTGAGTGTCTGTTTGCAGATAACTTAAAATCACCCATCTGCATCCCCACTCACCCTCCAGAAAGCAAACGTGGAGAGCTCACTCTGCAGAATAAAATCAAGAACACCACGGTTGTAGCTGCTGTGGACTCGGCGGTCTGAGCAGCCTCCCCGAGAGCCGTAGTTGCTAGTAGAAGTAAGATTGAGCTCTGGGCTTGTTTTCAGCTTATTTAATTCACACTGAAATGTTTCTGCGCGGGACGAACTCGGTGTCACCGGGTCCCTCCCGGAGGGTTACTTCCTGCCCCCGACAGTGTAATGAGGCAAGAAACTAGGAAGGCGACCAGATTTCAAATTTTTCTTTCTTTTTTCTCTCCCCTCCCTCTCCCCTCTCCTTCTCACTTGTATTTAGATTCGCGCAGAAAAACCTCTATTTTCTTCTAATCCAGAACTGGATAACTTGGTAAGAGCGGACCCCTATTTCCCTCCCCCGCCCCCGACCCCCTACCTCCCACCTCCAACGCCCTCAGCTTTGCTTTGAGAGCCCTGAGATTTCTAGACCGGTCTTCCCGTGCCTGCAGGTTGGCTGCAAATGTTTCTGTACACGGACAACTGGTCCGGGACAAGATCCCGGGGAAATAAATTCATCTCGAGAGGGGCCGGGCGAGCCAGCGCGGGGAAACGCGAGCTTTTGTTTTTTATGACAGCCGGGCTGCGCAGCTCTAATCAGCGCGGGGATTTATCTCCCGGCCTGTCAGCATGTGTGCTTAAACTTTGCGGACTTCCTAGCCCTCTAAGTCCCATCACGAGGGCAGCCACCGGACAAGAGCCCCCAAACAACCAGTTTGCCTGAAAGGTGTAAGGAAGGCAGCAGAAACTTTGCAATGGGAAAAGCCACAGTTTGAGGGCCATTTGGAATATTTTTCTGTCCACTCCTTCCAAGGACACATGTAGTCCAGTGTTGTGGCCCTTTTGGGGTGGGGTGGGGCCAGTGGGACTGAGAAAGGGGAGAGCCATGGGGGAGGAGAGTGTTTATGATCCTCACTTAGATGCTGTGTTGTTGTTTTAGCTAGTTTTTTTTTTCTTAAGAAATATAAACCTCTAGATGGTACCCAGTTGCTGCTATTAAGTTTTAGTGTTATTGCCATAAATCAAAATAACTCTATTTACTGGTGGGAGGGGGTGGGCTGGAGATGGTAGAGCTGTGGCAGCCAGTTTTCTGCAAGCCAGGAATGGGGTGCTTATTGTTTTTGTATCTTTGCAGATGATTCAAGCCATACAAGTATTAAGGTTTCATCTATTGGAATTAGAGAAGGTAATTTCTCTAGCCTCTTTTCCTTTTACTTACCCCTTACCCCCAAACACACAGGGGGGAGGGTTCCGAATGGCTGAAGTTCAGCCTTCTGATACATTTGCATAAATGTCTTTCTTTCTGGTAATTAGTGTCAAGGCCAATCTTAGCGTCCATTTCTCTTCGCAGTTTAATTACAATTTCAGCCACTAAAACTGGGATCACAAACGCCCTAGCCTTGTGTTCATTCTTAATAACTTGCTGGCTTTGTGTAAATAGTTGCAATTCTGTGCATCCCAGCTGATGTTTCGAATGCTGCTCTGAGGTTGTTTCACAAGTTCATACCTCTGTTGTCTCTTCTCATCCTCTTCCTTCTCTTCTTTGCTACCTCTGAGGGAGAAAAAAGTTTTATTCAGTTGTAGTGAGTTTCTGGAAGACAGTCTTGAGAGCAAGGGCAGATCAGACACAGGGGAGAGGCAGAAGGGGAGAAGGAGGAGGAGCGGGAAGGAGTCTGGAGGAGGTGGTGGGGAGGCACATTAAACGTTTTGCAGAGACAAAGCAGAGTTGATAGTTGTGTCAATTTCTTGAATCTGTGAATCCTGCACACACTCCACCTTCACACTCAAGAAAGGGTGTGGGATAACATGATTTTGCTAGCTGTTCTATAAATCTCAGCAATAAAAACTTAATGCATTGTAATTCAAACTAACATTAAATTGCAAGCACACTGGGGTTTCTTGTGAATTTTTGCATGTCAGTGATGCCTGGGACCTCTAGGAAACCTCTGCACTTACACTTAAATATTTTGAGGCATTCCTTCTCCTTTTTGTAAAAAAAAAAAAAAAAAAAAAAAATCAATTTGATATGTTTTTGTGTGGCTGTATGTTTTCCCATATCAGGAGTACTGGCAACTTGATTTCCTTCCATTTTTTTTTCAAAGAAAGTTTTCTAAAATATACCCCTTAGAGATAAAAACCTTCATTACAAATATAATAAGGACTTGGGTTGTCAGGCATTTATCCTATGCCACCACAGTACAGGTTCTTTGGAGAATATATATGTGCATATATACACACGTATACATTTTTTTCTTAGACACATTAGAAAGGGATTTATGATAAAGTCACTGGATGAAATTAAATAGTTTACCTTAAATGTCACCTACGCAGGTCACCTCTCTAATGACCACAGCCCCAGGAGCAGATGAATTTAACACGGGTGTTGAATATGTTGTAGCCTGTGAATCATCTTGTCACTGTCAATTTTCTGGGATATCTCTATTTTGCAAGAAAAGAAAGTTATTCCTAATTCTGGATGCGTCTGGGGGTCTCTGGAGGACAATTGCCCTGTGTTTCCCCTATTTGGAAGTTTGGATCTCACAAGGGGGGTGGATTGCACTTGTCAATGTCATTTATGCACTCCTGATTATATTCCCATTTTTTTATTTCTGTCATAATGTAGGTACACGAATTATGTGACAATTTCTGCCACCGGTATATTAGCTGTTTGAAAGGGAAAATGCCTATCGATTTGGTGATAGACGATAGAGAAGGAGGATCAAAATCAGACAGTGAAGATATAACAAGATCAGCAAATCTAACTGACCAGGTATGCGCTTTTCAATTTCAACATCCCTGGGAAAAAAAAAAATCTGTATGCATATTGCTTGCTGGGTCACTACCACCTCCTTTTATTATTTGCATATGATTAAGTCCCTTTTAGATACATTTCCATCGAAATGAAAATTTTTGAATAATGTGGCTATTATTGCTTCATTAAGGCTGGCTCTGGGATTCGACCTGAAGAGATGAGCTTGTAAAAGCTTTGCTAGCAAACTTGACCTGTTTCTTGTCGCTTTTAATTTTTGTCTTTATTTTATTTACCCTCTATAATAATGGGAGTGTTAACTGCCAGTGACCGCCTCTGATTGTAGGGGCTTTGTTCCGGAGCATTTTTCCCCCTTCTATCTTCAAGAAAAGACAAGTGTAGGGTCTGCTTATTTCTTATTTTATTAGGAATAAATCCAAGATAGGTGGTCTAAGAAAGACAGCGAGAGTTTGAAATCTAGCAAATGCTGGCTATTTTCTCCCTGTCTGTACGGTTCATTAGCCTGTCTTGTCAGTTTTCCTCGGCCGAACGCTTCTAGACCTCACTGAACATTGCTTTGTGTGGTGTTCACTGCAAGCTCACCCATTTTATTGTACTTAATAGAAAAAATAAGACCAGGCCGAGGTTATAAAAACAGATAAATATGGACTTTTCTCCTCCTTCTTTCCACTCATCCTCCAGCTGGTATGTGCTCTGGGCCCTCTGGGTTGGCAGCTTGTGGACATATCAGCATCAGGGGCACCCCGGCGGCTCCCTGGGTAAGGAGTGTGGGGGACCTCGCACCGCCTTTGCTCTCAACTGAGGGCCTTGGCTTGCTGCACCCTCTCCTCTCCTGTCTTCCCTCCAGGCCCTTCTTCCGATGCGTTACTAAGTGGGGACGACTTTTATTTGGAATTGCTGTGGGGATTTCTCTCTCTCTGTCACCCCAACACCACCGTTTGCTCCCAGGGTGCCTCTCTCTCTCCTGTGGCTGTATCTCTGGATTGGTCCAAAGGAGTTGCAAAAATGCAATGAAAGTGAAAACGTGTAGAGTGAGTGAGATGAAACAGGGCTCAGAACAGTTCCGTTGCGAATTGTTGCAAGGCGTCTAGAGATTTGGGTAGCTGGCCTGCTCTGCACCCTCCCACCCTTCCCCCCTATATAAGTGAAGTCCCAGTGTTGTTTCTCTTTCTGACTCGGCACGTGAGTCCAGATTTGGGGGAAGAGATCAGCCTGCCTTTGTTAAGCCAAAGGCCAGCTACTCTGCAAGCTCTGCCATGATCTCTGTTGGCCAGTGGCTGTCTTGTACAGTCCTTGTCGAGCGCCTGACGCCTGGTTCTTAGTGTCATCTTATGGTTTTCTTCTCTCAACATCATCCTCTTAAAATACATTCTCAGCTTGATTTTCTCTGGGCAATCCCCGCGACATGGGCTGAATTCCTCTTTTGCCCATGGGGAGCGAGAAACAGGCAGAGCAGAGATTTAAAAGTGCCAATGCGCCGGGTCCGCACTGTGATCTGGAGAGTTGGAAACTTTCGGCAGTGTAGTCCATTGCACAGAACACGCAGCGTGCGCAATCCCAGTGCGGCCCCACAGAAGTGGGAAAACTGCAGGCGGCTCCCAGCCTTGGCCCCCGCGGGCGGCCCGGGCCTCACGTCTGGTTCAGCCCGCCAGCCCTGGCCCGGGAGCTGTTGAGTGCCGATTCTGCTGAGGAACCCTCGAGTAGCTGCTGTGGAATAAAAATTGCAATCCAACAAGCCTAACTGGAAAATGGGATTCTAAAAGCTCCGGAGTGCTGGGTACATAAAGCTATTTGAGCAAATTACAAGAATCGCTTAGGGGCATGAATGAAATCAACACTTTAATTGCCTCCAAAATGAAGATTTATACCCCATTTTCTCAAGGAATCATTATTTTATTAAAGTCAAAGATAAAAGACCAAAGTTATGGGAATTTTTTGGAGGGGGGAGAGAGAATACAAAAATTAATATAATATCATGGAGCTCCCCCCTTCTCCTTCCCTAAACTTTTGTTACCCAATTCCCTTCAGATATGCAAATATTGGTATGCAATTGTATCGGATAAAACTTCTCATTTTATTGTCTTCTACCTCTAAAATGAGAATCTGACTTCTGGTCCCCGCTGGTTAAGAGTGGGCTTCGAAGCTTTGGCTGAGCTCGTGGCGCTGTTGGCCTATGCGCCTGGGCTCGCTTGTGTGACCCCCTGGGGCTCACCCAAGTTTCAGCTGGTCGGAGGACAGCAAACCCAAGGTCCGGTTTGGAGAGGGGAGCGCAAAGCGCTGGACGCATGCGGTACAGTGCCACGGCCGCCGGTGGGCTCCACTGCCCTGGGGAGCTGAGGCGCGACGAATGAAGCACCAGGGCGCCTGGTGGGCGCCAGTTCTCCGGTCTGGAGCCTGCTGGCCTGTCCCTCCGGGGCGCTGAACCCCTAGTGCGGCGTCCTGGGGGCCGGGCAGGAAGGATGGCCTCTCCACCTGTCTGCGAATGCAGCCCAGCCAGTTTGAGCCTCCGCAGAGGGTGCGCTCCGGGACTGGGCGCTTCTCGTGCTGTGAGAACGCTGGGCCTTGTTAGCTCATTAACCCCTCTGTCTCTAGGGCCCGTTGGCGGCACGGTTTATTTTATTTTACCTGTTTTCCTCGGAGGGCGCGAAGACTGCCACCCGCGCGGGGACCTGGGATCGACGACTTTGATACTAGGCGGTATCCCGGAGGGCTAAGTCGGCGGAAATCCACTTGACCTTGTAGCGTTAGTCCTTTCTTTTCCTTTCCTTTCCTTTTTCTTTCTTCTCTCTTTCCTATTTATTTATTTATTTTAAAAATAGGATTAAGACACCAGTAGAAGCTGTAATCCCGTTCCTTCCCCCACTCCCAGTCTTCCGGGCCGCCTGGAGGTCCCTGCCGGAGAGAGCCACTTTGGCGGGCGCAAGCCTCCTGGGCGCCCTCTCCTGACCGCCGCGCTCTCGGCTCGGCTTGGCTGTTCCGGGCTCCCAGAGGCTAGGGGAAGCGAGGGGCGCCAGGGGCTTCCCGGCCTCAGCGTGGGGCGAGGTCCCGGCTGCGACCCCGGAGCAGAGGGAGAGGGGGGCCATGATGCTAGGCGTCGAGGCGAGGGTTGAGCCTGTTTGGCTTCAGAGAACGATGCGGGTTCGACCGGAAGCGGGGCGCGTGTTCTAGGGGCCCTTGGGTGGATTAGGGGGCGCCAAGAGGGGTTAGGCGAGGAGAGGCCTGGCCACCCAGTTGCTAGACTTTAGGCCGCACTCCAGGAAGGAGCAGTCGGCTTCCTTCCTAGGCCGCTTCTATTGCGCGCCACTCCTTGAATCTAAGCATTTTCCACTCCAAGAACGCGTTGGGAGAGAGGGGAGAGCGGAGCAGAGTCTCTAGGCCCCCAGGGCCGCCTCCCGGGGTGGCCACGCCTGCCGGTAGCGAGCCGAGATTAGCTAGGTCTGTGCTCGGGCCTCAGCGGTGGCCCTGGCTCTTCCCATAAGCAGCGGGAGGCAGAGAAATGGTCCCTTTGGATTACAGTTTTTATTCAACAGCAGCTCTCCGGGGGGTCCTCGTCTGAATCTGCATTTAGCAGCTCCTGGGCGAAGGCTGTCGGGCTGCACAGGACGCCCTGTTGCATGTTAATCCAGATTTGTCTCTGACGTCTGGGGAGAAGTAATATGGCTTGCAGTTATGGAACCAGAGAGCCACGCTCGCCAGGCAGGTTAAATGCCAAGTGCTGCCGAGCTCCCGGGGGACGGCCGCCGGGGCTGTGCAGCCCAGACTGGAGAGCGCAGGGCCGCCAGGCCTCTGGGATCTGGGGCAGGCCGGGCCCGGTGCGCTTTGGTTCCCAAGTGGTCCTGGGAACTCTGATGGCGATTGTTTTATTTCAAAAGTTCACAATGTTGTTTCTGAAGCAGAGTTTGGCTTAAAATCCTTTAAACTGAGGTAGAACTTTGACAGAAAACGCCCTCCTCCGAAGAAGCGGGGGAAATTCTTGCAAGGGAGATTTAAGCTTTCTCTTTAAGGGAGGTGTCACAGTCAGGGATGAGGCAGGGAGGGCAAGAAACAACCTAATGTCCTGCATGGATGGGATCTGCTGCTTTAGAAGCAAATAGATAGGGCCAGCGAATATTTACGAATACTAGAAATGTCCGCAATTCCTTGTCATCCAATAAGAAAAGTGGACACAAACAGCGGGAGGCAGAAAAATGGTCCCTTTGTCAGGTAGTTTGTTTTTAAATGCTTCCATTTGTATACATCTTATTTAAATTATAAATGCTTCGTAGGTTCCCACTTAATGCCTTAATCCTGAAACCTCTCAGTCCACAGGACTTGCAAGTGATAAAGTCTTAGCATCACCTAACTTTACATTTGATTGTGTTGTGGGTCATGTGATATAGTCTTAATTCCTTTTAAAATATATGTCAAATGGAAATTATGGCAAGATTCTCTTTAATGATTAAATAATAAGGTGTTGACTGCTTGTCACTACACTGGCTAATTGGGATGTTCATTCTAGGCCCTTTATTACATAGCACCCTTTGAATTAAAAGTTAGTTGTTTACTGGGTATATTTTTATTGTTACTTTCTGATTGGCTTTTAGTGTGTATTTATGTGTGAGTTTCAGAGTAGGGATGTATTGATTCTTAATAGGGACACTTTTAAAACATTCTAGAAAAAACAAGGGGAAAAAAGTACACCATAGATGCAGATAGGTTGAGATCACTTACATTGGTAAATGTCTCTAAGTCTAAACGCTAATACTACAAAAAATCCTTTGCGTAGCTTCCCTCTCTCTCTGTCTCCCTCTTTCTCTTTCAATCTCTCTCTCAGTGGAAGTCCCCAGTGCAAGTTGCATGAATAATGGAAAGCAATGATACTAATGCTACTTTGTACAAAGTAAAGCCTCATAACAGTAACTATTGTTCAGTGATTTAACTAGCTCCATGGCAGTAGGTCATTCAAATAGCAATTCTTCCCCCACCAGAATGACTCCATTGCTCACCATTCTGAAATATATAGAGTAGTTGTTTTATATAGCTATTGGTCCTAACTTAGAGACTTGTATTAGAAAACATGGAGAATCTTAAATAATAGAGGAAGAAGAGAAGAGAAGGGAGAAAAATGTATTAAAATGTGGGCCGGGCTTTCAAAAAAGTAACTGAAATATCATGCTAGAATTGTCCAACTTTGAAAATATATAAATTTTAAATCATTATGTTTTCAAACACTCATATGTTTAAGTTTTTAAATGTTTGTCATAGTCCCAAAAGATTTAAAACACAGCTGTGGCTGGGTGACAAGAAAAGAAAATATCCAGTAAAATTCTATACTCTTAAAAAACAAAGACTATTTGTGCTCCCATAGTAGAAACTTATGTTTATTAAGGCCAAGTAGATAGACTAAAGTATTACCATGAGGCCTACTGTCCTAAAACTAGCTTACCTTCCCTAGCGTACCTCACAGGTGGAGTTGGAGAAACTGTGAATAATGCATAACAAATTATATTAAGACACTTGCCATAAATGAAAATACTGTCAACATGAATTTAAATGAAGTATTCTCATATTGGTAATGTTATGCTTTCCATTGCAACAACAATATTTTCTTATGAAACATAAATATGTCAAACAAATGTGAAATGCTAAAGTTTTAATAAATGATCATTTAATCATCAAACAAAACCCAAGTATGTATACAAAAACTTTTAAAGGAAAGTCGGCATACAGCCAAATTGCTATAGGGACTAGCAGGGAAATGATCAAAAAATGAACATGAAATAAGACTTCCTGTAAGAAGGTCTATAATTCAAAATTATTTGACTCCACTGTCAGGGAAATAGTTGAAGGATAGTAAACTGATACAGCTCTCAGTCATTTTTGTTACACAGTCTTAAATGTTTGCAACTGTAGCATTTTACATGGCCTTTTGTGGATTATGATATCTGTCATATTTGAATCAAAGTACTACTTTAATTTATGACATAATCGAAACAAAATTTTTTGCCATTTCTCCTGAGTGCAAAAAAATTTAAGAATTAAATAAAAATTATGGGAAAGTATTCTTTTACAAATGAAGAAAAATAGAATGCATGTGACACAGTTTATCTGACAGTTGTGCGGATGTTATTATAGATTTAAAGATTTTCCAGATCCCAAGTAAAACAACACTGCTCTAAATCCCGTTGGGCTTGCTCTTCTTACTAAGCAGGAAATATCAGAATGTAATACCTGTATAAAAAGTTCTGGGCTAAAACATATAAAATACAGTCTCCCAATTTAAGTTTTAATAATAATTACAAAATTTGATTTTTGGCATCCTGTAGAATTTTGAATATTTTGCCATCCTTAATGTATACGAATAAACCATGGGTGTCTAAAATCAATTTTGAAAAGTTCAAGCAAATGAGTGTGTCCATGTAGTGTAAAAGATAAAAGAACATCTTCACTGTATCTTTAATTTAACATGCCATGATTTCAAGATTATAGGAATTTAGAGAAGCTTTTTGGAGTCTTAAACAGACTCTCCAGGAAGTATACCTACATTGGCCAATTGCTGGAATCCCTACACTTGTAAATTGGACATTTGAATAAATGGTATAAAGGATACTATGTGAAATAAGTGAGAATATATTCACTAAAATATTTGTCACTAGAATCCAATTATGATCAATGTAATGCATTCAAGTGCACAGAATTAAAGCAATTGGCAACAATTTACTAGACTTTCTTCAAACACTCTTGCTAAATAGCATTTCTTAATCTAGAAAATATGTTCTTGTTAAAGGAAAATACAAGAGTGCAAATATTTTCCAATTATTTTATATTCTTGACTTCTTGGTTCAGAGTTTCTAAAACTGACTAAAACATACTATCAAGGGTTGATTCTCTGATGGAAAAAGGGCTTATTTATACACATATTGAATTATACACCTGTTGTTTATTGGTGTCATGAGTATATACAATCAAATACAAATTACAGCTGGAGTTGTATAGCTGTATATCAATACAATTGAAGTTTATAATGAAATTGACACAAATTATAGCTATATATGTTTTAAGATATAAAGTAACCATATTATGGTTTTTCCATGACATATGGACCAATTTATGTGGCATACGCTAATGGAGGACAAATAAGTTGAGCAAAGAAGTTTTACCTTATTTGTAATTCTCAAAAATACATTTCTACAGTGGATTCTTCCCTTGTACTTCATAATTCTATTTACAATTAATAGAATTTATACTCACGAAGTAAACAACCTTGAGTGTGTAATGTTATGCTTCTTTAAAAAACTCAAATAAAATCCTGGCATGCACTTATAGTCTCAGCTAATCCAGAGGCTGAGGCAGGAGGATCACTTGTGCTGAGGAGCTGCCAGCTTGGGCAATATAACAAGACCCTGTCTCAAAAACAAGACCAAAAAATCCTTAAATGAAATCATATTATTCAAAAAAAATAAAATGCCTGTTATTATTAATAAGTTTACGAAGTGAAATTTTAAAAATGGCCACAACCTTATGAGTTTAACAAATATTAGCAACTGTTATAGTTGTGCTGCTGCTTTTACGTTTTAACCAAATACAAAGTCTTACATTTTACAATGGACTTAAATATACATTATTTTAACTCATTTAGAAGATATCAGTAAATAAGATTTTTGAGTGATATTAGAATTACTCTAATATCAATATATGACAACATTCTAGTATCAATACCTGGCCACATAAGCTAGCTTAGAATGAATTGTTGCTTGTGAATTTCCATTTCTATAGAATTTTCCTTACACTTTACAATATGGTAGCATGTTTATTATCCATTAACTTTAAATTTCTGGGTTGTTGGTTATTATTTAGAAAGATAGAACTATATCTCTTTCTTTTTCTGATCACTTTTTTTTCTGCCCTTTGGAAACCTTCTATGCCTGAGATTTGAACTTGAGCTAGTTTGCTAGGTCTCATTTTCCTATTGTAGTGCCTTGTGGGTTATTACCCATATGTGGGTTTGTTTTCGTGAGAAAATGAAGAATGTTACTCACTTCAAAACAGGAATGAATAGAGGCCAAAGTCATCAAATATTCCCAACCTGTGCTTTACAATTAGGTGAAAAACTGAAAACTGTGATTCTTATTTGTCTTCCCTAGAGCTGTGAACACTTGGTATAAAGATTAATATTAGCCCCTTTGTGTTCTTCCTCTAAAAGCCTAAATGTTTATTTTCAGCAACTGTATTCTTAACTGATTGTCCATACTTGGTCCCAGACCTCCATAATTTACATTTTATTCTGAATTTGCATTCATATCACATCCCATAGAAACTCTTTAAAGTGAAGTGTGTTTATGACTATTATGAAACTCTGGAAAATGAAGTTTATAATGAAATTGACACAGCCGTCAAAAGGACAGTGAAGAGAGCAATTTGACTGTACATCCAGAGTTTCCTTATCCCATCTCAACTTGTAAAAGGCTTATTTCTCTTCTTTTAAAAATATTAGAAGCTGAATGAATAAGAATTTCTTTGACAATAAACCTCCTCTTAATGTCTCCAAAACTATTTGGATGTGTTTTCGAATATTAACTTAATTTGATAGACAAGATATAATTAACTGTGACCTATAGTGTTTTCTGGTATTCAGAGATTATTCCTTAGCAATTTGAAAACTTAATTTCAAACTACATGATGTATAATTTCTGAAATTCTAAAGGCATACTTACACTATTTACGTGAAGTGGAGTGTTTGTCTACAGAGCTTCAAAATGGAGATACTTTAGAGGTGGAGGAACAATTTTTACATACAAAGTCTTGGCAAACTAGCTAGTGCAGGTGGGCTATTTTTGGAAACTTTTCAATATATAGCCTTCCTATATATTTACTGCAATATTAAAATTTTTCTTCCTGAAGGAAAAAAAAAGCTCTGTGTTTCATACAGAAACTCGTATATGACATTTTAAACCTTCACATTTCATTGATCATAAAATCCAGCCAATATATATATAGAAAATTTGAAATAGCAGCAAATAGGTAAGATGCTATTTGCTATTATGCTACAATCAGAACAGAAACTTTAGCAGTACAATTAATTAGGCATTTTGGGTTTAGTTGCAACATTTACTTGAAAGTTCCCACCAGATCTGGAGTTGTTTTATAATCCACGCTTGAGAATATTTTAGTGTAAAAAATTTGTGATAAATCACCATTGAACATTACTTTTATTTCAAATTGCTCCTTCCTAAGAGATGTAGTGTCAGGAGTAACCACCCTGCCCTTCACTCTTGAACATATAAATGTATTATTTATTTACATTCTATCATATACATTATTTATGGGAATTATACTATAACTCTACAGAGCATATGGAATTCATCTTCATGAGATAAGGGTGGCATCTCTGCCAATGTGGTATAGCCCTAAGTAGATAATTAAGGATTACCCTCAGACTACAGATAAATATTATCTCTTATAGAGTCATTACATGTTTATATTTCATAGCTCCAGATGCAAATGTAGTTTGCCATTTTCATTTTAATTGTCATAGTTTTCTTGGCTCTAGCTTCTAACAAAGAGAAACAGGAATTTTACATTTGGAATTGATCTTGATGATAAATTAATATGTTCAAGAAAAAGAAAGATATTCAGTTGCAGAATTATTTAACCCCCTTCCTTTCTTTCAGCCTGCTTTCCCTGTCCTTAATGTGTTCCAAAATTTTCTGAAGAATGTTGTTCATAAAGTTTGTAGCACTGTTTGTGTATTTGGTGGCTTGGCCTATTGTTTCATTATATTTTGGGTTTTTAAAAGCTGTGTTTAATAACAAAATAAGCAAGAAAAACATCTGAGTTATTATGTCCCGTACTTCTTTGCACAAAATAACAGAGAGATACAGAATATGCTTGTTCTGTGCATATGAAGTGTATTGCTAGTGTTCAATTTTTTTATTCTAATAATTATTCAAAGGCAGTAACAATCTGCATTTAAGTGAGTATAAACATTTTTATTCTGGAATTTGGAATTTGCAGCAACTCAATTTTATTTTCCAAATTACCCTGCCATTTCAATTAGGTGCATTGTTCTTCACTCTACTGTTGCGACATTCTAAAGGTTTGCTTGCCATCCTAATAGTGAATTGTTTGAGTGTTTAATATTTATTGAGGGCATGTAAAGAACATGCCAATAGAAAAATAGGAGAACAAAACATTGACAAATCAATTATGTGGCTTTTCTTTGCTCGTGGTATACTTTCAATAATCCAAATACTCTGTAACTGTTAAATAGTATGAATAATCTCTAGAATAATAGCCTTGGGTATGGCTGAAGAATGACATTCTGATTAACTGGAATTCCTTAAAAAGTGCACAGTGCAACTCAGCATCTTACTTCTGGAATTCACAGTTGCTTTGGCTGATCTCTTAGTTAAGTATCTTGAAATATAGAAAACTTGACCGTTGTAGGAACCAGAAACTCAAATTAAATCTCAAGATGCTTTGAGAAAGGCCTCCCTGATTATTTTACCCAAGATAAATAATGAAGGAAGGGAATAATCTTTTCCCAACTCCAAATTTAACGTTGTCAGTGGGCTTAAAGATGCAGACATTCTTGAGGAATGAGAGACACTTAAAACACAAAATGTTGTAAAAAATATAAAAAATCAGAAGTGCTTCTAAAGAAACCATAGGGAAATTAGAAGATACCCTATTAATAATTATTAGTGGAAATCAGCGGTAAATATAAATTTCTGTGATTCTGTTATTCAAAGTATAATGCTATGAGGTAGTAGAACAAAACAAGACTATATCTTGGCTGAATTTTTTTTTCTTCTTATGTCTCAATTGTGTGTTCTCTGGCTCGAGAGTTTAGAAGTAGAAAAGAGAAAACTTCAGAAACACTTGAGACTAAACAGTTAAGTGTATTGCTTGTCATTTTTAGTTACACATCCTTTCAGGAAGGTGGTGTTCTAATGAACAATATACAATTTAGAGCCAGAGCACTTATATTTGAATCTAGACTTTGCTCTGAGAGGGCAAGTCACTGCACCTTGACGGGCCTTAGTTTAATAATCTGTAAAATGGGGATAGTAACAGTACCCACTTTATTGAGTTACTGTAAGAACTAAATAAAAGTGCATCTAAAACATTTAGAGTAGTAAATCCCCAATGAGCACTTCATTACATTATATTTTATCTTCTTGCTTGTATTCTGCCTAACCTTCAAAAACAGGAATTGGGTTTATGGAGGAAGGATTGGGTGCTGGTTGATGGGGCTGTTGTTTTATAGAGTATTTTATCATCGTAGAGTTTAAGAAAAATATCTTAATTCTTATTATGAGGGGTCAATTTTATTCTGATTTCAGCATAGTGTAAAAGGAGACTGAACTCAGATATTTTACTGAGATAGTATAGTGAATCACTGCAGACTCACTCCTAGGGTAAAATTCAAATAACAGTTATGTAAGGACCCTGTGCTAAGTACTTTTTCCCCACATTTCTGAATACAAATACTTCATGCTGAGGTCTTGTTGCTTTCGGGATGTTATTATCTACTTTTACTCATTATACAATGTTTTCTGCATTATTGGATTTTTCATTTTTTAAATTTTTTTTGCTAGGAGCCTTGCCTAGAAAGTTTGTGGTTGAAGTTGTTTTATATAAAACACTTTTAAGTTTATTTTATCTTAATTTGTTTGCAGAACAAGGAGCACTGATACTAAGTTACGGATGTAAAATAAAACACTGGGAAGCAAACAGTCTTATAAAGAGGATTTTATAACATCAGGTATACTGGCATGTAATTTACTGATTCTTCTCCCACTGCTAAGTAGAAATAATAGAAAATGATCAGAGTTCAGCAGAAAACTCTCAAAAGATAAATGAATAAAACAGATTGAAGTATTTAGGTATACTTATTTGGAAATATAGTGGTATCAGTGGATTAGGGTTTTTTTCAGCCAAACATTTAACTCTATGAACTACAATTTATAGGTATGATTTCAAGAAGCACCTGGAGTCATTAAAGTCAGTAAATATAAGAATTTATTTTTATTAATAGCATGCCAGTTATAATACAATGGCATAGAAAAAGAAAAGGTTATCAAAACATAGATACTTTTACTAAGAATTTTAGCATATTGAGGCTTTATCTTCTCTCTTCTTAAGATTTTTCTCTACAAGAAACTGGTAAGTAGAATTTGAACATTCAGGGCACTTGAATAATTTCTATTACTTACCAGTTTTGAGAAATTGGCATTTATGGTCAATTGCCCTTTGGTTGTAATTATTCCTTTTCTTTGTAATTTGGCTGAATGTACCACATGTAGAAATCTATATTATCTTCTTAGACCACAGTAGGGTCACCATGGGATGATGTTAGCATTGATTGTCAAAGTTAAAGAATTGGGCAAAAAGTATCAGTGCTGTCTTGATTTCATCAGGAAAGCCTTTGGAATATTCTGAGTGTTGTTTTACATCTGTAGACCTCTGCTTAGCATAGTTGATTCACTTGTAATTTATTGGGTAAATTAATTCAACTGTGCAGGTTAATAAATTCCTGAAAATGTTAGAGTGGAGACCTAAAAGACACCAGGCTGTTGAAAACTAGGGTTTTAAGCAGCATTGGGAAAGTGTTCTGTGGTATTCAGTCCTGGCTTCCTAAGGTCCCCACCCTCACTGCCTGCCATAGCAGCCCAGCGCCTGAGTATTGAGAGGAGAATGAAGCATGCTGATTGCAGGACAGTGGGCAAAATCTTTAAGGGATAGCAGATTTTAAAAATATATCTTACAGCCAGGCTGCTTTAAATTCCATTACAATGTAATTAAAAAACCATTAGATTCATTTTTTAACATTCTTTTGCCTTATGCCTTACGTATGTGATAGGTGTGTGTTGCGGTGTGTGCATGTGAACCCATGTGCACACTCATGTCTGAACCCAGGCTTTAGTGATTTCTGAAGCTTGAAGAATCACCTGGTAGAAAACTTTTCACTTAAAGATGAAATTACTCCTTGGAGAATTTTCACCAAAGGCAAGAAAGCACAAAAATTCTTTTCCTCCTCTCTACATGCCTCATTACACAGAGATAGAGGATTCAATGTTTGAAAAATTATCATTTTTGTAGGTTTTATTTGTGGTACGTGAGAACTGGGAAATATGGAACTCTATTTAACAGATGCTATGTCTACCTATACAAACTACCCACAGTGACTATCATATGATTTTTATACACACACACACACACACACACACACGTTTATTTGCAAGCAATTCACCAGAGTCGCTTAGCTGTTAAGGTCTTAGAAATCTGCCTCATTTGATGCTGAAGTGTACACACTTATGCTGTGTATAAAAATACTGGCTGGCACCAATGTAGTGAGTGCAAGACGTAAGAGATGATTACATAACCAAGATGCATTTCTAGATTAAAAGTTCACAATGGCAAATATGACAGGGCTGGAACTGTGAGAAGAGGCAGTGTGGTGTGTTGGTGAAAGCCACAGATTCTGAAGAGGGATGCTGGATTTCCATTGTCTTACCGCTAATTTACCATCTGCCCTGAGTCACCAGAATTACCCTTCAGGCCTCTATTAAGTGGAGTCATAAGCACATTTTATCACAGCATTAAAAAAGGGTTCAACAAGAACCCTGGCAGGGCTTACAGACTTGGCAAAGGTAAGCGAGTGAGGGAGGGGCAGAGAAGGAAATGAGCAAAAGGAGAGTTGGTGGAGAAAGTGGATAAAGTGTGTGAGGGAGGTAGCCTTTTAAAAAGTTGGCCTCTCTGCCAAAGATGAGTGTGGGCCTCCATCAGGGAGTGCCTCAGGCACCTACCACTATTTTCCCAGAACCAGCAATTGCCTCTCTGCATTTTATCCACTTTTCAGCAGTGCACAGTGTGGACTTAGAAAAGGTTTCTCTAAAGTATGCTATTTCACGTCCATATCATTCCTCACAACACTTTAATGTGGCCCCTGAATCCACAGCACGTGTGCACAGTGAAATATTCATTTGTGAATGTTTATGGCATTTCAAAACATCTAAATGCTCAAAAGGTAAGAGCAGTTTTCCTGTGTTAAGAAAAAAAAAAGGCAAAACAAAACATACTGCCTAAACTTGTTGTGGTTAAATGAATTTTGCTTAGTGATTTCTAGGGATTTTTTTTTTTTTTTTTTAGAAATCCACATAACTTTTTTTCCAGAATTACCTGAATTTGAAATTGAGTAGATGTAGCCCCAAAGGAGTATGTTTTGAGAGGAGCAGGCTGTATCTAGCAAATTATAGGTGCTCAATACATGGTAGTTGAGTGGGTTGAATGATTATATGCTATGTTTTGGTTATCAAGCAGATACAAATGTGAGCCACCAAGCATTTCAGTACGAGTTTCAGTATGACAAGACTTTAAATACTCAGACATAAAAAGCCTTCTCAGCATCCCCATTCCCCAGCTTCAGGTACACACAGGTAAATGTGTATTGTTTCTCACAGCAGCTCCTGTGCCCCTTCTCTTCTCCTCATTTCTCTGCATATGGATCTCTCTCTGATCCCTTTCCTCAGATGGTATCATTGATTGAGGAGTGTATAAGAAATGATATTTGCTGAAGTCATGCACCTTTAAGGATCCCGAAAAACACTGTTTAGACAGAGGGGAAAAGTCAAGGGGAGCCGGGCTAATTAGATGCACCCCCCCAGACAGTGTGGGATGCTGACATACAGCGATCCCATTCACTGTGCTTCATGGAAGAGCACAGGTGTGCACATGGGCACATACATACGGACATGGGCAAGCCTGCCAGTGTGAGTGTGCGTGTGTATGCCTGAGTACCATGCACACTGGTGCCTTCTCCATGCGGACCTGGAGACTGTCCTCACCTGGAGATAATAAATTGTTCACTTTTGGAGACAAGCCAGCTCTTTCAGGCCACTAGAGATTACTTACTAAAGAGACCCTGGTGATTTGAGAGAGTAAATGTACCTCCCCAAAGAGAAAGCCGCCTATTGACAGGTGCAGACTGACTTCGAATTTTGTACACTGATTATTTCATCAGTTTCTACGTAGCTGCTAACTGACACCTTCACAGTAAAGATCATCAGACTCTCAATTATCCACCTTTTTGAATGGGACCAGTAGTGTAGAAGTTTTGAAGAAAAAAAAACTCTATTTTTGGTTCGAAAAAAATGATTCTGGCATCATACTGATGTGGTGAATGACTGACTGGGAAGATGTGTCAAGATGCTTTGTATACTGTAAAGTGATTTATAAATATTAGGCATCGAATTAAACTTGATGAGGTGGGGAGGAACAAACCACCTGTAAAAATCATGTTATTCCAAGGTGAAAATAAGATCAGTTTGCATTCCCTGAGCACACAGCAGCTGGGAGATAGCACAAAGCATACCAAGCTGTGCACGAAGCCAGCTCAGGTTAACCATTCTTTCCAGAAGGTCTATACACTGAATATACCTGTATGTAGATACCCCAAGGTTGGCTTAGGTCAACTTATGTTGTTACATTAAGAACTATAGAAGCTGCCATTTATTGAGTGCTTGCTGCATGCTTGACAATTTACATATGTTATGTCTGCAAGGGAGTACTTTTTATCCTCATTTACAGATGAGGACATTAAGGTTTCAAGAGGTTATGACTTACTTAAGACCATGTAAGTGGCCCAATCAAGTTTCCAACAGGACTAGCTTTAAATTTTCTTTCTTTTGACTGTTATGCTACAACTGAGTATTAATCTATTTTTATAGTGGTGTGTGTTTGTGTAAGTGCAAGTATGTGAGGTATATTTAAATTGTACTACTCTTTTTTAGATATTTTGTGATGTCTCTCATATGGGAGAACACAATGCCAGGTGACAATTTAACAAAGATTCCATATGTATTACTTAAGTTATTCATTCAAAAATATATTTGTATCTAATATAATATCAACATTTTCCTAGGATGGAGGATATAAGCATAAATAAGATGTAGGCCAGGATTTCAAAACATTCATAGTGTAGAATTGTAGACAGGCACAGCAGGTCATCACAAAGCAAAGAGTGAAAGGCTAGAAGTGTGCATGAGATGGTCTGAGCTCTCAGAGCAGCAGAGCCTCACTCATCCAGGGGTTGATGTGTATCAGGGAAGGTTTTCTAGGTAAGGTGGTATCTGGGCTGTGCCTTAAATAGCAAGAAGGAGATAATCAGGGGCTGGGGTCAGGCAGGGCAGAGCAAGGCACTGCAGGCAGAGGAGAAGGATGAGCATGGGCCTGGAGCAATAAGCAGCAGAGTATTTGTGAGAAATCATGTGCAATGGGATGTTGCAGGAGCAAAAGAAACAAGGAGAGGAATGGTCCCTTGGGGAGATTATGAAGGGCTTTGTATACCAGGGTAAGGACCTCAGATTGTATTCTGTAGGCAGTGAGGAGCAGTCCATTCATTCAACAAATGTTTCCTGTGTGCCAGCCAACTGTTGGGCACTGTGATTGATAGTCAGGATGCAATGGTGAGCAAAACTGACACCATGTCTGACCTCACAGAGCGTATGATCTGGTGGAATGGAACTCTTTTAAAGGTTGGGAGTGATGAGGGCCTTAACAAGAACAGCAGTCATGAATATGGAATGGGGGAGATTTATTTCAGAACTATTTGGGGGTCAAAAATAGACAAGATTTGGTGACTGATTGAATGGGGAGGTGGAGAGAGAGAGATAGAGAGAGAGCGTATGAATGGCTCTCAGGTTTATACCACAGGTGGAGGATGTGATACCTACTAGGACACGGAATAAAAAGGAATGAGTAGGAAGTTTGGTGGAGACAAAGAGTTTAGCTTTGGACTTGCTGAGTTGAAACAAGTCCACTTTCGGACTTCTTGAGGTGGATGTCTTTGCATGGAGATGGTTTCGCAGGTAGTTGGACATACAAGTCTAAAGACCAAAGAAGAAATTCAGACACACACGTCTGGTAGCATATAGGAAATCAAACCACTGTGGAGGAGGGAATTATCCAAGGAATACCTGGAAAGTGATAAGAGGTCCTGACCTCTGTCCAAATTTAAGGCATAGATTGAAAAAGAGTGAATGGTAGAAGAAAAAAAAGTCACCAGTGGTAACTTTATTCAGGAAGCCAAGATAGTTTTTGAAGTTGCAGTTTGTTTGTTGGGATGTTGGTGGCATAGTGACTAATGAACAATTCAGATTCATTCCCTAAGCACTTGGTGCCTGCTGAACATGAGCCATGCATTGTGCTGAGCTAGGAAAGGAGAAGACAGAGAAGATTAAGATACCATTCTCACTCATGGAGGAGTCAGGGGAGCTCATTCTTTCTATTTTACTACCAGATGCCAGTAAGATTGCCTTAGAGATTGAAAATACCATACATGGAATCAGAAAAAACCCCAAACAACTTATTTTGAAGTGTTCTTAAGAAACGATAGAAGAAAATGGGAGTGTTCTAGCTGTCAAAGAGAGAAGATATGAGGAGAATCATAGCTTGCTTCAAATATTTTAAATGGCTGTCTCTTGGGGCCCTAGAACTAGAAAAAACATGAGCAAAAATTAAGTTAGTTTATATATTATATATCGATCAAGAAGAACTTACTGATGGAGTGCAGTTTCTAGCTGCCTGCCTCCATTTATGACAATAGAAATAGTGTCTGGAGGACACTGGCTGTCAATAACAAGTTAGAGTGTACATTCAGTGATCTTTCAGGTCTTTCCAGCAAAAGATTTTTTTTTCCCAACAACTTCTTTGTTGTTGTTGTTGTTGTTGTTGTTGTTCTTGTTGTTTTGTCTAGCCCTGTGAACATCTCCTAGAGCAGTGGTTCTCAAATTTTGAGAGCACTGTATACCTGTTTGAGAATCTGATAAAAAGTTTTGAACCCTATCCTTTGGGAAAAATATGCAAGTATCCACATAAACCCAAATATTATTCCAACAAGACCACCCTAAAATCTTCCATAGGTGATTCTGGACCTCAGGTTAAGACCTCTTGTCTTACTGGATTTCCAATAAATGAGAACGCAGCCATTGCTTACTCTGAAATTATATACATTGAAGAAAAAAGCCTCTTTGGGACTTAATTTAAAACCATGACTAAGGTTTTTTATTTATCTAATGCCATGCATTCTTGATTTTATTCTGTCAGCCTTACATTACAAGTGGCCCCAAGCAACTCACAACTTCACAGATATGTATGCATAATCAGATGCACATATTTTATTTTAAAAATAATAATGATGTTGTTTGGTGTAACCGCATATAGTCACAGAGATAGGTTATTGTAACTGAACTTCTCTGTCCATGGATTTGGGGGGAGTTCGTTCTGATTAGGGCTGTCTTACATATTTATACTAGAAGAGTTCATGAGCTATTTCTGATACTTAGACTTTAATCATGCTTAATGAACTGAACTAAGCATAATTCTTGTTCTGTTTTTGTAACTTTGTGGATTTCTTCTAATGCTCAGTTTCATGTGACTACTCATTCTTAAATGCTAATACACAAAAATGCTAATTCAAGAAAGGAGCACAAAAGTTAGATTTCACTTCAGAGAAGTGCATTCAGTATTCATAGGCCTTCTGGAGGAGCAAGGCTGTGAGAAGAATGATATTAGGTGAAAAATATTGGCTCCTACCTTTGGTGAACACACAAATTTAAACATATAGGTTGCACAAAATTTGGATAAACTGAGGTGGAATCCAACATTTCTTGCATGAATTCCTGTATAATGTGGCGATAGCTGTGAGAAAAGAGGAGCCCAGCATCTAAGGCCCAACACAATGAAAATGCAATGAATCGGAATGCCTCACAGATCATAGCGGAATCAGAATTTCCAGCAAGGAAAATCTTTTCATGGTGAATTAAGTGGTGGATGAAGAAAAATGGTGATGAAAAAAGGTAGGCACAGATCACAAACACTGGGCTCAGGGCTCACTGCTGAAGATTTAAGAACCTTAGCTAAAGCTATGCAGAATAGAATGTGGAAAATTGAATTTACTAAACAATTAAGCATTGAATTAATCTACATCCTGCACAGTAGAAAAGTGGGGGAGGGAGCAGAGCAGAGCTGAATAAATCAGTGGAGCTCATTAAAAGATAGTGAATATATCAGGTCTGTTGTAGCATAAAGGAGGACAGCTTCCTGTATAACAAGGAATAATTCTTTGGTTCTAAGTCACCTTTTTGGAGTCCTAGTCTTAATCAGATTAACAAACATGCTTCTGATGAGGTTGGTCTGTGGCTCTGTATTTTAGCTTGTTATCGCTAGCTTTTCTATTAATTACCAGTCAGATCACCAGTCAACAATAGTAGTGAGGGACAACATAAATAAAATGAGAGTGCCCAGGAGATGTCACTCGCAGGATCTCATGCATCCTGAAACTCCCACGGGTTCCTGCAGCCTCCCACATGTCTTGCTGGTCTTTTGTTCAATTACAGTTAATGCAATAGTTTGCCATTTTCTCTTTCTAATTATATTTTCAAGTGGGATTTGTAGCACATAGAAAAACATCCTTTTACATGTCGAGGCACCGGGGTTTTGTGCCTGGCATTGTCTGTCCCCTGGGTGCTGTACCATTCTTTCTGCAGAGCTCTGAATAAACAAGTCCCCCTTTTAGAGCTGCAGTTGTACAAACTGAAAATTTATGCATTAACTGTTTGCATTCTGAGCGTGTGTTCCAGATTACGTCTTACAGCATTCTTCTGGTATGCTGCAGAATGCGTGTGTGCAAAAAGCACTTCTTTCACAGTTCACATATCTTTCAATCTCAGAATCAGCAGATCAATTAGCACTGTTTTTGAGAATATGCATAATGGGTCATATTATACATGAGTCAAACATACAAATGGCATATCTTTCTATGACTTTATTTTCATTTTTCAGGCTGCATTAATCTTCTGGCCAAGATTATAGAATAAGTGACAGTGATGCATCTTGTTCAGAAACAGTGACTCTTTCCCTTTGATTCCTATACAGCATGCCTCTTAGATGGGATCTTTACTTTTCTCTCCCTGGGTGTCTGAGACATTTTGATCTCCTCAGCCCTTCTTATCTTCTCCAGGGTAGGAACATAGTTTTCTAGAAATAAGCAAAGAGCTCTTTGATTTCGCTAGGCATACTTAATGATATTGGAAGGGTCAGCAAACTCTACTACTATATAGTCATGAAGCCTGACCTTATATGATTGAAATGATGTATACATATTTTACATACGAGATGATCCTGTTTTCCCACTAATAATCTTGAAGATAAATATCACTTCCTAGTGAAGGACCAGCTTTGTATTTTGCATCATTCCTACTGTGCAGGATGACCAGTGACTCATGAGGCTGTTTTTGAAAGCTAGCACTAAAAGCTAATTAAAATCTTTTCTGGTGATAAAGAGAGATTTGGGAGAGGTGTCGCCATGATTGTTTTCCTCAAGAATTTATTTTACAGCCAATTTTTCCTATCTGAATGTTACTTTCAAATGCACCCAGTGATAAGAAGCAACATCTGTTTTCCGTTCAATAGTACAAGAAGGCTCTGCATGGGGCTGAGTGTACACAGTCCATGTGAATCTATTGTTATTCTCATTCCTTTTTTGTGCCTATGCCTGGTCCATTTGCCATGTACCATCCGGCAAACAGCTGACACATACTAGCTATTATGGACCCAGGCCTAATTGTGAGGTCTTAAAAGCTCTGCCATGTTTGTCTTCTAGGATGAATCAGAGGCCCCTATAAACCACAGTGTTATAGACCACCACTCTCATTTTGCATTTCCAGAGTAGCAGACTGTTGTGCCAGAGGGTTTGTTGATGTTGAAAATATAGTCAGAATCAGTGGCGGCATTTTGTTTTCCTCTTTGCCTGGAATGTTTTTGTTTTCCTTAGTAATAAAGCATGCAATTACTTACAGAATAACTATTTGTAGATATTATTTTAGCTTGGAAGCAGAAACTGGCAAATTATAAATGTGCCAATGCAGCTCTGAGCTGGAACCATGGTTGAAGGGGGATGGGAAAGGTGGCATGGTTATGTGCTCCAGCCCTCCATGGCTTTGTCATTATGCCATGGGATCCTACCAATAAGGGTTCACAGATGCCTCTTATTTGGGTTTCTGATTTGTGCCCCCACAGCCCTCTTGGAACAGAGATCATGATGACACGGCATCTACTCGTTCAGGAGGAACCCCAGGCCCTTCCAGCGGTGGCCACACGTCACACAGTGGGGACAACAGCAGTGAGCAAGGTAGGAGAGATGTTATTCTCTTTTGCTACTTGTTTCATTTTTAAGGATTGAAAAATCAGAAATGTCTAGTGAGTTACTAAGTATACAGTTTTTCCTAGAAGATAAACCCCCTTTAACTTGAGAATCAGCTCATCTTATTTTATTCTCTGACCCTGCTCTTCTGTGCTATTCCAGCTGCTTAACTGTCTGTCACCTGGCCAGCTTCATAAAACAGGGTAGTGAATTGACTCAGGGCAAGATTAGAGAAGTAGCTTAGAAGTTTGAATGTGAATAAATAGTATGCCATTCATACCCTGCTATACAAATAAAAAGTATTATTACTACTTGCCCTCAGAGGCTTTTCAAGAGCTCATGAAGAAACATCCACTAGGATTCCAAGTTAATGATGTCTTAGGATGCTTATAAGGCTGTGAGCCCTTTAGTAGCACATGCTCGGCTTCCCTCTCCACTGGGTTGAAGTCATTTTTTTCTGGTTTTACTTATCTGAATCTCCTAAGTGCTTGACTTCATTGCAAAGCCAGACTAAATAAAATTTAGGAAGACATGGAAAGATAACAGGTTAATTTGTGTTGTCCTGTGAATGCACATACCTATGTGTATGTGAGTGTCCATGGATTATGCATGTTTGACTATAACTAGTAGGAAATAAAGTTTAAACATCAAGCTAGTCTTCAGCAAAAGGGCGAATTGAGTATTCAAATGTCTGTACTGCTTTTCATGAGAGCCCGCTGTGTGGATTTTGTGTTCCATTAATGCAATTAAAGTTTAAAAGAGAATTCTTTATCTGAATATAAAAAGGCTGTTTTATTGAAGTTGACTCTGAGCCCACAGTAGGTACATACTTTAAAATCTGGTTTTATGATCATGTTTCACTGGAGTGCTGTTAGACAACAAAGGAATTTTGTTGTCTAACTTAGTTGGGCTCTACCAATTAAAATTGCAAAGTCTACAATGAATTTAGTGTGATTAATTTGAAAACAAAAACAGGAAAGTTAATTTTTTTGAGGCACATATATGCTGTTTGTACTGGGAATAACTTCAACAAATATAATTTTAAACATTTGAGACATTTTATTGTTCAAAGAAAAGTTGCTGACTTCATCACAACTATAAGCCTAGTAAAAACGGAGCCCAGAATAGTAAACTGGTTCAGAGCTGAGAGGTAACCTCTGACCTCTGACTTTTACTGGAAAATGATATGCAGCATAAATCCAAGGGGCCTTTTTTCTTTCAAGTGTGTGTATGTATGTGTTATGGCGTTGCTGTTCAGAGTGCTATAGTTAAGGTGGTGTCAGCACTTTCAATATAAAGCCCTACTTTCATAACTCTACTTACACTATGAGTTTTCAAAAAGGTGTAAATGGAATATAAATTCTTTTTCCTGTAGCCCAAAATTGCTACATGGGGTCGCAGCCTAGTGTTTGGCTTGTTTCTTTTTCTTTTTCATTTCTTGCTTTTCAAAACTTATATCATCTGAGAATAGGTAGATAGTTCAGCTGCTGCATTGAAGGCTTGCAAACTGCTGAAATGCACTTGAATTTAAAATTGTAATGCATCTGTTTTCTCAAACATAGTATGATAAGAGGATTTTCAGATAGCAAATGCCCAATACCAGTTCTTCCCCTCTGACATGCTGTAACAAGGAATTAGGAGTGTTGTATGCTGCTTCTTCCTTCAACAAGTGTTCTCCAAAGGCCTATTTAATAATTTGATTGTAACTAGGAACTACATATTATTCACATTACTTTCTACTTATAATGTTTCTTCCTATATTTTTTCTTTTTATGTTTTATATTTGAGTCCAATACCTAGTTGTTTTTAGGGCAGTTTCACATAAATTATCTTATTTGAATGATCTCAGCTGAATCATTTAAAAACAATCCTGGGTAGCAGAGTAAGTGGGTCTATCCCCACTTGACAGAGGAGAAGAATAAGGTACAAAGAAGCTGAGTGATTTGTTGAGGTCCCAGTGGAGTGTCAGACCTAAACTTCCAGTTTCCCAATTACTTAAATAAGGTTCTTCTCATCAGACCCTCTTTCCTCATCTCTCTACTAAAAAACTACAGTGAATAACTTCCACTGTCATCAAATAGAAACTTTCTGTGCTGGTTTCCCCTACCCCACCTTTCTGTGCTTGATAACAGAAGCTGTTGGGAGCCCCACCTTCAGTCTTATTTGTCCTTCCTTGTGGGTTTTCTTTGGCAGTTGAATTTATTCCTGCTAAATGCAGAATGATGCCTGAAAGTGTTGCTGCAACAACTTATGCACACTTCCATGCCAACCGTCACCCTTCTAAACCTTTTTTTCATCCCTGAGAACTGCAGAGCTTGGTCTTTGTGCAGCCTTCGGATTAACTGTGCACAGTGGCTTTTCCATGTTTTCCCTGTTTGCCTTTTCTGGCAGGCATGGATGTGTAAGCTGTGCCAGCATTTGGCCTGTAGTACATGTCCTAAATAGTTATTTACACAGTTTGAGTCCATTTTAGTCAACTGGGTAAATAACAGCCCTCTTCAAAAGATTTATAAATCCATAAATATGTCTTTATACATACCCAATAGACAGAAATAACTCAATCTGTCAAGAACATATCCAAAGAGGTGTTTCCCCCACAGACAGGAGTAATACATATTTTAAAACTTTCTCTGACATATTATTTTTACTGCATTTCTTTTTTCCTCATTCCTTTTCCATTTTTACCACTTCATTATGGCACCTGTGGTTAAAAAAAAAAAAAAGAAAAGAAAGAAAGAAAGGAAAGAAAAGAAAACAAAAAAGAAATCCCCTAGGCTTTAGCCCTCTGTTAAATAACCTTATCTGCTACACAGTGGAGGCATGTAACAGGCTATATATATATACATCTCAACTGAGTCCTATTCTTTTGAACTTCCAAAGTAGATAAAATGAAATAAGTTATGCAGGAGATTTTAAATGTTCTAAGATTTCAAAATACAGTAAGAGTTTCTGGTTAGAGCTTCAGCAATTTGGGGAATTTTGAATGACTGATAATTTGCTGAATTAGTAGCTGTTGTGATCAGTGAAAGAGTTTTAGTACACATTTTTACCTAAACATTAAAAAAAGAAATACAAAATCCATGGCTGGGAGCAGTGGCTCACGCCTGTAATCCCAGCAGTTTAGGAGGCCGAGGTAGGGGGGGGTCACAAGGTCAGGAGTTCAAGACCAGCCTGGCCCACATGGTGAAATCCCATCTCTACTAAAAATACAAAAGTTAGCCAGACGTGGTGGTGGGCGCCTATAATCCCAGCTACTCGGGAGGCTGAGCCAGGAGAATCGCTTGAACCCAGGAGGCGGAGGTTGCAGTGAGCCGAGATCATGCCACAGCACTCCAGCCTGGGTGACAGAGCAAGACTCCCATCTAGGAAAAGAAAAAAAAAAATCCAATCGTGGGCATTCTAAAGAGAATGTACATAAGATGTGTAATTACAAAAATATCAAGGTACTATTATTCAGGGATTTAATGTTTATTCGCGATTTACACAATATATCTTTCCCTCAATTCAAATTATTTATCATGATGACCCTTTTTATGATATCTACTTCCATTCAATATTAATACTTGTGGCCCCTTGCAGGAGATTGATTCTTTAATAGTAAAGTCCTTTTCAATTGGCATTTAAGAGGGAGGGCCTCACATCTGTGTTTGGTTGGGGATTCTGTTGCTGTTGCTACAACATTGATTTTTGTTTACTCCATAACTTCCTCAAAGTACTTCCAAAGATACCAGATTGAATCCTTATTTTATCCCTGGCAATTACTTGCTTTATTTTCCCATTTCACAGGAGATAGAAGTAATAGCTCAGAAATATTGAAGAGTAACTCTCAAAGTCAGCTTCAGGATCTTGGTCTCTTGGCTTTGTAGCTGCTTTAGGATGGGGTGTCTGTTTCCAGGGCTGCCAAGTAGTGTCTCATAGGTACGGGAGGTACATGATGGCAGAGACGTGTGGCTTTCGTGTGTCTTTTGCATCCTACTGTGCATGGCTGCCCGCCTAACCATAATCAGAGCCTACTCTAGGAACTGTGTGTTTTGGAGTGGGAGAACTTCAAGCAAATTGGGTGCCTCTTCCCCTAGATTTTTACTGTTTCCCCAAAGGCCTGCCACAGCCACTCTATGCCTCTTAAGCAGCTTCAGCTACGATTGACCACATTTTTGAGTCTGGACAGGTCTCTGTTTTTGCTTTAAAGTTAAGAGAGCTAAATAAATGATGGTAAAAAGATAATAAAATAGAACATGAAGGGCTGTCAGTCAGTGTAGGTATTTCCATCCCCTCACTTTTCAAGTGAGGTCACGGAGGCTCAGAGCGATAAGGAGACTTGTCCAAGGCCACACACCGGCTGGTGCTCAAGCCGGGACTTGAACCCACGCAGTCTGACTCTAGAGCCCAAGCTCCTAACTATGACATCCTATTTGATACACTGTTTTACTGGAGAAACAGATCATTTGACAGACATTCTTTCTGTTAGCAATTTGACAACTCTTTCCCCAGTTGTCTGTACTGAACCTGGCGCTGTGCTCCGTAATGGTGACCTAGCTGTGAATAAGATAGAATCACCTTAAACTCAGAGGGGTAATGTTCTGTTGGGGAGGGAGAACCTAGTTTTGCATGCTAAGTAGAATGATGAATGAAGTATTTACAAAGGGAGCATGATGACTGATATGATTCATTGGTATTATGTATTAAGAGCCTATATCATTTCACTCATTCAAAGACTTAGTGAATTAAGAATAGAAGCATGGGAACAAGTAAAGATATTGCTCTTGCAGAACATTTTCCACTGAAAGCTCATCATATTTTCCTCTTTTGTGAGGATAAAGAAAAAGTATTATTTCTACATGGAAATTTGATGTAATACATTTCAACCCTAAAGGCTTTTAATGATTGCTGGAATCTCTAAAACCCACTTATGAACTTCTCCTTTAGGAGGCAGGACTCAGAATAACAATAGTACCACTTAAAAAAAAAAAAGCAAAACCAGCATGCCAGGATGTTTCTTTAAAGAAGATTAATGCTAAGCACTGCATTTCTCTATCATAATGTATCAATAGTTGCAGTGCCTCCCACTGCCCCATCCCCCTCCACACCAGCTTTTGTGTGAGTCCAGGCAACCTATAGGCAGAAGGCAATTCCATTTATTATTGAGGGGACTCTCCAGGCAGTTGTTCCAGACCTGTGAAGCCAGCAGGCAGAGCGGCCTGAGAGGGGGTGGGGAGCACCGGGCGAGGGAGGTGGGGAAGGGCCACATTATGTTCCAGATGACTGAGTAACGATTTATATATCACTCGCCTTTTTTACATGAAGAAGAAAAGTAATAACAGCCCAAACCCAGGCATTTGAAACAGTCAGCTGTCCGATGAATAATGGGATAGGTGGGAAGGAGCGCTCTGATTGGATGTCTTAATGAGCACATTTCGCACAGAGTTTGGGCTGCAGTTCCCCTTGACCTTTGCCCTTTATTGACCAAACTGACACTTCATTTTTCACATACTTCCAATTATGGCTCGGCTTAAGTGTTGCCCTCCCTCCTTTATTTCTTTCCTATGGACAACTTGAGAGTGGTTGAGGCCACAGAAGATATTTTAATTTGAAAAACTACCGTAGCGACTCAGGTTCAGGATGTAATCTGAAACTGCTGTCACTGCAGCTTTTCAGCTGAAAACACAAAGTTAATACTGCTTGTTTCTAGACAATTTTCTTTAAAAAAAAAACACGAAAAAATCTAACATATTTTACAAACGAAATGATAACCTAAGAACCTTGAAAATGAAGGAAAATGGTTACAAACGGTAATTTTTATTTTTTGTTGTTTCATTTGTCTGTTGGTCACAGTGACTTGAATGATCTCTATTTGTTCACACTTGCTTCTTAAGCCTGTACCTCTCCAGGGACTTCTGGTATTTCAATGGCACTGTAATGATTTTGACTAATACACTTTTGGGAGGAGAGAAAAGTAAAATATAATTGTGACCACAGGCCTTAGAGCATCGCAGCCCTGTGTGTTCCTTTGGTTATATTTAATGTTGACCTGCAAATTAAAGTGTGGCCTTTGCATGCAGTGGCAGGCAGAATAGGAAAATGATTTCCTGGTGGGAAAAGTCAGGTGTAAAAAAGAAAGAGGAAGTTATTATGCTCCACAAATGGCCGTTATCAAAAAGTCTATATTATTAACTTATCAAACATGTTGAATGAGATGTAGAGACAGAGAACTGTTTTCCCAAGAACACCCTGTAATATACTCACCTTTCCTTTTATTGACTCATCAAATGTGAGTAACAGTGTTCTGGTTTCCACCTGCTTGACTTCTAGCATCATGAAATCAGGTCATCTTAAAGAAAAATAACTTCATCATCTAAAAGTAGTAACTATATTTAGGGGCACGAACTTGGCCATAAGCATTTTCATAGAAAGTGCCTCTTCTCATTATTAGGCAACATCACCAGTAAACTTGAGGTCATTGTTTTTCATCTTAAACAACCGAAAAGTGCATTTGAAATTATTTACAGCCGAGTAGAGATATTCTTCGAACACAGAAGTATTTATCTGAAAAGTGGATGAAGTGTTATCTACTTTATTATGTAGCCCTCTAGCATATCTGTGGCATATTTTTACTGTAATATGGTAATAAAAGAATATGTAAAAGACAGACAAATGTTCTGTCTTTTTCTGTAAGGTGACCTCTGTTACCAAGTAACTGCTTTACTTATGAGCTTATTAAAAACTCAAAAAATGAGCTTTTCATAGTTCACAGGCATTGATGTGAAAATGAGCTGTCCTGTGAGTAGTTTTCTTGATCACTTTTAGAACAATTGATTAGCCAAAGAGCTCCTGTCATTAGTTGACATTGACTGATAGCAATTTGTCACAAGCTCTGAAGGTCAGCTAGACAGTTGGAGTTTCAGCTTGTCTTTGATTGACCTTTACTGATTCCATCCTCATGTGATTGGGTTTGAATAGTTCTGACCCTCAATTGGAAAAGACAGGGCATTAGTCAACAGAGTCATTTCTTATATTTTCTGTTGATTGCTCATTTTTATTTATGTGTGAATTCATGGTCTGGATTTCTTATCAAATTTTGAACTCTCATTTTTGAAATTTAAAAGGTGCGATATTTATTGTGTGACCTGTAAGTCACAATTCTGCTTTCCCTTTGGTTTGCACACTTGATTTGTGATGTCAATGACGTCTGTCTACTGGCCACTGTTACCTGTGCAGGTACTGGAGTTTTGTTGCAAGTGATGGATTAAAATTTTGTTGTTGCTGTCATTTTTTAAGAAATACCAACTCCGGTGTGACTTGTAGCACATCTAAAATTATACACCAATTCTTTTATTTTCCTAGAATTGACTACTTTTGTCTCCCAAGACTCATGCAATATTTTAAAATAAGAAATAAGTAGTAAGGAAGTATATGAATAATGATGTTGTGTCAGTTCATCATTTAGCTCTGCAGCCAGAGGCATGAAAACTTTTTAAAAAGTATCTTCTTTTCAGTTTCACTCAGTTGGCTGTAAATTAGAGAAAGCTCCCCTAGCTAGAAGGGCATTCGCTTTTCAGTGATAGTGGAATATATTTTCTGTTTTCATGGACCTGGAAGTTAATTGTTCATAATATTCAGTTCTTTCTTTTCAAAACTGTAAATATTTTCCAAAAATACATCACATATAGAGAAATATGTTCCACATCATATTAATACCATGCATTGTATTGTTTTATGTAAACGATGAAAATGGAGATATTAGCTTTAAAAACCCAGGTCTTAATCTGTAATTATTTAATTCAGTTTTTATGTAAGGCCTTTTCATTCTCTTATCCTTTCTCACCTTCCCTTCTTCTCTTGAGTCTGCATTGGGTTTTAAACTATAAGCAATAACTTGTTTTTCAGGCCAGATCTCCCAGGCATTCCAGGGCCACCACACACAGCCTGGCACAGCTCAAACATGTGTTTCAGTTTCTACCCAAGGAAATAAATAAGGAGAGAATTCATTGTTTCAGGTGGTAGATTCTTCACATGGTGTCATTCTTGGCAAGGCAGAAGTGAGGAAGTTAATTTTAGGGAAGCATCCATTTAATGTAGCCCAAGGAGATAAAAAGAGTTTAGAATTATAATCTCTCCTGCAGATGAGCCAAAATATTATCATGAGTTGTGTTTAAGCGGGGGATGGGAATGTAAATTTATACATTCTAGTCAAGTCATCAAAAATAGATTAAGCACTTACTGTGTGCCAGGTACTCTGTGTGAGCTATAAAAATGAGTAGGTCATAGTATTTGCCCTTAGGAAGTTCCTGTGTGCTACCAAGAACATCAAGCATATCAAAGTAAAATATTTGCTAAATATTGGATATTCTTAGGGAGCCGTGAGTGTATTTATTTCACAACATGCCAATGACCCAGACATGGTGAACTCCGTGGTCAGGCCTGCTGGATGAAACACAGCGTGGTGGGTATTAGGTTCAAATTGCAGAGGGACAGCACTACCTTGGTAGGTGTAGACGTTCAGCATCTATGGGGCCCTGTTAGGTGGACTTGGCTCCAGAGCCCACTCTTGGAAACTTGGTCCAGTCCTTCCACACTGCCATGAGCCAGCCAGTGCCTCTGCTGTCTGAACCATTGGGGTCATCATTGTGTTCACCGCCATTAGTCACCTGGCTGCTGACTCAGATTGATCTTCTTCAAGGGAATCTTGACATTTTGAGGAGGAGAGGACCCCTTTGGCAGTCTGGTGAAGCCAATGGATACCTTATCAGAGTAATATATTTATTAATGTATCAAATAAAACCCACAGGACTACAAGGGCAGTGAATTGTATTAAAATTCAATCTTCTAAATATTTTTTAAAGCCAAGTTGTAATATAGTAATATAAGGCCGGGCGCGGTGGCTCATGCCTGTAATCCCAGCACTTTGGGACGCCAAGGTGGGCGGATCACCTGAGGTCAGGAGTTCAAAACCAGCCTGACCAACATTGAGAAACCCCATCTCTACTAAAAATACAAAATTAGCCGGGTATAGTGGTGCGTGCCTGTAATCCCAGCTAGTTGGGAGGCTGAGGCAGGAGAATCGCTTGAATCTGGAAGGCAGAGGTTGCGGTGAGCCGAGATTGTGCCATTGCACTCCAGCCTGGGTAACAAGAGTGAGACTCCATGTCAAAAAAAAAAAAAAAAAAAATATATATATATATATATATAGTAATATAAGTGCTCTGTTAAATAGGCTTAAATAACAAGATCTACTAGTAATTCTGTTGTCTGCTGAATTTTTGAAGTAGTGATAAATGTAAGTCATGTTTTAAGATATTTATAACAACTATATTGTGATATGCAAATATGATTTCCGTTGGGAACAAAGTTACAGGTCCTGCTAATAGTTCTGTGGTTTGTTACTTACTTACATACAAGCATGAAGGAAATGCTAATTCTAATTGAAGTTATTGATAATAAAAATGTAATTTTTTCCCCTTCTCAAGTACATATATCCCCTGAATTCTAACCATGGATCTCCCTTGAGGAGGTGTCTATATAGCCCAGGTTAACAACTTCTAAACTTAAGTGTCAGAAGTTAAATAAATGGGTTTGGGGATGTATAGCCATCCCTTGGTATCCCCCAGGGATTGGTTCCAGGACCCTCTCCCCTCAACCCCGCAGACAACAAAATCTTCAGATGCTCAATTCCCTGCTATTAAATGGCATAGTATTTGCATATAACCTATGCACATCCTCCCATATACTTTAAATAATCTCTAGATTACTTATAATACCTGGTACAATGTACATGCTTTGCAAATAGTTGTTATACTGTATTGTTTAGAAAATAATGACAAGAAAAAAGTCTGTACATGTTCAGTACATATGCAATCATCCATTTTTTTTTTCAAATACCTTCTATCCTCAGTTGGTTGAATACGTGGATGTAGAACACATGCATATGGAGGTCTTGACCTTAAATCATGCCATCCACCTAATCACTTGTTCTCCGTACTCCTACCCTGGGACATCACCCTCTGCCCCGCAGTGAGCATCTAACAGAAGATGGGTGGATGCCAGGAGCAGCATCTGAGGATCTTTTGAGGGATTATAGGGCTGAGGTGAGACTGAATTCTGAGACAGGACCCTGTAGCAAGGGTAACTATGCTACCCTGGGAGGATGTTTTTATGTCCTATGCCCTTCCCAGTAGCAGCCATGATTCTACCTGCCCTGGGCTGTGATATTTAGCTCTCCCCCTGATGTTATTTCTCTTTATCATGGGTGATAGCACTAATTAAGAATAGTAGTAGAGGCTTTGGCTGTTGGCCTAGCAAAAACTAACCCAAACAGTAAATTTATGCCAAGCATTTTCCTCAGGAAAAAAAAAATGTAGGCATGGTCTACCTGTTGTATTGATTAGTCCCAGAAATGTAGTTGGTAAAGTTGGGTTTTGCTCAAGTGTCTGGCTTTGTGGATTAGCTCAGTCTTGCATATAGTTTTCCATAATTGCTTAACCTAAAAGCATTCTATTTGATTAGTACAATTAGTTTGGCTTTCTCCCTCTTACCAATATCAATTCATATGCATTCCCTCCTAACGTTGCTCACTTTATTTTGTAACAAAGAATGAAGACAGCAGAACTTCCTGTTACTTATTTCCATATTAGAAGAAAAGGAGAATATGACCTTACGTAGCAAAGCTTACATTTTTAAAAAATGTATATTTTTAAGAAAAAGAGAACTACAGAGTGAATGCAGAAAATATTGAATTTGCCAATGGGCTTGTTGCTAGGTTATTAGCATTTACTGTTGTAGTTTGACTCTTTCCTTGAGTGCCCCTACTACTTATGACAGCCAGGACAGCTAGCACCTTGACACCCTTTTATACTTTAATACCTTGGGAGAAAAGGATATATTGATTTTAAAATGCATATATATATACACATATATATATATAAATATATGAATATAAATATCATTTATAAATATAAAATATAAATATGCACACCTATATAAATAAATATGTATATTTATAAAAATATTTATAAATATGTTATTTATAAAATAAATATATAATATATTATATATAAAAATATAAAATAAATTTATATATTTATTTAATAAATAACATATTTATATATTGTATATATTTATATATGCATAAATATAAATATGTATATATATTCTCCCTCTCATTCTAAGAAAGGATTTAAGGAAATTAATAAAAGTTTATAGTATACAATAGGATAAAAAATGTGTAGATGAACGAATTAGAATGAAAGCAAAATAAACAAAAAGCCAAGAAATAAGGGTAGTACCAAGCAATATAAATTATAAGATCATGTACAATGACTAGAAATAGGTATTAATTTGGCCCTGAGCTTCCTAGCAGCTAAAACAAAGACTGAAATATAATTAATTACAAGATTTACAACATCCATGGAAGTTGCTCAGAAGAATCGATTTGACCAGCATTAAGATCTGAAAGAAATTCTCCTCGTATCCTCACACAGGGAGTCCAGGGAGATGGCAGAGGCTGGCATCCTTGACAGCATCTGTAGGACTCCTCTTACATTCCCCAGCTCCTAGAACAATGCTGCAGTTATAATAATTGTTGATACATATTTGATTGATTGGACTAGGTATCTGTAATCATATTCATCCTTTTGTTTCTTTAACTCATTGGAATCTGAGTCTTGATTTTCATGGTTGAAATGAATGACAGCCTATTTTGATGTGAGCCAAGGTGCTGAGTATTTGGTGATGCCATGAGGCCTTTCTTCTCTTGTCTGTCTCCTTCTTCTGACCATTCTCTGGTGGGTTCGCCTCATTCTCCAGTCTTTTCTCCCTCCATCTGAAGTCAGGAATGGGGTTGAGGATGCTGTTGTTACTCTGGTTATTATCCCCAGGAACAGGGTTAATGGAACCAGAGAGATTCAGGTAAACAATGGTTAGAATGGAGATGCTGAGAGGCTAAGATGGGATGCCAGAATGGAAGGTTCTGATGCTGCAGTCCTTAAAAATGAAAGTTCTGAGGGAATATGACTTCAGCCTATAAAGCTGGAGGGGGCTGAGTGTTATGAATATTTGGCTTACCTCATCCTGGCACCAAAAACATCCCCTCAGGTAAAAGGAATACATTTACTACAAATAAAAGTATTGCTTGATGTACATTTTAAGCATATGAGAGGATTACTCCCAAAGATAGAAGTGAAAAGAGAAATATTCCCATTTATTAACTGAATTAATTAAATGTCCACTGCATACCGGTCCTCTGCTAAATGTGGGAATTCAGAGTGAAAGAGGTCATTTCTGGAATCAAGAAACTGACAGTCTGGTGGAGGAACAGACAGTTTAGTATATCATAGGTTAAGTCTCCCTAGTGAGCAGGTTCTGAGTAATTTGGAAGTAGAGGAATGGTACCTAACAAACTGGCACAGGGGCAGCACCTGCCTGGCATCGGATGGGCCTCTCTCTAGCCTTTCCATGGTGGCCATTTTTAATGGATCACAGCACCCTTGTCACGGGGCCTGAAAGGAGTGCAGATGCAGGTCCTTCTCCACACAGTGCTCCAGCAACCACTACCTCGTCCCCCGGAGTTAGCCCTAGAAGAAATTGGTTTTCTATTTCTGATCTCCCACTCAGTCTCCTAAGAGAGCAAGTCTATGATGGAAACTTGGGAGAGATGGAGAAGAGGGGCATGTAAGGAAAAAAAAAATTAGCTTGTGTAAAGGTAGGAAGGAGAGAGAGCATGCCACTTTGGGGACTTTGTGTGTGCTTCAGCATGAGTAGAGAGTGGGTGTGAGAGAGGAAGAGTCTGAGGTAAGGCCCAAGAGGTAACAGGGGCAAGACCACAGAGGGTCATATTTGTCATCTTAAGCCCATATTTGTCATTCTGGCATTGGTTTAGCAGGCAGTAGGGAGTCATTGGAAATGTGAGGGTTGTGGCGTGGTTGGATGGAAGTGAAGGAGGAATTGGAGCAGGGGGAGGCTGGAGTCAGCATGATAGTTATTCAGAAATGTTGCAGAACTTTACTTAGGCAGAGGGAGGAGGCTAGAGAGAGTAGCTTTGAGGAGGAAGACTGGACTGGACAGAGAAACAGTGGACGCAGAGGGTAGTGGAGTGCAAAGGCTCTGGGATGATGCCAAGGTTTCAGAAGACTGACTACACAGACTACAGGTCCCACTGGCATGCTCTTTCTTTGTCTTCTTTTGAATGTAGCTTTGCCACTCTAGATGGGAGAAAATGCAGCTGGTCATTGATGGCTGTGGCTTTTCTCCTACACCCTTGCTGGGCAGAGGTGATGCTTTTCCCACCTGTTCCTGAGGATGGCTTGCAGAAATCCTGCTAATTCTCTCTGCTGCACTGCTTTCCCTCAAAGAAGGCTCCGGCTCCGTGGAGACCAGGGGCTGGGTGGAAAGGAAGAGGCCAGCCAAGCTGTCATGGGAATTTGGTGACTCATTTCATCAGTTTACTGCTCTGAAAATGAGGTGACTTCCCCCTTTGCTTGACAACTGATTGATGAACATTTCCTGAGTATTTGCAGAATAGATGTTTTGCCTCATGGGCCTTCATGTTTATGTGCTCCCAGTGGATTCTAATCCTGGTGTGCTTCAGCCTTTCCCACTTCTCAGCTGCTAATTTTTCTTTCTATGTAGAGTCTTCAGATTACCTGCCCAAGACTTAATAGAATGCAGGATTAGAAACAGTATACCGTTATGCCTGCTGATACAACTCTGGTTACGTTGACTTTTTGCCAGAATGTTAAAGAATGAAGGATACCTTTTTACACTGAAACAGTATTTATTTGGCTAAAAACACTGTCACCTGGTACTTAGTGTGTCTACATTGAAAGCTGTCTTTCAAAGTAGCGTACTTCATTTTGTGTGTCTAGAATTTCTTGTTTTGTTTTTAGTTTTTACTTTCTTCCCCAAGATGTGGGTTTATGTGTTTTTAGAAGAATTAGCTTTACTTTGTTTCCATTTTTCCTGATGCTCTTGATAGTGAAGGAATCAGCTTTGGAAAACATTAATTGCTCCACTAAATAATGGAATCTTAATACAAGTTACATAGCGAGAAGTGGAAGCATTGCTTTTAGGCCCCAAGAATAGACCTTAGGCTCATTTTCCATAACTGAAATGGAAGCAATAGGTTTGCATTATGTGGATCAGAGTCATCATCTTAGACACTAGCCATAGTCCGTAGATTTAATTTTCATATTTCAAATGGAGGCTGTAAGTTTAACATGTCTTACTTTGCAGCTGGAACAGATTCTATTTTTAATCCGTAAGTTGCATATGGCATGGAGCCATGTGCTGCCCAGATCCAAATGCATAACTCCTGTTGATATCAGTGAGCTTCATGATGAATTGGAAAGAACTATGTGGTCTTTGTTCCAAACATCTATCTGACTTTTTAGGATTAAACGTGCTAAACAAATTCTAGCACTTTTCAAGTTCAAATGGAGTGTTTTTGAATGTAGCAACCATGCTGGCTTAAAGGAATAATGCAACAATTCCAAATAGACACACGCACACATAACCGTAGAATTGGTTTTCAGGCAGAGAAAGGCAACTGGGCTCAGGAACCTGGCTGGCATAGTAAAGGACATGGTTGTATTGAGCTACACAAAATTGCCTTTAAATAGAAAAGATAAGAGGAGAAAGCCTTTTCTTTGGATGGTACTCTGCTCATCAGGGTACACATTATTGTTGGTGAGTAACTCTAGCAAGAGCCCTCTTGTACTTCCTCATTCTTATGACCGCAATGGTGGGAATTGTCTGGCAATATTCATTCAGAACTGACAGATGTTTGCATCTATAAATAAATGTACTCAAATCATAATTGTTATAACAAGATTGTTTGATTACCTGGCAATGGCCTTGTGCTGAGATAGCTTTTGGATCACCTGTTCTTTGGGAACATTTGACAGACCTCATGTTTATTACCCAATTGGATGTCAGTAGCAATTGCAGCTAAAGAAAAAACAAAAATGCAAGTACTTGTTGACCTTGACTTTTTTCCACAAGAGATTGGACTTGATGGCTCTATTGCAGTTGAGCTGATAAGGGCTATAAACAGTAGTTTAAAGAAAATGTTTTATTCCCAGAGGAAAACACCCTATTTGCTGTGGGAAATGGCAATAGACATATACGCCTTTTGCCAGATTTTCTTAATTTACCTTTATTTGGGCTGTGGGAAAAGGATATGCTGGAAAAGCTTTTTATGGCTTTAATGTACATTTGCATAGATTGTTATAATTTGTGAATGGTGTAGTTAGTATATTGAATACAATTTAAAAGAAGCCAATGATGTTTCTATGATTTATGATAATATGATTTTTTTGAAACTGTCATGTTAGTATAAGATTGTGTTTCAGAGATGAAGATCTTATAAAAATGCAATAGACTTATGGTGCCAAAATGCTCTTTTTGATTTTAATTAAAAACATAAAAGTGTCATTGGTTAATATGATCTCACTAGGAGCAAAGAAAGAAAATTGATCCAGTGAATATTTACATGGGACATTCCAGAAATGCACTGGGGGATAAGGCAATCAGCACTTTTCTTTAGGCACAAAGTCTTAAGCTCCAGATTTGAATCAAGAAGCCCCGGGCCATGAAGGATTCCCCATTTCTTGGTGAGACAGTAAGGCTCGGTAACCTGCCCTATTTGCTCTTTAAAAATCTCACTGCATTTTCCTTCAGAGGAGAGGTGCTTTGGCTCAATGCCACTGACTTCAACTTTTGCTCTTAAAATGTTGTTTTGATGCATAGTGTAGTGATGGCTGAATTGATTTCTGTGCATAAACGGTGGCCTAGATTCTTGCCCTGTGGAAATCCATGGAATTAAGAACTCTAGGTTCCTGGAGTGATAAGAGGTAAGCAAATGATTAGATATGCATGCAGGGAAAAAATTCAAATGCTCATAGAATAGAAATAAGGGTCTATATAATTTGCAAGTTTAATGTAAATGCAAGCCACTAATACAACCAATAATTTAATGCTAATATGTGAGGATAAGTAAATGTTATTCTAATTATTTCCTATTTGGTGTGTTCTCAAAGAGTTCTGAGCAAAAAATATACTGCATTGAAATATTTCCCTGGCTACTCAGGATGAAAATGTGGTCTACTAACAGCTGTGGCCATAATGAAACCTCTGGGATACTAGTGACTAAAATTTCTCTTTAGATAGAAGTTTGGGACAATTTGAGATGGCAGAATCTAAGCCAGAGTTTCTTTCAAGGAGATTTAGCACACTGGGATATTATGTGATTTATCCAATGAAGGTACAGGCTGAGATCTAGCTCAATATGCCCTTTTAAGTAGTCACTAGAATTATTTAATAATGCAGAATATATTTTTGGTAAAAAGATTTGATCTTTTTGTCTGTTTTTCAAAGTGCAAATTTCCTCCTGAAGATAGACAAGTCTTGGGTACGTTTTTGTGAGAACAGACCCTTTGAATGAAATTTTAAAACCATCAGAAAGTCATAACATGTATAATCAATAGGGAATTTCTTGCTGTCTAAGAAAACGATAGGAAAGAAGAGTTCCACTCTCTCCAGTCTTCTTTGCTAAGTCTCATTTCTCTACTTGTGCATTTCTTTGGAGAATAACTGCTTGCTGACTTCTACTTTCCTATGAAACTTTTGTGAAGAATGGTGGAAATCTTTGCAATGACAGATGCCATTGCAGATTATTATGATGTCCATTACTTGGAGAATGAAATTAGGAAGAGTTTATTTCTGACATGGCACATACCCTTCCCTGCAACAGAAAGACTGTAGCCTAGAATCTCTGTTAAAAAAAAAAACAAAAAAACAAAAAAACACATCCTCAGGATTTCTGGTGATTCTCTGGTTGATGTGGTAGAAATGAGCAGAGAGGCAAGTCTGCTGCCTCAGGCATCCTGATCCCCTGCAGCAGGAGGGCACCCAGGACATGTAAGCTCAGGTTCCTTTTGGCTGCATGAGCAGGGAAAGTGGAAGGCAGGGTATCCTACATTCTTCCTACTACTCACTGAAGGATGTGGCAAGGGCATGAATTGTTTGTGGTTGGCTCTCTATTCTGGTGCTAGGAAAGACTTCTGTGTTTATCTGCATCTTTCTAAGCCCCCATTGCTATGTAGCCAGCTCCCAGGCCACTTTGTGGGAAAGCTTTCTTTGTGATGGATGACGTGGCATTTCTTGTCACTTCCTCAAATTCCTTCCTGCTGCCTATCAGCATTGCTCTGGACTTATCTGGGTTGAGCTTCAGCCAGCTAAAGCTAATCCAGGTTCCTATTTCAGAGGAGCAAAATGACAGCAATGACGCTGCCATTCTTTTGGTTTGTGACCTAGGATGCTGGGGAGAAAGAGCAAAAAGAGGAGGGTTGCAAGAGTTGGGGCCTGTTGGCTTGATTTTTCAATCCTGGTACCTTGAGCATCTCTTTATTCTCATGAGTCTTGCCTCTCCATAAGGCTGACAGTATTATTTATTTTCATGTGCAGTTGGATGTAACTTTTCCAACTCTGACCTGAAGTGGCATTTACCTGAGATTGGTTTTATTCCATCTACTGAAGTTGGCGCTGACAATTTTGAGCCTCTTAAATGAAGTCTTATGAAATGGAGTTTAGAGGATCAGAGACTTGTGGCTCTTTAGGTCTGATATTTCTTTTTTTTTTTTTTTTTTTTTTTGAGACGGAGTCTTGCTCTGTTGCCAGGCCGGAGTGCGGTGGCGTGATCTCGGCTTACTGCAACCTCCGCCTTCCAGTTTCAAGTGATTCTCCTGCCTCAGCCTCCCGAGTAGCTGGGATTACAGGTGCACACCACCACACACCACACCCAGCTAATTTTTGTGTTTTTAGTAGAGACGGGGTTTCACCATGTTGGCCAGGATGGTCTCAATCTCTTGACCTTGTGATCTGCCTACGTCGGCCTCCCAAAGTGGTGGGATTGCAGGTGTGAGCCACCATGCCCAGTGATATTCCATTATTTAATAAATATATTTACTGAAAATCTACTATGTGCCAGGTACAATGCTAGGTGGGAAATTTTTCAAACAAATAACTCATTTTTCATGCATTCAGATTCTGAAATGTGCCCACCCTCGTTCATTTGTGAGCCTCACACCACCACCCTTATGGTGGAGCAGAGATTGGTGTCTCTATTTCATAGGTGAGAATAACCTAAGGCCTGACAGGGTGTGAGTGAGAAAACAACAGGACCTAAGTCAGTCAGGTTTCTCAATTGCAACAATTTTCTTTTTTACCAGGTTAAGAAGTAACCTAGTAACTGATATCTTTTTGGTTCATTTATTTTTGAAATGTGTCTACCAGTTCTCTCTCTCTGTCTCTCGTTAGAAAGAGAGAATACAGAATGACATATGAGGAAGGATCTTTAGAAGAAAGTGATCAGGCACTGCTTAGCATTATATTTCTTGCATTCATTTATTCATTCACGGAGACCCTTCTGTATAGAGGGCATTGTGCTAAGCTCTGGGATGACAGAAATGAGTAAGACCAATCCCTGTCCTCAAGGAATTGGTAGTCCAGTGTTTGTTTCTCCCTTTACCCCTGAATTGAGAACTGTCTGGAACACACATATTTCCCAATGTTGCTCTCTTTAGGAGTTACCTGCTGTCTCATTCAATATTCCTGATGCCATCTAGTGATATTCAGGCATGAGGGGGCTTCAGTGTAGGATCAGAATGGAAGCAACCCAATATTGGTCTCTACTCATGGAGAACAGGCTTTTAATAAATCAGATTTCTACGTGAGATGGTTTGACTTTTTTGGACACAGGAACAGCCTAAACTCACCCATAAAATGGAAGTAGTATTAGTACCTACTTATAGGACTGCTGAGAACATTAAACAAGTTAATATATAGAATTTTGAACCATACCTGGCAATGGTAAGCATTATGTATGTGTTAGCTGCTGTCATTACCACATCATCATTATCAGCTGATTAATTTTTCTCTGTGGAAAAAGAGATTCTGCTTAGGACTGGTGTCCATTTCTAAGGGGAGTTATGCTTATTTTTTTTTTTTTGTCTTTTTTTTTTTTGTCTTTTTGTGGAGAACGGGGTCTCGCTATATTGCCCAGGCAGGTCTCGAACTCCTGAGCTCAAGCTATCCTCCTGCCTCTTGCCTCCCTGAGAGCTGGGATTACAGGCGTGAGCCACCGCGCCCGGCTGGACTGGTGTCCATTTCTAAATGTGAGTGATGCCTTCCAAGAAATTGAGAATCTAGTATTATTCCCAAATATATATTTATTTTACAACGAAGACTGTTTGGCTGCCCTTTTGTGTCAGGACAGAGGGCATTGTAAACTTGGTGGGCCATCAAGATTTTCACTCTTATAGGACTCCCTTCCACTGTCCATCACTCTGAAATGTTCCACAGGTCTGCTACTTTTACCTGAGGAGGCAGTGATGAGGAAGTGAATGGTTGAGAAGGGACGCAGACTGATAAAATTCTTACCACAAGGCCTTGGGTCTACTGGATTCCTTTTAAACAACTGCTTATGTTCCTTCTATACCACACATTAAAGTGTCTGTGAGAAAATGAAGTTTGTGGTGTCAGTTAAGATTACAGGTTGAATGGCATACCTCTTCTTGATGGTCAGATTGGGTTAAGGTTGAGTGTCCTTGGGGGTCCTAGGTGGAATTTCCTCACAGGAGCCAAGTTAGGATGGGGAATATATTTGGCCACTAACAAAGTTTCTTCTTGTGTCTCTGGTCTCATCTGGTCACAATAACCTTTGGTTTTTGATGAAGCTATTGGGTAGTCTGGCCTTTGAATTTCAGTACATCAATGTTACTGGTAAATCTTAAGATATGGAAAGATAATCCTTAGCATTATGGATAAACTTTACCAAGTATTCCAGATATCTTGAGAACTAGGTTTGTGACAATTGCAGTTGGTAAAATAAGGTTTAAAATACCTCTTGCCTATTAATTGCGACTAGAAAAGTTTGATTCTGGTAAGTTATGGGGAAGCAAAACTAGATTTATAGGGAGGGTTTTATTTGTTTATAAGAAATCAACTTTACCACTTTTTTCATCTACCAAATGACTCGAAGGTGCTGACTACCCGCTCACCCTCTCTGCCTCATCTGGTTATGTCTTTTTCTCTTTTTTATGTGTACAGTGTTGTAGCATAGTTATGATGAGAGCACAGAGAGCCCATTTCCTATTTTGACTATCTTCCTTTATTTTTCTATTCATTCTCTCATGACATAGCAAAGTGCTTAAATTTTTTATATTAGCTGCAAGCCCATTTATCCCTTCTCAAGGGATTATAGGTGGTTTTCTAACAATCAAACATGATCCCATTCCTTTTTTACAAAAGGAATTTTCTTTCTTTCTTTCTTTCTTTTATTTATTTATTTTTTTTGAGATGGAGTTTCACTTTTGTGGCCCAGGCTGGAGTGCAATGGCACAATTTTGGCTCACTGCAACCTCTCCCTCCTGGGTTCAAGCAATTCTCCTGCCTCAGCCTCCCAAATAGCTGGGATTATAGGAATGCACCACCACACCTGGCTAATTTTTTTTATTTTTGGTAGAGACAAGATTTTGCCATGTTGGTTAGGCTGGTCTCGAACTCCTGACCTCTGGTGATCCACCAGCCTTGGCCTGCCAAAGTGCTGGGATTACAGGCATGAGCCACTGCGCCTGGCCAAAAAGGGAATTTCTAATACTTGTGGTGATGACTCTGTTCTGTTGGGGCACCATACAGTGAAAATGTCCAAAGATCCTCATACTACAGCCTAGGATGGTACATAGAAAATTTAAAATATAGGACGAGATTTTTTTTGGGGGGAAGTTTTATGTAACTTACTCTATACAGGTGTGAGATGATTTTTTTGTTGTTGTTTAACCATTTTTTCTTTATTGTTGGCTTATATATATATACACATATGATTTTTTATTAATATACTTTAAGTTCTGGGATACATGTGCAGAACCTGCGGGTTTGTTACATAGGTATACATGTCCCATGGTGGTTTGCTGCACCCATCAACCCATCAACCCATCATCTACATTAGGTATTTCTCCTAACACTATCCCTCCCCTTGCACCCCACCCCGACAGGCCCCACTGTGTGATATTTCCCTCCCTGTGCCCATATGTTCTCATTGTTCACCTCCCACTTATGAGTGAGAACATGTGGTGTTTAGTTTTCTGTTCCTGTGTTAGTTTGCTGACAATGATGGTTTCCAGCTTCATCCATGTCCCTGCGAAGGACATGAACTCATCCTTTTTTATGGATGCATAGTATTCCATGGTGTGTATGTGCCACATTTTCTTTATCCTACATTGATGGGCATTTGGGTTGGTTCCAAGTCTTTGCTATTGTGAATAGTGCTGCAGTAAACATGTGTGTGCATGTGTCTTTATAGTAGAATGATTTATAATCCTTTGGGAATATACCCAGTAATGGGATTGCTGGATCAAATGGTATTTCTAGTTCTAGATCCTTGAGGAATCACCACACTGTCTTCCACAATGGTTGAATTAGTTTACAGTCCTACCAACAGTGTAAAATCATTCCTATTTCTCTACATCCTCTCCAGCACCTGTTGTTTCCTGACTTTTTAATGATTGGCATTCTAACTGGTGTGAGGTGGTATCTCACTGTGGTTTTGATTTGCATTCCTCTAATGACCAGTGATGATGAGCTTTTTTCATATGTTTGTTGGCCACATAAATGTCCTCTTTTGAAAAGTGTCTGTTCATATCCTTCACCCACTTTTTCATGGGATTGTGTTTTTTTCTTGTAAATTTGTTTAAGTTCCTTCTAGATTCTGGATATTAGCCCTTTGTCAGATGGATAGATTGCAAAAATCTTCTCCCATTCTGTAGGTTGTCTTTTCACTCTGAGGATAGTTTCTTTTGCTGTACAGAAGCTCTTCAGTTTAATTAGATCCCATTTGTCTATTTTGGCTTTTGTTGCCATTGCTTTTGGTGTTTTAGTCAGAAACTCTTTGCCCATGCCAGTGTCCTGAATGTTATCGCCTAGGTTTTCTTCTAGGGTTTTTATGGTTTTAGGTCCTATGTTTAAATCTTTAATCCATCTGGAGTAAATTTTTGTATAAGGTGTAAGGAAGGGATCCAGTTTCAGTTTTCTGCATATGGGTAGCCAGTTTTCCCAACACCATTTATTAAATAGGGACTTCTTTCCCCACTGCTTGTTTTTGTCAGGTTTGTCAAAGATCAGATGGTTGTAGAGGTGTGGTGTTATTTCTGAGGCCTCTGTTCTGTTCCATTGGTCTATATATCTGCTTTGGTACCAGTACCATGCTGTTTTGGTTACTGTAGCCTTGTAGCATAGTTTGAAGTCAGGTAGTGTGATGCCTCCAGCTTTGTTCTTTTTGCCTAGGATTGTCTTGGCTATACAGGCTCTTTTTTGGTTCCATATGAAATTTAAAATAGTTTTCTTCTAATTCTGTGAAGAAAGTCAATGGTAGCTTGATGGGAATAGCATTGAATCTATAAATTACTTTGGGCAGTATGGCCATATTCACGATATTGATTCTTCCTATCCGTGAGCATGGAATGTTTTTCCATTTGTTTGTGTCCTTTCTTATTTTCTTGAGCAGTGGTTTGTAGTTCTCCTTGAAGAGGTCCTTCACATCCCTTGTAAGTTGTATTTCTAGGTATTTTATTCTTTTTGTAGCAGTTGTGAATGGGAGTTTGCTCATGATTTGGGTCTCTGTCTATTATTGGTGTATATGAATGCTTATGATTTTGCACATTGACTTTGTATCCTGAGACTTTGCTGAAGTTGCTTATCAGCTTAAGGAGTTTTTAGGCTGAGACGATGGGGTTTTCTAAATATACAATCATGTCATCTGCAAACAGAGATAATTTGACTTCCTCTGTTCCTATTTGAATACCCTTTATTTCTTTCTCTTGCCTGATTGTCCTGGCCAGAACTTCCAATACTGTGTTGAATAGGAGTGGTGAGAGAGGGCATCCTTGAAAAATAGGACAAGATTTGTGAAGCATTGCATTGACATTCTTTTCTACATATCATTTTTTAGCATTTCCGCAATTTTTTATTATGAATGTTTTCATACACGCAGAAAAATAGAACAAGTTGTACAATAAACACCTGTAACTCACCATTCCGTTTCAACAATTGTTAACATTTTGCCATGTTTCTTTGTCTATATACATGGATACACACACATATATGTATATATTACCATGTGTTCTTCATCAGTGAAAAAAGAATATTTAGGAATCCATGGATTTCTGAGGAGATAGATATTTCAGCTATACCTATATTCCCCATCAAACTGTTTAACCACTTATTTTGGTGTCTTGGAAACAAATACTGAAACATTTGCATTCAGAATACAGTTGTGTTTGACTCTATGCAAAGATCAGCTCGTGGTGATCAGTGTCTATTTTAAGTAATTGGTTATGTGTATTTCATTCTGGGAACTCCTGAGTGTCCTTCTAAGAGGACCTGTGGCCAACTTTGAAGACTTGCTGTCCTTGAAATACAGGTTGTATCCCTACTTCGTAACTTACAAGCCATGTGCTCTAGCTTGTAAATAAAGTAAATTGAGCTAGGTGATTGAATGTTTCCCGTCACTTCTAAACGACTGAAATTCTAAGAACCAAGTTGAAAGTTTGCTTACAAACCTAGCTAGAATGAAGAACCTTTCAGAAACATTTTACATATAGATTGAAGTATGCTGAAGGTCAGTTAAGTTCCACATAATTTCATGGTCAATGAGAAGAAATTCTGAATCTAGGACTTAGCGTCAGTAATAGCCATCAAAAAGTACAAAACCTTAATACCCGAGTTTCCTGAATATCTGGGTGCAAAGTGGTATTACAGATTTGATTCTTTTGCATACAAATATGGCTGAAAAGTTCCAAATGCATATCAGCTTTTTTGTTAGACTTTGGATATGTAAGTGCTTTATTTGGTTATTACTAAAATTTCCCAGTGATTTGTGTATTTAACTATTTGTCTTCTGCTTTTTTTCTCCAGTATACTTTATCTATGCTGATGGAAGAGTGTGGGTCAGGAATTACTGGTATAAACAGATTAATATGTCCCATCAAAAGAAAGACCATTTTAGTTATATCATGTATGAGGTCACCTTACATGGTTTGTGAAGGGTTTTCATGTTTTTCTCCTTGGATGAAATATATACTTCTGAGAATAATATGACTACATCAAATAAACAATGAGCTGGCTAGGTGCAGTGGCTCAAGCCTGTAATCCCAGCACTTTGGGAGGCTGAGGCAGGCGGATCACAAGGTCAGGAGATCAAGACCATCCTGGCCAACACAGTGAAACCCTGTCTCTACTAAAAATACAAAAAATTAGCCGGGCATGGTGGTGGGCGCCTGTAGTCCCAGCTACTCGGGAGGCTGAGGCAGGAGAATGGCATGAACCCGGGAGGCAGAGCTTGCAGTGAGCCGAGATCGCGCCACTGCACTCCAGCCTAGGCGACAAAGCGAGACTCCATCTCAAAAAAAGAAAAAAATCTATTGGTAAAAAGCAGCTGACAATATCAGCATTTGTTTATTATCTTGGATTTAATCTGTTGATAACAAGGTGAATATATCTGTCCCAGCACACAAGGATAAGAGAAAACTTCAGTCTGATATTGGCTAGTGAAAATTTCAGCAAAATCCTTTTAGTATAACATCTGCCTTAATAAATGGCATTAAAAGCGGGGAGGTAAAGAGGATGGAGGCATTCTCTCTTCCAAATGTAAATATACTGCTGCTTACCTGTCAATCTTATGTTTTCTAAGTTAATTCTTCCTAAAGTTTTTTGTTTTTAACTATTTGATGAGAAGATTACACTGCTACAGGCCAACTAAATGGGATGTATTATTTGAACCTCTTCCATTGTTTTTAAAATCATTGTTTGTGTTGTAATCCTTTCAAAGAGCCAGCCAGTAGCTGCTTTCCTGTTTAAAGAGTAAGCTCTTTCCATTGGCAGATCACCTTCATTTAATCCTCTGAAAGTGCACACTTAATTCTTAGCAACAATGCATTTTTAGCACCAAGGACATATTACCAAGAAAAACTGAATATGGCAAACAAGTAGAAAAATACGCCTTAGTTGTCTAAGAAGGTAATTGTGTCTTGCTTTTGGAGTCTTATAAATATCCCTCTTGGTACAATTAGCCTCTGTAAATATTTGAACTCCTTTGTAGTTGAAACACTCTATATTTCAACAGGCAGATGAAGGACAGTTTTTCAGGTTGATTCTTAATATAGTAGACTTACATTTTATTGTTGGCCACACTTTAGGATTTTATTGCATTAAAATGTATCTGTGATTGTTAATATAAAACTTCAATCAACTTGCTTAAATATTGGAAGCTCTCAGGATGTGGAATAAGCATGGCATTGTGGAGAATATCACCCTGGCCCGAGTCAAGTGCACAGTGCTGCAAAAGCATTGTGCTAATTTTAGCTTACAAAGAGGATGAAGATAAACTGCCTACTGCTAGTTTGCCATATGCTATCCTGGTGATAATATTCAAGTGCAAAATATTCCATAGAGAGCCTTATTGTTTCAGCAAGGGAAGCCTGGATAAGAGTTAAGCAAATTTCTCCTCAGTAAGTTTATAAGAAATAATGAAGTAAAACAATTCTCAAATGCAGGTAGATGAAATCTGCTAAATTTATTTTGGCTTTATTGACTTTCATGGGAGTTGACAGAATTAGTTTTGGTTTATATTTGATTCAATTTTATCTATTTTTCACATGTAAATCTTAAAAATCAATCTGAATAAATATTGATCTCTTTCAGAGAGGCAAAAATATAGTTTGGATTGCATAAAACTGCTTAAAAGACAGCATCCCTTGAAGTTCAATAAAGGAATAAAGCAATCTGTTCAACTGGTTTTAAAATAACACTTTAAAAAGCCTTTTTAAAAATGAAAAAGTCAAAATCCATTACATTTCCATATTTGGCAAATTCAGCGTCTACAGTTTCACCGAAGAGTGTTTGACCTATTTATTTGTCACTGAGACCACTTCACAGTGAAGGGATTGTTAGTTCCTGCAAAACTGAGAAAAATCCAATGTGCATAGCGCATTTGCAGATGGAAACAGACTGTGTAGCCGGATTTGGAGGGTGGGTTGGCTGGAAGCTTTGTGTTAACAACTGGTGAAAAGCTTGACCTTTGCGTGACCTAGGTCAAACAAACCCCCAACTCAAGAGCTCTCCTTTGACATGGATACCTGTTTGGGGAAGGGGCCAAAAAAGGGAATGGAGATAAAATTATGTTATGGACTTGCAAGCTTACTTTTTAAAAAGTTCTAGTTAACTTGACTGTTTGGGGACATGGTGGCCATTTTAGGGTGTTATAAAGGACCACAAATCTGTTTGTAAGTGTCAAAGGGAAAGGGTGATAGGGAGACCTTTCTTTTTTTCTTTCTTTCAATGATTCAAGCCATGCATAGGTTTTTTCCCCCATTGCAATATGATCTGGGTTGTGATTCACAGAGTTGAATGAATGGGCTGAACTCCACTGATGAAAACATTTGATAATGTGTAAAATAAAAGCCCTGGCAAGGAGGAGATGGCAAAGCTTCCATTGTTTGTCCCCACACTTTGTTTTTATAGGGGATTCTCACAGGAACAAATAAATTGGAGTAAATAAAAGCAAAATAGCACTGTTAGTCCATATCGGGACTTTGCACATGCTCACAAGTCAACTTTGGCAGGAAACTAGCAAAGGTCTGTTCCCTACCATTTGCGTTGCATCTTTATCTCTCCGGTTCATTGTTTGCCACTGAGTGCTTAAACCTCAACTTCCCAAGTAAAAGCTTCCTGTTGCTTGCTTTTAAATATAGTTTTGTTACAACAACAAGAAAAAAAAAATGGAGAAATGTATTAAGGAAGCCAACCAATGGAAAAAAAAAAGAGAATAAAACAGGCCTAGTCCAATGCAACTACAAACCTTCAGGGCTCAAAGCACACACTGCTGGGTACTCTTGATGCAATAATAGTCCCCTTTTAGGTATAAACCTATAGGAACCATCTCTATGCCCCCACAATAGGTCAAAAGTGAAGCAGAACCATGAAAATGTCCAGTGTTTCTCACATTGGCCCTTTGGCTGTATTTGGTTTCACTTAGTTTTCACTTTGCAGTGTTGTCTGTGGATGGAATTTTCTGCCCTTTCAATTGCAGGTTAAAGGAAATCCCATTCTTTATTAATTGTGCTCTTGCTTTGAGATCCTTTAATGTCAGTATATCTGAAAAATGGTATCCATTCCTATAGAAAATATGGTTCTTATTCCACCTTAATGGGTGGGGGCTACTCTGATACTTCCTGCAATTTCAGAGGAAAGTGCAGCAGTTTTCTCAGGCCTTGGATATAAACAACATTGTTTACGCTGTTTCCACTCTCTTCATCCTCTGTTTGTACAGGCCCTAAAACAAGTGGGTCTGTTTTGCATTTAAAAAAATTAGTGTATGTTTTCAGAATCAATCTATCAAGTGAGGCCAAGAAATGCCATAAGAACACATGGGTGGGGGTTAGCAAATTCTGGCTTTCAAAACTGACTTGACAGCCATTTAAAATGCTGGCTCTACATTCACAGAGTGTGTGGGGCTTCGTACACTCCCTTAATTCCACAATGGAGACAGTTGATTTGGGTCCCTCTTCCCTGCTTATTGCATGATATAAGGACAGCTGCACCCAGAAAATTATTAGCACCGTCCAAATGATTCTTTTCAAAGGGAACTTCTGTTGTGCTAAAATACACACAGCATTGTGAAAGTACAGTTTATTGTAGATATTTAATAAGGAATCTGTTATCAATCACTGGTAGTACAGGGAATTAAAATTTATGGAACAGTAGCTAATTAAAACAGGAAAAGTGTGAGCGTTCACTTGTGTGTGTGTGTGTGTGTGTCTGCTTGCATGTGTGGGTGTGAGCGAGGAATTCCTAGTGGAGGGGGGCTAGAGGGGGTTCCTCTATTACATGCATACTGGAGAGTCTTCATGAACACCCTTGCAGTCCTACAAGAACAGATGAGACAGACAGCTGACCAGGCAGCCATGAACCTTTCCGTCTGTGTGAACTGTCACCGTGCTTATAGACACAACTCCACATGTTCCGTAGAAGTTGGAAAATAGAATGTGCCTGCAGATTGTTTGGGCCTGTGAGTACAGGATTCAAACCTCCTTAGCAGATTGCTAGATTGAGACTCTGGGTGGATGCTGAGGTCTCAAGTCTCAGTTCAGCTTGGTTTGCTGCACTGAACTCAGCACACACATGGTCGATAACTCTTTCACTTGGCTGCCCTCTCTACCCTGCACTGGAGAAACTGCCTCCTGGGCAACTAAGCTAAGAAAGCTGTTGCTCTCATCTGGCTGGTTTCAGAAGGAGAAGGATGTCAGGAGTATGCAAAAGCTTGTTTCTTTGTGCAAGTCTTCAGCTGATTCTGAGTTGAGTATTCAGCTTGTTCTTTCTTGGAGACTCCTACAGCAGAGGCCCCTGAGAAGTCCTTGGTTGTTTGTGCAGATCTGGCTGTTCCATTCTGATGCACAGGTATTCCACATGGGTGCTAGGAAAAAGTGTGGTTACAAAGTGGCTCTGGGTCATTTGGAATAAATCAGTTGGACAACTCTTTTTTTGTTGTTTTATTCAGGACACTGGAAGTTTGTCTCATTGCTTTAATGAGAGTTGCATCTTCTTAGTTATGCTGTTGAACACATCTGGGGCCTGTTACTGCACCCTTACTCTTAGATAAATTGTAGCACCCATGCCCACACAGGTAGACCTCCTACCTTCATAAAGGGAAGTCAGAGGAAGCTGATACCCCACTCAGGTGGCCTTTAAATTTGAGGGGCGGACTTTGGGACCATGTTGCTTGGCAACAAATAACATATAGCAAAAACAAACACATAAAGATATGACCCATGATATTCAAACTTTAAATTCTATAACACTAGTTTGCTTAAGATATCAGCTGCTATACGGTAAAGTTTTTAAGGCAGCTGTAATTTGCGGAAATGCTGGCATTTACTTTTTCCATAGTCTTATCTTGAAGGCATAAATTGGAACTAAATCTGGGTTCAAGCCCCTTCTCATTTCTCTGGTACTCTTCCAGTAATATAGTTAACATTTGGATAAGGACGCATATTATGATTCTATCTATAGTTATTTACCCTCTCCCAGTTTAACATGAAGCCTTGCTAGCTTCCTAACTATAATATTTCCACCTTATTTTTTAGTTATGTGTTGGACCCTGAGTTGTCTTAAGGACTGAGGAATTTAAGACTCATTAATATTTTTATTAGTGTTATTTCCTTATAAATGAATTATCCCTTTCAGCTAACTATATCTTTAGAAAATGATCTTGGTTTTCTTCCATCATCATATCAATAATAATAAAATTAGCTAAGAAGTTGTAATTACTCTTCCTATATTCTCTGTGATGTGCTTAAATAGAATATCCACTTATTATGATGTTAATTTCCATTTATTACAAATGAGCAGGAACAAAATGTTCCTAACTGTCTGACTCCACCTTTTCCTGCACATTATGACTCCCCTATAAGTAAACCACACAGCCCACTATCGTATGTTCTCTAATGTACTTTCTAATAAATAAAGCCAGCTTAAAAAAAGATGTTATTCATTACATGTAAAATGATCATTTGAATTGCTTTTACTCTGAGTGACCCATGCATCACTTAATCAGACCCATTTAAACAGAGAGAGAAAGAGAATATGAGAACTGAGTGATCTGTCTGTATTTCATTTGGTGGCAATATGGGCAGAATTTAGTCTAAGAATGATTCTTTAGCCATCTAATTGTTTCCTGAAAAAAAAGTCTTATCTTCAGCATATATAGGTGGTGGTATGATGGGCTGTATAGAAATATAAGTTTAATCTGACTAGTGAAGATCATACTTCATCAGTTCACTTGTGACAAAAAAAGAGTGGCATGATCTCAAAGTTGTTCTCAGCCTTCTCACTCCTTTCAATCAGTTGAATCAACAAATCGATCACTTGTTCCATATGTAATAGCTCTCCCCGTGTAGAAATGAAGAGTTAGCAAACCTCTAGAATGCAAGACCAAATTCTTTGTTAAAGTTTTCTTATAATGAATTCTGTCTATTCCGCATATATGGAAAAACTCAGGGTAAGACACTTAACTTTTTTTCTGTAGAGAAACGAAAGCTGTAAAGGCAAAGGTATTTTTCTACTGCCTCCCCTTCCCACAAACCACTGTATTACTCTAAAGAAATTTATTATCTCAATCTGCTATTCATCTAACAAACTCCAACTGCCTGCTAGTACCAGGCCCTGAGGAAATACAATACTGAACAAGACTCATTTACTATGCTCAAAGAGCTTATAGTCTGGTAGGAATGCTGCATATAAACAGGCCGTGTAAAGGTGGTGTAATATCAGCTATAATTCGCACATGGAAAATGCACCTACCTCTGTATTGGAGGATCCCGGAGGAAGTTCTCCCATAGTCAGGGAATGTTTTACAGTACTTCATGTTTTCCCAAGAACTTTCACATATATGATCTCGCTTGTTCCTCATAACACCCCTTTGAATTAGCCAGTTCCTTATCACCATCACGTCTTTGTGGGTAGAAGAAGGAAGGCTCAGCAAATTGAGTCACTTCATGAAGAGTACCCAGACCGACCTGAGACTGAGGACCCAGGTTCTGACCTTAAGGTTAGTCATGAATGCATATGTTTGGGGAAGTAGGGGAACTTGGAAAGACGAGAAATAGTGGCCCGGTGTTGCGAAATTACTGTTTGACCATCTGGAAATTTGCCCCTGGTTCACAGCCAGGTTTCAGAAGACATGGAACAATCATTCCACATTCACATAGCCTAAGCACAGATTCAGAATGCCCACTTTCCCTCTTCTGACCTTTTTTTTTTTTTTTTTTTTTTTTTTTTAAACTAAGGAAAAGAAGCAAGTCTAGAAGACAGGCAATTAGCATGATCACTCAGGCCAGTTTTTATAATTTTGGTTTTCATCCAAACTAGTCACATTTCATACTTTTAAAGTTTTTAGGCTTTTCTGCTGGAGATCATCTTCCTCACACTGTGATTCTTAAAGGTTATGTATTTTTTTTACCCTGATCATACTTACGTCTTTTGACAAGAGAGAAGACGGACATCCAGCTTTGGGTCTGCAGTGATCCATCATTCAACTTCCGGTCTTTTTCATCATATTAGATTGTGCTAGTACTTGCTCTTTCCTTAAGCTATCTCCATTACAGGAGGGGGAACTTATTGCCCCAAATATAACAGAGATGCCTGACTTATGGAGAGTTACTTCAGAGATGTTTCTGGAAGAAAGAGTTCTTTGGGTATAAATGAGAAACAAGGGGACAGTTGTGTTTCCCACACCATATTTTGGTATCTAGCATGTAAATTATACTCTCATAGACCACCTGGATCTGAATGGCTGCGATCTGGGGCCCTTTCCCAGTTTTGCATGGCAGATGAGGAAAATGCAGGAAACGCTGAGGCTTTGAAGATGTGCTAGAACCTCAGCAACACAGAGCCACTGAGCAGCAAGAGGAGGCTGAGACAGGGCAGAAACACCCCCACTGTTAAGAGTGATGAGGGTTTGGAGCACCTAATCTGGATCTAGAAATTGGCCGCTGTGCAGGCAGCTGGGTGGTTCAAGATCTAGCACCCAAAGAGTGTAGCAAGTTCAGGCCTGGGCATTTCGGCATAACCAGTCTGGTAGGTGGGGCCAGCAAGAAGGAATTCTAGGCCACAGGCCAATTCAGAAGTCAGGCAGGCCTACGATTGGTATTCGGAGATCTGTTTGGGAAGAGATGATCATCCCTCCAGCTGGCAGCACAGGAGAGCAGTATTCAGTTCTGGGGAAAGAAAGGGCTGGGCCAGGGGAGGGGAAGAGAGATTCCCAGCCAGCTGATGTTGGAGAGAAGACTAGATCCAGAAGAGGACCAAGAGCAGAGAAGGAAGTAATTCCTTGGTTTCTGTGACTTCTTTCTCACCCAAGATAGATTTCAGGTTAGCACACTGTGACGTCATCACTGAAAACCTCTCCCCTCCCCTCGGGCGTGGGGGGCAGTGTGTGACTGTTCTTTACTCCAGGCTGGTGATTCAGGAGGCAGCCTTGTTTGTGTTTCCGTATGCCTCCTGCAGGGGAGACTTGCTTTTCTTTGATACATAAATGGTGAGTGAAAAGTAACTCTCCTGTGAGCTTGGTCTCTTTTTTGCTCTTCTCTGGTCGAGCAGCCTGACCAGGCCTGGTCAGTGTGAATTGCCCAATTTCATAGTGTGCACGGGGGTCTCAGGAGAGGGCAATTGCCTCATAACTTTTCTATTAGCAGAATTTCAGATTCCTGACGTGGAGCGATACTTGAAAACCATTTGCGTGATGCTGGGAAATGTTTGCTTTGTCCTTCTTTATGTCCTAGGCATGGGCATTTTTGTCATTTCACTGGGGACTACTTGTAGGCTCTGAAAGCAGGAAGGGGCTTCTCTCAGGCCATGCCCTAGCTAAGCGAGGATTCCCCTCTGTATTTGGATAGCTGGTTGCTCAAGTTCCAACCCTTACATGAGGTTTTTCTGTATGATTTTCTCCTTTATGTTTTGGAGGCACACTCGGGAACGTTCTCGTTTTTTTTTGTTTGTTTTGCAATGTGGCTATTTTTGACTTTACAAAGCATTGGAACTGGCATCCTCCCATTCTTGTGAACTTTCTCTGGATCTGTAAATACTTGGTATTTGTTTTCTTCCTTGTACATTTCAGGGGTGGTTTTTATATTTAACTTTGACTAAGATACACTCACATGCTACTCTGAGAGTACATGCTTCGGTGTCTCTTTTTTCTTTGCCTTCAGTAAAAAGGATAAGATTCAGGGAAGGTTTATGAACTCACTTTATGGGTCAGACATGTGCTGGCTGTGGAGAGCATACAGCAATAAGAAAGGACTGTCTCTACCCTCAGATACCTTTCTAGAGGTTAAAGAAATGCACCTTGATCATTATCATTGTCTCTAATGGAGTAAATGGAAAGGGTAGTGGTAGAATGGTTAGGAGTTTAGCCTCAAGTCAGATCTGGGTTGAATCCACAAGGATTTGTATTCCTTATCTGTATAGCAGCCTATTTCCTTATCTGTGCATTAGGGACATTCAAAGGATTAAATGAGATACTTCAGAAAAGCAAGGATTGTGAGAATTAATTGATCAAAGATCAATGCCAATCTCAGTTTCTGGTATCTAGTAAGTGCTCAATAAATGTTAGTTTTTAGTACTGTTTCTATTATTCTTATTGTCTAGAGAAGAGATGGAAAGTTAGTCCTGTTTTTCGGTAGTGTGTCTCACTTTTCCTGGATCTGAAAGATACTTTCTTAAATGATATAACTTTTTTCCTTATCAGTAAAACAAAAATCTTTGCTGTTAAAAACTGCTGCAGAGGCTTGGCATGGTGGCTCATGCCTGTAATTCCAGCACTTTAGGAGGCTGAGACAGGAGATTTGCTTAAGCTTAGGACTTCGAGAGCAGCCCAGGCAACATGTGAGACTCCATCTCTAAAATAAGATGAATAACATAAAAAATTAAAACTGCTGCAGAAATATTATTTAGAAGGCAGAGGGTGAGTTATCATAAATTAACCTATTTTGTGTGGGAAATGAAAACTTGTACTAGTAAAAATTGCTTTCCAATGTATCCTCATCCACCAATTGGCTGCCAGCTTAATGTGATGGGACTATTTAGGCAGCACTGCCACCCATTGTTACTCTGAAGCACACTTGCAAAGTTCCAAGTCACTTTACAAGGCTTTTTTTGGGGGGCTGTGGGGGAAGAAAAAGAAAACAATAGAAAAAAAATGGTATGCCATGTTAGGAGAGTGGGTATAGATATTTTGGAAAAGACTTCTAGGAATGGGAATGGGATGGGGAGAGGTGACAAGAGTAGCAATGGTCATTTTGGAGCTTTGAGTGGGGGATTCAGATTAATGTTCCCCTGTTCAAATGGTGTACTCACTAGCAAAACAAACATAAGAACTCACATTCGCTGAGCTAAGCCACTGCTGCCAAACGATGCGCGAAACATTTTTATATAGCTGATTTTATTTCATCTGCCCCACAACTCTAAGGTGTAAGTACTATTACTAGGTTCATTGTTTCCAGAGGGGTGAAACGGGGCTTTGGAGAGGTTAAATAACTTGCCCAGGGTCACACAGCTATTAAGTGGTAAAGCTGGGATTTACATGAGCCCAGACAAAGAACCCAAGAAGCTAAGCTATTCTCTTGTAATACCTCCAACATAGGAGGCAAGAAGTGAGGTATTATACAGGTTGAGGAGATAAAGGGGAGAGAGGCCTGCAGTGCTAACAGGAGGAGCTGGGATTCATCCTGGCTTGTTCTGATAGGTCAGTTAGTCTTAGAGATACCCATGAGGTCACCTACTCAAAATGGGGCTCAGAGTAGCCTTGTCCCATTCTTGTCCAGTGGGCGCAGCTACAGTCTTCCTGGCCTGGAGTGACTGGAGGCTGTCCCCACGTCCCACTTCAGTGAGGCATTCATGTGCACCCAGCACACTTTCTAGCTTTATTTGCCTGGAGGGGAAGATTCTCCAGAACCTTGTTAAGATGCACAGTGTGGTCCTTGGACTGGCAGTGTGGCCTCGGCAGTCCCTGGGAGCTTGTTAGGAATGCAGAATCTCAAGCTCCTCCCTACTGAATCTAAAGCTGCATTTTAACAAGATCCCAGCTGTTTCGTATGCACATGAAAGTTTGAGCAGCACTGCTCTAGAAAGTTACTTTTATCTTTACTGTGCCCACCAAAGTAATCAAACTTTGTGAAGTACGATTATTTTCAAACAAGCCTACGTCCCTGACTAACCGAGTGGAAGGTGTGAGTGGCACTACAAATTCACAAAAGAACTGTAGCCTCAGATAATCAAAGGAGAGAAGGTCAGATGCAATCACTGATGCATGCTAGTAATTCTCAAACCTTCGTTTTCAGAAACGATTGGATTTTCAGATAGATTTGCAGTAAGAGAATAACAAGTCTTTATTTTTTTCATCCCAACTTCTTTCTTGCACATTTTTCTTCTAGCTATATTTAATATCTGTTCTCCCCACACACTTGCTAATCTACATTTCACAATCTTCTTCCACTTCACTTTGTCTGCAAAGAAATCTACCTGGACAGAATAGCATCTCTTTTTTTCCCCCTGACCCTTGGCATTTCCTCTCCCTCCAACTTCTGCCTGATCCTAGGATGGACTCTCTCATCCCTCATTCTCTATCATTAGCTCTCAGGCTGCCCTTCCTGCACTTTACCTTCCCCCACACCTTCTTACAGGAAAGCAGAATAGAAAGGCATCAGTGAGGGATGAACAGGAGAGTGCCTTGAGAGAAGATTCCCAGGAAGACAGGGAGAGCCAGACAGTGGACTGGTTGCAACCCATGTAGCCGAATCATAGTGCTCATTGCTGTGGAGGCTCTGGTCTGTCTAGCCACACAGACCAGTGAAGTGAGGGTACATAGGTTAAAAAAAAAAAAAAAAAGCTTCTACAGAATACAGACATGTTATCCTGGTGTGTCAATCAGGAAAGATGTGGTCCGGATGAACAGAATTGTACCTTTTTAAATATTATAACTTTTAGGGACATTCTTGATGAAAATGTTTCCACTCTATACATAACTCTCTCATATCTGATTATAACACTTAAAAAATAATTTAAAGTCAGTGGACATATGAGTTTATGCACTGTGCTATATATTTCCTTATTTACACAGCCTGTTAAGCATTTATATGGCTTTTTTTCCTATGCTAAAAGGGCCTTGTGTGCAATGCCTTTTAGGTTCTTGTCTTTTGCCTCTTTATCATCTTATACTTTTACAAAGCTCTCAGCCTACAAACTATGAGGCCAGAAGCTAGATGAGCAAACTTGAGAACTGCATCTAAATTAAATGTAACTGTTCTTCAATTGAGGGTCTTATGATCATTTCTCTGTAGAAAGTATACGAGCTTTACCACATATAATCTATGATTGTAATCTATTGGTTCTTAAGCTTGGCTGTATGTTATAATCAACTTGGAGCTTTAACAGTCACTAATGCTGAAATCTTACCCCACCTCCCAAACTGATTTAATTGGTCTTGAGTGCAGTGTAGGCATCAGGATTTGTAAAAGCTACCACATGATTTAAATGTAGCCCATGTTGAAAAGCACTCCTTCTAATCTGGATGTCAGAAAGCTTTTTAAATTTTTATTTATTTATTTATTTTTTATTGAGATGGAGTCTCGCTCTGTTACCCAGGCTGGAGTGCAGTGGCTCGATCTCCACTTGCTGCAAGCTCCGCCTCTCAGGTTCAAGGGATTCTCCTGCCTCAGCCTCCCGAGTAGCTGGGATTACAGGCATGCATCACCACGTCCAGCTAAGTTTTGTATTTTTAGTAGAGGCAGAGTTTCACCATCTTGGCCAGGCTGGTCTAGAACTCCTGACCTCAAGTGATCTGCTCGCCTCAGCCTCCAAAAGTGCTGGGATTACAGGCATGAGCCACCGTGCCCGGCCAGCTTTTTTATTTTTCAAATCCTGCTTTTCAAGTGTATTTTATTTAATTGAGTTTGTTGAAAAAGTGACCTCAGATAAATAAATGCTATCTTGTTGTGTAAAAGTGTTTGTATATACACACATATATACATGCATAGCAAATACATATGCAGAGTAATATAGAAGTTTAAAACTAAATTACATAGCAAGCTTTTGCAGATATCACAAAAATAAATGTTGTCTTTGTGTGTTTGTGTGTGTATTTGTGTTTGTGTGAGCATATGTGTGTGTATGTGTGTCTGCCTGTCTGTGAGATCCTATATGGGGTACTTTTTTTCCTAAAATGATCTATTTTTGTGGTTATGTAGGAGTTTATGACCATTCATTAATAGAGCATTTATATGTATTTTGGGGAGCATATTATGAGTAATGAACTAGCATTATTAAAATAATTTTAAAAAATAGGCAAGGTACTAGTTCTGAAAATTCTTTCTAAGCTGTTGATTCAAAATAAAAGTTTATGACTTTTGTACTGTTTTACCTTTGCACTTGAAAGTGCAAATATAAAAATAAAGAAAATACTCTTTATTTCCTGAGAAAAAGATTGGGGGATTTCCATTTTATTTTACCAATAATGTAAATGTATAGATTTCAGTATATTTTGCAGTGTACTCACATCCTGAAGTTTCTAAGACTCCATTAAAAAGTTATGCTGTTTTTGCAGGGATTTTTTCAGGGCATTTAGTTGTAAAAAAAAAATGCTGAATAGATGAAAAATGAGTAAAATCTGTGTTTTTTTTTTCTTTCCTATTCATCATTGCTGTTTGTCCTCTGTGTGTAGGCAACCAATTTGCTGTTGTTCCCCTGAGGGGAATTCAAGTCAAAAAGTAATATTGAATTACTAGGAAAAGGTATTCCTATCTCAAAAGAACAAAGTAAAATGATTCAGAAAAAAAAAAAAACTTGGAAAATTTATCCAATTTCCTGGTGTATGTTGTATGTGTCCATGGTACTTTACTTCTATGAACACTTACATAAAATAAATCTTAAGTAAACTATAAATCTGAACACTGACAAACTCCAACGGACAATTCTTAATTTTTATGAATGTAGAAAGTCTGCTATCTTCCTTTAATCCCATCCAATGCACATTCACATTTTGTCAATTTTTTTTTTTCATTCTATGAAAACCTAGTAAATATTTTCATTCTGGGTCTCAGTTATTTGATTTCTTTCCATGTTTTTCACCCAGTTATGTTTTATACATTATTTATGTTGAAAGTGAAGTGATAGAAGCTTAATTGAATGAATTATTTATAGTAAAGAAGTTATTCCACATTTATTTCAACAGGGTGGAAATCCCTGACTTATAAATACTCAAATTGTGAATGACCTAGATATACATACAGATGTTTATATACATACAGCCTAGATCTCTTACTTGTATCTCATTGTGTTACATCCACAGAACTCATTTACTGTCACTGCAATTCCTGTGGAAAAACTTGACGTGTTCAGAAACACATGGCTTCCCAAATATAGGCAGGGGTAAATGGCAGGGATTGTGAGGAAACAGAGGGGAATAGAGGGGAGGCAGAATATAATGATCAGTTTGGAAACTGACCATGAACTCTTTTATAAGAATGGCATCTGTTGATTAAAAAAACAAATCCCAATAGGAGCTGCATGTTTTAAAAACCTTTACTTATTACTTTACCTAAAATTCTGCCATTTAAAGATTCACTCATTTGCAATAACAGATCTTTCAAAGATGCCAACATTTCTGGGAAGGTGAGGAGGCCATCAGTCATTTCACCCCCATCCAAATTAGTTCTTTGAGATTGCTTTTACCTGAAGTCTGGCTTATATCAACAAGCCTGAAACGATGGACATTTTGATTGTTGGGAGACGAAGAGGGTCAGTTCAGAGCAGGAGAAGAATGGGTCCAGGTGAAGTAACCACAGTGGGAGGGCAAGAGCCTCTTCAAAGCACTGGAGCATGTGGAAACTCTAGGGGAGGGATACTATGCAGTGGAAAAAAGATACAGAAAGGGAGGTGCTCAGGGCAATTGCACATAGTTTAACATTTTTCTAGACTGGCTCTGTGCACAGGAATATGAGAAGAAACTCTTCTTCCCCCTTATTCTTATACTTTCTTCCTGCACCCAGGGCTCAGACATCAGTTGGAGCTTTATTCACTTAATAATTAGTTTTACTTTGCTGAGCTGGCTTTGGGACCTGACAGCATCCACAACTGGCTTCTATGCAAAAATACATTTGAAATGTCCAAGAGGACAACTTATCAATTCATGTCAGAATGTAATCTGTGCCTAAATTGGGGTCTACCTGAATGGACTCATTGCTTTTCCATTGTCCCCCATTCTTTAATCTTCATGATTTAATCAGGTGATTTGTTAGGTTGAACTAGAAAGAGACTGGGAAATGAGGCATTGTTTGACAAAATTTACATCATATTAGGGCACGCAATGGAGAGGACACTCATGACCCCATAGATACTTATGACTCACTAATAGGTCATGACTCTCAGAACCCTAGGGATGAACACCCACAACCTGCTCCTCTTACCTCTCCAGCCTCATCTTGTTTTGCTTTCCCAGGTTCCAGTTCCTCCAGCCACACAAGGCCTTGGTATATGCTGTTCCTTTGGCCTGGAATGCTCGCCTCTGCCCTTTTAGGCTGCCCACTACACGTAGTTGACTTTTCTCCGCCCTTTAGATTTTGGCTCAAGATCACTCCAGCCTAAGTGAAGTCTTCTTGTTTCACACACTCATAGATGTGTACTTTTTTCCAATTAAGAGCTTCAGTTTGCAGTTGTACATTTATTACTGTAATTATTTTGTTTAACTTTAGTGCCTTCTAACTGGAAGGCTTGATAGAAACAGAAACTGCTGATTTTGTTCACCATTTATGTCTCCAAGTGTTGGCCTAGTGTTTGGGACATCAATAGGTTGTTAAATGAATGAACGAATAACAAGAATGACTTTATGCAAAAGATGGTTACATATATGGGGCATTTTTTTTTTTTTTTTTTTTTTTTTTGAGACGGGGTCTAGCTCTGTCGCCCAGGCTGGAGTGCAATGGCGCGATCTTGGCTCACTGCAAGCTCTGCCTCCCGGGTTCGCGCCATTCTCCTGCCTCATCCTCCCAAGTAGCTGGGACTACACTCACCTGCCACCATGCCTGGCTAATTTTTTTGTATTTTTGGTAGAGACGGTGTTTCACCTTGTTAGCCAGGATGGTCTCGATCTCCTGACCTCATGATCCACCTGCCTCGGCCTCCCAAAGAGCTGGGATTACAAGTGTGAGCCACCGCGCCCAGCCCTATGAGGCATATTTTTAAATGCTACATTTTACCCTTTAGCGGAGGAGGGGGAGCAGTAAATTCATAGGAAGAAGTATTTTCTCCAGGCTCTGACTCTCCATGTCTTCCTTTAGGTTTCTGTGATGTCAGGAGTCCACTAAAGGGCAGAAAAAGGCTGTGAGCTCATTCCACACTGGTTAACAATTAACAATTTCTTTCTTTTTTTTGAGATGGAGTCTTGCTCTGTCACCCAGGCTAGAGTGCAGTGACGCGACCTCAGCTCACTGCAGCCTCCGCCTCCTGGGTTCAAGCGATTCTCCTGCCTCAGCCTCCCGAGTAGCTGGGATTACAGGTGTGCATCACTGCGCCTGGCCAATTTTTGTATTTTTTTAGTGGAGATGGGCTTTCACTATGTTGGGCAGGCTGCTCTTGAACTCCTGACATCAGGTGATCCACCCGCCTCGGTCTCCCAAAGTGCTGGGATTATAGTTAATAGCCACTGTGCCCGGCCTATTAACAATTTCTTGTCACCATTTAAGAAACCTAAATTCTGCTAGAAAGGAAAAGCTTGATGGCAGATCTCTGTGGAGCCAACTTTAGGAAGCTTATTGAGCCATTTCTTGTTATAAGTGCCAATAATACGTTTATTTAAAGTTTGTGTATTCTTAATCTACAGCCCCACCATTCTTAGCTCCATCTTTTCCGTCATTGCCACTGCTATGTCTGTACCACAGGGCACTTGTTAAGCCTCTTCTAGAACTTAGCTCTGCCACAGTAGGTTCCCACGTCTAACTCTTTATTTTGGTTTCCAAAGGAACCGCTTCAAATTTTCCAGGAAAGCTGTGGGTGGTAAAATATATGAGAATATGCCTTCTTTTGTTGTTTTCCTTTGATTAACTGGGAATCACTTTGCGCTAAGAACAAGGAAGCCTTAAATATCTATGGATAAGAGAAGATACAAAAGTGAGGCCAAGGAGTTAACAGAATCCTAATTAAAGATAAACTTGGATCATTACCTATTTGTATATTGGCTGCAGAGTTGTATACTTCATATACATATGAAGTATAGTGTGTTTCTCTTGAAAATGTGTAATAAGACCTAAGGGGTTGGCCAGACACAGGGCCTAAGACAGATAATCCAAGCACTTGGAAGGCTGAGGCAGGAGGTTGCTTGAGGCCAGGAGTTTGAGACCAGCCTGGGAAACATAGTGAGACCCCTGTCTCTACCAAAAATTAGCTGGTGTGGTGCCATGCACCTGTAGTCCTAGCTACTCTAGAGGCTGAGGCCTGAAGATCCCTTGAGCCCAGGAGTTTGAGGTTACAGTGAACTATGATCATGCCACTACAGTACAGTATGGGTAACAGAGTGAAACACTGTCTCTTAAAAAAGGAAAAAAGAAAAGACTTAAGGGGCTGTATTATGTCTTCAGGGAAAAGCTGATACGATTACTTGAAAAAAAATCAAGGAAAGCCAGAGTTCTAGAGTTTTATATATTTAGCATCAGATATTTGATGTTTAAAATGCCGGCCTGAAGTTTGAGCTGAGGATCAAATTGTCTGCTTAGAAACAACTGAGTTTCTCAGCTATGGTAAACCTGGGAAATGTGCAAAGGGGGGAATATAATTAATTAATTCACTGGGAAAAAATGCAGAAAGAAACAACCTTTGCTCAGAAAAGATGCACAAACAGCAAGAAATTTTAGTTAAGTAAATGATTTTAAATTATAATTGCAGAAAGTAGTGATATATTTCTGAAAGGCTATGGTAGACATCATAAAGAATTCTGATACCTTAACTCTTAGTCCATCTTTTGTGCAAGATGATCTTAAAGGTTTAGAAGAAATATCCCAGCTCTGAGAAATGTATTTCTTCCATGTTTTCTTATAGTTTTTTATTGATTTTCATTGGTGAATATTTTTCAAGAGTTTAATTTAGATATGTCTCAAAAAGAAATGTAAGGGATGAAAATGCAAACTATGGTTTTCTTCCTACAGCGAAAAAGATACATTCATTTATTCATTTTATAAGCGATGAACAAGTTTGTACACTGTACACTGGAGTAACGCCAGGATTTGAGAGCAGAGAGGTGCATGACTTGGTTCCTGCCTTCTCAGACCCTGTAGTCAAATCAGGGAAAGAGATATGGAAATAAACAGTTTTAGCAGAGTGTTAGGATGGAGGAATGCCAGTAAAAGAAAAATCACCTGGTTGGTGGGTGGGATTGGTGTGTCACTAAATCAGCTACAGTCCAGCAAATACCTCTTAGAGGAGATGGCCATTGAGCTGAGCTGTAAAGGTCACCAGGAAGTTTGTCATGTTGTTGGGGGAAGCAAGCGAAGACTGCTGCAAGGAATGGGACTAGGATAAGGAAATGCAAAGAGGTAGAGAGAGCAGTGCATGGTGCCATGAGAACTTCAAGTCTGCTCAGGACCGGAGGTGGAGCTGTGAGTGCCAGTGCGTATGGGGACTTGGCAAATACTAGGCTGGAAAAACACCCAGGAGAGAGATCGTGAAAGGCCTTCCACGCCAGGCTAAGAAGTATAACCTTTATTCTGAAGGCAAAGGGTAGCCACCAAAGGATTTTAAGTACCAGGGTGATATGATCAGATATATGCTTTAGAAAAATCATTCTGGCAGCTATTATATATTCTAAATGAAGATAAAACATCTCCTTAAGACCTCTGAAGTATTCCAGCTGGTTCCTGAAGAAGGGATGTCTATAATTCTTGCCATATATCCTCTTAACATACCATAGAAACATTATCCCACCTGAATTCTGGCTAACTAGACTTAACCATGACCTGGAGAAATAGGTTTGGGGTAGTTGTTACATTTTTCCTAATAACCCTGGACATCAGGCACACCCAGAGAGGCCACTGTAAAGGAAACCCAGCCTTTCCATATTGATGGGGTGTTTGTGTCAGCAGCCACTAGCAAGGCAGGATGTTCTACACACTTTTCAAGGGGTGAGATGCCATTTTCCCTCATGTAGATACTCTATGGGAGAAACATGCAAGAGAAAAAAGAAACCTTCATGTTGGGCTTTCTTTTTGCTGACAATAAGATCATGCAACAATATCCTATTTGCATGAAAATGTAGCCATCTTACAACAGGAACTATACATTCATAAGCATACTTTTGAATGGACCATTTGGAAAACTTTTTAGGCACAATCGAATTTATGCAGTATCAAGAGATACAACTATAAATGGCCTGATTTTTGAGTCTAGGTACGTTTTGGGATTAAACACTGTTCCTAAACACTGGAAGAGGAGAAAAGTAAAGTTTAAAGAGAGGATATGGCCCAAAACTGTGGAGTCTCAATACAAAATTGTAAATGAAAATGATCTTGAAGTCACTGTGGCTTCCAGCTTGGCTTCTAGAAAAACAAGGGGGTCCACAACCTTACACGTTCATTTGCCCTGGCAGTTGAAAGTTCATCTCCTTAATTAGGAGTTTTGCTTCTATGACATAAAGAGCCCTCTAATAGAAAACCTATTTTATTTTTACCTGATGGCCCACTGACACAGGAAGTTCTGATCAGTTGTGATGTAAATCTTAGGAGCTGTTTTGGGTTTTGTTGTTGCTTCACTCTGAGTAGGTTTAGGGGAACAGCAGTCCTGAGAGGACAGGAGTTAGTAGGGAGAGAAAAAAAATGGAAGCAAGGCTTTGACCTGCCGGAGAGGAGCCCCTGCTGACACGGTCAGTCTGACCCATTGAATGGCCTGAATACGATAAATGCCGCTTTATCCTGCCTTGAAAGGCACGAGATAGCACAGTCTAAATGCCTGGGCATGCTTAAATAGGCGACTCGGGATGTTTGAGTTGAGAGTGTTTGAAATCTGAGCTCTCTGACAGCCTGGGAGCTGCCACAGGTCACCTGCCTTGCTCCGTAGGGACAGGCCCAGGTCTCACAAGAAATTGTCCGTAGACGAATTGTAGTACAAATTCCTTTCTTTGTTGGTTGGCCTCTTTCACTAGACCATGGCCTATAAAATTTTGTAAAAACAATTCTTAAATATTATTTGAAAGGGCAAATGGCCCACGCTGAAAGGTTTGACAGTTTGACATATAGTGCATGGTTTTGATAGCTCGGAAACTGAAAAGTGTGGCCAAGATTCTCCCCCTGCTCGTTAGAAACCTGGTGTTTTTTTAAATAGTGTCTTGTTGCTGTGCAGAGTTCCTCTGCTCCTTGAAATCTGACAGGCAATGAGTCTGCTCCAGTGATCTTAAATCCTTTTAGACTAATTTGTGAGAGAGTAGCAAAGTACTGTAGCTAGCACCTTTGAGTCCAGCATCCAAGAGGCACAGAACCAGGTATTGCCAATTAAGGAGCCATTCCGATAATCGTATCAAAGCAGATTGCTTTAGAGTCTTATAATGCCCGAGCCTGTGCCTAGAGAGAGAGGAACCCAGAGTTTCACTTCAATGAGGGGGAAAAAAGAGACTGGAGTGGCCCGGTCTCATCAGAGCCCAGGAAGTTGCAGGGAGAGGATTTCTGCATTAGAATGTTGCATATGTGCGGCCTGTGTGTGCGCAGCCCCGGCCGCTGCCTCTGCATAGCCAAAGGCCATTTTCAGGAGCCTCTGGCCCCTCAGTCACTGGCCTGCTAGTTAATTGCCACACGGACTTCATGACACATGGGCAGATAATATGACATTTTCAGTTTCTGTCACTAGCAAACGCCACAACGTTGCTTGCACTAGTTGCTAAGAAGCTGTCAGAAACCATTAGCGGTTGGCTAAAGTCGCCCTATGGCATTTCCTCATAGCATCAGCAAAACGAGCATAAATCACCCACTGGAGCCTACTGCTATCCTAATGAGGCTGTAAGCTTGTTTATGGACTAGCATCATTTTTATGATTATTTCCACCTTTTCAGTTTGCCTTCATTTGGCGGCAGGAGAAGTCAGCTCCAGGAATGAAGTCACTGCTGACATTTTACAAATGTGGTTCAGAGCTGCTGCCTGCTGCCGTGTGGTCGGCCGGCGGTTCTCCAAGTTTGTTTAGTGATCTCAAAAGTAAAAAAGGAAAGAAATTCTCGAGAGACCACATTGAGGTGACTATATCAAATTGCGGAGTGAATGGAAATGCTAAAGGTACAATTGACCATTTAGACTTTCCTCTGAGGTTGAGACATTTCCAGATCAATTTTCAATTTTAGAAAGTGGAAGAGGTTAAACAATTTATTAAAATCTATGAAAGTGTTTGCTTTTAGAATAGTCTGTTTTATTATGCTCTTCTCCTTCCCCATCTTCTCCATTTCCCTAACTTGTGTCGGAAAGGAGCAGGGTTTATTGTTTTAGGCTTTTCTGAACATGCACCAGTATTTACACTGGATTGAAAGCATTTGCTTCCAATGAAAATCTTGTCTTAGATTACAACCCAGCAGTGTAATTTCCCTCCCAGATGGGAGTAAAGTAGCTGTATTTGCCTAAAAACAGTAGGAAGAACAAACTGTGCATTAAGCCAAGGCTGTTTTTGGCTTGAGCTAATGATGTAATAGAAACCTTTTATTCAGGAGAGGTCACTGCCAGGGACTGAAGGGGGTGATCTGGCTCCTGCTTGAAAGGTTTCTCCATTGTATCTACATAAGTCTTCACTTAAAAAATTCTGTTCCTAATGCTTCTGCTTTCATACAGCAGAAATAAACAGGAAAGGTTCTGGTGAGTGTTACACATGGAATGCAGAAAGCCTTCCTCTCCTAATGGAGTATATAATTCAGGTGCCCTCAAGGCACGCTTTCAGGAATTCTTTTGCCTGAGGTAATGGGAAGCTAAGGTTGCTTTAAGGCCTTGATTATCTATTGATGCACAAAGCTGGAAAAAAGTCATCTCTGCTGGATTATAGTAGATATTTCCATAAATTATCAATGAATTCTCTTCTAGGCAGGCACTATGCATTGCTTGCTAAATTAATCTGAAGGGGTTTGAGGTGGATAAAAAGGCTATTTTTTTTAAAGGTGGAAAATAATCATGGGGAGGTGGTGAAAACAGTATTGTAAGGTTATAAGCTTTTCATTTTTAATCAATGATCAGGTCGTATGTGTCTTTTCCTTGGTTACCTTTTGCATATTGAAAGTGGATTAGCCCATTGAAAATTTAAATGCTGTTGAGTTGTTTTCTTTTCTCATGTTTCTTTAATGAATTGTTATTTTATATGGTAAACTGCTTCTCTGAATAAAAAGGCTGTTTAAATACTGGACTTTCAAAGAATTTATTAGGCAAATCCAAGGGGACTTCTCATAAAATACTTGGTTATGCAAATAAAGAGTTTGGTTGGGTGGAAGGAGTGCTGATTTACAGATGTAGGGGTCTGGAACAGCACAGACCCCAGTAGTTCCATGCCAGGGTACATGACCTTGGCCCAGTCAGAGAACATAGCATTTTCTTCACTGATACAACAATGGCTTTGGAGTGGTGGGTTTTCATGATCTTTTCCAAGTGAACACAAGATATGTTTCTGTTAAACTTTTAATGAAACAGATAGATTTTAAATATAATAAAATTACAGATTTTTAATGAATAAAAGTTTAGAATCAGAAAAGTTTTGCAAAAGTTTTGCATTTATAGCATATTCTGTAATAATAGTAGAAATGTTGGAATTAGTTTGTTCCTCACCCAACAAACTTTCTAAACTTCATCTCAGTACAAGTTAAGGCAATTGAAAAAAAAAAATTGAGGAATGCTTTTCTTTTCTTTTTTTCACAGGAGAGAGATGGGTCTGCTGAGGGAGCTGTTAAAAACAGTTGATTAGTTGCAACATACCTACTATAGATTAGACAGAAATAACTGAAATTGAACTAGAGAATTATTTTTTTATGTAGGACCTAATAACAGAAATGAGAAATACAGAAATTCATGAAGCCATGGAAATGAACCTGAGGCTATGTGCAGGAAACTTGTCTTACCAAAGTTTCAGGTTCTTTGGGTCGTGTAGTTGGCTCTCCAGTGGCTTATTTAACCCAGTGAATGTGCTCTTGGGTGTATTTTTTTTTTACCTCATTTCTAAGCCTGGCTGCTATAGCTCTTCCGTTTGGGCCCAGATCAACCTGTCGGTTTCTAAGAGAACGGTTGACCGAGCTAAGCTACTTTTTAGTGTAATGGGTCTTGTCCTTTGTTGTTTTCCTTTTTGACTTTGATGCCAAGGCAAAAAATACCTACTTTCCATTTGTACCTTGTAACTTATTTTGAACAGTTATATGGGTTAAATTTTTATTTTTTCTTATTAAACATGGCATTTTAAAAAAGAAATACTAACTTTTTAAATTTCATTATGTCACAGAGCCAAAATATTTTCTAGAATAAAGAGTGTAAATGTTATAATAAAAATCAATAGAAAAATAGGATCCAATATAGAGGAATATGTTAGCAGGTGATTTTTCAGTGTGAAAAATGCTAGGTTTACCTAGCATGAATTTTAGAAACTGCCTGAATTATTAGTGTAATACAATTCTAATTTACTATTAATTTAGCATTACCTTATTTGATTTACACAGTAATTGTTTTTTAATTAAGAAACTATGTCAGGGGTTTTTCCTTTACTAAACTTGATGCTTTCTCTCTATTACAAGAAAAATTATATTTTATTTGAAGCATTCCTATGTCAAACTGCTTATATGATGGATTACCTACATTTCCCCATCCTAGTTTAACTAGTCTTAAGATAGATCACTTGTGGAAATAGTTGATATCTTAAATGAATCTTCTCACAAGTCAATGTCAATGACTGTGGGATTTGAATGCCCAGGCAGCCATAGCGCCACAGCTAATGACTGCCACCATGTTTAACTCCCCGGTAGGAGTTACACTTAACCTGTCTCAGCTATACATATTGGAATAATTACCATAGCAACAAAGCCACAAGGGGATTGGATATTTCCCTCCATTCCCTTTGACTTTTGGCAATGTTCTTTGGAAGAAGTTCTTTAGACCTGACTGCTCTTGAGCCTAGGCCTTGTTCTTTCTCTGTCTTGGAAAACAAAACACAACAAAAAAACAGTACCAAAGAAACTATTAATCATTTAAATTTGCTCTTTTGGTTTTGTTTATATCCAAAGGCATTCTATTTGAATAAAGCATGTCAAGGTAGCATCAGTCAAAATTTGATTCGCTATGTTTGCAGGTGATGGCTTGGACAACAGTGTAGCTTCCCCCAGCACAGGTGACGATGATGACCCTGATAAGGACAAAAAGCGTCACAAAAAGCGTGGCATCTTTCCCAAAGTAGCCACAAATATCATGAGGGCGTGGCTGTTCCAGCATCTAACAGTAAGTGGATTCTAAATGACATATATAAACTAAATATGGACAATGAACCAGTTTTTATACAAAAAAATGAGAAAAAAGTGATCCCTCTGGACTTGAAATATTTAATAAATAACTGTGTTCCCACAGTTTTTGCAAAAGTATTAGCACTTATTTCTTAGATAGATACCCCAAATGAGAAATTTTATTTAAAATTCACGATTGCGATTTTGTTAACTTTCATAAGTTAAAAGATTTAGGTGTTCATGTGCACTTGTGATTTTAAGTATGTGTTTTAATGATGTTGCTTTTCTAAGTGTGACCCTTAAGTGCTCAGAACCATCTCCTACTAAGAAGAAAGTTAGACAAACCCTAGAGAGAGACTTAATATCTTCTGATGCTTTAGTGGATCTTTACAACAAATGGTCCACAAAAATTTAAATCATGTTGCAATGGCAAGATGATCACATAATTTGCTTTTAAGTGGTTTGAATGCACTGGCTTCCATTACAAAACATTCATGTAAGTCAGAGCTCCACAGTGAAAGTTGTCCCTGTATTTAGAACTGTAAAGGAAAACAGCAATATAGAGTCAGCTCTTCCTGTGTAGTCCCTTGTGACTTTTCAAGCAGAGTAACAGTTTATATTGTCTGTGCCAGTATTGCTGTTTTCACTGCAGGAATTCTCCTGGAGATGTGAGAAACTGGAGATTTGGGGCTTTATGCCACTGGGGGATTTGTTTTGTTTGGTTATTGTTCTGAATGAATTTCATGTTCAAAATATTTATAATAATAATATTTTGGTGGATATTTTTGTAAGTGCATACCAATTTAAAGAAGAAGATACAATGAAGATTTGTGGATAAAATAATATTTTAAAAATCAACAAAATTGTTGACCAGAGGAATTTCAATATTAGAGACAAAGGATGAATTTAGACAGGTTGTAGCAAAGTTACATAGATGGATAAATGTTAAAAACTCTTGAGGGTTGTTTTTTAATATCAGGAGAAAATATTTTGTGTTACTATTTTTGTCTTAGCTTGCTTTTCCTAAAGTCAATTTTTCCTTAAATATTAAAGTTAATCTTGCATTGTCATAAACACTTGCAGAGCCTGTTTACCTTCATACCTGGGCCCACATTCAAAGCCATGTTCCTCAGTGAGTTTTACGGGTACAGAGATACAAACTCAGGGGATGTCTGCAGGTCATGTTAGTTCTGCTCCTCTGGATAGAGGCTGTGCCTCTAATAATACTCAAGGGTATAAATTAATCCAGATTTTCCAGCATCAGTGAATAAGATAAAAGCTGAGAGCAGCAGGAATAGCTAAAAAAAAAAAAAAGTTTCCTCCCTTCTCTTCTTCCCATAATAATTCCAAACAGTATCTAGACTACACTACAGTTTTTGAGTAAACTTCAGGGCTTGGCTATGCTGGAAATTAGTTGGAGATTTAGATTATTTGAGCTGTTTTGATTTTAACATCATATTAGGTTTACCTAGAATCTGATTCAGGCACCACTACTTATCTGACACCTGTTGCATGTGTGTAGATATTTCAATATCTGACTCCTGCAAATTCCCCACTGAGGATTATCAATCACTAATGAACTAGGGGAAAGAGGACTCAGGTCTTGAGGGCATATCATGAAAAACGAATGATATGACATTTAGATAAGAAGTGGCAATTGGTCAAAGGTGTGGTACAATGATGCTGATGCAATGATGCTAATATTTTATCTCCAGAAATAACCAGCTAACTCGCTGTGTGGAATGAGTTGGTGTGGTGGATAAAATCAGGTTGGCCCTGAAGTCACAATCAAATAATTTCTATTTCCTATAGACTAACAGAAACAATGAATAGATTTCTTCAGCCCCCATCTCAATCTGCAAAGGAGTTTTGGCTTTACTTGAAGCTGAGGTGCCCCTGAATAAAATATAATCAAATATTGGTTCAGACAGAATCAGGAGAGAGAGAAGCAAGCTATTTTATGCAGCCACTAGTTTTCCTGTTTTTCTAGGTTGTACCCTTGTGAAGACCCTTGCATAGAGCTACATTATCTTCTTGAAACAAACAAACAAACAAAAAACCCAAATAAACTTTCTAACAGCCCGCATGATTTTACATGCATTGCATTGCTTATATGGACTATGTGTTTGTTACTGGGGCAATTGTAATCGAAATTATTCATGAACTGCCTGATTTCTTGAGACCTAAATAATAGTCTTCAGTTTTGAGGTCTTTGCTGGCCTGTGCCACTGCCCTGGAAGGGGAAGCCCATTCATCCATGTTTCCCCAGCTTTCTGTGAATGTTTATAGGTGTTACCTTGTGGTTTCCATTGGATATTTCTACCTCCATTACCCACTCCAATGCCATCTGCTCATACAGAAATATTGATTAATGATAATGGTCTGTAGATAGCTAATTGTTCTTATAACATCATCTGAAGAGCAAAGTTAAGAGATATGTTTAAATTTTTCATCTTTTCCTTCCCCCAATGAAAAAGATTCCTTCCCACTTCTCTAATTGCAAGAGCAAATAGACCTCCAGCTATAAGGAACACCCGTTACCCTTGTTTTGTAATCCTTCTTGAAGGAATGCATGGACTGCTTAGGTAATATTTATAGTAAGGAGCTAATTTTAATAAATTCTATTTTAAAAACCTATAGAATCTAAAGAGAGTTTTGTTGTTGTTTGTCTAAATGTAAGTAACCACTGACATCTCAGTACTAATTCTTTAGTGACTTTATTTCAAGTTCTGGGAGGTCTTCAGGGATGCACAATTCATTAGGAAGACTGTACAAATTTTAAATGGTCACGTCATTGCTATGTGATTAATGCAACTTATCTAGGAAATCCTTTCTGAATTCTTGCTAGATGTAAAAAAGCCATTGAAATTCTGGCTAATTAAAACAATAGCAATACCAATTTATTAGTAAACTGTAAACTAGTCTTTTTTTAAATGTCAAAAGACATATTCGAAAACCTCTCACACCTTTTAAAAGCAAATTGCTATTTCTTTTTAAAATAAATGGATCAATCCTTTCACTGGGTTTATTCAGTGAAAAAATCTGCCCTTGAAAAGGCTTTAAAGCATTTCTGTGTTAGAAGAGTAGAATAGGCCCTGAATTAAAAACCAAAACAAAACAAAAACCAACTTTCTGAATTTGTACCCCAGCTACATGAGAAGAAAAATGTGGCAGTCTGTAGTTATCCACAGGTAGACTTAATCAGTAGCACATTTTACTACTCCAAAGAGAGAACTAAAGCCTCACTCTTGGGCTCACAGTCTCTAGCAAGCTAAACTGGACATACTTGTATATAATGAAAATAATAAAAGAAAAAGGAAACGAGTTTTAAACTTTGGTGATTATGGGGTAAGAAGAAATTTCAGTGAGGTAAATTCCCAGCTTATACTTAGTTGAGCATTTGGCAGAGTCGATAAGTAGAGAGGGTCTCTTAAAAGAAACTATTCCCTGGAATTGAAAGGAATGACTGACATGATTTAAATAATAAGAGAGAATTAGAAAGAAAATAAAGGCATTTATTAATAGGAATTCTTACATTTGCCTGAAGATGAATTATTGCAAACAATTAAAACGTGCTTAATATTTGCATATGAGTCACTGTGTATTCACAATCAGTTCAGGGGCATATGTCATATCAAGGTTTCTTTTTCCTTCTTGAAGGCATTATTCCAACTGTAAACATAGCCTGTGACATCATAGTGCTTAAGCTGGATGTGTTTTGCATGTTATCAGTTCTTTTGCTGCATAGTATTACAAAGATATGTGTCCAAAGGCTTAGTGAAAATGAAGAAAAAGAATGCATGCCACGTTTAAGGTAAAAATCAAGGGTCTCTTTTCTTTTTTGTTTTCCTATCCTATCATATTGCAGTCTAAAGTATAATCTAAATAGAAAAGCGCTTAATGTGGTTCTTATTTAAAATATGCAGTGACTATATTTTCCTGCATGGAGCTCCCGTGCTTCCAGGAATACTGAAAGTTAGGGATAAGGGAGGGAGGTAGAAAGCATACCTACAGATTCAGGTGAAGCAAGCATTCACGGGTCAATATCCAGCATTGACCAGTCGGAATGGTGATTCTGATGGTGAACTGATTTTCATTCACACTCTCTCCTACTCCCCATCCATTCACCATCCTGAGGATCCCATTTGGTTAAGCCTTACTACAGGGACAAACTTTGCTTCTAAGTTAGACACACTTATGTGCCAAGTGTTTTTGTTTCATTTTCTTTCTTCTTTCTTTCTTTCTTTTTTGTGTATGTGTGCACTTCTAGCCTGGAAAATTTGTGTGTGTGTGTGTGTGTGTGTGTGTGCGGCCAAATTTATGTCTTGATTTCTGATTTATAAGACTTCCCTCTCATTGTGGATAAAGCCAATGCGAGAGGTTGTAGAATCTTCCAGGTTGAGAATAGCGTTTCCATAGTAACACTATTAGATGAAAAGTGCCCTGCGGGTCCGCCACTCTAAGGACGGAGTAAATGGAATTGAATTGGGAATTGAATGCTCTAGAAGAGACAGATGTTGTTTCATTGGTTTCGTTTTTAGTAACAAGATCTGTTGGAGTCATCTTAGTGTCGTATCCCTCCTTGCCATTTTGGAAGAATTATTCTGTAAACATTATGAATTATTACAATGAAAAAGTACATCTAATTGGTATCTGGATAATCCATTCTGTTGATCAAAGTTAGGAAAAGATAGAAGGACTTACAGGTAGGCACATGGGCAGGTAGTAGATGAAATTTTCTCCTCTCCTCCCATTTCTATTTCTTTTTATTGCCCACCTCTGTACTCTGCCAGTTTGAACAGTGAATATTCCTTTTAAGCCTTACCAGCCAGCATCCTTCAACAACCTATCCTGAAAGATCTAGGGGGAGTCCTGAGAAGGTGGTGGGGAAGGACAACTATATTCTCACATTCTTGCCCAAACTGTTCATCAGGGTATTTGAGAAAGGCAGTTTCTTCTTCAAACTAGTCCTAATCTACCTTAATTGTCATGTGCCTGAGACAAGGGAAGTGGCTTGTGGAGATAGCAGGTAACTTTGATTCCTTCTTCACTACCTGTTATCTGCAGACAGATCATTAAATTAAGAGCCTTGAAAACTAGTATGAAGGTGCGAGAAGATTTTTTTTTCCTTGCAGATGTCCATGTACCCTATCAAAAATTAGCTCTTTTACATACATAAGAAGAATATTTTCATAGTTTTTACTTTTTCCCTTACATGTAACTGCCATTCACCTTCACCTCTGACCAAAGCTAGGCTTTGCTGAAACTAACCCAGGCTTGGATGACAAAATCCTTTATCTGAGTTTTAAAAGATCTCTGCTACTTTGTAGATAGCGTATTTCAACTTTGACTAGATAAGGACCCTGACTATTTTTCACTCAAGTGGGAATCATCAGTCTGGGGAGGGAAATGGAGTCGATTATTTAATTACTTGAGGGGAATATTGGAATGCTCTAATTTTTCTGTGATATACATCATATAAACTCTGTTTTAATAATGAAGCGGGTGGTTTCCAGATTCTGGGGCAACTGCCTTTTTCTTTTTCTTAGCTGGTTATTGAAATCCTAATGGGATGGGTGATGAATTTTCTTAGGTCAGGTAAACTGAAAAGGCTACAGCTGGAATTCTTCACCCAGAAGAATCGGAGTTAATACTAATGATCATTGTGAATTAGAAGATCAAAGGAGAAGCATCAGCCTGTTCTCCACATTGTTGCCCCAGAGGCCATTAGTGACCTGGCAAAGCTTTCTCCCAGCCTTCTCTGTACCTCCTTCCCCTTGCCTGGGCCTTTCTTCCCCACTTGTAGTTATGCACCTCTGACCTGGGGTAATTACAGTCAGTTGATGCGGAGGCATGGGGGAAAACAATCGAAAGCAAAATCAAAAGTCCAACTTTAAAATTGCTTATTTATCCAGGTATATAGCCCTTCTGAGCACACGACCTCTGTCTGAGACTCTATGTTACTGTCAGAGTATGAGTGCAATTTTTGTGTGCAGTGAAATAAGTGGTTTATTCATTTCACCAATGGTTGTTTCACTATAAGAGACTTTTGTAGAGTCTGGCTGGCAATTTGTCAGATCATTCTAAAAATTTTCTTTTTTTCCCAAGGTTAAGATACAGATACACGATAGTTTGGTTTTCTGATATATTCTTAATTGGGCTGATTAAATAAAGGATTATGTGTAAAACAAAAGTGCCCATGGACTTTTTACAATTTGTTAGGTTGTTACTGATACACCTAACTGAACACTAGCCAGCCATTTGTACTTCAAAGTGTGTATCAATATCATGTCTTCTTTTTATTTTAATTAGTGATGATATATTTTTAAAGATAAAATATCAAACTTGGTCACTGAGCATGCACCTCAATTTATCTTTCCGATTAAAATTGGAGTACCACAAGTATACATGTGAGTGTGTGTATATTTTTTTAACGAACTCAATCCAACCCCTAGGAATTTTATGCTAGTTTGGTTCTTTCTTTCTTCATGTTTAAGATTCCTAATGAAGATACCTTGTCTTAAAATATGAAGGTTTGACCACAGGAAAATCAGATAGATTTATTTTATAAAAGATTCCAGTGTTTTGGATTGTTTTGTTTTTGTTGGTTGGTGGTTTTGCCAGTAGTAGTAAATCTACATGTCGTGGAATTTAGGATCCTAGGACTGAACTGGTAACATCCACATCATATCTGTCTCTCATGCTAAAGTGTGAGTATAACTATCTGCTCATGTATGTCCCTACCCCTGCCATCTATGAATTTTAGTAGGGAAAACTGATCCATTTTACATCTTTTAATCCCCTAAGTAGCCTTGTCCAAGGTTCTAATTTTTCTTCTTGTACTGATGTAGGTCCATGACAGAGGGCAACCAAGTAGTGGAGTACTTGCACATTGCAACCAAGACCACGTTGCAATGGTCTGTTGCTCAGCTCACAAAACACTCTGGGCCATGACCCAAGCTTACCTTTGATAGATTGAAAGCCATGTGGTAGCAAAAAAAATATTTGATTGACGCTCCAAGGCAGTAATGATAGGGATTGTGTAGATCCACATCAAAATGATTGCTCCTGATGTGTGAGCACTTTCACTTCAGTATTGCTCACCCTTCCTTGTGCAGAGTCCGGAGTGTGGGCAACTTGGCTAGCCTCTGTGGACTTGATAGTCACTTCAGTGTGTCAAGAGCCAGAGAGTGCGCTCAAGAACTCAGATAAGGCATCTCTTTCTTGGTGGGCCAGTGGAGAGCCTCCAGGAGTAAGCAGTAGATGAAAGGGTTATGCTACGCAACCTTCTAACATTTTAAAGGCTTTTTAGTCCTTGTTTTTCATTGCCATTGCAAAACGCCTTCACTCAGCAAATTATAGGCCAGTGAGCACGGGTCCCAAGATGAAATGTATTCCTCTATCTAAAGAAAAGGTAGACCTTAAATAACTTGATGTTATGAAGGCCAACATCCTAAATTAGTTGGTATTTAAATGAGACAGAAATGACTTGGTTTTATGTTTTTAGAAATATTCTGAAATAGGTCTTGGTAACTGCTTGAATTTGAATGTCCTGTTGGCATGATCTCTTAAAAAATGGGGTGGTATATATTAATTTAACCTTGTAGTTGTCTTTGCATTTCATTTCTTAATAATCTATGGTCAGTTTTTATCTGTTTCCACAATTACCTTTGTTGCTAGCATCCCTGCAGTACCCAAGTGCTGTCATTTGCCACGTGGCATAGATTACCCTGAGAATTTGGTATCCTGGGAAGTTTTTGGGATGTCCAGAGACCAGCAGGTATAGTTTTTTTTTCCAACATGAACACTCATCCTATGAAAGATCAAGGTCATTTCTGTTGCAGTTTATAGAAGTTTAGAAAAAATTCTTATCTATTATTTAAAGAAAAGCCAGTTGGCCGGGCGCGGTGGCTCATGTCTGTAATCCCAGCACTTTGGGAGGCCGAGGTGGGCGGATCCTGAGGTCAGGAGATCGAGACCATCCTGGCTAACCCAGTGAAACCCCGTCTCTACTAAAAATAAAAAAAAAAAAAAATTAGCCGGGCTTGGTGGTAGGCACCTATAGTCCCAGCTACTCAGGAGGCTGAGGCAGGAGAATGGCTTGAACCCGGGAGGTGGAGCTTGCAGTGAGCCAAGATTGGGCTACTGCACTCCAGCCTGGGTGACAGAGAAAGACTCCGTCTCAAAAAAAAAAAGAAAAGCCAGTTTCCCAACTTCAAGGGGGAAGAACTTCACAAAATGAATTCGTTGAAAAAATAAAATAAAATATTCTCCTGCCTGCATAATGTGACTTTTATTATATTTTTAAAAATTCAGCTATTAATTGCTTGGCTATTTTGACATTGGATTATTCTATCCTTTCAACAGCTGAAGGAAAAAAATTTATTGTAATGCTAAATAAAAATGTAATATGTATGTATGTAGTGCTTTATTGTTTAATATTTTCCTATACACTGGATGCATAAGACAATCCTGTAAGGTGGGCAGCATGACAAAAATGAAATTTAGAGAAGTTAATGATTTTTCTCAAGATCAAAAGCGAGGAACTGGCTGAGCTTGAACCAGGATCTCCTGACTTGAATTTCCATCTGCTTTCCACCACGCTGCCTCTCAAACACACAGCAAATCAAATCGCGTTGTGGGAGTTCAAAGATATAATTATAATCTCATTCCACAAGCTAGCTAATTAGTATTTTTAAAAAATAAAAATATAAGCCAGAGGGCTTGGCATAAAACTTCATAATGCAATCTGATGGTTATTAGTAACTAAGGGTCAAGAATGGTCCTTCCCTATCTGGAATCTTTTTCTGCAGATATCTGCCCATAAAAAAGGCAAAGAAAGCTACATCTGTTGATATTTTGTGACAATCTTGATAATTTTTGCGTTTTTGGAATTTCAGATTTTCAACATTATTTAACTGCTCCTCCTTCCTTACAGAAATATGTAATTCTCTACCCATGTCTGTTACCAACAATGTCTGTGATAGTGCTTTGGGGGGTGAAGAATCTTTCCTCATGCAGATCCTAACTAAACCTTCTAACACAGAATTTAGCTCCTTGAAGATTTTTTTTTTTTGCCTGTCACGTGGCCTGGACGCCAAAGAGCTAAGTCTTTAATTTTCTTTATGGAGATAGAGGAAACTGCTTATGCAGCCCCGATTACTCTTGAAACTACAATCCAACTGTCGTTTCTCAGCAAAGAAGGCTGCTAAACCCAGGAGAATTAAGCTGCCACTCTGGGGTATGACACCGAGGTCTGATCATTTTAAAGCTAGTAATAACCAGAATCCTAAAATTCTTATGAATAAAATGTAATTTTAGTAATGTTTCCATAAACAGTGGTAATGGTGGCATTTTAGTAGGCAGTGACATTAGTCACATAGAAATTGTACCACATTGGCTTTTAAATTACTCCACCTGTCTGTATGAATAGAATTTTCAGTGTAAAAGCAGAGAGACAGCTGCTGCTAATGTCTCCTTCTCCCTGTGCGTATAATGCTGGCAAATCTACATGCAGAAAGGACTGGCTTGTGATGTAAAATGGTACCTGACCCCGCTGGCTCCTGAGCTACAAAGCAATACCTTTAATTACCAGTGGCTGTGTTTAGTTGTTGATATAAAAATGTCAGCTTCCAGGAGTGTCACCTCAGGTTCACTCCCTCTAGTAATGTCACCCATCGTACAATATTTTTCTTCCACCCACATCCGTAATGCGATGGGTGGGCATTTATCTTTGTGTGTTTCAGAAACATGCAAGGCATTAATAGTTTAAAGGAAAACGCCTAATACTGTACGAACTTGATTAATGATCTTTCCGTTGGAGAAATTTTAAAGATTAGTGGAATTTGGTTCCTTCTTTCTAGCCAGAACAGAAATATGGCATGCCATTTGTACCATCAAAGGGCTTAGCATCATTTATCTAATACAAATACAGGTTCTTATGTGAGGATCATGGCAGGCATGTCATAGAGCAGAAAGGGTAAAGAATGGAGGGGCTTGAGAATATCAAATCTGTTACTACGTGCCCATGTTTCCTATTGATAGATGAGGAAGTTTACTTTTTAGATAAGCCCCTTTGCTCTTAGCCATTTGGTTATGGTTCTATTGTGGCAGCTCCATTGAGACAACAGTGGGCCAGGCGAGGGGATCCTCCTGTTGGAGATGCCTGTTGCCAACAATGTATTTGATGAAATGGTAAATAGGAGATATACGTGTCTGGCTCATTGGCAGGCATTCTTTTTGACTTCTTTCACACAACTGGTGTTTTCGTGTTTAATTGAACAAGGAATGAGTAGTAAATGAAAGCTGCTGCCTGAAATCCCACTGTGAGCATGTTTTGCACTTGGCTCCCCAGTGAAAAGGCAATTTGTGAAATTATGTGATGGAGTAATTAGATGAAGCCAGGGCTTCTGACTGTTGCCATGCATATGTGGCGAGGGTTTGTTGGGAAGAGGGAGGGGGAGAAAAAAATAGATTATTACTCTGGCAAGTCGGCTCAAAGCTTCTTCATTTATTTGTAAACAGAATATTTAGTGACCGCATAGGAAGTAGCTGTAATCACCAGCTCATAAAGAAACCACAGCAGAGCTTTTGGATTTTTGCAGAGTGCTCATGTAAAATTTAAGCTGGGAGGCAGAATCCCTGTTAATGTAATTAGGATCTAATTTACCACCCTTTGCACACAGATGTAATAATGTCTAGATATTTATTCTATCTTTAAGCATGTTACATATACCTCAGTGCAGCAGTTACTGAACAGAAACAGGTGTGAGCAGTTTCCTAATTCGTTTTTACACTGTAAACACATAGCAATTTAAGGGAAATATTTACCAAAAACGAGGGGAAAGAATGTCTGCAAATGAGGCAGTAATGGACAGTTGCCGTTTATGTACTGATGGATTTCTCAATGGTTAAGTAAATTAAAGCAAATGCTAGAAAAATCAATAGGCCAGCATAGTCTTGGTTTTGCCTCATAGACTTCAGGACAGAATGACAGATGTGGTGTCTATGACCCATTTAAGTATTAATGCTTGAAAAACTGCTTCTGCATGCAAGGTTGTAGGCTTAGAAACATTCTCCTATATTAAATTACAGACAATAATATTTTTAAGTATATGTGGAATTTATATGTTTCAGTTAGGTTGTTCTTATGTGTTACATTTATACTGGAAGATTAGTTGCTTAGTTGTTGCAATAGCACCATAAATCAGTTTTGAATGTTCCCACAAGGAAACATCTTCATAACGCTGTAGTTGGAAGGTGAAGATGATGTATTTTGAGCTGACGTGTATGTTGAAGTGAATATGCTCAACAGCACTCTATGTGGAAACCAAATTAAATTTAATTAAGGAGTAGATGCTCAGAGCCTTTGGAAAAAATCTGTAAAGTAGCATTCAAATGTGGCATTATAATTCAGTTAATCTCCAGGGCTACAAATGCTGTATTTTACATTTGAACTAACATGGGTAACATGTCACGTAGGTTGACTGTCATAGCGTGTGGAATTGTGGAGCTATTCTGATGTCCTAAGTGGTAGGTGTTAGCCTCTGAAAATGAGAAGGCAGACCTTATTTGGTAGCCCCTCAGAATGTTAAGTTTTCCACTCGTTGTTCCTATTTCTAAAAATTCATTACCAATTTCATGATAAATAATTTAAATACAGTCAAAATGTTGATTTGTTGACTACCAGAGATAGGAAGGCAAGGAGAGAAGCAAGGCCAAATGTACTTGCATGTCAGAGACCAAAATTTGCTCTTATGATCGAAATAAAATGAGGTTAAAGTTATTATCCTGGTCATTGGAGGAGAAGGTGCCTTTTGTTGGAGAGAAAAAGAGTTTTGCTGGCTTGAAGTGTCCTGTTTACCTTCTTGTGCTGTCTGAACTTAGACAATAATTGCTCAACTACCTTCCTTGCTCATGACAAAGCAGGCATGGTCCAGCCTGACTCTGGGTTTTGAAAATCAGTATGTAAAGGTAATATTGTGGCTAGGAGCAGTGGCTGTTGCCTGTAGTCCCAGCACTTTGGGAGGCTGAGGAAGGAAGACTGCTTAAGCCCCGGAGTTCAAGACCAGCCTGGACAATATGATGAAACCCCATCTCTACAAAAAGTTAAAAAATTAGCCAGGTGTGGTGGCTAATGCCTGTAGTCCCAGCTACTTGGGAGGAGGTGGGAGGATCACTTGAGCCCAGGTGTGTTAGGCTGCAGTGAGCCAAGATTGCACCACTGCACTCCAGCCTGGGCGACAGAGTGGGACCCTGTCTCAAAATGAATAAATAAATAAAATTTAAAAAATTAAAAAAAAAGGTGATATTGTGATAAGTCATATCATTGGAAACATTGCTAAGTTGGTATGATGAAAAGAAGTACAGTGATTATTTAGGTTCTAAATAGAAGCCTTTAAATTTTTTTTCACACAAGTATTTTACACAAATATTTCATGAAAATATTTACAACATTTCTCCGAACTTGTCAAATTTATCATGTGATTTAACAATGAACACATCTGGAGTTTTAACTGAGGTATAACAAGTAACTTTAAAAAAGTGAAAGTCTATCACCTGAAAAACTAGAAAATGAAAATTACTACAGAATTGAAAATTCTTTTGCTTCTTTAAAAACAGTGCTCCTTGGCTGAGCACAGTGGTTCATGCCTGTAATCCTAGCACTTTGGGAGACCAGGACAGGCAGATTGCTTGAGCCCAGGAATTCAAGACCAGGAATTCAATGGGCAACATGGTGAAACCCTGTCTCTACAAAAATACAAAACTTAGCCTGGTGTGGCGGGGCACGCTTGTAGTCCCAGCTACTCAAGAGGCTAAGGCAGGAAAATCGCTTGAGCCCAGGTGGTGGAGGTTGCAGTGAGCCAAGATCACTCCACTGCACTCCATCCTGGGCGGCAGAGTGAGACCTTGTCTCAAAAACAAACAAACAAAAAACAACAAACAAACAAACAAAAACAGTGCTCTTTAAGCTATGGCATGCATTTAAATTATCTGGATCTTTTTAAAAATGTAGATTCTGATTGAGAGGGTTGGGGCCTGAGATTCTGCATTTTCAGCAAGCTCCTATTGCTGCTGGTGCTGCTGGTCCACAGACTGCAGCTTGCATAGAAAGGATCTAAGGTACACAAGCAAGATGACAGATTTTAAATGGAAAGATGATTGTTTTTCTCTTTGATTTTTATACTTTGATTTTGCCCCCCTGATTTTGAAGCTTACCCCATTGTTTTTATCATATTAGTTTGACAAAATGTTTTATTTTTTCTCTGCCAACTTTCAATGTTTTTTAAGCATATAAGAAGTTCCTTTTGAATATCAAAGCACTTTCATTGGATCCCTCAAGTACTCTGAAAGCTTCTGATAGACGCAGGGCTCTGCAGAAAGACAGACTGTTTCTTCTGGGCTTGTTGACAGTACACTTGTGTGTTCGGGTGGGTGGAGGGGTAGCCCTGAAGGTCCCATGATACAGAATGTTGTGGTTCACCTCCACCACAAGGAAACATCTTCATAGCTTCAGTGCTCTGGTGACAATATGCAGCGACGGAAGTTATCATGGAGTGAGGGCAGTGTGTGTGGCATGCTAGCTCCTAGACTCCTGCAGAGGCTCTGCAGATCAGGTAGCCTTTGTCAGTAAGAAAGTAACAGAATCACTCACTGCAGAAACAACACATATGTTTGAGGGAGAACTGCGTTTGTGCCTCACACTTCTTGCCTACTTTATGTCTGCTCCAGGAGATCCTTTTGTATTCCCACTGCCTTGTGTACTTTATCTGCCATGGGCACTGTCACTCTCAAATTTCGCAGCATCCTGGAAGGAAGGTGAATTTGCTTTCAAAAGTGAGTATCTGAAAAGTATATTTCCTCCAGTGTGGCTAAGATCTAAGGAATTATTATAAGTAGTGCATACCTATTAATCATTGCTTAGCAGGTAAATTCTCTCACTCATTAGAGTTCACATGCTAGATGTAGTTTCTTGAAATTAGGTCATTTACTTTGGTCTAAGTCATTGAGGATCAAAGGTCATAAGGAATCCAAAAGCCATTAGTCAGGGTTCTTTTCTGGACCCCTTAGATGTCATTGTGCAAGTCACCCATGGCAGGCCGGGCCTGGCCTGCTGTCAGGGAGCTGGCAGGGTGCCTACTTTATTTCCAGTTTGCATAGATAAAAAGCAGAGCAGCGACTCTTGGAATCACTATAAAAATAAGCTTACATAAAATCTCCATTTGAAATACAGTATGTGTGGTGTGCCCCTGCATGCTTTCTATTCTGGAAGCCATGGGAGCTAGAAATCAAAATTAAGAAGCGAAGAGACAGACCTCTGATGGCATTGTAGACTACTCTTTGTTTGGGTGTAGGCATTTATAATTTATGGTAAGTTTAGTGAAGACCAAATTTTCACAAAGAATTAAAATGACAAACCAAGCATTTTAATTTGCTAAATAAAATAAAGGCATTGCTTAACCATTGTCAAACATATATATACATACATATAGCTACCCCCTCTTAATAAGACTGAAGTACATTTGTCGGTATCAGAAGTGGTGGGCAAGAGATATAGTCAAATCAATTCATTTACTTCTCTCATTGAGCCCTGTGAGTCTCAGGCCCACACCTTGAAGTGAAAACATCATCAATTACCAAAATGACAGGTGCTCAGGACTTACTTCCTGAAAGATGTTCATATTGGACCAGACACCACGAGCACTCAGCAACATTCATCACTTCGTTCAAAAGAGACCGAAAAAACTGTGGGGTGAATTTGCAAGGGAAAAAAGGCCAAATATACATGCATGAAATAGCATACGTTTGAATTTCTAAAAGTCAGACAGCAAGCAAGTATCCTATTTTATTTTAAAAGATTATTAATTGTTATTTAATAGTCAACTTGCATGTGATCTTACAATTAATAATTGTATCCCCATTTCACAGATGAAGGAACTGGGACAGAAAAGGTTAAAGATCTAACAGCCATCTTAGTGTACAATGAAGTTGGGACTGGAAACAAAACTCAGGGCCATAAATTTCAACTTCCTGGAGCTTACCACTTCCATACCCTGACACTTAAAATTATGACTTGTTATTGTTCTTGAAATTGTCCTGCATACACAGTTGACTAGAACTAATGAGAATGGAGGCAGAAGTCCACATAGCCTCATCAGAGTCATGCCTTTGACACAGTTATTCCAGAGCAATCACAACTGCTGTATGGTCAACCAGAGCTGGGGGCCCCTGTGTAGCCCCTTTGCTGTCCCTAGAGATCTCTGTGGCTCTGATACCTGTATTGCAGTAAAAGCAAGTGTGTGTGTGTGTGTGTGTGTGTGTGTGTGTGTGTGTGTGTGTGTGTGTTGGGGGGGAGACAGGGATCATGCTGGCATTAGGGCCTTTATCTATGAATACCTTATGCTTTTTGGTTTGAGGAGAGATGGCTAGAATAGTTTCCATGATATGATGACTTAATCCCACCACACTGCAGGAAAAAGCAACTTTCAAACCTGCTTGTTATGTTACCCACCATAAATCATGGCAAAACTTTAGGCCACATCTAACTTATCTTTGAATTGCAATATAAATGGGGTCATTAAAAGTTTTTTCCAAGAAAGTCAAATGTTTTTTGAGGGCCTACTATGTACAAGGAACCATATACATCCGGAACGTTCTATGATGTTTGAAAAGGGCATGGATCTAATCTCTGGTGCAGTTTATAGAAAGCTGGAGTGAACAGAACAGTCAGAAGACAGCTATAACAGTTTGGGTAAGAAGGCTGTGCTGTGGGAGTACAAAGAAATGAATGAGTACAAGATATGTTGGAGGTAAATCTGTACCTCATAAATAGAAACATTCTTTCAGTTACCACCACAGACACTAGAGATGTATATAGAGTCATAGATCCAGAGAGTGCCAAGAGAGAAAAGGAGGAGGCCAAAGATAGAATTTGGGGGATTATTATTTCTGAAGGCTGTCTGGAGGAAAAACCTAGAGAAGGAGAGACGAACAGACAGACAGGTCTCTGTCAAATACAGAGGTGGCATGAATTAATTTCTGGGTCCCTTCCAGCTCCAATGCTTTATTATTCTAATAAAAGCAAGGAAGGTACAGTGGTAAGAAAGTCGAAGAATCCATTCCCTACACTAAATCCATCATGGCTCCCAAACTGGCTCTCCTTGCTGTCAGCGTCGTCTCAGTTCATGACATCACCATAGACCCAGAAACTCCAACTCAGCTGAGACCCAGGAGTCATCCTGGAAGGTTCCTCTCCTTCCCCCTTCACAGGCAGTTGCTCATCCCTGAGTCCCATCAATTCTCTCTCCTAAACACTTCTCCATTCTTCTTCCCACCTAGCTCCATTGCCACTGCCACAGGTCAGTCCTCTATGTCTCCAGCTTTCTCCGTTCGTTCCCCAGCCTTCCTGCCTCTAACATTGGTCCCTTATAAACCATCCCTTATTTTGACACAGTTTTTCTAAAACAAAACTTGGCTAAGTCTCCTCCTACTTAAAATCCTTTGATATCTCCCTACTACCCGTAGGATATGAGACAAACATCCGTGGTGTGCCACTCAAGGACCCCTTGAGGTCTGACACTGGTGCCCTGGCGCCTCTCTCACCATTTTCATACAGGCTCCCCATGCATGCCATGCTGCAGCCAAGCTGAGGGCTTACAGCTCCCCATCAGTGCTGCACAGTCTTGTCCTCTGTGCACCTTACATGCTGTTCCCTCACCTGAGATACATCACTTCCATGACCCCTTCTCTACTTGACACTTTCCTCCACATCCTTCACATCTTAGTACAATTGTCACTGCTTGGGGAAGCCATTTGTTGTTTTCCCCAGGAGAGGGAAAGTGGCCCCTGCCCCCAGGTCCACAGCACCTTGATGAGACTCTGATAGGGAGTGCTTATCATAGTGACTGTTTATTTATGCTGTGCCTTTCTATCTAGAGGTCAGGATTTAATCTTTGCTCTGTACATCTTCAGAGCTGTACTATAGATGCTTGATATTATTTATTGACCAAAGCAATGAGTACAGTTGCAAAACAGAAATGACCAAACTCTGGGAGCTTTATAAAGTAGAAAGGCTGGAAAAGATCCTGATACAGGGGTTAGGATATCATCAGTGACTTTTGTCATTTATTTGTTTATCTACTTCTTCTTATTTCTTTTAGAAATAGGGTCTCAATCTGTTGCCCAACCTGGAGTGCAGCAGTGCAATCTTGGCTCACTGCAGCCTCCACCTCCCAGGTTAAAGCAATCCTCCTGCCTCGGCCTCCTGAGTAGCTGGGACTGTAGGCACATGCCACCACACTGGCTAACTTTTTAAGCTGTTTGAGGCATTTGGAAGAGAAGAAGTTGTATTATGAGGCATATGATGATACTGCAGTGGAGGCAGCAAAGGTAGATCCTTTTGCAATCACTTGAGGAAATATACTAAAGGATATACTTTAGACAGAAGCTTCAGGAAGTGGTAACAAGAAGGCATGGTTTTTCTTTTCTTTTTTAATATTTAGGAGAAAGGATATTTGAATATGTTTACATATACAATTGAATTCAGCTATCTTTCCTGGAATTGCTACTATGTTCCATGCAATTTGTTAATGCATAGCCTACTTACTTACTTAGGCAATAGAGACCTTTGAAGATCAAAGTAGAAAGGGACTGATTAATGAAGCAAGAATCAAGGGCAGGCAGACAGTGGAGGGGAGGGTGATGGGACTCAGAGTAAGAACATAGCAATAAGGAAGAAGTCAGAGAAATTTAGAAATGAAGAAGGCTGCTATTCTCCTCCTGGATCTTTTAGCAGGCTGGAGGCAAAGTTAACTGATGAATGTCCAAGAAGTGGGATTAGGAGCTGGAGGAGAATGGAAGTCATTTGGAAAAATTGCTGTTGGGAACACAGTAGGCAAAGCAAAAAAAAAAAAAGGAAAGAAGAAAAGATAAAAAGACTTTCAGAGTGTAGTTGAGAATACATATAGAAGTAGCACTAGATACCACACTGTGACCAAGGACTGGCTAGACTTTTAACAGGCACATTTCATAATCAATCTGTTTTTCACATGTTAAAATGAAGGTAATAGATGAATTCTTAGTGGTTTTCCACAGGAAAATAATTCCATTTTCTATTCCTTAAAAATTAGTACCATGGGGCCGGGTACGGTGGCTCACGCCTGTAATCCCAGCACTTTGGGAGGCCGAGGCGGGCGGATCATAAGGTCAGGAGATCGAGACCATCCTGGCTAACACGGTGAAACCCCGTCTCTCCTAAAAATACAAAAAAAATTAGCCGGGCGTGGTGGCAGGCACCTGTAGTCCCAGCTACTCGGGAGGCTGAGGCAGGAGAATGGCGTGAACCTGGGAGGCGGAGCTTGCAGTGAGCCGCGATTGCGCCACTGCACTCCAGCCTGGGTGACAGAGCAAGACTCCAACTCAAAAAAAAAAAATTAGTACCATGGGGAACATTCATTGAGCCCCAGTCTGAGTCACTGAAGTTTGTGCCATCATATGTAGGTTAGTGAACTCAAGATTGCATTAAAGGTTTTATCTCAGCTTTGGAGGAAGTTAACATGCAGTTATTGTACATTATCTTTCAGTACTGGTTGTATAAGAAGTTTGCAAAGTTGTTATTGATAACCTTTGCATGTGAGTTCAACAAAAACCATGCAAATGCAGCTGTCTGCTAAGATAAATTTTTTTTCTTGCCATGTGATTTGAGAGAAAAGGGGAGTTTTAAATTTAATTAAGACAAATCCACACAACATTGTAAAATATCTGAGCAACTGTACACGTTAACAGGTGAACAATCTCAGATATGTTCTGGTAAACCTTCCTCTGCTGGAAGCCTTATTTTTAGCAATGGGAAGGAGAGATGACTGGCTTGAACAGACTACTTTAGCTTCACAAGTTGAAGTTGAATTGATCTTGACACTGCTCCAGAAGAGTCTACTGTTGTCATTTTGGTTTGATGGTAAATGATATACAATTGGCTTCATGAAATAAAATGGTACCCTACACATAATGAACACTCATCACCATATACAAAGAACAGTTAGCTCAGTGTGATCATCAGGTCACAGATGACTCATGTGAAGTCTCTGTTTAAATAGGAAGGACTACTGACAAGCAAACATGCTCACAGAAAAATAGCTAAGTAGCGAAATAAATAAAGGGCTCAGTAGTCCTTCAAACATGTATTAGAAAACAAATTAAAAATTGGTTTCCTATTCAGTACTGTAAGGCAATGTCATGACAGTGTTGGAAAACCAACTCCCTGGTAGCTGGTGTATTGCGGACATTTCTGCCCTTGTCTTTGGGAGTGCCACGTACACGGTTACACAACGCATAAAGGCGAGGGTCATTTCTAGGACAGATAATTGAACATTAATACTCGCTGACATTGCCGAAGGAATGATATGTCAACTTGACAGGGCCTATGTGCTTACATCTGCTGATTGGCTGCGGACGAAGGCCCTGTGTGTCAGGATGAGACCCCAGGCCTGACTGCAGCAGGGCCAAGGATGCGGCGGCCATTAATCATGAGCTGCCATCTTGAGCCAAGACAGTGTCTGTAAAATCACTCGACATCCTGTGTGTGGCTGGCAAGTTCCATCTGTTGTATACTAGAGTTTGGTAGGTATGGCTCTCAGTTAAAAAAAAAAAAATCATCGCAGACCTTTTGGTTTGCATCATCTAACCAGAATTTTGGGTGGACCAGATGTCCTTTGCATGTATTTCTTTCTTTTTTTTCTGAAACTAGTTATAACCAGTTTTAGTGGGTAAAAGGGAGGTTCTGAGGTGGAGTGTCTTCTGTTCCTATGGGAATTAGTTTTGATGAGTTTCTGGTTTCCTGATTCACCATAGATAGTCAGTATAATGAAGAAATCCAACAAGAATTAAACTGAAGTTACTTGCTGTGATTTATTTTTTCGATTCTCTACAAAATATTAAACCCCGTAGGCAGATTTTTGAACAGGGAAAAAGAGGTCTATGCAATTATTTTCTTATCCCTGAAATCACATGAACAGCACTTTCCTCCCTCATTTATAATAAATCTTTAGTGAGTTAATTCTGTTGCTGCAGTATTTCCACAGCCAGCACTTTACTGAACATGTATCCTTTCAGAGAAAAAAAAAACACAAAAGCATGGAACAATCACAAGGCCCTCTGACACTCACCCCAATTGTGCCTTCTTAAAATAGGGGTAAACACTCTGGCAGTAGTTAGTGTGGGTTTCCACTGCATAAAATGTTATAAAATAGGGCCCCTGAGAGCATCCATTATCACATATTGGTTAACATCACAGAGTTTTTAAATCCCAGTTGCCTTGATGCCATGAAAAAAAAAACAGCTTTCATCTGTAAAATCTAGTTTCCCTTTGTTATTAAAATAAATGAAGCCATTAAACAAAATATATGCATGTAATAGTCGAGTTCCTCATTTGGCATCATCAAAATGATGGAATTTTGCATTTTTAAAAATTGGTGTTGCCATCTTAGCAGGTTTGATGTGAGCTACAGAATCCAAATGTGCTGGAGGCTTCTGAAACTGTATGACATGACATATATTTCTCTCTTTAGTCTGCATATATATATATTTATCTGGCTCTCCTTTAACAAAAAGTAGAATTCTGTTTAAGAGAACTAAAAAAGAAGACAGTTTTTTTTATCCAAAATCCTGCCATCAAATCAATTAATTATAACCATTGATGAGCTCGTATTGTGACTGTGCTAGAATTGAAATAATTTCCGAATACTTTATTTCCAAAGGTTTGTTTTTAATTACAGCAGCATTTGGTTGGCATGCAAGGGCGAGTTCTCACTCTTGATCTATCCTAGCTGGAGCTCAGGCCAAAAGATCCTCTGCTCCCTTTTCTCGAGAGCACACTTTTCTGCCAAATGTGGTGCTCGTCCCCTGCCAAGAAAGGTGGGCGAATTGCCACTTCTGACTTCCAACCACCAAAAGACAAAGGCTCTCAACATTCCTAAGTCCACTGAGCCAGAATGGGCCTCACACCTTGAAGGATCCCGATTATTATTGATTATTTTTCCCCCATAGACTTTATAATATAGAATATTTTCTCAGTGCCTTAGTCAGTCCCCGAGGGTGACTTAGGCACTTACAGCAATGTGTGACCCCTTGAAGGCCACTGGAGGGTCATTGAAGTGTCCTTACTCATCTGTCTGAGGCCTGAGCACATCTACACTGTCAGTGTCACCTCTATATCTTGCTTTTATAGTGTCTTTTTTTAACACTCTTTAAGTTAGAATCTAGTAATTATTTATTTACTTCTGTGAAGCTCAAATAAACTCAAGAGAAGTTGTAGCTAAGCATAAAACATCTAATAGGGAAAACATAGCCTCTTTTCCTTTTAATGGGACCCATTGCGTAATTTGTGGAGAATGTGTAAATTCTCCTCATAAATTGTGCAGGGCTTCTTAAAAAAAAATTCAAGATCGTGACAGCAGCACATTAAGTCAAGCATGGGGCCCGTCTATGTGGGGGTCCCTGTGTCACTTACAGGCAGCACACCCATGAAGCTGCCCTGCCTTCAGAGATCTTGGAAGCAAGTTTGTCCAAATAAAGAGAATTACAAGAAAACATTAAAATCTAATTTAACAGTAAAAATAAATTTAGAAGAATTATCTAGTCATATCTTCTTCCCTGCAAATTGAGAACTGTATGCATTTTATGTATTTTTACATAGATTAGCCCAATCTTAAGAGTCATCTCAGATTCAGCTACTGTTTACTAGTCTCTAAATATATGCCAGACCCTATGCTAAGCAATTTGATGCGTGTTGTCTCATTTGACCACCACCAGCGTGATTATCCTCATTTTACCAATGAGGAAGCAAGGCTTGGAGATCTGAAATGTTGATCAAAGTCATAGTTACTGTGGGTTCTAAGGACTTAACTTTAGTTATCTAACTAAATTGATACACTGAACTACACCTCTTAAAACCAATTTTTGGGCCGGGCGCAGTGGCTCACACCTGTAATCCCAGCACTTTGGGAGGCCAAGGCGGGCGGATCACGAGGTCAGGGGTTTGAGACCAGCCTGTCCAACATGGTGAAACCCCGTCTCTACTCAAAATATAAAAATTAGCTCGTCATGGTGGAGCATGCTTGTATTCCCAGCTACTTGAGAGGCTGAGGCAGGAGGATTGCTTGAACCTGGGAGGCAGAGGTTGCAGTGAGCCAAGATTGTGCCACTGCGCTTCAGCCTGGGCAACAGAGTGAGACTCTGTCTTAAAAAAAAAAAAATTCTTTTAAAATGTTTTCCTTTAGATTTGCCATTTGTAAATGTGTAACCACATCACTGAAGCATGAATGGACTTCATGACCACGTTCCTGGGCTAAACGGGCTTATGACTCTCCACATAGGCCTAAGTTTTCTTAAGAACTCATTTAGGAAGGGAAAACTAGGCCCTTCTTTGTGTAATTAGCAACCTTAAGTCACAAGTGGAATGGCAAAGAAAAACACATTACATAAAGCAAAACTATATCTAGTTGTTTCAAAGAGGAACAAACGAATCAATCCTCACTGGATAAGGACATTTCTTTCCCAAAGCATGTTTTAGAAGGGGCAAATGTCACTATTTAAGACTTTTTGGCATTACCAGTAAGATTATGTATATAAGTTCATTAGGAATGATGGCAGCTAATTTAAAAGGTGATGGTTTTGTTTGATTTTAGTTTAAGTTTTAGTTTAGTTCTTTGTTTCATCCTGGGCAGTACACATTTACACGTTAAAACAGAGGCTGGGTCAACTAACTCACAGTAGGTTTCTGACAGATGAAGCTACAGCTTTTTATTTTATCATTAACAAGATAAACTTTGAGCTTCAGTAGAGTGTAAAGACAACTAGATAGAGAAGTAGGAGGCCTTAGGGCCAGCAACTTCCCAGCCACGTAACCCTGTATATCTTGCCATGTGTCCACTCTAAATTTTGTTTTCTCTTGTATAGAATGAGGGCAACATTACCTATTCTAACTTCACCAGTAATTGTGAGGTTCAAACTTGGCAAAATATAATAAAACCTCTTTGAAAATGTAAAGCTATATACAAATATAAGGGATCACCCTTCTCAAAGTCTTAAAAAAAAGCCCAAACTATTCTTCAAGTTAACTTTGATGAAATATATTTTTGCCAACTTTATCTCACAGTCTTGTTGGTGACAGGTCGAGCCTTCTCCCACTCATCTAAGATATTCCATGAACATTTGTGATAACCCTGCAGAAATAAGTCCACATCTGTGCCGGCATCCGCACCTCCCTGCCCCCAGCCCAGTTAGATTTAATGAGGAAAGTGTACTTTGGGAAACAAATACGGTGGATCTGCCCAAATTTTGACTAAGACTCTTCCCTCATCTATAATCCATTCTGGAGACAGACAGTGAATTCACATCAATAAATGCTTTCGGGAGTTGGAAAGGGTTTGCTTAAGAAGGTTCATAAAGATAAAGGTAATCTGATCACTAAAACCATTTAAAGTTTTTAGATTTTTTTTTTCTTCTTAAGGGGGAATTCCCTTTAGTTTGATTGCAAGATAAGAGTTTTGTTGTTAACTAAGATAAAATATAGTGCTGAATAATCTCTGAAATTAAAAACTGAAGTGCATGGTGCACAGAATAGAGAAAATTAAATAGCTTAGACAACAATGGATAAAGAGAAAAGAGTTTTCATGAAAATTAGCTTAGTAAAGGTAAATTGCATTTGAATCTTAACTTCAGATCTGGGTGCTCTGCTATTTGGCATATGTTGAATTGATAATGCCTGTGTGTTAAAGAATTCTGATTGTTTCTTTTGCCTCTCTCACAGCTTATAAAAATGCAAGCAGACCCATCTAATGAATATTAATAGGAGTGATGTCTAGATAACACATAAACCCCGGGATCTGTGGACTTTGGATGGAGTAGTCAGAGAGGATTTCTGTGGCTTTATTTAATACCAAATTTACATACTTTTAAAGAATAAACATCATCTTAATATTTTAATATCAATATTCCAGAGTGGAGATTTTAGTCAAATAAAAAGCTTAATTTTGTCTTCCCAAACATTATGTTCACCAGGGTCTGCATTTTAAGAGACAGGAAACTGTTAGCTAAAAAAGAAATTAACTTAATCCCCCTTCATTAAGTTCCAGTCTTTTTCTGTTACTTAGAGACAAGTAATAATTATACCCGTAGCAATGCAAAGCATGTTTTACACTTTTGTTATACAAAAGAACTGCGGTTGTTAAGGTGACAGCAAAAGAAAATGAGAACATTGATAAATACTGATTTTTTTTTCTTAAATCTTCTCTGACTCTTGAAAATAAATTTCACTCAGGTGTCTGAGAGGCCTTTTAATTCATTAACTGCAAAAATCTACACATATGATTTTAGAAAATGTCAATCAACTAGCTAAACAATATTTTCCCAGCTAAGGTTATAAACAGCAGCTAAGTGGGTGGAAAATGTCTAAAACGACTATACATACCAGTTCTTTTATAATGCATAAAAAGTGGGCATTTTGTTTTCAAGCTGGTATCTTTGGGATGGAACTTTTAGCAAGCACACAGTACATCTCAGCAGTGTATATTATTTAAAGTGCATTCTCTCTCTCTCTCTCTGGCATTGTGAAGACTTTTTAAATTTTAGCTTTACAAAGGGGGGAAATCATTAAAATGTGGTTTGTACCATTACATTCCATTATTTGTCATCTTTATGGCTATTCTATAGTTTTCATTGACCTTTAATGGTAAGCTTGGTCAGGAGAGGTGAGCAGGAATGTTCACATACTTGGCTGAGGGTGCTGCTTGAGAGTGTCTGTTAGCTGGGCTTCAATCCACGTCCCTGTAGATTTTAATGTCCCTACAGACTGCTGGCAGCCTGCTTCCAGCTGTGGCAGGCATGATGCAGTGAATTGCTTTTGAATGTTCTTTACTCAAATAGGCAGTAATTACAAGCTTAAAGAGGTTTAGTGGTCCAGTAAACTACATAATCACCCCTGAATTAGCCTGGGCTCATCAGTTGCAGTCCAGCAAGCTCCAGTCTGCTGTTTGTATGCCGTCTTGATCACATAGCAACCTGATCAGCAGGTGTGGAGCAGCCAGAGTCCCCCATAAACACAACTGTCTACTGGGGACAATGATCTCTAATGAGATGAGGCTACATCATCACTGTAATTTAAGTGGGAAAATTAGCACTAGAGAATGGGTACCAGTTCCAGGGGTCTTTAGTCATATTGGGAGCAGCACGAATTCTCCATCTCATTCTCCCTGTCTCTATCTTTTTCTCTCTCAAAAATATCTCCTCACCAAATGTACCATTTTGCTTCTAACTTACGGATACTTTATTCTTTAGACAAGGATTTTTCCTGAATAATTAATGCTAGACAGGGCATCTGTAAAGGCAATAATGATTGCTGTCAACAGACTCATTCCAAAATGGCGTTGTAGTATTTCATCTTCCTTGTCTTTCTACTTAATGGTTTCAAAATCCTTTCTCTTTGATTTTTAAAGTGGAAAAGTGTTCTTCAGGCTGGTGTTAGGTCTCCTTTTAGCTGACGTGCTCTCTGAAATTGTAGAGATGGGCTATACATAGTTTGAAAAAGATCCTTACTTTATTGGAGTTTATTGTATAAATCAGTCATGAACTTTCTTTTCAGAAAGGTGGTCCAGTATAGTGTGCCATGTTTTTGTTGTGCATGTTCAAGTGAAATTCTTGGGGAAAAGCCTCCATGTTGAAACAGTCTTCTTTATCCTTTCTTCTGTCCTGTGCTAGGCATAAAGATACAGAACTTGAATTTTGTTGCATTGAAGTTAGAGAGTAGGAAGGGAATTTTGTCACAAATAAACCCAAGAACAACATAGAGTGAATTTGGGAGAAACTTTGGGGGAAATTATAAATTGACGCTAAGAAAGAAAAGCAGAATAACACAGTAATTAAAAGCATAGGCTGTGCAATTGACTACTTAGAGTCAAATCCCAGCTCTATTTTACTTGCCAGTAAATTAGATTCTGAGCCTCAGTGTCCTCTGTAAAATAATGGTAAGAGTACTTATCTTAGAGACTTGTTTTAAGGATTAAATAAGTAAATACTTAAAGCTCTGAGAACGCTGCCCAACATACAGTAAACATTATATAAATGTCAGGTAAATAAAGTGAGCAAAATCTGGACTAGGCACTCTACTATTCTGGGATTTGTTGAACTAAGTGAGAAGGATGAATAATTGTTGGAATGGAGCTGCTAGTTTTGTGTTTATCTGAAGTCATCTACTCCTACTCACAAATGCAGGTTGAGGGATTTTAGTCATCTCTAACTTTAATAACATTCATTCACAGAAATATTTATTGGGCACAGAACTGGTAGCTGCATCATCACTGGGAATAGCATTCATATGTTTTTATTAGTAGTCTACTAAAATGTAATGATTTTGAATGTCATTTAACTCATATTTGATTAAGAATCATGTAATAAACAAAAGTAATTGGCGAAACACACACCCCAATTTGTTTCAAATCCCAATTTGTTTCAAAGCTGACAATTGAAGGCATATTGTAGTGTGGTTAGAGGAAATAGTAGGCATTTGATTCTATGATCCTTAAAAGAGTTTTTTTTTTTTTTTTGTTTGTTTGTTTTTTAAGGAGTCTCACTCTGTCAACCAGGCTGGAGTGCAGTGGCGCGATCTCGGCTCACTGCAACCTCCGCCTCCCGGGTTCAAGCGATTATTCTGCCTCAGCCTCCTAAGTAGCTGGGACCACAGGCGTGTGCCACCACGGCTGGCTAATTTTTTGTATTTTTAGTAGAGACAGGGTTTCACTGTGTTAGCCGGGATGATCTCGATCTCCTGACCTTATGATCCACCTGCCTTGGCCTCCTAAAGTGCTGGTATTACAGGTGTGGGCCACCGTGCCTGGCCAAAAGTGCTCTTGTATATAAGCTACTATCATTCCTGTATAAGCAATGCTACAAGCATTAATAAAGTGATGGGCATGTGAGTTTCCACTGAGTTTTCTGACTTACAGCAAGATTGACTCTTCCTTCCATTAGCAGAACTGAGTTGTAGAAATAAAAGGTACACACACATACGTTAAGATAATAGTTTTTTTCATATAACAAGTAATAATCATCATATATATTCATGATTAACTCACCAGGAGTCAGTGGGATTTCTTCACCTATTATATAAAAGACAAAATCGTTTGGAAGTGAATTTTCCCGACTTGTATGTTACCACCAAGTTTCAAATTCCAGCTCTACTACTTACCAGCTGTGTGAACTTGAGAACTTCCTTTGTCCTTTCTGTGCTCAAGTTTCGTCATCTATCAAATGGGTCTAGCGGCTGTTAACTACCTCAGAAGGCTTTTGTGAGGAGTCATATAAGTGAAGCATTTGGAACAGCGCCTGGCACATTCTCACTTCCTGATATATGTTACAATGACTACTTCTTCCACTCTTATTAATACTGCTAAGCTACTATTAATAAAGTTCCTTTGGCTGGATGCTGGAAGGAGAACATGGGTCAAGGTTCTGATGAACTAACTTTCCCTGACAGCCCCCTCCCCTCCCCTTCTGCCTGCCTCCCAGGCAGAAGCAGTGGATATTCAGGTAGGAGTGGAGGAGCAGGGAAATGGCAACTCTTTCCTCTCTGTTCACCATGATTAATAACATGGTTCATACTCCCTTATAATATATTTTTTGTTAAAAAAGGGAATGGAGAAATGAGAAACAAATGGCAGTGGGAGTGTAGCCAAGTGGAGAAACTCAGGGCCGGACAGACCTGGCACCAGCACTAAGTAGCTGTGTGCTGTTGGTGTGTTTTTGACCTGGCCAACCCTCAGCTTCTTCATCTGTGAAAAGGAGCTAAGCACAGCCCTTACTCAGGGGGTTCACCAAGAGTACATGAAATAATGCCTGTAATGCATTTGTTGTACTGACAAATAATGAGTTTGAATGAGCTATTGTTTAAAATGATTCAAAAATGACACTTCAAAGTAAAGCATGAGTTTTCTCCCTTATCTACTCCCAAGGGCCTCCTGTCCTGTTTTTGTTTTGTTTTTTGTTTTTTGAGATGTCTGTTGCACAGGCTGGAGTGCAGTGGTGTGATCTTGGGTCATTGCAACCTCCACCTCCTGGGTTCAAGTGGATTCTCCTGCCTCAGCCTGCCGAGTAGATGGGATTACAGGCGCCTGACATCACGCCCAGCTAATTTTTGTACTTTTAGTAGAGATGGGATTTCCTCATGTCGGGCAAGTCCTGACCTCAAGTGATCCACCCACTTTGGCCTTCCAAAGTGCTGGGATTATAGGTGTGAGCCACTGCTCCCAGCCCTGGTTTTCTTAATGGCCATTTTTGTATTTCCTCTTATAAGCATGGTCTTCTACTGAGAGAATCAATATTCAGAGGATTCATTAATAGCTGTTCAACATAATTTTAGCATCCTTCACGAATGTTAATCCATTTAGGAAGAGGATATAAGTAATCACTAATTTGGAATCTAAACTGTATGTCTTAAACGTATATACTTTAAAATATTTCTGTAACATATGTGTAGCTAATGAAGAATATATCTAAAACATTGTTATTTTATAAATTTGTAAGCAACTTTAAAAAAAATTCCAAATACAAAGGACTATGCAGTTTCTTAATATAAGTATCTGACTTCTTTATTTAGTGTTTTCATTTTCTATTTAATTGATATTTAGGAGAAATTAAAAGATCAGATAAGTGAGGCAGGGAGGGCATTTTATTTTATTTTATTTTATTATTTTTTATTTTTTATTTTTTTTTGAGACAGTCTCACTCAGTCACCCAGGCTGGAGTGCAGTGGCGCAATCTCGGCTCATTGCAAGCTCTGCCTCCCGGGTTCACTCCATTCTTCTGCCTCAGCCACCCGAGTAGCTGGGACTACAGGTGCCCACCACCATGCCCAGCTAATTTTTTGTATTTTTAGTAGAGACGAGGTTTCACCATGTTAGCCAGGATGGTCTCGATCTCCTGACCTTGTGATCCTCCCGTCTCGGCCTCCCAAAGTACTGGGATTACAGGTGTGAGCCACCGCACAGGCAGGGCATTTTAGTATTGGTCTCTTATAATTGGCTATAAAACAATGTCTTTACTACTGTGTATTATAAATATAGTCTTAGTACAAAAAACAAAGATTGTTATGAAACATTATCCAGCATTCTACTTTTCCTTCCACACCTATGTCATTTTCATGTGCTAAGGTTACATTTATAGATTCCTACCTGACACCTCCACTGGCAACTTCTTTTAACTGCTGTTGGATATACAGAAATCAGAGAGATTGTCTGCAGAATGACTCTACTGGGCCCCAGAAAAAACAAACGCTAAACAAAAAATGGAGCCCATTTAGTCTGAGCAACTAGGCAATATAGGAGTGTTGGTGGAGAATTAAGAAAGCGGATGGAAATCCTATGACTCTACTGATGATGCTCCAAACATTTCTGGCTTCTTAGCCAGTCCCAACACCACCCTTCCTTCTTTTGATTCCAGCATGTGCGAGGATGCAGGACTCAACTACTATGCATTCAGGCTATGTTCTGCGACTGCACGGTGCACTGCTTTTGTAATGCAAATAGGAGGCACAAAGTGTCTCTTTGATAATGTGCAGTCAGAAGACAAAAAAGCATTCACTGAAACAGTAAAACTAATTCATAAAGCTGAAAGACAATAGGGAAGCATTATGGATTTTTTTAAAGGAAAAAAGTATCCTAGATCAATGTAATTGTCACAGTGTAAGCTATTCACAGTCAATGCAGGAGGGGAAAATGGCTGCAAGTTTATTTAAAGTGGGAGAAGTTTTATAGGCAAAAAACCATTATGTTAAACAAATATAAATATATTTGGTTAACAAGTTTCTGCTTAGTCTCTTAGAGGTCAAATATATAGCTGGTTATTTTCATTTAGATCCACAGTATTCCCTTAGTGACAAAAACTCAGTAGAAGTTTTAAAAGAGCACAGAGATCTAATAGTTAAAAACCATATGGTAGATTTTTTTTTTTTCTTTAAAGGGAGTATCTCCCCATCACATACCAGAGTTTAGCTCAAGGTCAACTTATATTAATGCATTAAACTTAGCTGTGGAGGAGGCAAAGGGCTGGAGGAAAAAGGATAAAAGAAGTTCTGAAATTGTTCTTCCAACATATTCAGCCAAGCAACAGAACATTGCCTGGATAAGGCTTATATTGGACAGTTGCCATAATTCCTCCTGTTAGATCAGCTCCTCTGGTACCTATTCCCATACCTTTTAAAGTATAGCATGTAACATTTTGCTTGAAAATTGCTTCTACCTCTATTGCTTTGTTATAGCCGTTTTGCAGTTTCGGTATAGAGGCAGTTCTGTGTCACAAGAAATTACTAATCTGAGGCTTGAGAAGGGGCAGTGTAGCCTTCCATTATCTCACCAGCAAGCTCTGTACAGGATTATTTTCAAATTTTCTGCTGCCATTACAATGTGCTATTAGAGTGGCCAAGGTGGTGAGGGAGGGGATGTTATTGAAACTTGGTTACCAGGGTAGATAAGATAAACTTCATCACTTTCTTGGCATCCACATTTGTAGCCAAGGGTGGAAATTTTGATGAAAGAAGTACATTTGGTCAAAGATATTAAGGTGTAAAGCTGGATATTTTCTAACTGCATTCTACAGAGTCTGTCTCTTCCCCATTGATGCTCATCTGAAATAGTCTGCTTGATTGTTTCAATAAACACACTTTCTTTCAATGTATTGTAAACTTGTAAATACCAGATAACCAACTTAAAATCCCCCTCCCATCCCAGTCTCAAGAAATAACACTGGTTATGTGCAGACATAACTTTCTTGAGTAAGTCACCATTTTCTGTCACTTTCTATTTGCGGCTGGTAAAATGACAGCTCAGGCTTAACTTTTACATAAGCTATTTTTAGATTTTTCTCAGACATCCTTTAACTATTTCTTTTATACAGGATCCTACCCTAAGGATCATTTTATTCTTTGACGGGGTCATTAAGCAATCACTCTATACTGGTTCATTATTGGAAGTCACTGCAATATCCAGAAATACATGAAGAGTGGCAAGTGGTTTATATTTCAGCAAGAGATTTATGCTAGAAAGGAGAAGTCAAGGTGTTGACGATTGAAATAAGGATGATCATTTCATGAGTTATTCCCTTTCGCTGGGGTTCCACTGCCCACAAGCCACTTAGTTTCCCTTTGAGGCCAGCATCTCTTCTCTCTGCAGCCAAACCAGCCTAATACACATGTGCAGGTTTAATGCTGGAAGGGAGGGGCCAGCTTTACCCATACATAATCACTGTTTTATGGCTTTCACTCATTCCTGAGGTGTTAATGCAGATCAAATGGGAAACACTCGAGAAAGAACCCTTGCAGCTACTGCATTGCCTGGCTCTCCCCTCTCAATCGTTAATTCTTATTGTAAGATCTAAAGGTAATTTTGTTTGCTCTCTTAATGTGTTGCAGTTCTCCCAGTGGCCCTTGCATATCCTTTCTCAAATTCCCATCTTGATCAATTGTTTGCAAATAATTAAGCTTTTAAAAGATAATAGCATGAGGCTAATGTACACAACAAAGGCGAGGTCTCCCTCACTGTCTATGGGACTGTGGTCAAATTTGCTTTGATATCCCGAAGTGATTAGGTTGATTGGTATATCTGGGAAGTGCCATCCATCTTGCCTTCACAAGAGCCTACTGATCTTTCTTAAACTGTGTCCTTGAGATGCAATAACAGCAAAGGTGTTTGGGAGGATGGCAAGGAGTGACATAGGCCTTTAGTTGCAAAGGTTTGGAATGAATTTCCCATTTTCTCCCTAAAAACAGCACTTCTCGGAGATTACTCTTTATCTCTTTTGCAAAGTGACGTCTGCCTTTGCCCATTGCATGGCCTCACTAGACCTGTGGGCAGAAGGCAACAGGGCTTTCAATGTTTTTTTTTCAGCAGCCATGCCTGTGGCATGCTGGGTTTTTGTCAAGTCATTTTTTTTTAAGTCTATAAAAGAATAACTCATACTGTCCACAAAAAGCTTTATTTAGTAAAGATGCATAGGATTTAAGATATTGAAACATATTAGGTTTCAGTTTAAAAGCCTACTTCTTTGTGAATTTTTGGCTGGTTAAGGATTAACTACATGAAGTCACGGCTTTCATGTGATTCTAGCAATTACAGACTTTTTTCAGGGAATTGAAAGTTTGTGGGACACTAAGGCCAAGAACTATGAGAAAAAGAAATACATTCAGTTGACCTACCATAGACAAGGGTTTAGGAATGTTGTTGATACCTTTTTCTCCTCTTAACAATGGCCAGATTATTGTGACATTTAATTTGTCCAGGCTCATTCATTTGTATTAAAAAAATATATATATATCCCGAACAACTGAAAATTTCTTAATGGAGACAGAGTGCTGAGCCTCCATAGCTTGAGGCTGCCTAGCAATTATGCTGCATGAAATTAGATACAGTTTGTTCCAATTACTTAAAATCAGATCACATGAAAAGTGACAGAGGAAAAAAAGGGTAGAACTTTCTAATTTTGTGATATTTAAATTATGAAATCAGAAACTATATGATGTGAAGAAACAACTGAAATTTGCACTGAAATTTTGAGAGCCATATTACTACCCTTTGAAGCTCCAGGTAGTGGTAATGATTCAAAGAGAATTTTTGTGACACCACTTGCATAAATAAAATGTGAATTCCATTTGCTTTGTAAGAATGTTTGTAAAACTTGCTCATAAACAGGCATGCAAAAGTACTCTTGAAAATACAGGAAAATAAATTACTGTGACAATTTTCAGTTTTCAAAGTAACTAAAGATAAATGGTATAAATAATAATTTTTATCCAGTTCTGGTCATAATATTAAGACATAACTAATAAGACAGGGCAAAAGGTTTTGCCATCTGACTATACTAAAGAAGGACTGTTGACATATTTATTAATTCTATTAAAAATCACTGCAAGTGATTTCTGTAAGACCTGGACAACTGTCAGCAAATAATTTTACAGGAAATGTTATAGATTGGAAGTTGCTTGTGTACTTCAGTGTACAACTTTATATGACACATAGTGCCAGTGGTGGGATGCTAATATTTGCATATTTCAAAATTGAGCTTGTCTTCTGGCACTGCAATATTGTAAGAACTGCTAGCCTGGGTAATCTTTAACCTCAATGGATCTTAGAACTCTGGATGACAAAATTGAGGATAAGAAAAGTTGTCTGTTGTTCAAAGTCCCATAGTTAATGAGTGGCAGCATCATTTATACAATCTAATAGAGTCACCTATATTAGGTACAATTCTTCAACTAGTAGAGACATAGACCTACTGTATATCAAGCTGTAATTCAGCATTCTATCCATGGGATAAGAAATTCATTTGGTTTGTATTGTGTGCCAAATCTTTATACAGTGGGAGTTATGTTTTAAACCTTAGGGTAATGGATTCCTTTGAGCTCAGTAGCCAGTCATGAGACTTTGGCTGCAATGGCTGGCATTCTGTTGAGTAGTCACTTATGATCTTAGCCTATTAGGAGGTTTATATACCTTCATTTGAAGAAAGTGGGTCAACATCACTTTTGTGAATGAAGCAAAGAAAGTAGTGTCATGGATCTTAAATTGGATTGTTTCTGCTTTGTTATACAATTTGATGTTGCATCTGAGTGGAGAGTGTCTGTCATGGCATGGTACAGCCATTCCTTTGTTCCACAAATATTTAGTGATTTTCTGTTATGTCCCAGTCTGGGCTTTGAGGATAAACAGAAAGCAAGGCAAGGGGTTTATTAGCATTGGTAGATGAGTGAGAAAAGACACACCAACAAGGAAATAAACAATTAAAGCAGGTGCTTCAGAGAGTGATGCTTGCTATTAGGGAAATAAGAAAAAGATGAATGTGAGCGTGATAAGGCGGGGTGCTGGGAGGTGGGGAGGGTAAAGCTGAACATTTGAGCTGAGAGCTAAAAGTGACATTGGGGTAAGAATCTGAGTGACGGGAAAAGCTGGTGGTGTTAGGAAAACAGAAAGAAGGATGGTGTGGCTTGGTATAGGGGTAGGAAGCGGGTGAGAAGAAGGTATCAAAATCTGAGAAGTGGGCAAGGCTGGATGGTGACAGGCCTTGCAGGCCATGGTAACCAGTCTGAAGGTTATTTCACAGGGGACATGAATGGGGATTATGAAAGGCGTCTGCTACATCCTTTGGTCATGGTGAGGCTTAGGCACTGAAAGGGAAGCAGGAAATATCACTGACTTATGTCTGCCTCTGTCCATCTCTTCCCCTGGCCAGTTTCCTCACCTGTAAAACAGAAGGGATGATAGATTCCATTTATGTCACTCAAAGGGATATAATGGGGATTAATTACCATCCTGTCTGTAATATACTTGGAGCTCTTTAGAGAAAGGCACTATATTCCATGAAAGCAAAGCCTTATTCTAATTGTGTATTTATTGATTAAGTGACAATCATAGACAATGCTTATGGGAAAAATTGTGATCTCTCTGCTGTTCACAAACAAATCCCCTGTGTATAGATATAGAGCATATTTAAACTTACATATAAGAGTACTGAAGTGGTCATTAACAAGCCTTTTTAGCATCTAATCAGACATTATTAATTAAATTAAAAGCTATGTCAATTAGCATTCAATAGACGACAATTTAGTTTCCATGGCACAGATAGTTAAATTAAGGGTTGGGGGTGCACTTTTCCATTCATAATAGAATAGAGGGTTGACTCTCAGAAGAATTTTATCTTGGGATAATTTATTGAGATGTGGTGTTTCAAGCAAGCTAATGTCTCTATAGATGGAAACCATATCCTCAGCTCCTCCCCTAAGCTTTAGAAATATGTATTTCAAATTAGATATATTTGATCAGTGAACAGAAAGCATTTGTGCCAAAACTAATTTCAGTAGAATTCCAAACGTTCTTACAGGAAGGTATGAATTTCACTTTATTATCTAATCCTGTAATACTTTTATCTACTATGACTCTTGAGGAACATAGCTGGGCTTGTTCTTAGCATGCAAAATATGCTGGTCTTTGACCTTATATTGGCCTGTGTTCAGAATCTCAGCATGTGTTGACATTCAGATTTGGAAACCAACATTGGTGAATTTTGTTTTTTTTGCTGAGGACTGAAAATGAATAGTGTATGTGTGTGTGTGTGTGTTTAATAGCACCCACTTTAGATTTGATATTTGCATCTGGCAATATGGTGTTTTAGAGGGAGAACGTCACTATGTGGACCTCAGCTGAGATTGTTGGTCCAAATGGGTCAGCTTTAGAAATTTATGGTTCAATGAATATATTAAGTTAGGGCAGTATACTTTTAGGTGGTAACAAATGGCTTGTCCTTATTTTAATCCTATAAAATACAGTGAAGATCATACTAAACTTTCTGTGTTTGCAACAAATAAAGCTGTTAAAGGATAAACTCAGTGTCAAGGTTCTGCAAGTATCCTAAGTAGCTATTTATACACTTCATTAATCTTTGTAATTGGCTTGTCTTTTACTGCCATTAATTAGATGATGTAGTATTCCATTAATAAGAGTGACACACCTCAGCATTTTTACCTTTAATTATAGACTTCATGAGACACTTAGGCTATTGACAAAATGGCTAAATATTGCCTGATGCACACGTATCTTTTTTATTCTCTTTCAGCACCCTTACCCTTCTGAAGAACAGAAAAAGCAGTTGGCACAAGACACGGGACTCACCATCCTTCAAGTGAACAATTGGTAAGTAATTTGGCTTTGTGTTTACACACAATCTGTTTCCCCCTCTGGCAACCTGCAGCTCATGTTTTGCATTAAGAAGACACACCCAGTTGCCACTGCTTTCCCTGGTGGCTTGTTGATTCAAAAGTGAAAACAAACTGTTGACTGATATGTGAGAACATTTGCTAGTATGGGAAATAAAACATTGTATTGTCTTCTACCTCCTTTATAAGTTGACAATTTTATGCATAGTATAAGTATGTGTGTAATTCACATTCACTATGGCTCTGTCAATGTATCTCTCTCTATGGCTTTTTTTTTCCCCCTTCAGGGTAATCGATAGAGTAGTATCATCCTATTTTCTACAAAACAAGAAAATCCACCATCACATATCAGTCAGGTTTAAATTCATTGAATAACTAAATTCAGTTAGATTTTGTTAGGGCTATGCATTCAAGGATAGCCTCTCCTTTGCTCTTATCTCCTGAATACTGAAAGGAAGAAATTATTTGTTTCTCTTTGAGGCTATTCCAAACCTGAGGCATCTCGTGGCTGTGCAATACTGTTTCTAAATAAAGTGTAAATTCCTGATTTGGGGCGAAGCTGAGATTATGTACCAAGTACCAGCCAACAATATTCTGACTCAATGTACAGCAGTGTGGCAATGAGGCTTTGAGAAAGTATGATTTATTACCCTTTGTGAATGTGCTGAAAGCCAGGTTTCATATAATCACCCAGGACTAGTGTCATATTTGAAGGGTATCGAAATCCAATATCCTCTAAAAGTAAGTGTATCTAATTAATTGTCCTAATATTTTTAGATTAGTGTTTATGATGGGGAAACCTTATCCTCTTTGAAGTAAAATCCAGAAAAGGCCCAAAGCCTGGGCTGGGGAAGGGGAGAACTAGGAATGCCAGTTTGCAGACAGAAGTATTTCTTTCTGTTCAATAAGTGTCAAAGATTAATATTACAGAATCTCTGATTACATGGCCTAATCCATTTTGGTGAATAAATTTGTTCTTGATGTCTATTGCACCTACATTAACAGACCCTTCTCTGTTAGAGAGCCTGGGAGCCTTTGGGAGAGATTTCAGATATATTAAACCCCATTACAGAAAATGTAATTTCTGTCAATATAATCCCATGTATTCTTCAATTTAGTATTTTAGAGATAACAAGCTACTTACAATATATTTGCCTTTGGAGGATTAATTTACAAAGTGCACTATCTGCAAGACACAGACAGACTCACATAAGAATTGCTTGTAAGGGTTATCAATTTCTATGACCTTACTGCTGCCTTGAGAGATCAATTTTTGCAGCCCTTTTCATCAGTGGATGGTAAACCAAGCAAAGGCATACTACATCTAAATGTGTTACTACGAGTTGTGTGGCTGCTGAGGTTTTTTGTTTGCCTATTTCTACCTGCTACTGTGTCTTAATTTTCAAGGCTGTTAATACTACATATTGGAAATTTCAAATATGTAATAATTTCATATTTGAAATATGAAATTTCAAATATGTAATATTTGAAATATAATATCCTGGATGATATTATAGGGGAGACCATCAATTTTGCGTGCACATCTAGATTCATATATCTGTATTTTAAAACTTAAAGCTGATGTTGAGACAGTTTTAATACAATGGAGGCTGCACAAATGTCCGCATTTCCCTGGGAAGTGTTCCTGTTTGCGGGCAAAGGAGTGGCAGGACAAGCTCTCTAGTTAAGAAACGAAAAGCGCTGTCATTCAGGGGATCTATCCTGTGAGCCATCTCTCTTCCTCTGCAGGGTTGCTAGCAAACTCCACTCATAAACACAGTTACCAGAGAACAAATCCCAATACAAGTTGCTTACTATGGGTGGACGGCCTTATTATGGGATATTTCCTGTGAATGCAGGAAGAGGAAGGCATTCTTGTGACTTCAAGCAATATATATATACACACAGTTTTCTAAATTCTATGCACAGTCTCTGCCGGAGAGCAATCTTCCTAATCAGTCCATGATCACAATTCGACTTTCTCAGTTTTGTAACCAGAAGGGAGAGAAAGGATGTTTAAAAAGTTTTAATTCACACTCTAAAATAATTTTAAAGTATATGCAGACTTTACCCTAAACTTCACACTGCTATTCAATTCTGCACGGGTAAATAACTTAAAAATAGCTTTTAATTAGTTATTTGGGACAGAAACACAATTCTGTGCTTAACTGCCACTTTGTGCAGTGTGTGGTTTCTCTCTACTTGTATATATATGGAGTTAGAAGTGGCTTTTGCTTGCACCACAGTGCTTTGCATTTGGCAATTGTTTCAACATTTAACAATGTTGTTTGCTGTAGAAAATGTCCCTCAAGTAACTAAAAGTTGTAAGAGAGATTGTTTTTCTTTAGTTTGACAAATAATGACAATACCATGTTTGATTTGAATTTTTAATGGTTTATTAATTTTTATAGAAACCTCTTCCTGTTTTGTTTTGTTTTGTTTTGTTTTGTTTTGTTTTGTTTTGTTTTGTTTTGATACCGAGTCCTGCTCTGTTGTCCGGGCTGGAGTGCAGTGGTGTGAACATGGCTCACTGCAACCTCCAACTCCTAGCTCAAGTAATCCTCCTGACTCAGCCTCCCCAGTAGTTGGGAATACAGGCATATGCCACCATGCCCAGTTAATTTTTTTTTCTTTTGTTGAGGCAGGGGTTTTGCTATGTTGCCCAGGCTGGTCTCTAACTCCAGGGCTCAAGAGATCCACCCACTTCAGCCTCCCAAAGTGCTGGGATTACAGGCGTGAGCTACTGCACCCACTTATAAACATTTTTTATAAAAAATGTTTTTCATCTTAGCTATACTGAGCATCGGTACAAGTTATTTTCTACTAAAAATAATAATTTTGAAAATGTCATCATTAGTATTTCTGTGTTTCCCTTTCATTTATTTATCCACAACTTTTAAACATCTGTGTCTTCCTTCTTGGATTTCTTAAAACTTGTTAATACACATGTACATTTTTGTATGAACTATGAGTCACTGTTGAAATGCAATTCAATAAAATGCTGAAGGACAGGTTGAGTGTAGATCAGTCATAATTATTAGCAGTAACATAATGTATCAAAATATATAATATGTAAGTGAAAAATATAAACTCATGTCTAGTTGTTAGAGTGTCATAGAAATCCTGGCTGATGCAGTTTTAAGTTAGGCTTTGACTGAAAAATAGACAAGAAGTTTGCTACATTTTAATGGTTCTTTCACTTCATCACTGAACTAATTTTACATTTCTCGAATTGACAGTGATATATACTACCTGCCTCAGGTGGCTAAGGCTAAAGTACATGGGATTTGAGGGGAGAAAGGCAAAAGAGGAGAGAACTTAAAAGTAAAACAATAAGACTGATTTGATTAATTAAGAGAAAATCTGGAAAAAAGAAAATCTCGTTATAACTCTTATTTTGGTCCAATTGTCAGAATAAAAATGGAGAGAAAGAATCTTAAAATGGTTGGCATCAGTACTTACAGCATGTGGGCCCTAGGATGGAATGTGAAATTTATTAGATGTGACATTGTGGGCCAAGTCTATGCCAATAAATTTTTTGAGAATTGAGGCAATTATGTAAATAATTTGAGTAAAATATTTTTAAATAAATTATCTAAGTATTTGATGTGACTGCATATTTTTAAAAAATCAACCTCCATAACTAGTTGTCTAAATATTTCAATCTAGTATGTTGTGGTTGACTTAGATTTAAAAGTGTAATCATTTTCGAAACATAATATGCACCAGAGATTTATGTATTCTTCCTTCTTTGGTCCCTTGCTCCCAATTATAATTTTATCCAAAAATGATAAATAATAGCATCAGGGGCTTTTGTCTCTTTGCTTTTTTACTGTTGTTGTGGTTTTAACAAATACTTATGTTATATCAGCAGTGCAAACATTACCAATATGCAAATGTTTTAGTAATTTAAGTAGAAACATCTTAAATTTTGAGATTAGATGGTTGTTTAGACCTTTAAGTATTTAAGTAGAACTTTATGGAAGACACACACACACACACACACACACACACAATCAATACTTGGTTGTTTTTTCTCCTGAATAGACCAACTTAATTTTTTTATATTGAAAATGTGAGTGTAGAATGGTCAGATAAAAATTCCCTTATACATGATCACACCAGTGTTGCGGACCTGGGAATTCCCTGTGATGAAAACTTATCTCTTGTACTTGTGTCGTACTTACTGGATGCCTCAGTTGCCTCCTGCCTCAGCAGAGTTTTGGCCTAGGGTGTACTGAATACATTTTACAGTTTCTTTGTTTACTACTCCTCATCCAAACACTTTCCTATTAAGTTCTGATATTAAATGATTATCCCTTTATGCTCTGAGAAGGCAATATGGGTTTTAGGTGCAAAATATATAGTGTATGTGAAATACAGTATTTATATATAGAGAAAAATTATTCTCCATCAAGAGAGCATATAAAATTCCAGGTTCCATCCTAGCAGCCAAGATGACACTGTTCAGAACTATGGTACTCTACATTTCTTAGATTTAGTGCTCATACCAGATTTTCCTAGTTATTTCATTTATTGCTTTCAAAGCTGCAAAGCATTCAGGCATCACTTCCCATTTATTATGAGTGGGAAAAAAGTATGTTATCCTTGGAGATTTATGCCACTGGCAAGTAAAAATGTAAACTTATTTTTTAAAAATAAGATCTCCTTTATTATAATAAACAGATTCAGCTGTTAAAGGTCAAGTTTCTTTCTGAGTTATGGTAATAATATAGCAAATACTTTTACAAATAATCAAAGATTCTATAAATATAGGTACCTGTTTAGATGTAAATGTTAAAACATTCACAAATTATCCTTTCAACTTCTGTGATCTAAAAATCAATAGGGGTCATAGGGTTTCATAGAATTGTTCTGCTTTTTCTTCCAACATAATTTAATAATACATTTTACAGATGTTGTTTGAATATTAGACACAGATTGTTTTGTCAATAAAGTTAAACAGAGGTATGACACAAAAGCAAGGAAAACAGATGTAAAAAAAAGAAAAAAACAGTACACGATGCAAGAAGCTCTGGGTCACTTGTTTGCTATTCAACTACAAAATTAAAGTGTGGGCTGTATGGTGATTTTCCTTGCCTAGGAATCACCTAGGGATGGAACAGCTTCACACATAGAAAGTAATTGTATTAAGCAGGTGGTTTAACTTTTTCCCTTGAGAATTGAAGTGTAACCTACATTTAAAGTAGACTTCCTAATTGATCAATGGAGTAACAGGTGCGGTATATTAAAAAGAAAAAGGAGAAATATAAATGGAAGAACTCCCCAGAATATTTCAGAATGGGTTGTTGTTCTTCAAGCCTCGGTTAATTGCTATGCTTTTCACCTTGAGTGTCAATTCTAATAATATTACCTTTACAGACGCTTACTCTGGGCTTAGATTATAGCAATCAGTAATACTCACTAGATAAAATACTGTCTAGTTGCTCATAAGAAAATATTGAAATCAGTCAAAAAATGTTTAGCTTGCATATTGCCTGAGACAGAGCTGGCGGGGCGCCAGACAGGCAGGGTATTATTAGGAAAGCTGAGCAAATAGCTCGCAGGGAAAAGAGCTGTGAATTTAGAAACCTTCAGGTATTGTCATGTCAGAGAGTCTTAAGAGTTCAACAGAGACACTGCTTTTTTTTTCCTTCAGATTTAAAAAATTTCCAACAAACAATCTTCTTTGAAAATGACTCTGCAGTCTGTTAAATATACTTTGTTGTAAGTTTTACACCATAAGTTTACTCAGAGCTTTTCCCCACTGCATAAAATCACATCGTTAATACTGTTAAAGACGAAAGCTCCTTATGAAAGAGTACACTTTGAAACACTGTGCTGGCTGGAAAAACCCTGCCCCTTCCACCATGGGGCCCTAAGTCTAGGTGAGAAAAGAAATGAAGGTCTAGGATGTAGGAAGGGTGGATTTGAAAGTCCAAATATGGTTTTGTGTAACCACTGTTTCTCCTCCAGCCAGCATTCAAAGGCAGTTGCTGAGCTTCTCAGGAGGACAAGACACTAGCTGGAAGCTGCAATCCAGCTGGTACAACCTGAGGAATTATGTCGGGACCCTGTAGGGTTGGGGTTCAAGTGAGGCTCAGAGTTGAGTGAGTTGGGAGACTGATTTACCCAGCAGGGACCCAATGTTTCTGAATATCCATGATTCATTTCAAGGCAATGAAACCAGTGACAACGGAGGTTGACTTTGAACATGGTATGCAGGTCAGCACAACTTGTTGCAAATCCTAATTAAGCCAGTCTTCTTGTTTTCAGTGTGTCTGTAAGTATCTGGTCAGAGAAATGCAAACAACAGGCTGTGGGTCATGCAACCCGATGGGGCAGGACTTGACTCCCATTTCCCTGGAGAGGGCATAGGGATGAGGGGCTGAGAGGTGTCACGGTCAAGGGGGAAGAGCTTGGCTACGCCTCATCCATAGGTGGCTAAGGTGTAAGCCTCATGACAATTTAAAATTTACACAGGGCAAGTATGGGAAGGGGAAATGCAGGGACAGGTCGCTGCAATCAAAACATTTCATCCCTCATCCCTACTCCTTGGATTTGGGCGACAGTGTCCTCTGGTTTAAAATGGACAAGTAGGACGAATTAGTCAGGACTCAAAGGACTCTTTTAGCTGTAATATTCTAGACTGTGTAATAATGTGAATCAAAGAGAAGTAAAGTGTGCGCTCTGAAACTCTCATTCCAGCTTTATCCTAGGAGTGGGGAAGGAAAAAAAATACTTTGATAAGGAGACAAACAGAGAAATTAATTAAAAAGTTGTAGTTGTAACTTTCCTCATCTTACATAAGCAAATCAAACACTGTAAAATAAAAACTAGATGAAATTAAACATTATCACAAGACATGAAAAAGATGTGTGCTGTCATTTTAGGATTCATAATAAAGATAAATCAGTTGTTTTTAGCAGTGTGCTATGAGTCTATGAAGGGCATGACAGATAATAGGCTCGAAATTTCTGAAGTTATTGTACAGCAAAATTTGTTTTTTCCTCAGGCATTCAATCTTTTTCTCCAGTAATTTTGAACATGACAAACTTTTTAGTGGATGCATTAATAATCTATAAGTAATGGGTTGTCAGGTGTCAGTTAGATAAGATTAAAAGACTGTTTAAGCATTATCCATTTGCTTCTTTGCATGAGTTTTATAGGTCAGCAGAAATAACTTTTTGAATTGTGGTTGTGTGTACGTGTTCTCTCTCTCTCTCTCTCTCTCTCTCGTCTCTCTCCACCCCCCAAACCCCCCTCCCTCTTTCATTTGGCTCCACTCCAAGCATACGTGGAAGAACCGTATTACATTCCATAAATCCTGTATGTAAGAGCAGATTTGAAACTCACTATGTGAATCAAGGGGACAAATGTCTCAGCTGTCTTCTGTAAATGTATTTTAGTTTTTAAAATGTTACTCTTCATCTTCTCAAAGGAAGCTCTGTAAGGGGAAACAAACTCGGCTAAGAGGGGCATTGAAGCTTTAGACATTAGTAGTTTCCTAGCAAGTCAGGTTTAGGTCTATTCTTGTCAAATATGTCTTAAGTGTGTTTACATATAGTTTGCCTTTCTGGTATTTTCTGCTTGCACAGACCTGATCTCCACCTATTTTGTGTCAACAGTTGCTGAGGCTGGTGTTGGGTGATTAACCGTTAAGCACGGAAGCGCAGTACCCAGAGAGACCCTCTCTCTCCTCTCACTTACATCATCATCTGGCTTCAGGCTGTGCCTACAGAAAACAAACAGCATTTTTGAGTGGTTAAAAAGTCAGCCTGAAATATTAAAAAATGGGGCAAATGTTGCCTCCTGGTTGAATAGAACAGTTTTCTTGAAAAATGGAGTGGAGCCAGGGGCTCGGGGGAAGGAAGTGTTTCCGAGGGCAAACGTTGGTCTTAGATCCGGTCTGCATTGCTCCAGTGTGTGCACGCCGAGGAGCTTTCTGTAGACGCTGAGGGTTATGTTCTGCTTCGTTTTTGATTTTCAAGGGGAAAGAGGACATACAAAACAAAAACAAAAAAAAACCTACAACAACATGGATGCCTGTAACTTTGGCAAATATAAGGCTGTCCTGTTCAATGCCCTCATAAATCATTAATATTTTCCTGTCTATTTTATTTTCATTCTTACAACGCTCTTAGCCTGACCCCTTAATATGGAAAATAATTAACTCTTTCATGCTCCTGATGCCTGAACAATAACAAATAAACAAAAGAATATTAATCTGTTCCGACATATTTGAGAGGTTTCTTTTCCTTTTTACCCTCTTAACTAACCAGTGCCTCACAAGATTAGATCCTATGGTTGAAGAAGGGGAAAAGTATTTCCTTTTTCAAACACATTAACTCCTCCAGGTCTGGGGGAGATGATTGGAGCTACATGTAACTTAGCTCAAAAATAAATGTCCTGCCTTTGGTGAGATCTGGCTTAATATTGATAAAGTCACTTTTTTTTTTTTTTCAAAAACAATATGTTGCCTACGGATGGAAGTTAATGCACCATATAATTATACACACATACACACGTGCATGTAAGTTTTCAGTATTTTTACTCTAGGATGCTAACTAAATCAAATGCAAACCAGTAGTCTTGAGGTTTGTTGTCTGGTTGAAGGGTTTTGTTGGCCTATATCACTAGGACATCTGCAGTGGTTGACTTTGTTTGTTTGCTAGTTTGGGTCATAGTTCAGATGTACTTGGAAAGGGCCGGGGAGTGGGTAGGGGGATGTTTTAAAAGCTTATGGAAAGAATTGAACATGTACAAAAAGATATAGGATCTCAGCCCCCTGGCTGGTTACCTGACAATACTGTTTACAGAAAGGAAAGTATAGTAGGTTATGGCAGAGATTCCTATCCTCAGGACTTGGGGCGGGGTGGGAGGGGGCGCAGAGAGGGGGTAGCGGGGCACATAAGAAGCATGTCACAATCATTTTGAGTGAATATAGTATTTAAAAAGCATATCGAGAATTAAATTTTGTTTTTAGTCATGCTATTTCTTTTGAAATTGCAAATAACAAAGGAATATAAGATTTTTGATGTGTCAAAAGGGAGCATGGATTAAAATTTTAGAAACCCTATGCTACAGAACCATAAAGTAAAAATCCTGGGAGGGAGGGAATTTATGCATCATACGACAGATGAGGCTCAGGGCTAATTAGAGGCAGGGCTAGGACTGGTTCCTAGTCCAGTGCTTCTTCCAGTCCACTAGAATGTACTTATTTTTAACAGCTTTATTGAGATATAATTCATAAACCATCATTTCACCCATTTAATTCAATGGTTTTTAGTGTGTTCACAGAGTTGTGTAACCATCCCCATAGTCAATTAAAAGACATTTTCACCACCTTAAAAAGAAGCCTTGTACCCTTTAGCTATTGCCCCTCTTTATACTTCCGTCTCTCTCTCCAACAGCTCCTGGCAACCACTAATCTACTTTCTGTCTCTATATTTGCCTATTCTAGACATTTCACCAATGTGATCATGGAATACGTGGTATTTTGAGACTGGCTTTTTTCACTAAGCATAATGTTTGCAAGGTTCATCCATGTCATAGCATGTATTATCAGCACTTCATTCCCTTTCAAGGCTGAGCAATGTTCCATTGTATGGATATAAGGTATCTTTTTTTTACCTATTTATCAGTGGATGGGCATTTGATATTCATCTCTTACCATTATAAGCGTTCATATACAAGTTTTGGTACCATTAAGTATTTTTGGGAATGACAGTATAGCAACAAAGACCTGTCTTAGGTTTGTATAATTTGGAAAGCACTTTTCATTCGATCATCCCAATTTCAGCACCTAAACACTGCTAGAAAACTTGCCGGTGAGTGGCAGTTTTCCCACTCAGTTCTCATATTCTTCTCACTACACACTGCTCTCACTTTCCCCGCCACTGGGTAGTGTTTTGACTGTGATAATTACGAGTGATGTTCAAAGAAAAGGAAAGTTGGCTGGGCACAGTGGCTCACGCCTGTAATCCCAGCATTTTGGGAGGCCGAGGGAGGCGGATCACCTGAGGTTGGGAGTTCAAGACCAGCCTGATGAACATAGAAAAACCCCGTCTCTACTAAAAATATAAAATTAGCTGGGAGTGGGGGTGCATGCCTGTAATCCCAGCTACTTGGGAGACTGAGGCAGGAGAATCGCTTGAACGCATAAGGCAGAGGTTGCTGTGAGCCGAGATTGCGCCACTGCACTCCAGCATGGGCAACAAGAGTGAAACTCCATCTCAAAAAAAAAAAAAAAAAAAAAAAAAGAAAAAAAGAAAAGAAAAAGAAAAAGGATAGTCACACTGAAATCCAGCAACTCAGCAGTAAAATGCACAAAGTTCCCTCGAAATGACTTAGATGACCATAAGCATTTTCAAAGATTTGACAGATTCCAAGATGTCATTTTGCTAATGTTATTGTCTTTATTCGAGAGATTGTTTTCCTTTAAGTGTGTTTCCATTTGTATTTTAAAGGTCTACAGGTTACATATTGACATATATTATTACATAGAGCTTAGGTTTCAAGCTTTACTCATTAAAACAGAGGTCACAGTGAACATTCCAAGGATGCATGCAAGCCTCCATTCAAGTCAAATCATCTTCATTGTGCCATTCTATAGCCTAATTTCATAACCAGACGGAACTAGAAATCAAGCTAAATTTTGAGATATCCTCTCTTGACATGAGCAGAGACTCCAGGTCTAGAGGTTTATGGTTGCTGAAGACTTGGAGAACTGAGGCAACTACAGGCAAGATCCTAGAGAAAGGAAGGAGCTCAAAGGTACTCCAATATGGAGCTAAGATTCTTTAATACCTGATTAGGGCCAGGCACAGTGGCTTATGCCTGTAATCTCAGCACTTTGGGAGGCTGAGGAGGGCAGATCACCTGAGGTCAGGAGTTTGAGACCAGCCTGGACAACATGGCGAAACCCTGTCTCTACTAAAAATATAAAAATTAGCTGGGCATGTTGGTGGGTGCCTATAATCTCAGCTACTAGGGAGGCTAAGGCAGGAGAATCACTTGAACCCAGGAGGCAGAAATTGCAGTGAGCTGAGATCGAACCACTGCACTCCAGCCTGGGTGACAGAGAGAGAGAGAGAGAGAGAGAGAGAGACTCTGTCTCAAAGACAAACAAACAAGTAAACAAAAAAACCTGATGTATATGGGGGCTGGTTGCCATTCTAACACAACGGGGTTTTAAATTATTTGGGGGAAACTTTCTTTGGAAAATAAAACATATTTGATCATTAAGGTGACCATGCATCCCACTTTCCTGGGAGGCTCATGGTTTATGCCTGTTGCCCAGTGTAATTGTTAACAGTGCCTCTTCACTCTCAAACGTGTCCCAGTTTAGATGACAAATTATCTGCTCATCATATTTATAATAGAGATTGGCAGAAAACTAGAATTTGCTTTAAATAGATACATTTATTCAGTAATGTGTAAGGGATGTTTTGTTAGATTCAATTTTATTGACTTCTTGTGAATATGGAAAAATTGGAATTTAAATGAAAAATGGTTCATCTATTAAACTAAAGAGAGACACTTCTGTTCTTTGAAGACATTATTATACCTATTTTAGCTTTTTCATTAGTAGAGGAAGTTTTGCTATATTATCCTAGATCATGCTATTGCTTCTACATTGTGCTAATAATCATTTTAAATCTATATTCTAAACCACTATTTTTTTTAGCTCCATAAGGTTATACAAACTCAAATTTGGCAAATTGTCTGTTACATGTAAGTAAATATTTTATGTTTACTTAAATATAAATATAAACCCTGTCTCATTCTGTTGCCTAGGCCGGAATGCCATGGTGTGATCATGATTCACTGCAGCCTCCACCTCCTGGATTTAAGCAATCCTCCCACTTCAGCTTCCCTAGTAGCTGGGACTACAGGTGTGCACAACCAGACCCAGCTAATTTTTACATTTTTTGTAGAGACAGGGTTTTACCATGTTGCCCATGGTGATCTTATACTCCAGGCTCAAATGATCCTCCTGCCTTGGCCTCCAAAAGTGCTGGTATTATAGGCATAAGCCACAACTCCCTGCCATCACTTTTTTTTTTTTTTTTTTTTTTTAGGATGAAGTCATTTCAAAATTTGCTTTCAAGGAAAATTTTCTGTAATATATACCAAGTGATGAATTATTTGAAATTTATTTTAATGCCTAAGGCCAAAATAATACATGAGTTTTGATATTACTTTGCATCATCATTGTCAACTAGTGATTGGTTCATTTCACAAGCTGCTTTAAAGAGAATTTTAGTGGCTGGGTGCAGTGTCTCACACCCAGCACTTTGGGAGGCCGAGGAGGTTGGATGGCTTGAGCTCAGGAGTTTGAGATCAGCCTGGGCAACATAGTGAAACCTTGTCTCTACAAAAAAAACAAAACGACAAAAACTAGCTAGGCATGGTGATGCATAACTGTAGTCCTCGGAGGCTGAAGTGGGAGGATCACTCGAGCCAGGGAGGTGGAGGTTGCTAAGCTGTGATAGTGCCACTACACTCCAGCCTGGGCAACAGAGTGAGACTCTGTCTCAAAAAAAAAAAAAAGAAAGAAAAGAAAAGAAAATTGTATATGTAATTACCTTCCTCAACTGTGGTAGACAATTTCAGTTCTTTCTAAAGTAATTTGGCAAATACCCCCAACACTGTTAGAGAAGGAAAACTTTTCATGTGGCTGATTGATGGACTTCTTATGATTTGACCAAATTTCAATATTATGTTTATCAAGTGGGTAGAGAAGAGAGGTGCTCCCTTTTCCCCTCCTGTCTATTCTCCTCCTGCCGCTGTTCTCTACCTCCCCTACCCGCAGACACACTGATGATGTATTGCAATCTTGGAACTGTTGGATCCTGGAGGAGGTTAAGAAACTAGAAAAAGGTGCCAAAAACATGATTTCATAAGGTTTGACTTGAGAATGAATCAACTTTCTTGAATATCTTAAAATCATGTTTCATGAAATTTTATTTCACAAAGAAAGGGAGTGTAGAAGACTTGAACTCTGAAGACCAACAGTTATGGATCATTAAATCCAATATGTAAATGTAAATCTAAAATAAAGAGTTCCAACAGAAAAATTTCAGAGTGATTTTTTTATTGTTGTTTAAAAGAACAGAGAGTTACATGGGAGATAACTAGACCTCTTTCCCTGAGGGTTTGTTTATAAAACATGCCTTAAAAGTTATTAAGGGATGCTGACTTTAAAAAAAAGTAGTAGATATGATTTTATTTAAATGACTATGATATAGATGAAGGAAATGCTATGGTGAGGAAATTCCTGGAATAAAAAAATAACAAAATGTTGGGATTTGACAACTACCTTCCAATGATAAATTTTATATTTGAAGATTTTTCATGAGGTTTAAATTCTAAAATTTGAAAATATTTATAGAAATCACAAAAATGAATTATATATCAATTATCATCTGTGCATGTTTATTTTCTATTGAATAAAGAATAGTATATGCAGAAATCTTATATTTAAGAATGCACAGTGTTAATTTTTATTACTAAGTTTTTATAGAGATATTCCTAACGCTAGCTAAATATTAATAAAAGATTATTATAATCAGCACTTCCCTTAAGGGATAGTGTAGGTATAGAAGGCATTGCCACTAATCAATCTAACTAATTAACAAAATCTTTTCTTAATAGTTGATTAGCTTCTTAGGTACTTGCAGATGTTGTAAAATGATATTTCTCTGTCTAGTTAGGAACCTTCTGAAGTAATTCTATGTCCACCACTATCCTGCTGACAGTTCACTTACGCCTAGTTGGCAAGAAACACGACGGGGGGTGAAGCAGAGCCATGTCATTGTTTGGAGGCAACACCATTGTGATTTTCTGTGGTTTACCAAGTTGGCTGTGGCATGCTAACATAACCAAATGTGGGCTTCCTTTAATTATCAGGGAGTAAGTAGAGTGGTAAACACTGAGGAATAGAACTAATTGAGTAAAGGTGAAAATGCTATTTCTGAAAGTGAGCAAGTAATTTTTTTTTTTTTTTTTTTTTTTTTTTTTTTTACTTTTATCAGTATTACAGAGAGCCATACAAGGGAGGAAAAGGGCAAAGGTATGTGGAAAATGTTGCCTGTGAAACTGGGAAACTACCTTGTGTTTTGGCTCCTAACAGATGCCCACTGTGATCTCCTCACCTCTCCTGGTTCTCACAGAGGGAAACTAAACTTAGCAATTCAGTTTTGGGGGAAGAGACCAGGGAAAGGAGTGGAGGATAAACTAAAGGACAAAGGTCAGTTTCAAAAAGCTGTTCTGCCAGATCTTGCTCAGAAAACTATTCAGGTATCCAAAGACTGAGAATAAAAGGAGATAGATGAAATTAGTCCAGTGGAAAAAAAAAAAGCCTAATGATAAATAAACATCTGGGGACAAAAAAGAAAGAACAAAGCAAAACTTCCTGTATTTCTTTTTTAAACATGAGTCACAGTCACTTCCCATTCTCCTTGTCAGATTCCTATAAAAAATTCAAAATAAAATTCAATTTTTAGATGATCCAGGTCTCAGATTTTTGGAGATTTTGCTCCCCTGCCAACTTTCCTCTTTCGCTTTTTAGGACTTGAGTCTTAAACAAACAACTAAGTAAAAAAGAAATATATTTCTATTTGGACATGAAAAAAAGCTATAGAGCAAACCCATTATCTTCCTTTCCTTTGTAAAGCTTTTTGTTTTGAGACTGGAGATAGTTTGGTCAGAAGAAGAAATTCTAACTCATGATTCTATGAAAAAAAGGAAATATAAAGATTCTTCTCCTAATTCAGTCTTCCACCACCTGCAGGGAGTCCAATTCTTAAAAAGTACTTCACAAAAGAAGACTGTGTTTTCAAAGCAAACTAGATTTTAAGAAACCCTATGTTCGAATGTAAATGAAAAAGCAAACGAGACATTTTCTAACCTTAAAGCATACTAAAAGATTTACTTTTTCAAGAATCCCAATGTATGGCAAATTTGAATTATATTTCATTAAACCAAGGTGTGTAACTATCTATTTTAATGAGTGAGCAAAACTGTCATGTGGCTGTGTACTCCTGACATTCCATATCTGAGTTTTAAGGGCTATGTAATATTAGGACCTTAATTGTAAAAGTACAAAAGTTTCCTCTTACATCTTTAAACTAACATACTTTGTAAAAGAGACCTTATCAGTATGGAAAATTCTAAGATTGTGTGTATTTCATAGATATGTATTTGTATTTTATCTCAAACCATTTTGTGGCTGTTGGAGAATGTATTTTTTATAGTATATTCAAATTGGAATTTTGTCATTCTTTTTTATATTTCTCTTCCAAAACACTATTTCTTCTATGTTGAATCTCTAATATATATTTGTGTTCATACATAAATGTAGATATATATTTGAACACACAGACACACACACATACATATAGGATTAAGATAACTATTTTACTTATGCCTCTTAAAATGACAGGATTTTAAAGTGACAATATGTTCATTTAAGTTCACATCATATGTACAGTTCTTTTTTTGGTTCGGTGTTTAGAGAATTCTTGATAATTTAGACTCTTCCACAATGAAAAGTAAAGCATTCTGTCACAAAAGCAGGGAGGATGAGACACAAGGTCAAAGGGCATTTTAGAAACAAACAGCTGGACCAATTTATTTAAACAGATAGAGGGATGGGGAACTGACCTCAGTTTGACTTATAGTGGGAGGAGCAAGAATGTCATTTTATTACTTTGCCCAGAAGGAAAATGTTTTTGTATCTGAATTCACCCTGAAGCCATCTAAACATGGCTCTGCTGTGTGTAGCATAATTCCAAAGAGAGAGGATGTATAAAATAGTCTGGGATAATGATAAAATACACTAAAGAGAATCAAATGTGGAGATTGTTTAAGGTCGAAAAGGTGATGTTGTTTTAAAAATAAAATATTTTGCTATTTACTTTGTTGTTTTCACATAGATGTCCATCATGACCCCAAATAATTAGTTGTTCATATAAGTGTAGTAATTGTAATTCAGTAACGTTCTGAGAGATTACTACATCCTATATGTACTAATGATATTTCATTATATTGAATTTTTTAAATTAAATGTTTCACAAGTAAGAAGTTGCAGGTAGACCTACTAATGTGGTCAAACAGCTCAGAAAAGGTGATTAGTTTTTCTCAGGTTTTCAGTGTTTTTGTTTATGTTTTATTTTTTAATTAAAGGTTTCCCCCTTTGATATCTACACATTCTAGGGGTAGCTGACATCTGTGTTCTTAATAACAACAAACAGTTCTTGCCACCAAAAAGAAGCAAATAACATCTAGTACCTGTGGGCAGTTGGCTAAGAGGCTGTGGTATTTTTTGTGTGTATTTGCTTTCTACCTGGGGATCAGAGCAGGCCTGGAATAAATGTCGTTGGTGTTGTCCACTGCAAGGCTTCAGGAGGACATAGACAAAGATCAGCCTACTGAGCAGAGAGTGGTCCAGGTATTGAATGGACTCAATATCCTAGAAGGACTCACATTCTAGCAGGCACTTTTTAAGAATCACTAATGTTTAACCTAAGGATTAGAGGGGAGAAGGCTATAAAGCATAATGGCTATGTTTAACTATTTGAAGGGCTATCCTGTGGAAGTAAAATTAGAATTGCTTACAGTACCCCAAGGAGTTGTGCTGATAAAACTATTAGGTTGGGTGCAAAAGTAATTGTTTTTTTTTTTTTTAATTATACTTTAAGTTCTAGGGTACATGTGCACAACGTGCAGGTTTGTTACATATGTATACATGTGCCATGTTGGTGTGCTGCCCCCATTAACTCGTCATTTACATTAGGTATATCTCCTAATGCTATCCCTTCCCCCTCCCCCTGTAATTGTTGTTTTTGCCACTGAAAGTAATGGCAAGACCGCAATTACTTTTGCACCAACATAAATATTTTTGATCTAGTAAGGCAGAACCTTCTAACAGCCTTGTTTATAGATGGGGTGGCCTCTTAAGTAAGGTGGTGAGTGCTGTATTAGTTCAGCAGAGGTTACCTATGTACTTTTGGGGGACAGATATCATATAGGGGATTCATGTCAGTGACCAAACGAAGTGACCATTACAGCCCTTTTGAAACCTGAGGTGTAATTTTTAAAAATGAACTCACGACTTTAATAGTCATAGACTCAAACCTGAGTTGATTATTATGAATTAGTTTATGGGAGTCTCAATATGTGAATATGATGGAGACAAGTTTTGGAATACAGATAAATCAAGTCACTGTATTCACTCTCTCTCTCTCTCTTTGAATAGCCTTATCTTTGCCTATACACACAAACAGTGCAGCCATCAAAATTTTCAATTTACAAAATGTTCACAGTCATGCTTCTTCCTTGACTAAACACTGGGGTTGCTGCCAGTGGTAATTGGCTTGAAACCAGCTAATTTTTATATATCTATTTAGTCTGGATATTCTAGATGAGTGGCACTATAGTTGCGGTGCTCTAGTCACTGTGCCAGAGCACCAGGGAGGAGGGTGCTTGCTACCACTGACAGCTGTGTGTCATTTAGCAAATTATTAACATCTCTTTGGTAACATGTGACCTCAAAGAAGTCACCTAATTTCTCTGAGCCCAGGCTTCTCATCTGTTAAAAATGTCTCTTCCTATTTTTAGGTAAGTAGTATAAGTCACATCCATAAAAGATTATGTTTTTAAAAAGTCTGGAAAAAGAAAGTTAATAGACAGAATTCCTTCCCTCTAAGAGTCTGCAGATAATGAACAGTACCATAGATAAAGAGATGTTTTTGCTCTCTTACCTACATTAGTTACTATGAAAATTACTTTTGGTATATGCAGAATATTAATATTAAATAATTTTCTAATTGGTCATGCAGTGAAGGCAGCTAATGAAAAAACAGATTTTTTTTCATTTTAATTGGTTATTTCACATGGTGTTTGTGCTACACCTGTGCTTATAATGAGAATGGAGAATTAATCTAACCTTCTGCTCACATGATTCCAGTTTTCATGGTTTATACAAGATAATGATAACCTGATTTGCAACACAATTTGTTGTAGACCTGTGTTTTAAATATTTTTATTAGCAGTTCAGGGACTTCATATACAAGAACTGATATAATATGTATTGCCAACAAGAATTAGCACAAACAGTATACCTTTTAGTTAGATTCTAGTTTCATTATTTGTTTCAATTACTTCTCAGATAATGAAAGAACACAAGGATACAGGATATTGAGAATCTTAAAATGTTATGAAGTATGCATTTTTGTTTTGAAAACCTGTCCCTGTCTGTTTAATGGTTTGGTTTTTAGGAACTATTTTCCTTCCTGAAGTGGGCAGATTTACAAACTAGAATTCATACTGGACTATGGATCCTTTAATCATTAATAGAGCCTTATTAAACTTTTCATTGTATTTTTTATGTCCTGCTCAGATTTGATCTGAGTTGGGAACTAAAAGGAATTTACTATTTCAGAATCTAATATGTCCTCTTCATTTTCTGGATTTGATACGTAATTTTTAATATTATGCAGAACAAACGGATCTTAAGAGAATCTCATGCGTATGACTCTGGAGAGCGTATATTAATACTTTTTTACATGTCAGTGACTTGTCACTTTTGGAGAGGCTACAAAAATAATTGTACAAAACTATCTTATTAAGGCACTTAAAGTAACTTAAGTGCCTTAATAAGATGTTTATAAATTTTCAGTACTAGCTGGAGAAAGCAAAACTATAAGTTCAATTACTGTATATCTGTGACCTTGCCTTGACCTCAGACTTTACATAAAGAGCAAAAAAAAAAAAAACAACAACAACAAAAAAAGCCACCCCAAGAAATCTCTACAAGGAATGCATTTCTCTGAAGTCCTAAGCAGTGTGAGTTAGTGGTGATAAACTCCAGACATTCTCTCATTTGATGGTGTGCTGCCATCCCAGTTCATTATCTTAATAGTGGGCATTAAAATAGAATTAGGTTTGCAAGAGGTAGGGGTGGTTTTGATAAAAATTGTACAAAAGAAGTCAGAGAACATAAGATTGAAATGTCACTAATTAGGAGAGGTAACAGATGCCCTTATGAGCATCTAACTCTTTACACCAATTTTCTCTCTTTGCAAATGAAAGGAGTGGTGGCTAGTATTGTTTCCTGAAAACTCTGCTAATTCCCCCATGAAAAGATGAAATGGAAGTGTCCAACTGTGGTAAAACAGGCAAACATAAATCAACTCAGAAACCCCAAGCCTGTGTACTCAAAGGTCACTGGGGGTTACAGGTTTTCCAGCACGTGAGGCTGCACATAGAGCAATGGAGAGAACTGAAGGAGTCCCATTTTGCCAAGATCTAGTTTTACTCCAACTGCGATTCATCTTTTCCTCTTCCTCAACCCCCCCTTTTATTTTTAAGGAATAACGATTTGTTTCACTTTCTTGGTTACAGGTTTATTAATGCCCGGAGAAGAATAGTGCAGCCCATGATAGACCAGTCCAACCGAGCAGGCAAGTCCCCCATAGTGACTGTATTCAAGTCACGCAAGCGAAAACCATCCTCAAGCCATTCACCGGGAGGTCCGCTACCTGGTAAATAAACTGGGAGTGAGTATAGGAACGCCTGGCAATTAAAATTAAACCAGTTTCGTTTCATAACAACACTAATCAATTTAACATCATTATAAAACGTTTGGAGAAGGTGGAAAAAAAAAGCCAACAGAGAAAAGTAACTCTTAAATAATATGCTCAGTTACAATATTCTTTGTACACATTCAATATATTAATGTTATTTTTTTTCTGAGTTTGCCTTCCCAGCTCTTTCTGCTACTATGACCACTCCCTGGTGCATGGCTTGGTGTGGAATTGCTGTAAACTTTATTACCTGTCAAAAGGGCAAAGGGGTCAGGATTGCTTGTGGGACTCAGTAAAGTTCAAAGACATTCAATGAGGTAGAGCTTTTGTGTGCTTTAATAACCCAAGGCAGCTTACTTCTGAAGCAGCTTTTCATGTACAGTTAAAACACGGGATTCAGGTAGTGGTATAAATACATGGTTCTTATTTCTCAGACCTTCTCTTGTTAATATCCATCTTCTGGTGTTCGACTTTTTTTTTTTTTAATAACAGTCTTTTTGTTTTGTTTTTAAATTATGAGCTTAAAATGGCGATACTTCTATGGGATCCTGGCTTGTGGATCTAAAAATCCAAGAAACATCTCTCTAGGATTTGTTTTTGCATTATAATATGCCAGTAAGATAACAAGAGTATTTGCTAGGGGTGATGTGAGTCTTTACTTTCTTTATGAAATACTCTCTCATCTCTTAGGGAGCACTATGGAAAACTATGTTAGCATCGCATTGAGGCAACACACATTTACTCCTGTAACTTTTTTTCTTCCAACACCCATTATGTGGTCACCAGACAAAACCCAAGCAGAAAGTTTCCACACCTTAACTGTTCCCTCTTTGAGCTAGATGTTTTAAAAACTCAGTCACAGAGGTGTGTAGATCTAGTCTGAGAGAAATTTCACTTTGAATGTTTAAAAAATTATACTAGCCTGCTATGTTCTGTCTCTTTCTCTGGTATGTTCTCCTCTTAGTCTCTCTTGGGCTATTTCTTTTGCTCTCAGAGACTGTTATTAAAAAACCACATTCTGTACTTTTGTAGTAAGTCAAGGAACACCTTATAATCCTGATGGACAGCCCATGGGAGGTTTCGTAATGGACGGTCAGCAACATATGGGAATTAGAGCACCAGGTAAGACTTTGTTTTTGTGGTAGTTCCTCATTTTTGACTCCAAGAGTGTCATCCCCTCATCAACACAGGTAAATCCGCCTCATCCTTTTCTGTTATCTCAAGCTGGCTGCCTTGCCTTGTCTGCTATCTGTGCATCTAAGATATTGCAGAGGGGAAGCCAGGATCTTTATGCACTGAAGATCTCACTATTTCTCAACCCTCTAGATCCTGTTTTTTTTTTAAGGGTCTTTTGGCACTATCTGTTGACTTTGCTCATTTTCTGGCCTCTTCTTGGATTTTTATCTCCCTTCTAGGACCTATGAGTGGAATGGGCATGAATATGGGCATGGAGGGGCAGTGGCACTACATGTAACCTTCATCTAGTTAACCAATCGCAAAGCAAGGGGGAAGTAAGTACAAATGGGGTCTTTGTTTTCACTTTGTCCTAGGAATATTTTTCCTCTTGCATTTTCTTATGTTCTCCTTGCCCATAGCTTCATGCTTGTTCATTCCTTTCCATTAAACTCCTGGTTTCTTGCTTCCATCATTTTCTTTTTGGTTGTGATCAAGCTTTTAAGCTTATAAATACTGTGTATGATGTACATTTATCCTGTGTGTTGCTATTGTACAGTACTGACCACATGACAAAACAAGAAGCAGTCAGGAGGTGGGGGAGTGGGTTGTCATAGCAACAGACTGATTTGCAAAATGTAAGCAGTCTGCAGCAGTGCAAGGAGAGGGAAGAGCATGTCCCCAAAGTGTCATAAATCTGTCTAACCGCAGTTGATGCATGAGTTACATTTCTACACTAACCTGCAAGACACCGAAAAGCTAAACAGAGACTTCTTTTAGGTAAAATAAACACAAGCTTTACTTAGGGTAAGTAAAGGCATATTTTGAGCTCCAGTCAACTAAACTTTGATTTTTTTTCTTAGTTTATTCCTTTGTCTGTCCATCATAATGGGATTACGTGTGGCAATGGGAAAAGGGAGAATACAAAATAGAGGTGTGCACAGCAGGCTGCGGGGCTTAGCCCAGGCTAATTGACTATATCCAAATTAAGTATGCCATCACTTGCAGTGTGACAAATGGATTTGACTTATTCAGTATACAAAAATAGAGATCATTAATGCAATCATCAGTGGCAGGCCTAGTGAAGTGGGCCTAGGAAAACTGTCCCAGATTCTCACTCTTGCATTTTCTCTCCTATAAAGACACTCCAGCAATTCGAGTTCAAACAAGTAAAACTGTTTTGAACACCAAGGCTCTTGTTCACTTCCTAAATTACCCCTAATAGCACTGTTCTTGCTTTGTTTTTGAAATTAAAAGCAGTTATTTCAGAGTCTTGCTTGTGTCTCTGATTATATTTATGCACTATTTAAAATCACTGCTGAGGCCAGGGGTAATTCGTACTGGTCATCTTCTCTGGGTGTGAGTCAAATATAAGTTTAACAATTAGCTCTGAAAACATTCCATTGAGCTGGGGAATGCAACAGTCTTATTACCTCATCATGGAATTCTCTAGCTTAGTTAATTTAAATATTGTTTCTTAGTTTCTGGGTCAATTAAATTTAAATGATGTATTTTATGCTTCGTGACCAATTAAATTACTAGGTTATTACAAAAAAAATTATCATCTTTTTTGATTAAAGAGCTGTGGGTACAGTATATTTTATAAGCAATTTTCATTAGTTCAAAAATGTTCCTTTAGGCTAGATTAAGCAGCCATTCATTGTTAGAGCCTGGAGACCTTATTCGAAGGTGTTCATCGTATTCACAGTGCACTATTACTTAGAACTAAAGCCAATTGAACCTACTTAGCAATAGCGTTATGCCTTTCACCCTTGATGATTATGGAGCTTATAGCTCTCAGAAACAATACACCTGTCAGTTTCCATCAACTATAGCAATCCATGCAGAAGACAAGAGGCCCCCTCAAAGCAGGAGGGGTATTGTTTTAGGTCCAATTTTTCTTATTGTTCTCAAAATCATTATAAGGTGGACAGTGTTTTGTGAAGATTTTCTTTTCCCCAGCTCTAAGAAACCATGTGGAAAGAATTCATTGATAACTGTTTTGATTTTTTTCTTTTTTTAAGTACAGGTTTTGCTAAGTAATCACCCTTAGTGAGCCTGTGTAGTTCAGCTGCCTGTGAGATGTTTGGTGACCAGCTCAGTGTATTCTTGTATTCTTGATAGAGAATATTTCAGGAGACAAAAGTGCTTCTTCAGACCAGACCTCAAATAACAATTTTATTCTTTTTAATAAATAAGACCTCAGTAGGCGGACCTGATAACAGTGACAATGAAAGGAAAATAGTGGCAAAATGTGAGTTTCCAGCATGATGTTTCTCATTTTATTTTCTTCTGTATGAATCAAAAGAATGCTTTACAAAACCATGTTCCCTTAATCACAGGGTTCTCTGGCTTTTATAGGATTGTCATAGCCAGGACCACACTATTGCTTTTTCATAACATTTTCTTTTTGTTTCTTTCTTTTGAATTTCTTACAGGGCTGCAAAGTATGCCAGGGGAGTATGTAGCCCGGGGTGGTCCAATGGGTGTGAGTATGGGACAGCCAAGTTATACCCAACCCCAGATGCCCCCCCATCCTGCTCAGCTGCGTCATGGGCCCCCCATGCATACGTACATTCCTGGACACCCTCACCACCCAACAGTGATGATGCATGGAGGACCGCCCCACCCTGGAATGCCAATGTCAGCATCAAGCCCCACAGTTCTTAATACAGGAGACCCAACAATGAGTGGACAAGTCATGGACATTCATGCTCAGTAGCTTAAGGGAATATGCATTGTCTGCAATGGTGACTGATTTCAAATCATGTTTTTTCTGCAATGACTGTGGAGTTCCATTCTTGGCATCTACTCTGGACCAAGGAGCATCCCTAATTCTTCATAGGGACCTTTAAAAAGCAGGAAATACCAACTGAAGTCAATTTGGGGGACATGCTAAATAACTATATAAGACATTAAGAGAACAAAGAGTGAAATATTGTAAATGCTATTATACTGTTATCCATATTACGTTGTTTCTTATAGATTTTTTAAAAAAAATGTGAAATTTTTCCACACTATGTGTGTTGTTTCCATAGCTCTTCACTTCCTCCAGAAGCCTCCTTACATTAAAAAGCCTTACAGTTATCCTGCAAGGGACAGGAAGGTCTGATTTGCAGGATTTTTAGAGCATTAAAATAACTATCAGGCAGAAGAATCTTTCTTCTCGCCTAGGATTTCAGCCATGCGCGCGCTCTCTCTCTTTCTCTCTCTTTTCCTCTCTCTCCCTCTTTCTAGCCTGGGGCTTGAATTTGCATGTCTAATTCATTTACTCACCATATTTGAATTGGCCTGAACAGATGTAAATCGGGAAGGATGGGAAAAACTGCAGTCATCAACAATGATTAATCAGCTGTTGCAGGCAGTGTCTTAAGGAGACTGGTAGGAGGAGGCATGGAAACCAAAAGGCCGTGTGTTTAGAAGCCTAATTGTCACATCAAGCATCATTGTCCCCATGCAACAACCACCACCTTATACATCACTTCCTGTTTTAAGCAGCTCTAAAACATAGACTGAAGATTTATTTTTAATATGTTGACTTTATTTCTGAGCAAAGCATCGGTCATGTGTGTATTTTTTCATAGTCCCACCTTGGAGCATTTATGTAGACATTGTAAATAAATTTTGTGCAAAAAGGACTGGAAAAATGAACTGTATTATTGCAATTTTTTTTTGTAAAAGTAGCAGTTTGGTATGAGTTGGCATGCATACAAGATTTACTAAGTGGGATAAGCTAATTATACTTTTTGTTGTGGATAAACAAATGCTTGTTGATAGCCTTTTTCTATCAAGAAACCAAGGAGCTAATTATTAATAACAATCATTGCACACTGAGTCTTAGCGTTTCTGATGGAAACAGTTTGGATTGTATAATAACGCCAAGCCCAGTTGTAGTCGTTTGAGTGCAGTAATGAAATCTGAATCTAAAATAAAAACAAGATTATTTTTGTCATGCTGACTCCACTGCTTGAAAAATTTGTTTACTGCCCCCCAGATTTTTAAAGATTAATACAGTAAATATAAAAATTAATTTTGGCTCCCTAAGCCATATATGTATTTGACAATTTTAACCGCAAAGTAAGTTGTTTAATAATAACCACTGATTTCTTTAAGCTGACTTAATGAACTCCTAATATCAGCAAATTTGAGGCCTAAAGGCACTAAACTAACTCTAGACTCAGAATTACATCCAACAGAATTACTCATCTAATATCAGTGAAATTATTCTTGCACATAAAGGCAAACCTAAGTACAAAGTTAAGTCTTTTACTAAAGGATGTTACCTAGGATGAGCAGTATATGTTTATTAGGAAATTAACTACATGAATTGAAGAGACCAGACTTCAAAATCTAATTTTTATAAATATGCTCTATGTTCTCATTGGATAAAACTGGTTATTAACCAATTTTCCAGAACAGCTGTACAAGATTTCTGCATGGCAGCCGGCTAAATGGTAGAAAATAATATGTTTAAGCTGGAATAGCTTATAATTTTATTTAAATAAAATTGCTGCTATAAAAAGTGCTTCCCAAAGCTAAGGAAAATATACAAATATTTTAATTAAGGCAAATTCGTTTTAAAAAATAAGCCTTTCAGTAGTGATTGCTTTGTAAACAAAGGATGGGTCGGAGGAGAGAGAGCCTTAAACTCAAGTCTGACATTCAGGCCCAAGTCACCCTATAAACCGGCCCTTAGCAATTCTATTTTCTATTCGAAAAGAGAAACCAGCTGTGGGTTGGCTTTACTAGGTGATGTGTGATTGACTGACTCACCTGCTGGAGTAGCAATGCATTCTCACCTTTTGCTGATGGGGCCTTGTTTCTAAACACGTGGATGCGCAGAGAGCAAGGCTCAGCCTACTGCAGCCATCTCTGGCAGCGCTTCTACCCCTCCCCAGCCCATAGATGGGATTGTTTAAATCTCCCTTGTTGACCTAGTGGCAATTCTTCCTCTACCTAAATAGTCGATGTGAGTGAAATCATTCTCTTTTGATAGGTGGTTGCTAGCAGTTAACAACCATTTATTTACTTTAACAATTAATAATAAACTTTATAAACTGTCTATTTGCTCCTCCTCTCCAGTACATGCCCGGGTGAGTTGGTTATTTTCAGCCTTTATTCCTGAGGAGGCTCAGGATGGGTGGGGGAGGGAAAGAAAGGGGAGGAGGTGTGGTGGGGAGAGGGAGAGAGGCGAGAGGGAGAGACAGAGAGAAAGAGAGAGGCGCTAGGGGAGGGAGGTTTACAAGTGAAGAGTAGTTAGGGAATATGGTGACTCTGAAGAATCGAGATCAGCAGTGTCCAGGAATTAGAAAAAATAAACTGCTATTTCCGTGAGTTCCCCCTCTGTGAGCCATTTAGGTGAGAGCCTCGCTCTTCGCAGTTCCTTTCTTCCCCTGCCTCGATGCCCTCCCCTCTTAATGCTATTTTAGCTTTTCCTCTTGTAAATTTCAGAGCCAGCTCGAAGGTTATTGAGGACACTTATCCGAAAGAGGCAAATAATAGAGGTGCTGAGAGTGTTTTTGATGTTTCCTAAAAGGCAAAAACAAAACGCCCTCCTCTAAACAAGGGCACAAAATTGTACCTGGTTTTTATTTTTATTTGGTGGTGGGGGGGTGGGGGGGTGGGGGGGGGGTGGAAAGGGGGCTGGCTCTGGCTGAATGAGACTACTTTTTAATATGATTTAAATTTTTTTTTCAAAAAATTAAAAATATTTTACCCTATCATATTTAATCAGCTGTAATTATAACACATTCAAAATGAATAATATGCCTTGACAGTATTTTTATTGTTATTGTTCATTGCATGATGTTCGACTGCTTTAGAAGCACAGGAAAGAGAAGTAAACGCGCTACAAATGGGGAATTACCCTCGTTTAGCATTAAAATTCATTTAGATAAAATTGCCACAAACATTTAAATGGGAAGATTAGTTCCCCCTCACGCCTTATTGCACTCGCTCAATGGTTCCGTTAAGAACATTTTACACGTTGGAAATTCCGTCTTCTCAGACGGCTTGCTGTTTCCTAGTTACCCACATTCAAAGCAAAGGCAGCAGCAAAGGCAGCCGCAGCAGCAGCAGCAGGGAAAAAAAAAAAGTTTTGGCAACTGGTCTGCAATTCATCCGCTGCTCGCCCCAGTCTCCCCTCCGCCCGCTGCAGTCTGCCCCCACCCCTTCCCCTTCCCCACCCCTACCTCTTTCCCCTCATTATGTAATTCGCAGAGTCCAGTCCTCGAGGAAACACGTTGCCTAGTTGTGTAGTATTTATATACAATGTTAAAATACAAAGAAAGACCCTAAAGTCAGTCGAGTCGGTTCCTCTCTGGGTCTCCCTCTCCCTCTCCTGTTCTAAAATGAAGATTTAGCTTGAATGTGCTGAGTTTCTCACATCCCGTACCCTGAGGCCACAAGGCACGTTTTTTGGCTTTCATTTCTGCCAGGACTTTTCCAGGAAATTCACCACTGCTTTTCGCTTGTATTAGAAACGTGTGAAAGAATTCGTCTGAAAAGTCCATGCACCGTCTAGCTTTTCTCTCCCCCCTTTTTTTCTTCTCCTTCTCCTCCTCCTCCTTCTCTCTCTCTGTCTCTCTCTCTCTCTCCGCCCCCCACTCTCGCACTCCCCCATCCTCCTCTCTCCCCCTCCCTTCGCAGAGCCACAGGAAAAGAGGAAAGTCGGCTTCGACTGCCATCTTTTGGGGATTTCGAAAAACGACTCGGTAGGAAACGGAGGGAGGCGGAGGCGCGGGAGTGGGGGAAACCCCCTTATTATCCAGTGTCGGAACTGGCTCCCTTAATCTGATGCTTAAATATTTGATGTGGAAAAATTACCCATAAAATTAGTTACTAACAATTTCAAATTGAAATCACTTATCGAATTATAAACGCATTAAAGCTGTATGGATGGTATTAGGAGTTCCTCGGGAGGCAGCGGGTGTCTCCTTGAAGTGAGCCAGGCGGGCGAGTTTCGCCCCGGGGAAAAGAGCCCCCAGCCGAGCCCGGGGGCAAGGCCGGGAGGGCGGCGCTGCAACCTGGGCGCAGGGTCCGGGTCAGGGGGATCGAGCGGGCGGCCGGGTCCTGGTGGAGGCTGCGGCTGCTTCGGCTCGCGGGGGCGGGGAGAAGGGGAGGGGAAGGAGCCTTGGTGGGAGGCTCCGACCCCGGAGCAGAGGCGCCTACCAGCAAACTTCGTAGTGAAGTCGAAGGATTCTGAAAAGGAAAAACGCAAGCCCTGCCCTCCCCCTCCCTCTCGCGTCTCCCACGCGGCGTGCAGACTTCGCGCTCGACTTTGCGATCGGGGTTAGTTGCTGTGTGCAGTGTCCCCCAAGTCTGCGGGAGGAGCGGAAGGGTATAGGCTCCAGTCCTGGGGTTGGGCCCGGCTCCGTGCCCCGAGAGGAAATCCAGCGGGCAACTGCGCAGAGCTCCAGCCAGGACGTGCTACCCCTGAGTCCCTCGATGCGCTGGGTCCCGGCCTAGGCCCCAGTGCGTGGGCGGGCAGGTCTTTGCCCAGAGACCACAGCTCTGGTCGCGGGGGGTGGCGGGGGTGGGGGGGCTGCACGGGCGCCTGCCTTACCCTCCTGCCCTCACCCCCATCTGAGTCTAGTCTAAGGGACTGTTGACTTTGTCTCTGGAGATGGGGCGACCAGGGGTCTGCGAAGGAGGTTGTGGAGAGGCACCTCCTGGGTGCAGGTCCGGGCGCTCTTTCCTCGGAACCTCACGGAGTGCTTTGTAGTAGCCTGGAGACTTCCTAATAGACTTTGCCACATCGGGGGCCCCAGACTCCAGAGTCCCATAGTGGCCCTGGGAGCGCGACCCAGAGAGCCTGGGGGCTGGAGGGCACATGGAACGCGTGCACGGCCCACTAGGAGGGCGTTGGGAGGAGAGTGCCCGAGTCTGGAGCCGCAGCCGGGAAGCCGTAGACAGCACCCCGACGCCTTAGGCAGAAGCTCCTCAGGATCACTTTAAAAGCTCTGCAAACTTTCCCCAGCCTTTCGGATACCCTCAGGCCCTTGGCCCACCGGAAGGCAGTAAAAACGTAACTTCATGCTGCAAAGCTCCCGGGTAGGCGCTTGGACGCCGATGGAGAGAGGCGTGGAACTGGGTAGTGGGGCGCCCTGCCTGGCTGGGCACTTTTCCTTGTCTCATTCTCGTCTCCCATGCCATGCCTTACCCACTGGCTGCTAGCGGCGCGTTTCACTTAAGGTGGCCACGGTGCGGAGACTACAGGAGCCTGGGAATCCCAGGGTTTGGGGAAAAAGTAGTGAGCGAGAAAGGTGGGGTCGGGGACCTGAGGAAGACAGCTGATGGCTGGGAGAGGGAGGGCTCCCTTTTCGGCCCGCTCTACCCGCCAAGGAGTCTGAAACATTCTCTCCCTAGGCGGAGCTGAAAGGAAAAACAAACAACGTATTGAGCAATCAGTTCGCCAACATTTGAGCTTTAAAGCGCCTTTGCTCTGAAAATAGTACCCTGGGGGTCTCAGTGGGGAGATGGGGGAAGCATTTTTAGGGCCTTGATTCTGGCTTGCCGCGCCCCACGGGTCACCCCTCCGCGCGCTGCCTCCTGACATCCCGGCGCTCTCAGCCCACTGAGGGGAAACCCGGGCGGTGCAGCCCTGGAGAAAAGGGATTTAGTTTTAAGCCAGTCTCCCATCGATCGGGTCGGTAATTTCTACCCCTGCCCACTCGCAGACACACTCACCTCTACCCTAAAGCATTAAGGTCATTACGCGAGCAATGATCTTAATTTCCAGGCGGAAAACGAGTCCCGGGACCTCGCCGATTGGGGAAGCAGTGAATAAAGTCACCTGCTTCAGGCACCCGCTTGGCCCGCTCCTCCCGGTGGGGGCCGTGTGTGGCAGGGAGCGCCGAGCGGGGGTCCCTAGCTCCACGCCGAGGCGGACCGGGCAGGGGTCAGAAACCCTGTGTCTGTTTTCTGCGGGGTGACGACCTCCTGTAAGGGTGGGATTGCTTTTGCTTGCTTTCCTTCTCCCCTCCCTCTGCCTTTCTTCCTAGGCCTCCCTCACATCTCAGTACTCTTTCTTCCTCCTCCCCTCCCCCAAAGTGGCAAGTTCCCCTTCTCCACCTAGTGTCCAGAGGTTCTGCCCCTCTCCTAGTCCCCCGCTGCCTCAGGGCCGTCGCAGAAGTCTGGTAGCCCGACGCCTTTTTGCGCCCATCTACCTCGCCCACCTTTCTGGGCATGGGTGGGGTGGGGAATGTTCAGTGAGGCCCTTTTGAAGCCGCTTGCTGAGGGCACCCTGAGGCTTTAAAGAACCAGATTTCTCGATTTAGGGACGATCTCTGCGCCCATTGATAACTCCATCCCAAAGAAACCCAGCACAGCAGCAAACACCCCCAGCAGTCGCCTGCTCCTCAGCCCCCGCCTTGGCACAGAGCAGCGTCTGGCACTGCGGGGAGATGGAGGCGAGCCACGCGCACCCGTTCCCTTACTGGCCGACCCGCGAGGCGCCAGCTTGTTCTGGAGACTCAGTTTCCACTGGACAAAAGCAGGGGAAACACAACGCAAGGGCTGTGCAAATCCACGTTCCCGACGCCCCTCCACCCCATCCCAATCTGATTTTTGAGACGTGCATTTTCAGGTAGTCCTAAACTGTGAACAGCGAGCTTTGTGTGTTATCTAGTGGGGGTGGGGATGAAAGGGGAGGAGACTCCCACTGCCCGTTCCAGTCTTTAATGTTTGAAATAACGAAATGCCTTGTGTAGCAGCTGCTGCTTGAGCCAAAACTAACTCTTTGGAAGACGGAAAAGAGTGAAAGGCAAAGAAAGACTGTTCATTTTTTTTCTTTTGGTGCCGTTTGGGATGTCATCTGTTTCCTTGGCGACTGTGTTCAGCCCCCGGAGCCCCTGGGCTCCTGGATTGTTAGGGGGGAAAAGCATGCTATTTCTGCACCGTCATTTATCACTGTCACCGCATAATGATTCCCCTTGCAGCCCCTTATTGATGTTTGTAATTGCATTATCTCATAAAGGAGGATGATCAATGAAACCGAGCCGTGCATTCTGGGGTCAGAGGAAGCCAAAGTACTGTTTGTCCCCTTTAATACAACAAGTACTCATTATCTTTAGGTCTGCATTCAAAAAATGATCTGATCTAGGGCTGACCCTGTCGGACATCCCAACACTTTCTAAAACGCGGTTTGTGTAACCTTTTGCTTAAATGCTAAATCAAGTACCTGTCTTGCATTTCAACGAAACAAGATGCTAAAACTGAATGAAAAAAAAGCATTTCTTTTTTTTTTTTCCCCCTGGGAGGGGTGCGATCGTCTGAAGGTGCATGAGATTTTACACTGTAACTGCTTGGTAATATAATACAGAAAAGGCAATCCCAATCCACATGAGTCCTAATAAATAGAAAAAAAATTGGGGATGAGGGGAAAAAGGCAGGTAGCTGGGAGCTTTTAACAAGGTCGGTACTAAAAGATCAGAATAAAACCACATCCAGTTTAATTAATAATAGCTATAAACTGAAATAATTCCCCATGATTCTGCCCTTGCTTCTCCTTTTTACAGAGTCATATCTCTTCAGTTTAGAGAAATGACTTTTGTGGCTGTTCGATTCTCACAACAACAATAACTAAATCAGTTGCACACTGTTATCTAAAACCATCTACAAACTCCAGCAAATAAAAAGAAGTTCATTTGTCTATTAAGGCAAGCATTTAGTTGAGCAGAAATATCCCAGTAACACTGAATAGAGTTCGTGTAATCCTATGGAAATCAAGTCATCTTGTTGCACTGAAGTAAATGAAAAAATACAAAGGAGAAAAGGTCCAAGTGTAATTGTAATTTTAAACTAAATGCATTATTGGACTGTCACAGTGAAAACGTGATTGTTCGGCTGCGGGGGGGGGGGCGGGGGGCGGCGAGTGGACATAAACTTAGCTCACATTTAACTTAAAGGTTTCAGAAAGGAAATATGTATTCCATATTTGGTGATCATTTGTGGAAAGAGGAGAAATTGAAACAATTCTAACCCATCATTTTAGTATACTAGGGGGAATCATTCCTTCAAAAGCAGAATTAAGCAAAAAGCTTATTTTAAACATTGCAAGTCTGTATTAGCAGAAAAAAAAAGTTTCAAATTTTCTGAAAATGTATGTCCTCTCTATGTTAATAAGATGTTGACAGAGAGAAAGAGAGAGAGAGAGAGAAACTAAGTTCAGGTGTTTTATTTTTTAAGTTCTAGATACTTCTAAATTAACGATATAAATTAATGTTTTACATAAAAAGATCTAAATGAAAAGTTTTCATTATAGTTGAGAAAATGAGTACTTAGAGTGTGCTCTGATAATTTGACACATTGACATAAAACCTTAAATTGAATAATAAAACAAACGGCTAAAATATTCCCCCTTGGAAAAATAACTTTAATAATAAAGCTAGAAAAGTTTTAACTGTGTTGAACCATCACTTTTTTCTCTGGAAGGCAGATTATCCTAAAGAGTATTATTTTCCAGAAATTCTGTCAAGGCACTTTGAAATAATATATGTTTGTATTATTTAATATTCTGACACTTCCGTTCTTTGAAAATGCTCAGACTGGAATGGATACGTAGCCATGCATATATTTAATATAAATGGTATCTTGTCGTTAACATAAAATATTAAAGAGAAAATAAAACTTTGGGCTTTGTCAGTTAAGATAGAATTTTTTAGCATAATACTCTGATTTTCAAAACATAAAATTGAAACCCCTTGATTTTAACCAATCAACACAAGTCTTTCTCTTATTTGGTTGGGGATCTGCATCATATACTCTTTCTATTTTTAATATTTAGTGTTGTAGCCCACTGTTAAAATAATGAAAAATTAGTCTCGTTTCAAAATTATTTATTTATGGAACGAACATGATTAAAACATAAACACACAAACTGCAGCTGCAACAGAAAAAAAACTTGATTTATGGTTATTAAATCTTTGATCGCCATGTTAATGTTTCTTTTTCTACCTTTCATTTGCATTTTAATCTATCGAATCTTTACAGTTTTGCTGCCTCCTATTTCAATGATTGATTACAGATCTGAAATAAGAAAAACCAAGCCTAGCTTTTCTTTTCCTTTCTTCGCTTTCTTTTTTCTCTTTTTCTTTTCCCCCCCTCCCTTTCCCCCCGGGTAGATTTCTGAAACTTTCTCTCAATGCTAATGTAGACAGGACAAATTAATTCTGCTCTTTTAAATGTCAAAGATATAAATAAAAAATGTTTTCTGTCCCAAACGTGAATATTTTCCCAGCTGCTTGTTTTCGAGTCGTAAAAGATCATCCCAGCAAAATGCAATTAACAGCGAAACACACACACATACACTCACACACTCGGCGGTGCGGAATTTTTTTAAAGGACGTGTTGTTCTGAGTTGAAGAAAGGTGAGAAGTTCACCGTCCCTTCACCATCAGTAGCCTCGCTGCGGCTCTCCTCTCTCTCTCTCTCTCTCTCTCTCTCACACACACACACACACACACACACTTGGAGGTTTGGTCCCTAGTTCTATCTGTGATCTAAGTCACACAAACAAAAACAAGCTTGGTGGCAGCTTGTTGTTGTTGAGTGTTGTTGAGTTGATTTCTTGAGATAAGCAGTGTAAAGACAAAAGGGGGAGCGATGCAGGTCTGTTTGTTTTCTTTCCCCGCCGCCCCACTGTCCCTTTTCTCGTCTCCCCGCGCACCTCCCCAGACGCCCTGCCGGGGTGGCTCCGCGGATGAGGCGGTCATTTGCTGTCCGCTTTGCGGGGACGGGTCACTTTCCGCGCTGGCGTGAAAGCAAATGTGGAGCTGCTTTTGGAAGGCGCCGGCCGGACGTCGGCTAGGCTCCTTCTCCCCGCGGGCTGGGGGCCCTGGGGCTCTGCAAGGCTCTGGCTCCGAACAGATTGCGCCTCCCGCCTGGCTGCCAGTAGGAACTGGGGTGGGAGCCGCGTAACTAACAGTTGCGCGCAGGAGGCGAGCCCCAGGTGTGAGCGCAGAGGCTCTCTCCCCAGCCCGCGGGTCTGGGAACCTTTCAGGACGCCTCCCTCCCCAACTCCTACCCATGCGTCTGCTCCCTAGGCCGAGCCCCCCTCGTGAGGTTTTAATGACCGCGGACGCAGGGGAGCCCGCACTTGAGCGAGGACCGACTTCTCTGGCGGGTCCACGCTGCTCGCGCTTGCGTCCGCGGGTAGCGCGCTGTGCCCGGGTCAGGGGGCGAGCTGCGAGAAGTAGGAGGGGTCAAGACCCCCAGAAATCCCTCCATGGGCACACACACAATCAAGAATAGGGTTGAGGGTCTTGAGAGGTAGAACTACCCTAGGCAGGGCTTCTCCAACTCGGCCTTTGGACCCCGCGCGCGCCCAAGGGCGTGCCCACCGCGGAAGCACAGATCATCTTCCCGGGACTGGGTCTCCTGGACCCTGCGTTGCTCCCTTTTTCCTAGCGGCCCCGTAGCTGGCTGCCGCATGTAGGGCGATCTTCATTAACTTGGACGCCCAACGTGATTGAAATAGAGAGGAGGAAAAAACACATTTGATCTGGGCCGACCCTTTGTCTTGAAGCAGATTAGGCAGCCTAGAAATAGGAGGAAAAACAGAAAGTCTAGGCAGGAAAACTTATTGTGTTCACAACATATAAAAATGATCCGAGCGGTCTGGTACCTCAAGGGGTGAAGATAGATCCTTGTAGACGAGTGTGAAGACATGACTGGGAAGATTTAAAGTGAAAGAAACGGCAGATTATTAAGAAAGTAATAGTAAGGTGTCCCATACACTACAGTTTTATTGTTGGGTAGTAACTACCCGATTTATTTATTGCCGGGGCTATATAATAGAGATAATGACCACAAACTCAAGATAAATTCTTATGCGCCCAGCCGGTCAATTCTTTTTTATTTAAGAGAGTGAGCCTGAAGGGTGAGCCTCATCCCCTCCCCTCCTCGAAGATCCGTCTTGCTTTCTACCATATTATAAGCATGACATGCAAATAAATAAGTGCTGCTGGGTCTGTGTGGGTAGGCCGGCAGGATTTATTTCAGGTGACGGAGGAACATACACGGAATATGAATTTCCGCAGGAGTGGCGCCGTGATTCCTTCCCTCTCCCTCTCGGCCGCCCTCTCCTCAGGGTCTCCCTCCTTTTCTGTGGGAGCAGAGAGCATCCCCTGTTAAAAACATTAACGTGTCATGTCTCAGCTCCCTATTCCTTGACATATAGGTCTGGGGAGGGATGGGGGCACTGCAAAATGCAAAACGCATGCCCAAAGTAGGTTGACTTGCTGGGACTGCTCAAAGCGATTCTGGTGGACAAAGAGAAGGGTGAGTTGTAATTATGACTTCCAGTAGGGGAGCAGTATAGGAAGTATGTTAATATCATTTTGAAATATGCACAATGGTCCAAAAGTTTACTGTCCCGGATCTGGCATGGGTCCTCCCCAGCCGGATGGACCCCAAGGGGAGCCCTCCTGGCACCTTGGGACATGCCCGCCTCTCTTGGCCCTCGGTTTCTCTCTCTGGGAGCCAGGTAAACACCCCCCTGGCCAGGTGATGGAGTTAAAGATGACCTTGCTCGTTGACCGCCAAGGTCGGAAGAGAGCTGGCGGCCTCAGGTGTAGGTTCCACCTGACGCCCTGGCTGCAATCATAGTCACCGGCTGGCCTTTAAGGGGGCGGCCTCCCAGAACTGCTCTCCCCACCTGCACTCTGCGACCACTCAGGCAGATCCGGAACCTGCCAAGACGAAGTCAGTCAGCATCCTCTTCCGATCTTCTTATTTTCTTCCTCATTTTTTGGATAATATTCAGACATACAGTGTTTCAGTCTCACAATAACCACTTACATGCAGAACTTCCTTTGATCTGTTTGGCCAGAGTCGGGGGGAAACACCTGACAGTGAAGAACTGCGATGAAAAAGAGGGGTTCAGGGGAGATGGGAGAGCCAGACGCGTGGGGCGAGGGAGAAGGAGGTGCGTGTGGGGAGATGGAGACCTAGAGACAGCAAGAAGTAGCAGATGGGGGAGGAAGGTAAGGCGAGAAAGTGAAGAGCAGCTGCGAGCGGGAAGAGAAGGGGCTGCTCCTGTAATTTGGTGGTTTGTGTGAAGGATGGTATTATGAGGCTGAAAGAGAGGACAATCCTCGTCAATCTTTTACAATATTGGTGTCATTCAAGCACAACTTTATCTTTGAACCAGATTATCTGTTCCAATGATTTCCATAAGAACATAAATTATAACCTTCAGAGCCTTCAATATTTCTTTCGGTACTTTATTAAGTGTTGTTGCAGAGGCTATTTATGAAGTGAGTGATTCAACTTTTAATCTTTTGAACATTAAAGTGTATTCCTCCGAGTTTCCTTTTCAAAATAATCTAAAATAACAAAAAGAAACTAAGCTCATTACATGAAAAAGTGACAAGCGTTTTTGCTCGCAGCCTGGCAAGTTGCCTTATTCACTTCAAAGGATGATGAACTAATTGTTTCCAGAGTTTATAAGTAATTAAGCTATTATTTGGGGAATTTATGTAACAGTTTTATTCACATTAGAACTTTCTATTTAAAATAGCCTGAGACAAATCTTCAAAAATGCCAAGATTTTAATAATTGAAAAGCCTTCTCATTATTGTTAATAGTGAAAACTATTTTTATTTTAAAAAGCACTGGAAAATGTAAACAAATATAGTTTTCTCCAGAGTATATGATAAGTGGAGATCATTATGGATAATTAACGCTGAAAGGAAAATGAACATGTAATGGCTTCCAAAAATTAAAACATTTGTAACTATCAAGTTAAGTTCTAAAAAGTTAATTTTTAAATCAGCTGGATTTATCTAAATATGCCTGGCAAGGAAAAAGATATATATATATATATATATATATATATATATATATATATATATATATATATCTATTTACTGTCCTTTTAGAACTCTATAAAGAAAGTTTAAAACCTTAAATAATTTTAGCATTTTTAAACCAACTTTTGGTGCCTAGGCAATAAGAGTTAATGCCCAGAAATGCTAAGTGCTGTAGTTTCTCCAATTTTGCAACAAAGAAATATATTTATTCACCCCTAGATTAAAATAAAGAAAATATTCTAAAAATCTTTTGAAATATATAATTCAAACACCACTTCCATAATATTTCAATGCATGTTTGTTAGTTTTAAATAATTAGGTTTGCCATAAATGAAACAAAATTCATTAAAGGAAAAAGTAGGACTTTAAAAGGAGTGATGAATTATTTTGTAAAATTCAGCAAAATATACAACACTTTAGTTTAATAGGCATTTGTATACATAACAATATACCATTTTAATATAATTTTCCCATCAAGGTGGTATTAGCTCTGTGTGTTAGAAAATGCCTGTTTCATTGTCACATGAAGAATTTCAAAAATAATAAAATTTTCATATTAGGAGGAAATATCTTTGAAGAATAACAAACACAAATGTGAAAATCCAAGTAAATGCCTATAAAATCTTATATGAGGTAAAATATATTTTCTGGAAGTTATCTGGAAAAAATTAAAGCATGTGGTAGTTCAATATTAATTCCCCTCACCACAAAAAAATTGGGAGTTGTCTGTAGCAATTATTACAAGAGGTAGAATATATGTATTAAATAGAAAAAAAAATTTAGGACATATCCACTTGTTTCAAGTAAAATTCCTCTAAAACAAAAGTCTGGAATTTGATGGAAATTGTATATAAAATGCTTTGTATAATTCATGGTCAGTGTTGTTTTGTGGACTCTGTATAAACTGTGGCAATTTAGATCTGTCATGGTATCACAATGTCTGATTCAATATTTGCTGTAATATGTTCTCTTTATTAGTACAGACTAGCATTGCATTATTAAAAACAAAAACTAAAGCACCCTGGTTAGTAGTAATGCAATCCCAATGGTCTAACACCCTGCGATAATTGACCTTCTGGACACCAGACACTGGGATTCACTTTCAGACACTTAGCTGTTTAAACTGACTTCATTACAGGAGGACAATGGTGACTCTGTTGCAACTGACACCTGCACTATTTCACACAACGCATGGGCCATACCTTGCCAAGTCAGCCACCACCATGATTCGCACCAGAGCAGGAAGTCAGCTCGAGACAAATTTTATAATATGAATATACTGTTACGATTAAGGAGAAATGAATTCGTTTTGCATAGCCCTCTACAATCTTAAGGAGACAATTAGAAGCCTGTTTTCTGGTTTCCTTGTGTTACAATATTGCCATATGCAAAGATGTTTCCATTACTTTACGCTGAAGTTTAAAAGTTAAGGATTTTATGGTACACAGCATTCAAGGTGTCCATAGTAATACAGCATATAGATAGAAAAATACTGTTGTGGGAGGCTGAGGCAGGAGAATGGCATGAACCCGGGAGACGGAGCTTGCAGTGAGCCGAGATGGCGCCACTGCACTCCAGCCTGGGCGACAGAGCAAGACTCCGTCTCAAAAAAAGAAAAAGAAAAATACAGTTGTATCACACCTATGTCCTAGTTGAAAAGAGTCCATTAGTGGAAAGGTTTGGGGGGCGGAGGTGGTTAGCTCACTGACCAGACTTGCAGGCACTCTGATTAGTTATCCTAAATGAATTGCTAGAACATATGCAATTCATTCTCCATGGATCTTTCTCCTAATCTCTAAATAATAATAATATATTTCTTTTTTATAAATCATTTTGTGTTGCAGAATATGGTAAAGCATTGTTTTAAATTATATTGACTAAAATAAAATCTCAGAGGGTTCTAGATTTTTTCTGAACTCATAGAGAGTTCTAGATGTGAGTTCTAGATTTTTTTCTGACTCATAAGGGAATATTACTCTGTCCTCAAAGTTCTAAGCATCTCAGAATTCTGAGATACTTTCCTTTGCTCTTCTCTGGCCACCAGAAGGAAAGTGACAGTGCCTTATTGTTCCAAAGTATTTGCTGAAGGTAATTAATACCTTTATTGATTAAGTTGCTTCACTGAAATAAAAGGTGACTTTTCCACCAATGACTAGATTGTGATCTAACAGACTGAAAAATAACATGCCATATTCCAAAGAGAGAAGCCCAGCTTCTAAGGCAGAACTCCATCCCTCCCCAGCTTGTAAAAATCCACAGATTTACTAGTTTTTATTTAAATTTTGTGTTATGCTAGGCTGGATCTTGTCTTAAATCCTTGAACATTTCTAGCATATTCCATCAAATGCTTTGTAAGACTGAAAAAATTCTCTGTATGTGGGCTTTAGAATCTTAAGCAGTCAGCAGGACACTGTAGATACTGAAATTAACAGGACGTTGTCTGTGTCCTCAAGAGCTCATCTTAGGGTAGAGCTGATAAACACCCCACAATCCAAATCCATAGCAGTATACACAGGTGCTGTGCGAATACAAAAGTTAAACCAAGAAAATGGAAGAAGGGAGCCCCCAAAAGTCTTTGTCGTGGGCTAAGGTGAGGGGGAGTAGAGATCAGGGTATGTTTTTAAATCAGAGTTTAAACAAGTAAACAGAAACCACTCTGAGTGTATACAAGGGAAGGAATCGAATGCAGGAAATTGGTTACACAGGGTATAGGAGAGGCTGCAAAGCCCACCAGCTGGCAGCAAGGCAACCTTGAGGCAGGAAATAGCAGGAAACTCTAACCACTCCTAGACTGGAGGGACAGAGGGCGCAGGTGAGTCACCAGACTCCAGGGGTTGGGACTACTTGGTAGAAGATGTAACCGGGGAAGGCATGTCCAGTGGGAGCTGGAGCTATGGAAGGAATAAGGGAGGGATACATATTCTGGAGTCCTGCAATCTAGAGCAGAGCAAGGAAGGGCGAAGAATAGCTTTGAAAGGAGACAGTTCCAGGAGTGGCATTTCTTATTATATTTTTTCAAATGAAAATCTTTCATATTCATTTCTGAAGATACTCATTTGAGAATGCTGGAGAAGGAAGAGAAGAATGTTCCAGGCAAGGGTACTGAATTGGAAAAGAAAGTGACTTATTTAGAAAGTCACAAGTTTGCCAGTGCAGCCCGAGTAAAGAGGAAGATGTGGGACATTGTAGGACATGAGTTGAAGATTCTAACAGCCAAAGACATGAAATGACCAGTGGCTTCTGTAACAGCTTTACTTGCTCTCAATCATTAAGCCCCAGAGGCCCGGATAATAGAGACTACAGGGGTTAACATTGCAAAACGCTGCAAAAATAGAGACATGGGTCTCCATACAGGTGCAATGCTGCCCACCAACAAATGGCATTTCTATGAAGAAATACAGTCATCATCCTGGGCTGCCTTCAGTTAACTTACATTGTTATCTGATTCAGCCACAAAGCCAGTGGGACATCGATTCTGTCATTTTAATGAACAAATTAGATATTGCTCACTAACCCAAAGGAACCATCCTTGTGGCCAGTTTGGTGTTCAGAGGGCTAGATAAAAGGTTTTGTCTACTCCCAGGTAATAGGAATAGCTCAGTCCATGACCTCACAGGTGTCAGTCTCATGAATAATAGTTTGAAGTAGAGCCAGGGAGCTAAGAAACCAGTGAAAACACTATTGTGATGATGGTGGGGATGGGAGGTAAGCGTGATGATTACCAGAAGATATTAGGTGATAGAAGCACAGAGGAGGGGGATGAGATATTGAGAACCATGGCATGGTTTCTGGTTTGGAAAATTCTGCAGATTGTGGTTCCATTTGCTGGAAAGATAACCTTAGAAGAAGGAACATATTAGAAAGGAGGATGTTAAACTTGTTTTAGGTATTTTGAGATTAAGATACTTTTGATTTATCAAGATAGAGATGCTCATTAGGACAATGAAAATATGGGTCTGCGTTTTAGTGGAGGGAGTCTGGGCTGGAGATAAAAATTTGGGAGGAGTCATTGGAGTAGATGAGATCATTCACAATCTCTTTCAAGTGGTTTATGGTGAAAGAAAAGAAAGGAACAGGCCGTCAGTAATAAAGGGGAACAAGGATATATAATTTTGAAGATGGGAAAGACTTGAACATATTTGTATAATGAAGGGAAGGAAGAGGATATGCTGATATTACAAGAAAGAGTGTTAAATAATGGAGAAATCCATCATCCAGGTGGGGAATGGAGGAACGGAGCTATTCCTCAGCAGGGGAAGAGCCTGGCCTTCAAGGTCGAAGGCAGGTAATGGGTAGAGTTGTATGTCCAGGTCAGGGGTAGTGGAGGAAGAATTTGGTAGCAGTTCATACTTAAAAACTTACGCCTTTTTTTTTTTTTGAGATATGGGTAGAGATGTCATTTGATGAGTGAGGAAGTAGGAGGGTGACCAGGTTGTAGCACTTAAAGGCCTGTCCCCCAGGAACCCCTTCAGTCCTGGACAAGCTGAGAAATTTGGTCACCCCAAAGAGTAAAGGAAAGGGAAAGGCTTGAGATAAATGTGAAACATTAACAGTCATCACAGGAAGTGGGAGAGGGAGCTGACCAGAAATGCGAAGCTTACTGGCTGGTATCGAGAACTTACATGGAATTGGAGATTAAGGGGCAAGGTTTTGTGCACGGCTGTGGGGTTTTCTTCAGCAACACCTAAGCATACTGAGTTATCATTCCAGGAGAGAGTGTGTTCATGCATCCAGGTGTGTGTTTGAAGTACTTTTTAGAACCCAAAAGTATGTAGTATCAGAGTTCTCGTTCTGGGAACAGGAAAACAGAGTGAAATTAGCAGCAAGGTTGCCAGAACCCTGTTAGGTAGAAGATCATTCTGTCAACGATGTACATCACTCTTGCTTCATGTTTGCAGTCGACAAATGGCAGTTTTCACAATCCACAATATCTTGAGGTACCCCTGCCATGCGGGCATGTATTCATAATACCTCTTCTCTCTGGAAGGGTAATTTAGACACTGCAGTCATTAAGCAGTGTCTTGAGGTAAAAAGCACCCACATGCCTGTGGGTGAACATTATCTGTTACCCCAGCTCATCCACAAGGCGTGTCATGAGAATATTTTGCCTGTGTCATTGACTAAGTTATGTACCTTTATACTGGTAGGAATTTCACCTGTTGTTGGTTATATGAACAAAGAAAAATGTAAATATGTGATTGTCTGGCTGGTCATAGGGCAAATGGGGCAATGAGCTCCCATAAGTAGATTCAAGTAAATATCTGGAGTTTTGACTTTTCTTTTTGCAGCACATGCAGTTGGATAGCTCCCAAATAGATGAAGGGTTGTTTTCTCTGGTTTGTGCCCTATATCTAGGACAAACCAGTACCTCTAAGTTTCCAATACAGGACAGACAATAAGCCACAAAGGGGACCAAACTACATGATGAAAATCTGAAACTAAGCTTGGGTTGAGGAAGGTACTCAAATCTTGTCTGAAATTTGATGCAGCTTGGCTCAAAACTTTCCAGGAATTGGCTGAGGCTTTAGACAATAGACTGAATGGTGTTCCTCAAAATTCATGTGTTGAAGTCCTATCCCAGTACCTCAGAATATGACTGTGTTTGGAGACAGGGTCTTTAAAGAAGTAACTGAGGTTAAATGAGGTAATACGTGTGGGCCCTAACCCAATCTAACCGGTGTCTTTATAGGAGAGGAAGTTTAGACATAAAAAGAGGCACTAGGGATGCTGGAGCACAGAGGAAGCACCCTGTAAGGACACAGTGAGAAAACAGCCAACTGCAAGCCAGGAAGCAAGGCCCCAGAAGAAAGCTAACCCACCCATACCTTGCATATTAGTCCATTTTCACGCTGCTGATAAAGACATACCCAAGACTGGGTAATTTATAAAGAAAATGAGGTTTAATGGACTCAGAGTTCCACGTGGCTGGGGAGGCCTTACAATCATGGCTGAAGGTGAAAGGCACATCTTGCATGGTGGAAGACAAGAGATAAATGAGAGCCAAACAAAAGGGGAAACCCCTTATAAAATCATCAGATCTCATGAGACTTATTCACTACCACGAGGACAGTATGGGGGAAACCGTCCCCATGATTCAATTATCTCCCACCAGGTCCCTTCTACAACACATGGGAATTATGGGACCTACGATTCAAGATGAGATTTGGGTGGGGACACAGCAAAACCATATCACCTTGATTTCAGACTTCAAGCCTCCAGAATGCAAGAACATAAATTTTTGTTAAGTCACCAGGTCTGTGGTATTTTGCTATGGCAACCCTCGTGAAGCAATACAGGGAGGTTTAGAGTTTGAATTCTCAACAACTTCAGAAATTGTGGATGCATCAATTATTTTTTAACGTGAAAATGAATCTAGGAGATATCTACTGAGAAACTCTGTTTTTACCTCAACTTTATTTATCAAATATTTACCAAACATTTTTGTAGCACTTAGCAGGAGAGGTGCCTTCATTATTCTTTTCAGCTCTTAAACCTTTCTTACTCTCCTTCACCTCGTCCTGCATGTCTATAAGCGCGAACTCTATTGAAGTCATTTTAAAAATACACTATTTTTCAAATGACAATACTGCATTTTTTTTCTTTTTCTTTCTTTCTTTCTTTTTTTTTTTTTGAGACGGAATCTTGCTCTGTTGCCAGGCTGGAGTACAGTGGCGCCATCTCGGCTCACTGCAAGCTCCGCTTCCCAGGTTCAAGTGATTCTCCTGCCTCAGCCTCTCGAGCAACTGGGACTACAGGCGCACAACACCACACCAAGCTAATTTTTGTATTTTTAGTAGATACGGGGTTTCACTATGTTGGCCAGGATGGTCTCAATCTCTTGACCTCGTGATCCACCTGCCTTGGCCTCCCAAAGTGCTAGGATTACAGGTATGAGCCACTACACCCAGCCGACAATACTCCATTTTTAACGAAGTTTAGTTATGGAGTCTGTAGGCAGGGTTTTCATTATGTTTAGTAGGAATTAAGCCTGTATGTGAGCATAAAGCTATAGTCAATAATTTTACCCCCTTTATGACTGTAAAATTTGGGCCAGTCACCCTACCTGGTTAATTCTCTGCAGTATTTAAGGTATCTATCTCAAGTTGATTCTAAGGTTAGGCACTTTTAATTAAAAATGCATTTCTAAAATACTTTAGAACATTTAGAAATGTCAGCATGACGATGTTGACAGGGGAATCTCCATGGCATTAAGTTGTGTGTTTCTGTGTTGAGAGCAGATGCTACTAAAAGTATCGCAGAAGCGCAAAAACATCTGACATTGCCCGGTGAGCCTATTTGTAGCTGTTGGCTTAGAATAATCTATACTGACCTGTAAGGTCCGCTTTAGTAACAATAACAGGTAATGTACTGAACCTGCTATAAGCAAAAGGATGTTCATTAAATGTTTGCCTTTGGTGAATTTTCCTGGTCATTGTTCTTGGAAATAATACGGAGGACTGGAAATTGGGAAATTTTATAAACTAATCCTAGTGTTCCCAGGCTGGGCGCAGCAGCTCAAGCCTGTAAACCCAGCACTTTGGGAGGCCGAGGCAGGCGGATCACGAGGTCAGGAGATCGAGACCATCCTGGCTAACACGGCGAAACCCCGTCTCTACTAAAAATACAAAAAAATTAGCCAGGCGTGGTGGTGGGCACCTGTAGTCCCAGCTGCTGGGGAGGCTGAGGCAGGAGAATGGTGTGAACCTGGGAGGCGGAGCTTGCAGTGAGCCGAGATCGTGCCACTGCACTCCAGCCTGGGTGACAGAGCAAGACTCCGTCTCGAAAAAAAAATAAAAAAATAAAAAAATAAATCCTAGTGTTCCTATTTACTTATTGTGTGGTTTTGGTAAAGTCAATCATAGTGAACATCAGTTTGTTCACCTGTAAAATGGGGAAGATTCTATCTTTGAATGCTACTTTAAAGGTGTTATGAGAAGAATATTAAAAGACCAACGTGTATGTGGTGCTTTTAAAACATGCTATCCAAATTTAAATATTATATTGTTATTGTAATTGCCATTAAATGGTTTAATTTAGCAACACTTTGAAATGGCTTTCTCCAATTCTAATTGAAGTAGCAACTTGGGATCCCTTCAGTGATGAAAATCATAGCAAACACAATCTCTTATTGATCAGGTTTCCCAGAAAGACCCCTGGTTCCACCATATTTCAGGGAGTATCTACTGGAGCTTGGTCAACATCAACTTTTGTTTTTAGTCTTACATTAGACAATGCTGTTTTTCTACAAATGTCCCCAATATTACCTTTTTAAAACTCAGTTGAAGATGTAAATGTTATCTCAGATGAAAAACTTTCAGAACCTAATGTCAAGTTGCATGCGGGAATGTGTCATCTCAAAGTGTTGTGAGAAAGGCTCTTTCCCCTAGGGTCTCTGATTCTATCCATGCTGTACAACACCAGTCTCCAACCCCTGGGCCACGGACCCTTACTTGTCTGTGGCTGTTAGGAACCAGGGCACCCAGCAGGAGGTGAGCCACGGGCAAGTGAGTGAACCAGTAAATCTTCATCTGTATTTACAGTCCCTCCCCATCACTTGCATTACTGCCTAAGCTCTGCCTCCTGTCAGATCAACTGTGGCATTAGATTCTCACAGAAGCATGAACCCTATTGTGAACTGTGCATGTGAGGGATCTAGGCTGTGCACTCCTTATGAGAATCTAATGCCTGGTGATCTGTTACTGTCTCCCATCATCCCCAGATAGGACCATCTAGTTGCAGGAAAACAAGCGCAGGGCTCCCACTAATTCTACATTATGGTAGGTTGTATAATTATTTCATTATATATTACAATGTAATAATACTAATAGAAATGAAGTGCACAATAAATGTAATGCACTTGAATTATCCGAAAATTATCCCTCCACATCATGCGAGTCCATGGGAAAATTGTCTTATATGAAACTGGTTCCTGGTGCCAAAAAGGTTGGAGACTGCTGCCGTACTACATTTATTTGAATAGATTAATGAATATAAGCCTTATCACTATGTTTTGTTTTTTTTTTTTTTGAGACAGAGTCTCTTGCCCATGTCACCCAGGCTGGAGTGCAATAGCACAATTACGACTCACTGCAACCTCTGACTCCTGGGTTCAAGCAATTCTCCTGTCTCAGCTTCCCAAGTAGCTGGGATTATAGGAGCGAGCCACCACACCAGCTAATTTTTTTTTGGTATTTTTAGTAGAGATGGGGTTTTACCATGTTGGCCAGGCTGGTCTTGAACTCCTGACCTCAGGCGATCTGCCCACCTCGGCCTCCCAAAGTGCTGGGATTACAGGCATGAGCCACCACGTCCAGGCTATGTATTAACAAAGTGCATTAAGCATGTTGCTGTCACTTCCTGTGTTGAGACATAGGTAAATGTTCATTAAATATGAAATAATTCCCATAAAATGCTGCTTTTGAACCCAAATTATAATTTGGGCAATGATCCAAACCATCTGGAGTCTTTGTCATGGATCTCAGGAGTGTGGGCAAACTAGAGTACATGTGTATGTGTGTGGAAGTGTGGGTTAGGGGGAGTTGTCATTGCTGGGATTGGAGGCTTGGCATAGATTTAGAGGAGTTTAACATTTGAAAACCCCTCTATTATGGAAAGTTTTCAAATGTACACAAAAGTCAAGAGACTGGTATAACAGACTTCCATGTATTCATCACTCTACTTCAAGAATTACAATGATCAACATTTTGCATTTGCATTTTGGTCCTTTTTTTTTTTTATTTTTGAGATGGAGTCTCACTCTGTCACTCAGGCTGGAGGGCAGTGGCGCGATCCTGGCTCACTGAAAACTCTGCCTCCCAGGATCAAGCAATTCTCCTCCTGCCTCAGTCTCTTGAGTTGCTGGGATCACAGGTGCGCACCACCACCCTGGGCTAAGTTTTGTGTTTTTAGTAGAGATGGGATTTCACCATGTTGGCCAGGCTGGTCTTGAACTCCTGACCTCAAGTGATCCACCTGCCTCGGGCTCCCAAAGTGCTAGGATTGCAGGTGTGAGCCACTGTGCCAGGCCTGACATTTTGGTACTTTTGTTTCATGTATTCCCTCCCTTCCCTAAGTCTGTCACACACACTCTCTCTCTCGCTCGCTCTCTCTCTTCCTCCACTTGCTCTAATATTTTAAATCAATCAAACACTAGATATCAGTTTATCTCACTTTTAAATATTTCAGAATGCATATTTAACTAGTAGTGATTTTGTTTTGTTTTAATTTAAAAAATAACTTTTTCATTTTGATGTAATTTTAAACTTATAGAGAAATTGCAAGAATAGTACAAGAAACTCCTGTAATCCTTTAATTCTTTACTCAGATATCACTAATTGTATACATCTTAATTTTCCTTTATCACTCTGTTTTTCATATAATTGATATACTTTGTTTTCTGAATCATTTGAAGGTAAGTTGGTGACAATATATATATTCTTTTTTTTTTTTTTTTTTTGAGATGGAGTCTCACTCTATCACCCGAGCTGGAGTGCTGTGGTGTGATCTTGGCTCGCTGCAACCTCTGCCTCCCAGGTTCAAGCGATTCTCCTGCCTCAGCCTCCTAAGTAGCTGGGATTACAGCTGTGTACCAACACGCCCAGCTATTATTTTATTTTATTTTATTTTATTTTATTTTATTTTATTTTTGTATTTTTAGTAGAGATGGGGTTTCACCGTGTTGGCGGGGCTGATCTCGAACTCCTGACCTCGTGATCTGCCCACCTTGGCCTCCCAAAGTGTTGGGATTACAGGCTTGAGCCACCGCACCTAGCCTAACATTATACTCTTTTACTATTAAATCAGTATGTATGTTCTATGAACAAAGAAATGTTGTTATATAACCACAGGATAACTATGAAAATCAGGAAACTTAATATCAATACAATACTATTATCTAATCCCCAGCCCATATTTAAATGTTATCAATTGCCACAATAATATCCTTTATATCATTTTTACCCCTAATCCAGAGTCTACTCCAGGATTGTACATTACTTCTTGTCACGTCTCTTTAGTTTCCTTTAATCTGGAACAAGCTGTTCCTCAGCCTTTTTTGGTTTTTGTTGACCTTGACATTTTTGAAGAGTACAGACCAGTTGTTCTGTGGAATGTCCCTTAGTTGGGGTTTGTTTGATATTTCCTTTTGATTGGATTTAGGTTATGCTTTGTTGGCAGGAGCACTGCAGAAGGGATGTTGTGCCTTCAGTACACAGTATCAGCTGGCACATAATGTCCGTTTGTCTCAGCAATGGTGACATTTACTTTAATTATTTTGATCACAAGTTACTGTCTGCCAAATAAGAGTTATTTTGAGATTATTATAGAAATATTCTGTTCTGCATCAAACGTTGGTCCATTAGTGTTAACACCCATTGATGATTCTCTAACTCCATTATTTTAATATATTTATCAGTTGGCATTCTATTGTAAGGAAGCATTTTGCCTTTTTCCAACTTTATTTATTCATGCACTTTTTTTCTATTAAAATGGGCTAATGGATTCTTTTATTTAATGGGTTATGATTTATTACTATATTATTTATTTTTTGATGCTTTTTTTTTCTTTTTAGATTTGGTCAATGGAAACCACTCCAAGTTACCTCCTGTGTCTTTTCGATGTCCTAAAAGAGGCTTAACTTTGTACCTTCCATGTTGAAATGGAGACTGAGCTCAGCTCTCCTATTCACATGCTAAGTTTCCAGTTACAATAGACTTTCTATCCAAATCCTTCCTTTTTTTTTTTTTTTTTAAAAGTACATCCTTGGAGTGAGTCAGTGTGGTTAGTTGAGTAGCAGGAAAAGATTTAACTGTTCTCATGTAGGGGAAAGCCCAGTTGATAGTCTCTTTTGGCCCCTCATGGCCGCTATCACGAGAAACATTCCCCACTAAAAAGTCAAGCAACAGGCTTCCTAATTTCTGGCTTCTGTCTGAAACAGGCTTTTTGAGCCAGTTAATTGAACATAAATTACAACTGACCTTGGAGGGATTAACTTGCATTTTGGGGTCATCTCAGCTGCATAGCTATTTGGGTGCTTTCTGACTGCTTGTGCTTTTATATACTTTTCAGCTAAGTTAGAGATGAAAATGTACCACTCAGTGACATTACAGGAATTGTTGACCTTCTCTGGTCAGTTTGAGGTCAAGGAATTAATGCAGAGAATTACCAGAAGATCTATAAATACACGTTTCTTACATGAGAGGTATCATTAAAAAATGATGTTCATTTTACTTAACTGTTTCAGATCCATGTGTAGTATGTGAATAGCAGTCATATAAAGGGAACTCTAGTTTTGGGGAACAATAAAATAAGATTTAAATTAAACGTTTAAAAAACTACACTAGCAGTAGGTTTCCTAAAATTCCCTTGTGACTGAGCCATTTTAATGTTAAAAATAGGATGATAAACCCATATTCAAAAGAAGAATTATTGTTCATGTCAAAGGCTAAAAACATTCTTTTGAGGTCAAGTCAGTCCTGAAAGTAATCAGTGTGGCCCATGTCTTATGTTTTGCTCTGCCTCTTTGGTATATCAAGAGGTTGAATTAGAAATTGGTATGCCAGCTTCTCCTTGATGAATGAGTGGGAAGAGCATGACCTTCAGAAACACAGACCTGGGACCAAATAACACTACTGACATTGATTAGTTCTCCATCTTTGGCAAGTTCTTTTATCATTCTAAGTGTCTGTTTTCTATCTATGAAGAAAATGTCTCAGTCTGTGCCACTATAACAAAAATACCCAAGACTAGGCAATTAATAAGAATAGGAATTTATTCCATACCATTCTGGAGGCTGGGAAGTCCAAGATCAAGGCACCAGTAGAGTCTGTGTTTGTGACAACTGCTGTCTGCTTCCAAGACGGTACCTTGTTGCTGCATCCTCATATGGCAGAAGAGGCAGTCTGTGTGTCCTCACATGGCAGAAAAGCAGAAGGACAAAAAAGGGCCTACCTAGTTCCCCCAGTCCTTCTAAAAGGTCATTAATTTCATTCATAAGGGCTCTCTTCTCATGACTTAATCACTTCCAACACCTCACATTTTAATGCTGTTGCTTTGGGGGATTAAATTTTAAGATGAGGCTGGGCGCGGTGGCTCATGCCTGCCTGTAATCCCAGCACTTTGGGAGGCCAAGGCGGGTGGATCGCCTGAGGTCAGGAGTTTGAGACCAGCCTGGCCAACATGGTGAAACCCTGTCTCTATTAAAAACACAAAAATTAGCCAGATGTGCTGGCAGGTGCCTGTAATCCCAGCTACTCGGGAGGCTGAGGTAGGAGAATTGCTTGATTCGGGAGGCAGAGGTTGCAGTGAGCCGAGAATGTGCCATTGCACTCCAGCCTGCGTGACAAGAGTGAGACTTCATCTCAAAAAACCCCAGAAAAACAAAAAAACAAAATTTAAGATGGATTTTAGAGGAGACACAAATGCCAAGCCATAGCAAACTCAACAATGTGCAGGGTTAGTGCAAGGAATGAAAGCTATATAAAACTTTTATACCAAGTATAATGCCAACACAGAGGCATAGAGGAGGCTCTCCATGATTGTGATTTCTCTTTTTTTCCCACCCTTTCTTCTAATAGCATAACAATCACCACCATTTATTAATTGCTTAAAACATGCCAGAATCTGATTTGAGTGCTTTACATGCATGATTTGTGAGAGAGGAACTATTATCTTCAATTTGCAGATGAGAAAACCAAGATTTAGACATGTTAAGGACCCTTGACCAAATGTTGGTGCTGGGGTTTTACATTTGATGCCAGAGTCCAAGCCCTTAATCATCATGCTCTCCTGCCTCTCATAACTATGTCTCTTTTAAACCATACACTTTCTCTAAATTTGAAGTAGTAACTCACGGGTTTACACAATACTATTGAGTGGGTGCAGTTGAGAGTCCTAAGGTGTGGCAAGGGAGACTTAAAAACCTGAACTAGAAGCAGAAATAATTAAGAGTGCAGGAGAAAAGACAGGGAAAGGTCAGAGATAAACTTATCAGGTAAACAGGGGCTGAATACCACTCTCTGTGTCTCTGGAGCCTTTGATTGCTTACTTGAAGTTAGAGATTAAAAATATACATGATTATCCTACATGTTTATCTATGTAACAAACATGCACATCCTGCATATGTATCCCAGAACTAAAAATAAAAATTAAAAGAAAGAAAATGATAAAAATACACATGATTAGTCCTAATATTAGGTAGGTGCAAAAGTAATTGTGGTTTTTGCCATTAAAAGTAATGCTACTATTTAGCTACTGTTTCTTGAACATGTATACATCAGGCATTATGTGCTTTATGGGATTGTCACTTTAAAGTTACAGGAGCCCTATGAGGCATATTTCCCCCTTGTTCTTAGAGTACGCCTTGAAAAATATTTCACACCCCAGTCATTTAAGCATTTCTGTAGCAGAGGCTGCTTGTTGTCTACCCCAACATTGACTTTCCCTTCCTTCTTAAGAAGGGAACCTGAGTTTTAGTCAGGCCCCTTGCCAGGCAGAATTCGAGATAATTCCCAGCCTCTCCTGCAGCTAAGTGTGGACATGTCTGAACTCTGGCCAAGCAGATAGAAACAGAAGTGCTCTGTGGGGTTCTGGGAAAGCTGTTTAAAAGGAGTGGACTCTGCTTGGGGGAAACCCCTTTGCTCTTCTTTTTTTGAACTTTTATTTTAGGTTTGGGGATACATGTGAAGGTTTATTATGCAGTTAAACTCATGTCAGGGGGGGTTTGCTGTACAGATTATTTCTTCACTTGGGTATTAAGCCCAGTACCCAATAGTTATATTTTCTCCTCCTCTCCCTCCTCCCAAACTCCATTCTCAAGTAGACCCCAGTGTCTGTTGTTTCTCTTGCCCTTCTTTTTATTTCTACTTGTTAGGTAGCAATTGGAATGTTACAGCTAAGTTTTAGCAACTATCCTAAACCATCGAGTGGCATTGACGATAGAAACCACCTGGTAAGATGGCAGAGCAGAAAGAGAGAAGACTAGGTTACTGATGACATCTTAAAGTTGCTTTACCAGTCCTGGGCTGCCTCCCTCTAGTTTTACACAAGAAGGAAACTTAATTTCTTCTTTCCTTCTTTCCTACCTCCCTTCGTTCCTCTCTCCTCTCCCTTCCTTCCCTCCATTCCTTCCTTCCTTCCTCTCTTCTTCCTTCCCTTCCACCCTCTCCTTGCTCTTTTCCTTCCTCTCTCCCCTTCCTTCCTCCCTCTCTCTTTATTTCTGTTTGCCACTGTTAGCTTGCTTTTTTCTCTTATATATAACCAAGTAATTCTAATTACAGCTTCCAAATATATGCCTAGCTTCCTGTGGGCATATCTTGATATATTGGGAAAGCCTGTAAAGCTCTGAGGTTACTGGTTCAACCTTTAGTTGAATACACTTAACTTACAAAATATTAAGCTATCATGGAAATACACACAGTTGAATATTTTGGGCCTTTATGTCCTTTAACATCTTTTTGGGCTACAGCACTTTTAGCAGTTAGAATATATTGACAGCAAACTCACAGTGTTTCCTCCATTTAATTCAAAGAAAGATGCATTTGGAAGAAAATTAAAGTCTTGCTGCTCTAAACTATTCCTATAAAGTCCATCAGAGACTGCACATCGTTCAAGGTCATGCTGCAAACAGATTCGGAATGGGCAAGATGCTTTTGTGATGAAAGTTATTGCATCAAACAAAACTCAAAATTTATTCCAGGTGGGATCCACCACCCCTCCCCATGCTATCTTAACATCAAACACAAAACTGACACAAAACAATTCTGTCCTCCTGATATACTGAACTTTGGGCACAAGTAGAGGGTGCATTACAAAGACATGGTTTCATACTTGAGTACATGTGTTGGGGAAAAAGTTTTCCACTTAAATGTGATCCATTTAAGGATAGCTAAATATATGCTCTCCTGCTTATTATATTTACAATCATTTTTATCTCAGCAAAAGATGCTGTTATGGTGAAAATATATTACACATGTCCTTTGCTGACTGAGAGAGTTAAAATGAATAGAACAATAAAGAAAAAAAGAAGAAGAAAAAAGGAAGAAATCCTAAACTTTATTGCCAAAGCCTTACAAAGACAAATATGGGCAGAACATATATTTAGAGACCTTGGCAAAAGAAAATGGAAATATGAGCAATTAGCTGAATATATTTAGCCAAAAATGGTTGAGAATATTTATTCTCTTTTAAAATCTTAATTGTCCATCCCGTCGTAGGCTAGATTGACTGAATTTTCTGGACAAAGTCATAAAGTTTCCTTAACTTTGTGGGAACATGGGTTGTAACTACTCAGTAACCACTACCAGTGACTATTTGTTAAAAATACACCATTTGCAAGACATTGCATTAGCTTTGTGGTCATAAATGTATTGTCCTATGAGTTAAATGAAGATTGTTAATGGACTCATAGGATCATACAATCTCAGTATTTTCAGGAAATTTAGATATATCTATTTCAATCCTTTAAATCCCTCCCCCAGCACCATTTTAAAGATGAGGAAACTGAGGCCCTAGAGACTTTTCAAAATCTCACAACTTGTACATAAACTCCACTTGTAAAATAATGGTGTTTTGTACTTTTTACTAGTTTTCTAAAGTGGCCCAGTGGAGAAAAGGAAGCTTTTGTTCATTACTTTGAATTTGTTTCTAGTTATGTTTGGTATCATGCTTTTCTTCTGGAAAGATTTATCAATAAGAAGATTATAAGATCAAAACCTTCCAAGGGTGAGTTACCTTAACCTTGTTGAAAATTATTGATATTAGATATTATTACCTATAAGAGACATGGACTATGAGAAAAGACTTCTTTTATTTTCAGTGATAGTACACTAAGCCTTGTAGCAAAACAGAAATAGTAAACTGCATATTGATTCCAAAGCAAATCAAGTTAAGTATCTTCTATGGACATATAGTCAGATAATAAAACTCAAGAAAATAATGTATGTTCTTCTCTGTTTTCCACTAAACTAGGGAATCTCCTTTAAACTTTGTATGCAGTATGGAAATAAGGTTTCTGAAGTAACCATTACAACATGTTTTCATGAGTGTTTATTAAGAAGCCCCAAACATTTTTCAGTAATAAATCGGCTGACATATCCATAGATTTAAATCTTTTATTGGTTACTGATTAACATAACTGCTCTGCCTGACAAATCTTTATAATAAATAAGCCAACCAGTGAGCATTTCACAATGAAACCAACTTTGTTTAAAGGACTATCACTAAAACAGGATTTATGCGCTAATGAATTTTGCAATCAGCATGTGGTGGTGTACAAGTTTCAACATGAATCTAAAATGCAGAAATCTGAAGACACTGAAGTTATTAAAAATCACACCACAACACAACTACTTTTAATTAAAAAGAAATATATTACATTCGTATTTAGCAGCAGCATTATAGCGTATGAAAAGGAGAACTCAGGGTTACTCTTTGAACATATTCTAACAAAATACAGCTGTTGCTGCTATACAGGTTAATGATTCCTTCTCAAAATAAAATTCCTTGCTATAGTGATTCTGATTTTTAAAAAAATCAAAATAAGGAACAATGTTTTTTGTATACACATAAGCCAAGTAAATAGACAAGATGATCCATGATGGTGATTCAGTAAAATAAAAGTTGCTGATGGATATATATATATATATACATATATATATATATATACTTTCAGTTTGATTGAATTCTTCTTGGAAAGCCTATAGAAGTCACTGGACTTCTTGTCTCTGTTTGAATTAATTAAATTGTTGACAGTGAAATTGTCAAAAGTAGCTTTGGTATAAAAAATGATTCCCAGATCTTTTTCTCTAAAACTTAAAAAAAAATCCTGACAAACTTGAAAAAGTTTTAAACATCTGTCTGGACAGATGTCAAAATGCTGAGTGTTATACCATTATACTGTGTCAGTATCTGACACTATGTTATTACTCTTCAGTTAAATATTCACAGTGAGATTTTATGATCTTTTTAAAAGAAAACTTGCATGAGAGAGTAACTTTATCTTGCACAACACATAAGCACTTTAAACAAATGAATTTCAGAGTAAACAATGAAAAATAACTTTTTGTGCTAGTTTTTATACCATATTTTAATCACTTGGGATTTTCACATCAGGATTTTACAAATCATTCAACAGTATGTAATGGATAATGAACCATGTTATTAATTTTGAATATTTCCCTGGAAAGAGAACTTTAGTGAGAATCATACATAAATAGCATAGAGAATTACATATGGGGAAAAGATGGCATTGCTAAATCCTAATTGTTGTGGAGTATATATTATAGTAAAATAAACAATGTTTTTCAAGAAATGAGAGATGAAAACTGTCACGATATTATAAAATGCAACAGTAATTTAGCAAGGAAGACTTCACTGAAAGCAATATTTAGATCCAGACACTGGGTTGCTGAGATGTTATTTCATTCTGTGTTCATCTCTACCCCAAATCTTCTAGATTAGATATATTATAGTTAGTTTATTTGATGAACATTTTCATATTGGGATTATAAGTGCCTGAAAATAGAATTTTTAATGCTTTTAATGTGATTAAGGAAGCAAAACCTCTCTTTTCTCCCTAGAAATTACTAGCCCCTTTTGCACTAAATACCTACATCAGACAAACCGCCACAATTTCCTTGTATTGCCAGAGAGAATTCTTCAATAAAACACTGCAATTCTCTGTCAAAGAGACTAACAATAGCAAGAGCATCTCACTATTTTCTTAATGAGATGTGAATGGAAGTGTGAAGGTGAAAAGACAGATTCTAGGTTGGCAGATTCTAGGTTGACTGGCAAGGTGAGACCACTTCTTTAGCAAAAGGAACCCCCCTCCTTGAAATGTCATGTTTGATATAAACAGAATCTTCCCTCCCTTCCTGCCTTCCTTCTTCTCTTCCTTTTCATCCTTTACTTGGGGAGTCCTCCTCATTTGTCTTAAAAATTCTGAGATGAATTCATTTGCCCTCGAAGCCATCAGATTTGATGTTGATAAATTTAAGTGGTTTAACTTTGGAAAACATCAACTTATGTGTTAATTTCCTTCGTAGCGATAGCCTGGCCTCCAGGTCACACTGCGTAGCCTACCTGCTATCAATATCATCATTATTGTTTTAATCGTTAAATTAAACTGAATGAAGTTGGTGATGAGCTGTCAAGAAGTCTCAGAGACAAGGGCAGGCCAGTGCCCCATTTCTTCTTCTAAACACTTTGTACCTATTCATAAAAATTGAATGAGATTGTGTCTGGGAAACTATTGTACACTGCAAAGCACAAACATAAGGGCAGATGATGCCAGTGGTGATTATGATGATGCCCAGCAATGTTGTTCATTTTTAGGCTAGAGATCTGGTAGCAGCCTTATGTTTTCTGCTTAGGATACAGTCTTGAATAGCATAATTTGTACTGATATAAACTAGATTTAGCCATTCCCTGGGATTCTAAACTATTCTCTTATGATGCCTCTTCCACTATTGTACAGAACTATTTAGCTAGGACAAGAAAAATTGATTATTTTTCCCTTCTTAGTTTTCTAAATGACATTGCCCAGATTAATTAGAAAATTGCCCAAATCTCTCTTTTCTCTACTCTGCTATGTAGCACTTGCAAGAAAAAAAAAAAGCCAATTTCATGCAGAAGTTGCTTAAAATTAGTCAAAAGCAACCCCTGTTCTAGTCCTGTACACATTAAGTAATTCTCATTGATCAAAATAGGAAGTGAGCCTGAGAACAAGGGAGAAGAGAGGAAGTTTGCAGATGGACTTTCTCCCCCAGTGTCATTTTCAACCAGGTAAAATGGAGTTCGAAAGGCCCAAATTCTCAGCAGATTTGCACAGCACAGTAATAGCCTTTATGCTTGGAAATTTATGGGCCATGGACAGTTTATAAGAAACGATGTAGTTCATCAGAGAGCTAGACTGATGGGGCATATGGGAGCATTCTGCACAGGAAGTTGGGTTTTGGAATAATACTTACTTTGATAGAGTTGTTTTGTTAGCTAAGTAAAACAGTAGGGAAGCCAATGGCCACTTAGGCTTCAGACATAAATATATATTTATAAGTCACCCAGCTGCCTAATTGAGAGCCATAGTGTTTTCACTGAGTATATCTTCACCAGAAAGCAGTAGAAACAACAATATCACCAAGAAAACCCCAGTCTTGGCATAGATTTATTTAATCAGTCTTTGATACTTTTGAGATAATTGAATGCTCTCTAAATGTCGCTCTTTTAAAGCCAGAGGGTGAGGGGATGGTTAAAAAGAAGTTTTTTTGTTTTTTGTTTTTTAAAGTTGGGGTTCTTTTGTATTTAAGGTGCAAAGATACGAAGTTAAGGTTTATGTTACACTTGGGGTAGCAGAGGGCTATTACCAGAGATTTGAAATTGTGGTTCTATGGACTCCTGATGGGAAGAGTGGGGAAGCTCAGAGGAGCAAGGGTTGGGCGTACAATTGTCTGGTGCTTTCAGGTTTCACAGAAGAAGGTTAAGCAGGAGGTGGCTTGTTAAATTTGAGCAGAGAACTGGAAAATAAGATTTCACACTCCTGAGACGCGGAAGGCTGGTGAGTTTGGAGTTTGTCTGGGAGATTTGAAAAAGGTCGAGTGTGCTATAAAGTTTCTGAAATTCTATTTTAGTGCTTACGAACACGAAAAAAGTAGGTGTTATGAAAAAAAGCAAAGGGCATTTTAAAACTCAAATAAGTATTTGGCATGTCGAAATAAAATACACATCCACTTCTGCTTGGCTGGACCTCCTAGAATTCAGGCCTTACTAACGATGTCTTGTTACTGTGTCCTCCATTCAAGCCCTTTCTTTCTTTTCTTAAGCTTTTTTTTTTTTTTTCCTCTTTATGGCCACTGCTTTAATTATTTCTCTCTTTGCGTTAAGACCCTGAGCTGAACTTGTGTTGCAAGTGGCAGCATGGGAGTCAGAGATTTGGGTTCTAGTCTGAGGTCTGTTTCTTTGTGTGATCTTAAGGCAGGACACCAACTCTCATTTGGCCCTTGCCTTCCAACTTGGAGGAACTGGGGGTCAGGTCCCTGAGGTCTTTCTTAGTTCTGACATTATTTTATCTTAGAGTCAGTTTTGTTACTTCAATTCTTTCCTCCTCTTCTGGGACAAGCGTGACCCTTTTATTCAATTGCTTGCTTTCTTCTTTTCTTTTCTTTTCCTTTTTTTTAATTAAAAAAAGATGGATCTCACTATGTTGCTCAGGCTGGTCTCGAACCCCCAGGCTCAAGAGATCCTCCCACTTCAGCTTCCCAAATTGTTAGGATTACAGGTGCGAGCCACCATGCCCAGCCAATCAATTGCTTTTTTTTTTTTTTTTTTTTTTTTTTTTTTGAGACGGAGTCTCGATCTGTCGCCCAGGCCGGACTGCGGACTGCAGTGGCGCAATCTCGGCTCACTGCAAGCTCCGCTTCCCGGGTTCACGCCATTCTCCTGCCTCAGCCTCCCGAGTAGCTGGGACTACAGGCGCCCGCCACCGCGCCCGGCTAATTTTTTGTATTTTTAGTAGAGACGGGGTTTCACCTTGTTAGCCAGGATGGTCTCGATCTCCTGACCTCATGATCCAACCGCCTCGGCCTCCCAAAGTGCTGGGATTACAGGCGTGAGCCACCGCGCCCGGCCCTCAATTGCTTTTTATAAAAGTATTCATTAATGCTATTTGATCTCTGTTTACATTTAATTCTCTTTGTCAATTGTTTTTCTATTTTTTTGCTTCTGATTTTACTTGTATTCTCTTTGCTCCTTGGTTCCCTCTTTTGAGGCTGATTTTATCTTTAAATTGTTATCTAATGTAGAATATAATATTCCGTCTCTTCAAGCATTTATTTTTTCCTTGTCTTCAATGTTTGATCTTTAAGAGCTAAAGTACAACTAAACACATTTTAGGCATTTTATAAATATTTCTTGATTGATTGATTGGTTTAATAAGATTCCCCAGGTTTCAGACCGCCCATCTTTTCAATTTGGCTTTGGACTCAGGGCTATCTCCTGTGTTTTTGGAATTAGAGTTAAAGCCATCCCTCACCTAGTATAATATGATCACTGGGTCAGGCAACTCACACCTGTGCAATCTCTAGTCTTAAATCCTCTATTCTTAAGGGGCTGACTTAAAAGATGACTCAGTCTCATTTCTTTTGCTCCCATCCAAAATGAACAGGAAACATAAAAGGCATTAAGTACATTGGATAGCAGTCAAATTTCTAATAGTTCAGTTGTGCTAGGAAAATTAAACCTTATAGTGTCAGAAACTCCCAAATGCTTTTTTTTTTTTTTTCAACTTGCAGGACTATAAAATAAGAGGTGTCTCTACTAAGAGTTACAAAATGTTCTGAAATAACAACTCACTGGAGAAATACAGATAAGAGTCCTTAAAAGTATAACCTCGAATTAGATCCACATTTCCCTGTACTATGGAACATTAAAATAATTTAATAGCTTGAAGGAAATGTTACTCGTTGCCCATTATCTTGCTACTAATCTACGTATTTCTATGAAAATGTCATACATTTTGTGCTATATTAAGCACATTTTAGCATACACTTAAATAGATATTATTTATTTTTTAAATCCTGAATGGCCAATGATTGGTCTTTGTTAATTAACATTTTATTAAATGGAACTCATGATAGAGTAAAATAGAAAAAAACCTGTTTCTCCATACTGCTACAGTAGGTAGCTAGTCAGGCATGAGCAGGGCAGGAGAGGGCTCCCCAACACCACATCAGGAATGCCAGGTGACCATCAGGTGATGGTCACGTGGTTGTTAACTCTCGCTGTAAAATAATAATTGGTCACAGCTGGCACCAGGGAACGGCCATCTTCCAATAGGTAGAAACACCTGAAACTGGTGATCAGCAGCTTCCCAGTAAAATCTCAGGAGTTGGGAGAGTGGACTCAAGCATGCGCATTAAGAGGCAAAATGGTGGAGTTTAACTGGTATATGACCTTCCTCTAGGAATGTTAGGCTGGTAAGGGAAAAACGTCTCAAGTGAGCATGTGTACAACTCCAGTAAACACACTGCATGTGCTCCCCTCCCAAGGGCTAGCAGGCCACTGTGCATGTGGACAGCCCACCCCAAGGGAAGAATAAGGAGAGAAGTAACACAAGACCTCAGAAGTATGCCAACGTATAAAACTCCAAGTCAAAATGTCAAACCACGCACTTGACTCTCTCAAGTCGCCTGCTTGGCCCGCTTCCAAGTGTATGTTACTTCTTCGTATTCCTGATTCAAAACTTTTTAGTAAAGGTTCACTCCTGCTCTAAAACTTACCTCAGTCTCTCCCTCTGCCTTATGCACCTCACTCTAATTCTTTCTTCTGAGGAGGCAAGAATTGAGATTGCTGCAGACCCTTATGGATATGGATTTGCTGCCGGCAACTAGTATTATTTAACTCATTTTGCTAAGATTTTCCAAGAGGTTTCATGTTTTTCGCAGTCCGACTATAATCTGGTTCTCAGTCTTGCCATTTCAAATTTCCTTTAAGGAGGCATTGGGTTTTGCTTTGAAAGGCCTACAAGTTGGTTGTCACTAGAGGCTAGGGCCAAGCTCTTGCATTAAGAGACATACTAAAGAGCAATCAGAACTTTTTGATAAAATAGGGGTTTGTAAATTAATTTACTAACGGTTCATTATGGTATTCCCGTAATATATTTTCCTATAACTTTACCGATAATTTTTTTTGGCTTGCATAACATTTTAGAATACTTACGCTTGTTGGAAATGCCATGATTATATTAAAAAATTTTTGTTGTTATCTATCCAATACTCATGATGCTAGGCTAAATTCTGCTGAAAAGAAATACAAACATATTGCAAAAAGTTACAGACATAGTAAAACCTTGGAAGACAGGGACTGGTTAATGAAATTACTGAAAAACCCAACTATATAGTATTACTCTTTTACATATATAAAATTAAATAAAAAGAATTGATCAGAATCTTCTTAATTAAAGTTTGCTGGTATATGTCAGTAGATGTCAATATTATAAAGTGCAAAATAAGATTTTCCCATCGATTCAGTGAATTGTTGTCTAATTATATTTTATTTATTTATTTTTGAGATGGAGTTTTGCTCTGTTGCCCAGGCTGGAGTGCAGTGGCACAATCTCAATCTTGGGGCACTGCAACCTTTGCCTCCCAAGTTCAAGAAATTCTCCTGCCTTAGCCTCCTGAGTAGCTGGGATTACAGGTGCACAGCACCACACCCAGGTAATTTTTGTGTTTTTAGTAGAGACAGGGTTTCACCATTTTCACCAAGCTGGTCTCAAACTCCTGACCTCAAGTGATCTGCCCACCTTGGCCTCCCAAGATGCTGGGATTACAGATGTGAGCCACCACGCCCAGCCTGTTGTCTAATTCTAAACAGTTTGATGCCTATGATGTATACATTTGTTCATCAAAACAAATTTAGAACAGTGAACCTCAAGGGATGTGAAATTATTTTTTAAAGACGAGACAGAATGATGGTTATTTTTGCTCTAAGAAAAAGGAGATTAGATTGTTCTGCAACCCATTTTTTGGGAAGGTCTGTGTCCTGGCTCTTTTCCTTCTAATTATGTTGGGAAGTGCAATGACATGATAAGGTTTTTTAAATATATATAAATGAAAGTATTGTCTTAATGTAGTAGTGCATTCAGCCTTGATGTCTACAAACCTTCAGTATGTTGCAGTGATTTAAAAGTATCCTTACAATTCATATGTAAGGATGTTATATGTATTCCAAAAGAAAATGTATTAATGCTAATCCTGAGTAAAGCTGTGAGTCTTAAAGGATGCCTTGTCCACCAAAAAGGGATTAGAATAGGCCCATTGGTTCAGGGATGTGGGAAGGATCTTGGCATACACTTGGGTTTCAGGTGAAAAAATATGAGAGTAACCTGATGGAAATGGAAACACCACGACCAGGAAAGGGATCTGAAAGTTTCCTGCTGTCATGATGTGGATAATTCAAATCAACAAATTATCCTAAAAGAAGTCACAAAATAGGTGAAACATTTAGGATTCTAGCAGGAGTCAATGAAAACTGTTTTTTTTTAAAATTATACTTTAAGTTCTAGGGTACCTGTGCACAATATGGAGGTTTGTTACATATGTAAACATGTGCCATGTTGGTATGCTGCACCCATCAACTTATCATTTACATTAGGTATTTCTCCTAATGCTATCCCTCCCCCTGCCCCCCACCCCAGGACAGGCCCCAGGGTGTAATATTCCCCGCCCTGTGTCCATGAGTTCTCATTGTTCAATTCCTACCTATGAGTGAGAACATGCGGTGTTTGGTTTTCTCTCCTTGTGATACTTTGCTCAGAATGATGATTTCCAGCTGCATCCATGTCCCGGCAAAGGACATGAACTCATCATTTTTTATGGCTGCATAGTATTCCGTGGTGTATATGTGCCACATTTTCTTAATCCAGTCTATCATTGATGGACATTTGGGTTGGTTCCAAGTCTTTGCTATTGTGAATAGTGCCACAATAAACATACCTGTGCATGTGTCTTTATAGCAGCATGATTTATAATCCTTTGGGTATATACCCAGTAATGGGATGGCTGGGTCAAATGGTATTTCTAGTTCTGGATCCTTGAGGAATCACCACACTGTCTTCCACCATGGTTGAACTAGTTTATACTCCCACCAACAGTGTAAAAGCATTCCAATTTCTCCACATCCTCTCCAGCATCTGTTGTTTCCTGACTTTTTAATGATTGGCATTCTAACTGGTGTGAGATGGTATCTCATTGTGGTTTTGATTTGCATTTCTCCGATGACCAGTGATGATGAGCATTTTTTCATGTCTGTTGGCTGCATAAATGTCTTCCTTTGAGAAGTCTCTGTTTATATCCTTCACCCACTTTTTGATGGGCTTGTTTGTTTTTTCACGTAAATTTGTTTAAGTTCTTTGTAGATTCTGGATATTAGCCCTTTGTCAGACAGGTAGATTGCAAAAATTTTCTTCCATTCTGTAGGTTGCCTGTTCACTCTGATGATAGTTTCTTTTGCTGTGCAGAAGCTCTTTAGTTTAGTTAGATCCCATTTGTCTATTTTGGCTTTTGTGGCCATTGCTTTTGGTGTTTTAGTCTTTGCCCATGCCTATGTCTTGAATGGTATTGCCTAGGTTTTCTTCTAGGGTTTCTATGGTTTAGGTCTAACATTTAAGTCTTTAATCCATCTTGAATTAATTTTTGAATAAGGTCTAAGGAAGGGATCCAGTTTCAGCTTTCTACATATGGTTAGCCAGTTTTCCCAGCACCATTTATTAAATAGGGAATCCTTTCCCCATTTCTTGTTTTTGTCAGGTTTGTCAAAGATCAGATGGTTGTAGATGTGTGGTGTTATTTCTGAGGCCTCTGTTTTGTTCCATTGCTCTACATGTCTGTTTTGGTACCAGTGCCATGCTATTTTGGTTACTGTAGCCTTGTAGTGTAGTTTGAAGTCAGGTAGTGTGATGCCTCCAGCTTTATTCTTTTTGCTTAGGATTGTCTTGGTAATGTGGGCTCTTTTTTGGTTCCATATGAACTTTAAAGCAGTTTTTTCCAACTCTGTGAAGAAAGTAATTGGTAGCTTGATGGGGATGGCACTGAATCTACAAAATACCTTGGGCAGAATGGCCATTTTCATTATATTGACTCTTCCTATCCATGAGCATGGAATGTTCTTCCATTTGTTTGTGTCCTCTTTTATTTTGTTGGGCAGTGGTTTGTGGTTCTCCTTGAAGAGGTCCTTCACATCCCTTATAAATTAGATTCCTAGGTATTTTATTCTTTTTGTAGCAATTATGAATGGGAGTTCACTCATGATTTGGCTCTGTTTGTCTGTTGCTGGTGTATAGGAATGCTGGTGATTTTTGCACATTGATTTTGTATCCTGAGACTTTGCTGAAGTTGCTTATCAGCTTAAGGAGACTTGGGGCTGAGGCGATGGTGTTTTCTAAATATACAATCATTTATTCTGCAAAGAGGGACAATTTGACTTCCTCTTTTCCTAATTGAATACCCTTTATTTCTTTCTCTTGCCTGATTGCCCTGGCCAGAACTTCCAACGCTATGTTGAATAGGAGTGGTGAAAGAGGGCATCCCTGTCTTGCCAGTTTTCAAAGGGAATGCTTCCAGTTCTTGCCCATTCGGTGTGATATTGGCTGTGGGTTTGTCATAAATAGCTCTTATTATTTTGAGATATGTTCCATCAATACCTTGTTTGTTGAGAGTTTTTAGCATGAAGCACTGTTGATTTTTTTTCAAAGGCCTTTTCTGCATCTATTGAGATAATCATGTGGTTTTTGTCATTGGTTCTGTTTATGTGATGGATTATGATTATTGATTTGCGTATGTTGAACCAGCCTTGCATCCCATGGATGAAGTTGACTTGATCATGGTGAATAAGCTTTTTGATGTACTGCTGGATTCAGTTTGCCAGTATTTTATTGAGGATTTTTGCATCGATGTTCCTCAGGGATGTTGGTCTAAAATTCTCTTTTTTTGTTGTGTCTCTGCCAGGCTTTGGTATCAGGATGATGCTGGCCTCATAAAATGAGTTAGGGAGGATTCCCTCTTTTTCTATTGATTGGAATAGTTTCAGAAGGAATGGTACCAACTCCTCTTTGTACTTCTGGTAGAATTCGGCTGTGAATCCGTTTGGTTCTGGACTTTTTATGGTTGGTAGGCTATTAATTATTGCCTTAATTTCAGAGCCTGTTATTGATCTATTCAGAGATTCAACTTCTTCCTGGTTTAGTCTTGGGAGGCTGTATGCATCCAGGAATTTATCCATTTCCTCTAGATTTTCTAGTTTATTTGCGTAGAGGTGTTTATAGTATTCTCTGATGGTAGTTTGTATTTCTGTGGGATTGGTGATGATATCCCTTTTATCACATTTTATTGCGTCTATTTGGCTCTTCTCTCTTTTCTTCTTTATTAGTCTCATTAGCTGTCTATCAGTTTTGTTGAGCTTTTCAAAAAACCAGCTTCTGGATTGATTGATTTTTTGAAGAGTTTTTTGTATCTCTATGTCCTTCAGTTCTGCTCTGATCTTAGTTATTTCTTACCTTCTGCTAGCTTTTAAATTTGTTTGCTCTTGCTTCTGTAGTTCTTTTAATTGTGATGTTAGGGTGTTGATTTTAGATCTCTCCTGCTTTCTCTTGTGGGCATTTAGTGCTATAAATTCCCCTCTACACACTACTTCAAATGTACGTTGTATCTTTGTTCTCATTAGTTTCAAAGAACATCTTTATTTCTGCCTTCACTTCATTATTTACCCAGTAGTCATTCAGGAGCAGGTTGTTCAGTTTCCATGTAGTTGTGCGGTTTTGAATGAGTTTCTTAATCCTGGGTTCTAATTTGATTGCACTGTTGTCTGAGAGACAGTTTGTTGTGATTTCTGTTCTTTTACATTTGCTGAGGAGTGCCTTACTTCCAACTATGTGGTCAATTTTGGAATAAGTATGATGTGGTGCTGAGAAGAATGTATATTCTGTTGATTTGGGATGGAGAGTTCTGTAGATGTCTATTAGGTCTGCTTGGTGCAGAGCTGAGTTCAAGTCCTGGATATCCTTGTTAACCATCTGTCTCGTTGATCTGTCTAATATTGACAGTGGGTTGTTAAAATCTCCAATTATTATTGTGTTGGAGTCTAAGTCTCTTTGTAGGTCTCTAAGGACTTGCTTTATGAATCTGGGTGCTCCTGTATTGGGTGCATATATATTTAGGATAGTTAGCACTTCTTGTTGAATTGATCCCTTTACTATTATGTAATGGCCTTCTTTGTCTCTTGATCTTTGTTGGTTTAAAGTCTGTTTTATCAGAGACTAGGATTGCAACCCCTGCTTTTTTTTTTGCTTTCCGTGTGCTTGGTAGATCTTCCTCCATTTTTTATTTTGAGCCTATGTGTGTCTCTGCACGTGAGATGGGTCTCCTTTATAGAGCACACTGATGGGTCTTGACTCTTTATCCAATTTGCCAGTCTGTGTCTTTTAATTGGGGCAGTTAGCCCATTTACATTTAAGGTTGATATTGTTATGTGTGAATTTGTTCTTGTCATTATGATGTTATCTGGTTATTTTGCCCATTATTTGATGCAGTTTCTTCCTAGCATCGATGGTCTTTATAATTTGGCATGTTTTTACAGTGGCTGGTATTGGTTGTTCCTTTCCATGTTTAGTGCTTCCTTCAGAAGCTCTTTTAGGGCAGGCCTGGTGGTGACAAAATCTCTCAGCATTTGCTTGTCTGTAAAGGATTTTATTTCTCTTCACTTATGAAGCTTAGTTTGGCTGGATATGAAATTCTGGGTTGAAAATTCTTTTCTTTAAGAATGTTGAATATTGGCCCTCACTCTCTTCTGGGTTGTAGAGTTTCTGCTGAGAGATCAGCTGTTAGTCTGATGGGCTTCCCTTTGAGGGTAACCCAACCTTTCTCTCTGGCTGCCCTTAACATTTTTCCTTCATTTCAACCTTGGTGAACCTGACAATTATGTGTCTTGGAATTGCTCTTCTTGAGGAGTATCTTTGTGCTGTTCTCTGTATTTCCTGAATTTGAATGTTGGCCTGCCTTGCTAGGTTGGGGAAGTTCTCCTAACAGTGTTTTCCAACTTGGTTCCATTCTCCCCATCACTTTCAGGTACACCGATCAAAGGTAGATTTGGCCTTTTCACATGGTCCCATATTTCTTGGAGGCTTTGTTCGTTTCTTTTTACTCTTTTTTCTCTAAACTTATCTTCTCACTTTATTTCATTAATTTGATCTTCAATCACTGATACCCTTTCTTCCACTTGATTGAATTGGCTATTGAAGCTGTGCATGTGTCGTGTAGTTCTCATGCCATGGTTTTCAACTCCATCAGGTCATTTAAAGTCTTCTCTACACTGTTTATTCTAGTTAGCCATTCATATAATCTTTTGTCAAGGTTTTTCCCTTCCTTGCAATGAGTTCAAACATCCTCCTTTAGCTCGGAGAAGTTTATTATTACCGACCTTCTGAAGCCTACTTCTGTCAGCTCGTCAAAGTCATTCTCAGTCCAGCTTTGTTCTGTTGCTGGCGAGGGGCTGCAATCCTTTGGAAGAGAAGAGGTGCTCTGGTTTTTAGAATTTTCAGCTTTTCTGCTCTGGTTTCTCCCCATCTTTGTGGTTTTATCTACCTTTGGTCTTTGATGTTGGTGACCTACAGCTGGGGTTTTGGTGTGGATGTCCTTTTTGTTCATGTTGATGCTATTCCTTTCTGCTTGTTAGTTTTCCTTCTAACAGTCAGGCCCCTCACCTGCAGATCTGTTGGAGTCTGCTAGAGGTCCACCCCGGACCCTGTTTGCTGGGGTATCACTAGCAGAGGCTGCAGAACAGCAAATATTGCAGAACAGCAAATATTGCTGCCTAATCCTTCCTCTGGAAGCTTCATCCCAGAGGAGCACCGCCTGTATGATTTGTCAGTCAGCCCCTACTGGGAGGTGTCTCCCAGTTAGGTTACACGGGGGTCAGGGACACACTTGAGGAGGCAGTCTGTTTGTTCTCCGAGCTCAAACACCATGCTGGGGGAACCACTGCTCTCTTCAGAGCTGTCAGACAGCCATGTTTAAGTCTGCAGAGGTTTCTGCTGCCTTTTGTTCAGCTATGCCCTGCCCCCAGAGATGGAGTCTACTGAGGCAGGAGGCCTTGCTGAGCTGAGATGGGCTCCGCCCAGTTTGAGCTTTCCTGGCTGCTTTGTTTACCTACTCAAGCCTCAGCAATGGTGGATGCCCCTCCCCCTGCCAGGCTGCTGCCTCGCAGGTTGATCTCAGACTGCTGTGCTAGCAGTGAGCCAGGCTCTGTTGGTGTGGGACCCGCCAATCCAGGCATGGGATATAATCTCCTGGTGTGCTGTTTGCTGAGACCATTGAAAAAGTGTAATATTTGGGCAGGAGTGTCCCATTTTTCCAGGTACTGTCTGTCATGGCTTCCCTTGGCTAGGAAAGGGAAATTCCCCGACCCCTTGTGCTTCCTGGGTGAGGCAATGCCCTGCCCTGCTTCGGCTAGCCCTCCATGGGCTGCACCCACTGTCCAACCAGTCCCAGTGAGATGAACCAGGTACCTCAGTTGGAAATTCAGAAATCACCCGTCTTCTGCATCAATCACACTGGGACCTGCAGACCAGAGCTGTTCCTATTCAGCCATCTTGGAACAGAACGTGAAAACTGCTTTGTTAATATGCTTTCTTTACCTCCAGATTTCTCCCAAATGAACTCCCATAGACCTCATAATGTGAAGATACAAACCTCTATGAGGAAAAATCAGCAGACACAACAAACAGGAGATTTTTTATGTAATGTAATGGCCCCCAAACTGGATATTATAGAATAATGTAAATGAGATTATGTATTCAATATGTTAATTAATTAAGGAAAACAGAAGGAACAGAAATCACAAAGAAACATTAGAAAGTCATGGAAAAAGTAGGGCCCTATTTATAAAATAGCAAAATAGAAGATATAGAAATAAAAAAATCATTGAAATTAAAAAATGTAAATACATTATTAATTTATGCTAATTTAAATGTTAGACAAATAGAATAATAAGACAGAAATGTATCCAAGCATGTATAAAGATTTATTGTTTAACAGGTCAATGAAGAAAATGATTGAATATTTAGCAATTACCACTGTGTCAAATGATAGTCATCTGGAAAGAAGAAAACTGGATTTCTGCTTTATAGCAAATAAAAAAATCAAAGTTGAGATAGATTAAAGATCTAAAAAACACCCATATTTTCAACACCTTTGGGAAAATTATAGGAAAATATTATGTCAGGGTGTACAAGAACTTTATAAGTAGTCGCAAATAAAATAGTATCCTGCAAAAGAAAGAATTTAGACCCCTACCTCACATCATATATGAAATTAACTAAAAAATGGATCAAAGACCTAAATATAAGAACCTCAAACTATAAAATCCTTAGAAGAAAAAAAGTGTAGATCTTTATCAGCTTGGATTAGGCAATGGTTTCTTAGCTATGACAGAAAAAGGATAAACAACAAAATAAATGGATAAATTGTACTTTATCAAACTTAAAAACGTTTATGTTTCAAAGGATACCATCAAGAAGGTGAAAAGAAAACCTACAAAATGTGAAAAATATTTGCAAACATATATCTAACAAAGTACCTGTATCCAGAATATATAATGAACACTTAGCAATAAACAATAAAAAGACAAATAACCCAATTAAAAATGGGCAAAAGATTTCACTAGACATTTATCCAAAGAAGATTTATAAGTGACCAATAAGCTCATGAAAGGATGTTCAGCATTGATAGAGAAACGCAAATCAAAGTCACAATAAGATGCCATAAAATTTTACACTCACTAGGATGGCTATAATAAAAAAGATGGGCTGTTGGAGTTTTGAAGAGTATGTGAAAAATTTTGAACACTCATACATGAATGGTGGAAATGTAAAATGCTCCAGCTGCTTTGGAAAACAGTCTGGTACTTCCTGAAAATTTTAAATACAGAGTTTTCTTTTATATACATATATATATTTATTTAAGTTGTAGGGTACATGTGCAAAATGTGTAGGTTTATTACATATGTATACATGTGCCATGTTGGTGTGCTGCACCCATTAACTCATCATTTACATTAGGTATATCTCCTAATGCTATCCCTCCCCCTGCCCCCCACCCCACGACAGGCCCCAGTGTGTGATATTCCCCTTCCTGTGTCCATGTGTTCTCATTGTTCAATTCCCACCTATGAGTGAGAACATGTGGTGTTTGGTTTTTTGTCCTTGTGATAGTTTGCTGAGAATGATGGTTTCCATCTTCATCCATGTCCCTACAAAGGACATGAACTCATCATTTTTTATGGCTGCGTAATATTCCATGGTGTATATGTGCCACATTTTCTTAATCCAGTCTATCATTGTTGGACATTTGGGTTGGTTCCAAGTGTTTGCTATTGTGAATAGTGCCACAATAAACATATGTGTGCATGTGTCTTTATAGCAGCATGACTTATAATCCTTTGGGTATATACCCAGAAATGGGATGGCTGGGTCAAATGGTATTTCTAGTTCTAGATCCCTGAGGAACCACCACACTGTCTTCCACAAGGGTTGAACTAGTTTACAGTCCCACCAACAGTGTAAAAGTGTTCCTATTTCTCCACATCCTCTCCAGCACCTTTTGTTTCCTGACTTTTTAATGATTGCCATTCTAACTGGTGTGAGATGATATCTCATTGTGGTTTTGATTTGCATTTCTCTGATGGCCAGTGATGATGAGCATTTTTTCATGTGTCTGTTGGCTGCATAAATGTCTTCTTTTGAGAAGTGTCTGTTCATATCCTTCACCCACTTGTTGATGGGGTTGTTTGTTTTTTTCTTGTAAATTTGTTTGAGTTCTTCGTAGATTCTGGATATTAGCCCTTTGTCAGATGAGTAGATTGCAAAAATTTTCTCCCATTTTGTAGGTTGCCTGTTCACTCTGATGGTAGTTTCTTTTGCTGTGCAGAAGCTCTTTAGTTTAATTAGATGCCATTTGTCAATTTTGGCTTTTGTTGCCATTGGTTTTGGTGTTTTAGACATGAAGTCCTTGCCCATGCCTATGTCCTGAATGGTATTGCCTAGGTTTTCTTCTAGGGTTTTTATGGTTTTAGGTCTAACATTAAAGTCGTTTATCCAGCTTGAATTAATTTTTGAATAAGGTGTAAGGAAGGGATCCAGTTTCAGCTTTCTACATATGGCTAGCCAGTTTTCCCAGCACCATTTGTTAAATAGGGAATCCTTTCCCCATTTCTTGTTTTTGTCAGGTTTGTCAAAGATCAGATAGTTGTACATGTGTGGTATTTAAATACAGAGTTTTCATATGACCCAGAAATTCTACTCCTAGGCAGAGTCTCAAGGTAATTGAAAATGTATGTCCACCAAAAACTTGTAGTGAATGTTCCTACTGGTGTTAATTATCATAGCCCTGAAGTGGAAACAACCCAAATTTCCATCAGTTGATGAGTGGATAAACAAAATGTGGTAAATCCTTGCAATGGAATATTATTTGGCCATAAAATGGAAGTACAGCTACATGTTACAGCATGCATGAATGTTAAAGCCATTATACTTAGTGAAGGAAGCCATCACAAAGAGTCACATATTGTCAGATTTCCTGTATATACATCATCCAAAATGGGTAAATCCATAGAGACAGTAGGAGATTCATGGTTGCCAAGGGCTGGGGGTGGGCAAAATGGGAAGTGATTGCTAATGGGTATGAGATTTTTTTGGGGGAGGGGTGATAAAAATGTTCTGAAATTAAATAATGGTGATAATTGCACAACTTTAAATATACTAAAAAACGTGGAATTGCATACTTTGAAAGGATAAGTTTTTTGTTATGTGAATTCCATCTGAATTTTAAAAAGAAGAGAAAAACTAAAAAAGATTGATTAACTTGATGTTGAATTTTAAACAGCTTTATGAAAGAGCATATATAACAAGCTGTGTATCATTATCCAGGATATATAAATGACTCCTACAAATAAATGAAATAAAGGCAAAATTTCCACCAAATAATATGCAAACATTTGCATATGCAAATAATAAGCAAACGTGGCTAGCCAGTTTTCCCAGCACCATTTATTAAATAGGGAATCCTTTCCCCATTGCTTGTTTTTGTCAGATTTGTCAAAGATCAGATAGTTGTAGATATGTGGCATTATTTCTGAGGGCTCTGTTCTGTTCCATTGGTCTATATCTCTGTTTTGGTACCAGTACCATGCTGTTTTGGTTACTGCAGCCTTGTAGTATAGTTTGAAGTCAGGTAACATGATGCCTCTAGCTTTGTTCTTTTGGTTTAGGATTGACTTGGCAATGCGGGCTCTTTTTTGGTTCCATATGAAATTTAAAGTAGTTTTTCCCAATTCTGTGAAGAAAGTCATTGGTAGCTTGATGGGGATGGCATTGAATCTATAAATGACCTTGGGCAGTATGGCCATTTTCACGATATTGATTCTTCCTACCCATGAGCATGGAATGTTCTTCCATTTGTTTGTATCCTCTTTTATTTCCTTGAGAAGTGGTTTGTAGTTCTCCTTGAAGAGGTCCTTCACATCCCTTGTAAGCTGGATTCCTAGGTATTTTATTCTCTTTGAAGCAATTGTGAATGGGAGTTCACTCATGATTTGGCTCTCTGTTTGTCTGTTATTGGTGTATAAGAATGCTTGTGATTTTTGCACATTGATTTTGTATCCTGAGACTTTGCTGAAGTTGCTTATCAGCTTACATAGATTTTGGGCTGAGACGATGGGGTTTTCTAGATATACAATCATGTCATCTGCAAACAGGGAAATTTGACTTCCTCTTTTCCTAATTGAATGCCCTTTATTTCCTTCTCCTGCCTAATTGCCCTGGCCAGAACTTCCAACACTATGTTGAATAGGAGTGGTGAGAGAGGGCATCCCTGTCTTGTGCCAGTTTTCAAAGGGAATGCTTCCAGTTTTTGTCCATTCAGTATGATATTGGCTGTGGGTTTGTCATAGATAGCTCTTATTATTTTGAGATACGTCCCATCAATACCTAATTTACTGAGAGTTTTTAGCAGGAAGACTTGTTGAATTTTGTCAAAGGCCTTTTCTGCATCTATTGAGATAATCATGTGGTTTTTGTCTTTGATTCTGTTTATATGCTGGATTACGTTTATTGATTTGCATGTATTGAACGAGCCTTGCATCCCAGGGATGAAGTCCACTTGATCATGGTCGATAAGCTTTTTGATGTGTTGCTGGATTTGTTTTGCCAGTATTTTATTGAGGATTTTTGCATCAATGTTCATCAAGGATGTTGGTCTAAAGTTCTCTTTTTTTGTTGTGTCTCTGCCAGGCTTTGGTATTAGGATGATGCTGGCCTCATAAAATGAGTTAGGGAGGATTCCCTCTTTTTCTATTGATTGGAATAGTTTCAGAAGGAACAGTACCAGCTCCTCCTTGCACCTCTGGTAGAATTCGGCTGTGAATCCATCTGGTCCTGGACTTTTTTTGGTTGGTAAGCTATTAATTATTGCCTCAATTTCAGGGCCTGTTATTGGTCTATGCAGAGATTCAACTTCTTCCTGGTTTAGTCTTGGGAGAGTGTATGTGTCTCGGAATTTATCCATTTCTTCTAGATTTTCTAGTTTATTTGCATAAAGGTGTTTATAGTATTCTCTGATGGTAGTTTGTATTTCTGTGGGATCAGCGGTGATATCCTCTTTGTCATTTTTTATTGTGTCTATTTGATTCTTCTCTCTTTTCTTCTTTATTAGTCTTGCTAGCGGTCTATCAATTCTGTTGATCTTTTCAAAAAACCAGCTCCTGGATTCATTGATTTTTTGAAGGGTTTTTGTGTCTCTATTTCCTTCAGTTCTGCTCTGATCTTAGTTATTTCTTGCCTTCTGCTAGCTTTTGAATGTGTTTGCTCTTGCTTCTCTAGTTCTTTTAATTGTGATGTTAGGGTGTCAGTTTTAGATCTTTCCTGCTTTCTCTTGTGGGCATTTAGTGCTATAAATTTCGCTCTACACACTGCTTTGAATGCGTCCCAGAGATTCTGATGTGTTGTGTCTTTGTTCTCATTGGTTTCAAAGAACATCTTTATTTCTGCCTTCATTTCTTTATGTACCCAGTAGTCATTCAGGAGCAGGTTGTTCAGTTTCCATGTAGTTGAGTGGTTTTGAGTGAGTTTCTTAACCTGAGTTCTAGTTTGATTGCACTGTGGTCTGAGAGACAGTTTGTTATAATTTCTGGTCTTTCACATTTGCTGAGGAGTGCTTTATTTACAACTATGTGGCCAATTTTGGTCCATATATCTACCAGTACATTGCTGTTTTGGTTACTGTAGGCTTGCAGTATAGTTTGAATAAGGTAGCATGATGCCTCCAGCTTTGTTCTCTTTGCTTAGGATTGTCTTGGCTATATGGGGTCTTTTTTGGTTCCATATGAAATTAAAGTATTTTTTCTAATTCTGTGAAGAAAGTCAGCGGTAGCTTGATGGGAATGGTATCGAATCTATAAATTACTTTGGGCAGTATGGCCATTTTCATGATATTGATTCTTCTTATCCATGAGCATGGAATGTTCTTCCATTTGTTTGTGTTCTTTCTTATTTCCTTGAGTAGTGGTTTGTAGTTCTCCTTGAAGTCCTCCACATCCCTTTAAGTTGTATTCCTAGGTATTTTATTATTTTTGTAGCAATTGTGAATCAGAGTTCATTCATGATTTGGCTCTGTTTGTCTATTATTGATGTATAGGAATGCTTGTGATTTTTGCACATTGATTTTGTATCCTGAGACTTTGCTGAAGTTTAAGGAGTTTTTGGGCTGAGACAATGGGGTTTTCTAAATATACAATAATGTCATCTGCAAACAGAGATAATTTGACTTATCTTCCTGTTTGAACACCCTTTATTTCTTTCTCTTGCCTGATTGCCCTGGCCAGAACTTCCAATACTATGTTGAATAGGAGTGGTGAGAGAGACCATCTTTTCTTGTGCAGGTTTTCAAAGGGAATGTTTTCAGCTTTTGCCCATTCAGTATGATATTGACTGTGGGTTTATCATAAATAGCTCTTATTATTTTGAGATACATTCCATCAATACCAAGTTTATTGAGTGTTTGGAACATGAAGGGGTGTTGAATTTTTATGAAAGGACTTTTCTGCATCTATTGAGATAATCATGTGGTTTGTGTCACTGGTTCTGTTTATGTGATGGATTACATTTATTGATTTGCATATGTTGAAACAGCTTTGCATCCCATGGATGATGCCAACTTGATCATAGTGGATAAGCTTTTTAATGTGCCACTGGATTTGGTTTGCCAGTATTTTATTGAGGATTTTCACATCAATATTCATCAGGGATATTCGCCTGAAATTTTCTTTTTTTGTTGTGTCTCTGCTAGGTTTTGGTATCAGGATGATGTTGGTCTCCTAAAATGAGTTAGGGAGGAGCCCTCTCTTTCTATTGTTTGGAATAGTTTTAGAAGGAATTGTACCAGCTCCTTTTTATACCTATGGTAGAATTTGGCTGTGAATCCATCTGGTCCTGGGCTTTTTTTGGTTGGTTGGTATTAATTACTGCCTCAATTTCCGAACTTGTTATTGGTCAATTCAGGGATTCACCTTCTTTCTTGTTTAGTCTTGGGAGGGTGTATGTGTCCAGGAATTTATCCATTTCTTCCAGAGTTTCTAGTTTATTTGTGTAGAGCTGTTTATAGTATTCTCTGATGGTAGTTTGCATTTCTGTGGGATCAGTGGTGATATCCCCTTTATCATTTTTTATTGTGTCAATTTAATTCTTCTTTCTTTTCTTCTTTATTAGTCTGGCTAGCAGTCTATCTATTTTGTTAATCTTTTCAAAAAATCAGCTCCTGAATTCATTGGTTTTTTTTGAAGGGTTTTTTTTTTGTGTCTATCTCCTTCAGTTCTGCTCTGATGTTAGTTATTTCTTGTCTTCTGCTAGCTTTTGGGTTTGTTTGCTCTTGCTTCTCTAGTTCTTTTAATTGTGATGTTAGGGTGCTGATTTTAGATCTTTTCTGCTTTCTCTTGTGGGCATTTAGTGCTATAAATTTCCTGCTACACACTGCTGTAGCTGTGTCCCAGAGATTCTTGTATATTGCATCTTTGTTCTCATTGGTTTCAAAGAATGTATTTATTTCTGCCTTGCAGGTTGTTGAGTTTGCATGTAGGTGTGTGGTTTTGAGTGAGTTTCTGAATCCTGAGTTCTAATTTGATTGCACTGTGGTCTGAGAGACTGTTTGTTATGATTTCTGTTCTTTTGCATTTGCAGAGGAATGTTTTACTTCCAATCATGTGGTCAATTTTAGAATAAGTGCTATGTGGTGCTGAGAAGAATGTATATTCTGTTCCCTTGTGGTGGAGAGTTCTGTAGATGTCTATTAGGTCTGCATTGTGGAGAGCTGAGTTCAAGTCCTGAATATCCTTGTTAATTTTCTGTCTCATTGATCTGTCTAATACTGACAGTGGGGTGTTAAATTTTCCCACTATTATTGTGTGGGGGTCTAAGTCTCTTTGTAGGTCTCTAGGAACTTGCTTTATGAATCTGGGTGCTCTTGTATTGGGTGCACATGTATTTAGGATAGTTAGCTCTTCTTGTTGCACTGATCCTTTACCATTATGTAATGCTCTTCCTTGTCTTTTTAAACCTTTTTTGGTTTGAAGTCTGTTTTAGCAGAGACTAGGATTGCAACCCCTGCTTTTTTTTTTTGCTTTCCGTTTGCTTGGTAAACTTCCTCCATCCCTTTGTTTTGAGCCTATATGCATCTTTGCATGTAAGATGGGTCTCCTGAATACAGCACACCAATGGGTCTTGACTCTTTATCAAATTCGCCAGTCTGTGTCTTTTAATTGGAGCATTTAGCCTGTTTACGTTTAAGATTAATATTGTTATGTGTGAATTTGATCTTGTCATTATGATGCTAGCTGGTTATTTTGCCCATTAGTAGATGCAGGTTCTTCACAGTGTCAATGGTCTTTACAATTTGGTATGTTTTTGCAGTGGCTGGTACCGGTGTTTCCTTTCCATATTTAATGCTTCCTTCAGGAACTCTTGTAAGTCAGGCCTGGTGGTGACAAAATCACCAGCATTTGCTTGTCTGTAAAGGATTTTATTTCTTCTTCACTTTTGAAGCTTAGTTTGGCTGGATTTGAAATTCTGGGTTGAAAATTCTTTCCTTTAAGAATGTTGAATATTGGCCCCCACTCTCTTCTGGCTTGTAAGGTTTCTGCATAGAGATCTGCTGTTAGTCTGAATGGCTTCCCTTTGTGGGTAACCCGACCTTTCTCTCTGGCTGCCCTTAACATTTTTCCTCCATTTCAACCTTGGTGAATCTGACAATTATGTGTCTTGGGGTTGCTCTTCTTGAGGAGTATCTTTGTGGTGTTCTCTGTATTTCCTGAATTTGAATTGTTGGCCTGTCTTGCTAGGTTGGGGAAGTTCTTCTGGATAATACCTGAAGTGTGTTCCAACTTGGTTCCATTCTCCTCGTCACTTTCAAGTACACCAATAAAATGTAGGTTTGGTCTCTTCACAAGTCCTATATTTCTTGGAGGCTTTGTTTGTTCCTTTTCATTCTTTTTTCTCTAGTCTTGTCTTCTTTGTTTATTTCATTAAGTTGGTCTTCAATCTCTGAAATCCTTTTTTTCACTTGATCAATTTGGCTATTGATACTTGTGTATGCTTCACGAAGTTCTCGTGCTGTGTTTTTCAGCTCCATCAGGTCATTTATGTTCTTCTCTAAACTGGTTATTCTAGTCACTAGTTCCTGTAACCTTTTATCACAGTTCTTAGCTTCCTTGCACTGGGTTAGAACATGCTCCTTTACCTCTGAGGAGTTTATTATTACCCACCTTCTGAAGCCTACTTCTTCAATTCGTCAAACTCATTCTTCATCCTGCTTTGTTCCCTTGCTGGTGAGAAGTTGTGATTTTTTGGAGGAGAAGGGGTACTCTGGTTTTTGGAATTTTCAGCCTTTTCGAGCTGGTTTTTCCTCATTTTCGTGGATTTATCTCCCTTTCATCTTTGATGTTGGTGACCTTCAGATGGGGTTTTTGAGTGAGGGTTCTTTTTGTTGATATTGATGCTATTGCTTTCTGTTTGTTAGTTTTCCTTCTAACAGTGAGGCCCCTCTTCTGCAGGTCTGCTGGAGGTCCACTCCAGACCCTGTTTGTGTGGGTATCACCAGTGGAGGCTGCAGAACAGCAAAGATTGCTGCCTGCTCCTTCTTCTGGAAGGTTTCTTGCAGAGAGGCACCTGCCAGATGCCAGCCAGAGCTCTCCTGTATGAGGTGTCTGTTGACTTTTGCTGAGAGTTGTCTCTCTGTCAGAAGGCATGGGGGCCAGGGATCCACTCGAGGAGGCAGTCTGTCCCTTAGCAGAGCTCAAGTGCTGTGCTGGGAGATCTTCTGTTCTCTTTAGAGCCAGCAGGCAAGTACATTTAAGTCTGCTGATGCTGCATTCACAGCCACCCCTTCCCCCAGGTGCTCTGTCCCAGGGAGGTGGGAGTTTTATCTATAAGCCCCTGACTGGGGCTGCTGCCTTTCTTTCAGAGATTCCCTGCCCAAAGAGGAGGCATCTAGAGAGGCAGTCTGGCTACAGCGGCTTTGCGGAGCTGCAGTGTGCTTCACCCAGTTCTAACTTCCCAGTGGCTTTGTTTACACTGTGAGGGGAAAAACACCTACTGAAGCCTGAGTAATGGCAGATGCCCCTCTCCCCACCAAGCTCGAGCAGGTCAACTTCAGACTGCTGTGCTGGCAGCGAGAATTTCAAGCCAGTGGATCTTAGCTTGTTGGGCACCATGGGGGTGGAATCTGCTGGGCAAGACCACTCAGCTCCCTGGCTTCAGCCCCGTTTCCAGGGGAGTGAATGGTTCTGTCTCACTGGTGCTTCAGGCACCAATGGGGTATGAAAAAAAACTCCTGCAGCTAGCTTGGTGTCTTCCCAAACGGCTGGTGAGTTTTATGCTTGAAACCCAAGGCCCTGGTGGCATAGGCACCTGAGGAAATCTCCTGGTATGAGGGTTGCAAAGACTGTGGGAAAAACGTAGTATCTTGGCCTGAATGCACTGTTCCTCATGGCACAGTCTCTCAAGGCTTCCCTTGGCAAGGGGAGGGAGTTCCCCAACCCCTTGTGCTTCTGAGGTGAGGCAATGCCCCACCCTGCTTTGGCGTGCCCTCTGTGGCCTGCACCCACTGTGAAACCAGTCCCAATGAGATGAACTGGGTACCTTAGTTGGAAATGTAGAAATCACCTGCCTTCTGTGTTGGTGTTGCTGGGAACTGCAGACCAGAGCTGTTCCTATTCGGCCATCTTGCCTGGAAGCCAACTCTTCTTTTTTTAATTTAACTTATTTTAAGTTCAGGGGTACATACGCAGGTTTGTTATAGAGGTGAACTTGTGTCATAATTATTTCATTACTCAGGTAGTAAGCTTAGTACCTATTAGTTATTTTCCCTGATCCTCTCCCTCCTCCTAACCCTCCACCCTCCAACAGGCCCCAGTGTGTGTTGTTCCCCTCTATGTGAATAAAAGGACACTTCTATTGCATTTTATTTCTTTTGAAAGGTCAAAAGAGGACGGGCACTGTGGCACACACCTGTAATTCCAGCCCTTTGGGAGGCTGAGGTGGGCAGATCTCTTGATCCCAGAAGTTCAAGACCAGCCTAGGCAACATGGTGAAACCCTTTCTGTACAAAAAAATACCAAAACTAGCTGTGCGTGATGGTGCATGCCTGTAGTCCAAGCTACTTGGGAGGCCGAGGTGGGAGAATCACCTGAGCCTGGGTAGGTTGAGGCTATAGTGAGCCATGATTGTACCATTGCATTCCAGCCTGGGTGACAGAGTGAGACCCTCTTTAACAGCAATACCCAATTTCAAAAAAAGTAAAGAAAAAAAAACATCCAGAAGAAGGTATAGCATAATAAAAATAATTGTTACATTTGGTAATTATCAAATATGGTGTTTATTTTATTTTATTATTATTATACTTTAAGTTTTAGGGTACATGTGCACAATGTGCAGGTTAGTTACATATGTATACATGTGCCATGCTGGTGCGCTGCACCCACTAACTCGTCATCTAGCATTAGGTATATCTCCCAATGCTATCCCTCCCCCCTCCTCCCATCCCACAACAGTCCCCAGAGTGTGATGTTCCCTTTCCTGTGTCCATGTGTTCTCATTGTTCAATTCCCACCTATGAGTGAGAATATGCGGTGTTTGGCTTTTTGTTCTTGCGATAGTTTACTGAGAATGATGATTTCCAATTTCATCCATGTCCCTACAAAGGACATGAACTCATCATTTTTTATGGCTGCATAGTATTCCATGGTGTATATGTGCCACATTTTCTTAATCCAGTCTATCATTGTTGGACATTTGGGTTGGTTCCAATTCTTTGCTATTGTGAATAGTGCCACAATAAACATACGTTTGCATCTGTCTTTATAGCAGCATGATTTATAGTCCTTTGGGTATATACCCAGTAATGGGATGGCTGGGTCAAATGGTATTTCTAGTTCTAGATCCCTGAGGAATGGCCACACTGACTTCCACAAGGGTTGAACTAGTTTACAGTCCCACCAACAGTGTAAAAGTGTTCCTATTTCTCCACATCCTCTCCAGCACCTGTTGTTTCCTGACTTTTTAATGATTGCCATTCTAACTGGTGTGAGATGGTATCTCATTGTGGTTTTGATTTGCATTTCTCTGATGGCCAGTGATGGTGAGCATTTTTTCATGTGTTTTTTGGCTGCATAAATGTCTTCTTTTGAGAAGTGTCTGTTCATGTCCTTTGCCCACTTTTTGATGGGGTTGTTTGTTTTTTTCTTGTAAATTTGTTGGAGTTCATTGTAGATTCTGGATATCAGCCCTTTGTCAGATGAGTAGGTTGCGAAAATTTTCTCCCATTTTGTAGGTTGCCTGTTCACTCTGATGGTAGTTTCTTTTGCTGTGCAGAAGCTCTTTAGTTTAATTAGATGCGATTTGTCAATTTTGGCTTTTGTTGCCATTGCTTTTGGTGTTTTAGACATGAAGTCCTTGCCTATGCCTATGTCCTGAATGGTAATGCCTAGGTTTTCATCTAGGGTTTTTATGGTTTTAGGTCTAACATTTAAGTCTTTAATCCATCTTGAATTAATTTTTGTATAAGGTGTAAGGAAGGGATCCAGTTTCAGCTTTCTACATATGGCTAGCCAGTTTTCCCAGCACCATTTATTAAATAGGGAATCCTTTCCCCATTGCTTGTTTTTCTCAGGTTTGTCAAAGATCAGATAGTTGTAGATACGCAGCATTATTTCTGAGGGCTCTGTTCTGTTCCATTGATCTATATCTCTGTTTTGGTACCAGTACCATGCTGTTTTGGTTACTGTAGCCTTGTAGTATAGTTTGAAGTCAGGTAGCGTGATGCCTCCAGCTTTGTTCTTATGGCTTAGGATTGACTTGGTGATGCAGGCTCTTTTTTGGTTCCATATGAACTTTAAAGTAGTTTTTTCCAATTCTGTGAAGAAAGTCATTGGTAGCTTGATGGGGATGGCACTGAATCTATAAATTACCTTGGGCAGTATGGCCATTTTCACGATATTGATTCTTCCTACCCATGAGCATGGGATAGTCTTCCATTTCTTTGTATCCTCTTTTATTTCCTTGAGCAGTGGTTTGTAGTTCTCCTTGAAGAGGCCCTTCATGTCCCTTGTAAGTTGGATTCCTAGGTATTTTATTCTCTTTGAAGCAATTGTGAATGGGAGTTCATTCATGATTTGGCTCTCTGTTTGTTATTGGTGTATATGAATGCTTGTGATTTTTGTACATGGATTTTATATCCTGAGACTTTGCTGAAGTTGCTTATCAGCTTAAGTAGATTTTGGGCTGAGACGATGGTGTTTTCTAGGTATACAATCATGTCATCTGCAAACAGGGACAATTTGACTTCCTCTTTTCCTAATTGAATACCCTTTATTTCCTTCTCCTGCCTAATTGCCCTGGCCAGAACTTCCAACACTATGTTGAATAGGAGTGGTGAGAGAGGGCATCCCTGTCTTGTGCCAGTTTTCAAAGGGAATGCTTCCAGTTTTTGCCCATTCAGTATGATATTGGCTGTGGGTTTGTCATAGATAGCTCTTATTATTTTGAGATACGTCCCATCAATACCTAATTTATTGAGAGGTTGTAGCTTGAAGGGTTGTTGAATTTTGTGAAAAGACTTTTCTGCATCTATTGAGATAATCATGTGGTTTTCGTCTTTGGTTCTGTTTATATGCTGGATTACATTTATTGATTTGCGTATATTGAAACAGCCTTGCATCCCACGGATGAAGCCCACTTGATCATGGTGAATAAGCTTTTTGATGTGCTGCTGGATTTGGTTTGCCAGTATTTTATTGAGGATTTTTGCATCAATGTTCATCAAGGATATTGGTCCAAAATTCTCTTTTTTGGTTGTGTCTCTGCCAGGCTTTGGTATTAGGATGATGCTGGCCTCATAAAATGAGTTAGGGAGGATTCCCTCTTTTTCTATTGATTGGAATAGTTTCAGAAGGAATGGTACCAGTTCCTCTTTGTACCTCTGGTAGAATTTGGCTGTGAATCTGTCTGGTCCTGGACTCTTTTTGGTTGGTAAGCTATTGATTATTGCCACAATTTCATAGCCTGTTCTTGGTCTATGCAGAGATTCAACTTTTCCCTGGTTTAGTCTTGGGAGTGTGTATGTGTCGAGGAATTTATCCATTTCTTCTAGATTTTCCAGTTTATTTGCATAGAGGTGTTTGTAGTATTCTCTGATAGTAGTTTGTATTTCTGTGGGATTGGTGGTGATATCCCCTTTATCATTTTTTATGGCGTCTATTTGATTCTTCTCTCTTTTCTTCTTTATTAATCTTGCTAGTGGTCTATCAATTTTGTTGATCTTTTCAAAAAACCAGCTCCTGGATTCATTAATTTTTCTAAGGTTTTTTTGTGTCTGTATTTCTTTCGCTTCTGCTATGATGTTAGTTATTTCTTGCCTTCCGCTAGCTTTTGAATATGTTTGCTCTTGCTTTTCTAGTTCTTTTAATTGTGGTGTTAGGGTGTCAATTTTGGATCTTTCCTGCTTTCTCTTGTGGGCATTTAGTGCTATAAATTTCCCTCTACACACTGCTTTTAATGTGCCCCAGAGATTCTGGTATGTTGTGTCTTTGTTCTTGTTGGTTTCAAAGAACATCTTTATTTCTGCCTTCATTTCGTTATGTTCCCAGTAGTCATTGAGGAGCAGGTTGTTAAGTTTCCATGTAGTTGAGCGGTTTGCATGAGTTTCTTAATCCTGAGTTCTAGTTTGATTGCACTGTGGTCTGAGAGACAGTTTGTCATAATTTCTGGTCTTTCACATTTGCTGAGGAGAGCTTTATTTCCAACTATGTGGTCAATTTTGGAATAAGTGTGATGTGGTGCTGAAAAAAATGTATATTCTGTTGATTTGGGGTGGAGAGTTCTGTAGATGTCTATTAGGTCTGCTTGGTGCAGAGCTGAGTTCAATTCCTGGGTATCCTTGTTAACTTTCTGTCTCATTGATCTGTCTAATGTTGACAGTGGGGTGTTAAAGTCTCCCATTTTTATTGTGTGGGAGTCTAAGTCTCTTTATAGATCACTCAGGACTTGCTTTATGAATCTGGGTGCTCCTGTATTGGGTGCATATATATTTAGGATAGTTAGCTCTTCTTGTTGAATTGATCCCTTTACCATTATGTAATGGCCTTTTTTGTCTCTTTTGATCTTTGTTTGTTTAAAGTCTGTTTTATCAGAGACTAGGATTGCAACCCCTGCCTTTTTTTGTTTTCCATTTGCTTGGTAGATCTTCCTCCATCCTTTTATTTTGAGCCTATGTGTGTCTCTGCATGTGAGATGGGTTTCCTGAATACAGCACACTGATGGGTCTTGACTCTTTATCCAATTTGCCAGTCTGTGTCTTTTAATTGGAGCATTTAGTCCATTTACATTTAAAGTTAATATTGTTATGTGTGAATTTGATCCTGTCATTATGATGTTAGCTGGTGATTTTGCTTGTTAGTTTATGCAGTTTCTTCCTAGCCTCGATGGTTTTTACAATTTGGCGTGATTTTGCAGTGGCTGGTACCGGTTGTTCCTTTCCATGTTTAGTGCTTCCTTCAGGAGCTCTTTTAGGGCAGGCCTGGTGGTGACAAAATCTCTCAGCATTTGCTTGTCCGTAAAGTATTTTATTTCTCCTTCACTTATGAAGCTTAGTTTGGCTGGATATGAAATTCTGGGTCGAAAATTCTTTTCTTTAAGAATGTTGAATATTGGCCCCCACTCTCTTCTGGCTTATAGAGTTTCTGCCAAGAGATGAGCTGTTAGTCTGATGGGCTTCCCTTTGTGGGTAATCCGACCTTTCTGTCTGGCTGCCCTTAACATTTTTTCCTTCATTTCAACTTTGGTGAATCTGACAATTATGTGTCTTGGAGTTGCTCTTCTCAAGGAGTATCTTTGTGGTGTTCTCTGTATTTCCTGTATCTGAATGTTGGCCTGCCTTGGTAGATTGGGGAAATTCTCCTGGATAATATCCTGCAGAGTGTTTTCCAACTTGGTTCCATTCACCCCGTCACTTTCAGGTACACCAATCAGACGTAAATTTGGTCTTTTCCCATAGTCCCGTATTTCTTGGAGGCTTTGTTCATTTCTTTTTATTCTTTTTTCCCTAAACTTCTCTTCTCGCTTCATTTCATTCATTTCATCTTCCATCACTGATACCCTTTCTTCAGTTGATCGCTTCGGCTCCTGAGGCTTCTGCATTCTTCACGTGGTTCTCGAGCCTTGGCTTTCAGCCCCATCAGCTCCTTTAAGCACTTCTCTGTATTGGTTACTCTAGTTATACATTCGTCTAAATTTTTTTCAACGTTTTTAACTTCTTTGCCTTTGGTTTGAATTTCCTCCTGTAGCTCGGAGTAGTTTGATCGTCTGAAGCCTTCTTGTCTGAACTCGTCAAAGTCATACTCCGTCCAGCTTTGTTCTGTTGCTGGTGAGGAAGTGTGTTCCTTTGGAGGAGAGGCACTGCGCTTTTTAGAGTTTCCAGTTTTTCTGCTCTGTTTTTTCCCCATCTTTGTGGTTTTATCTACTTTTGGTCTTTGATGATGGTGATGTACAGATGGGTTTTTGGTGTGGATGTCCTTTCTGTTTGTTAGTTTTCCTTCTAACAGACAGGATCTTCAGCTGCAAGTCTGTTGGAATTTGCTAGAGGTCCACTCCAGACTCTGTTTTCCTGGGTAACAGCAGCAGTGGCTGAAGAAGAGTGGATTTTTGTGAACTGCGAATGCTGCTGTCTGATCGTTCCTCTGGAAGTTTTGTCTCAGAGGAGTACCCGGCCGTGTGAGGTGTCAGTCTGCCCCTACTAGGGGGTGCCTCCCAGTTAGGCTGCTCGGGGGTCAGGGGTCAGGGACCCACTTGAGGAGGCAGTCTGCCCGTTCTCAGATCTCCAGCTGCATGCTGGGAGAACCACTGCTCTCTTCAAAGCTGTCAGACAGGGCCATTTAAGTCTGCAGAGGTTACTGCTGTCTTTTTGTTTGTCTGTGCCCTGCCCCCAGAGGTGGAGCCTATAGAGGCAGGCAGGCCTCCTTGAGCTGTGGTGGGCTCCATCCAGTTTGAGCTTCCCAGCTGCTTTGTTTACCTAAGCAGGCCTGGGCAATGGCAGGTGCCCCTCCCCCAGCCTCGCTGCCACCTTGCAGTTTGATCTCAGACTGCTGTGCTAGCAATCAGCGAGACTCTGTGAGCGTAGGACCCTCCGAGCCAGGTGCGGTATATAATCTCCTGGTGCGCCGTTTTTTAAGCCCGTTGGAAAAGTGCAGCATTAGGATGGGAGTGACCCGATTTTCCAGGTGCCCCATCTGTCACCCCTTTCTTTGACTAGGAAAGGGAACTCCCTGACCCCTTGCACTTCCCGAGTGAGGCAATGCCTCGCCCTGCTTCGGCTCGCGCACCATGCGCTGCACCCACTGTCCTGCGCCCACTGTCTGGCACTCACTAGTGAGACGAACCCGGTACCTCAGATGGAAATGCAGAAATCACCCGTCTTCTGCATCGGTCACGCTGGGAGCTGTAGACCGGAGCCATTCCTGTTCAGCCATTTTGGCTGCTACTGCCTCAAATATGGTGTTTTAAATATTATTCTCTATTGTCAACATGACAGCTAAACATGGTGTCATGTTTATATTTATGTAATAATAATAATGTAATAACTTTTTTCATAGATGCACCCAATGTTTGCCTTTTTTTGTTATTGTTAAATTGCCTGTTTGAATCCTTTGCCTACATTTCTATTAGTATGACTGATGTATCACTTGGGAATTGTGTTTGGCTGTGAATAACACAAACCTGGAAACAGTGGATTAAATAAAGACTTTTATTTTTTTCTCTCAGAATGAAAAGTCCAAAAGTCAAAAACCTAGGACGGGTACAGTGTCTCCATGATGCCAGTAGGGAAATGGACTTGTATCTTTCCACTAAGCCACCCCTGGCATATGCTTTTCACCCTTGGGATTATGAGATGGCTGCTTTGTTTCCAGAATCAAGTCCATGTTTCAGGCAGGAAGAAATGAAAGAGCCAAGGACGAAATGTCCATTCCAGCGAAGTCTGCCCTCTCCCTCCCTTCCCATACATCCACATATTTTAAAGAGCCTTCCTGGAAGTCCCATCAAAAACTCCCTGCTCCCTTTTTTTTCAGTTGCCAGAACTAGGTCAGATGATGACTTGTATCCAGGAATTCAGCAGTGTTTGTTTAATCTTTTCCCCAAACTGGAGTTAAGTGGACAGGAATAAGAATGGATACTGGGAAGAGACCACTAGGCTTTCGTAGCTGCCAAACAATGATGATAACAATAGTGATGATGATCATAATAAAAATCATCATAGTTACCATTTATTATGTGCTGTGTGCCAGGTGTGTAAGCTTTGTACATTTTTCTTGTTTAGTCCCCCAAATCCTTAAAGTACTTGTGTTGGCACCCATTTAGAACTGAGGCTATTGAGACTCATTAATGTGTAGTAACATGTTGAAAGTCATGCGAGGGGCAATACAAACTTGAATCCAGTCCTATTTGACTATGAAGATCGTCTGGGACTGTACTGGCTTTAGCAGTGAAAGTCTCACATTCTAGGACACCTGTCAGTCATGGAACAGTGTGGCAGGGGTCACCCACTGAAGCTCAAACAGTATTAGGGTATGAGTTCAATTAAGGTTTTTTGAATGGTTAATTTAATAAGTATTATTTATCATTTCTCATAAGTTTATAGACTTGCAATACATTAAGAATACAACCTTTGGCCGGGCGCGGTGGCTCACGCCTGTAATCCCAGCACTTTGGGAGGCCGAGGCGGGCGGATCACAAGGTCAGGAGATCGAGACCATCCCGGCTAAAACGGTGAAACCCCGTCTCTACTAAAAATACAAAAAATTAGCCGGGCGTAGTGGCGGGCGCCTGTAGTCCCAGCTACTTGGGAGGCTGAGGCAGGAGAATGGCATGAACCCGGGAGGCGGAGCTTGCAGTGAGCCGAGATCCCACCACTGCACTCCAGCCTGGGCGACAGAGCGAGACTCCATCTCAAAAAAAAAAAAAAAAAAAAAAAAAAAAAAAAAAAAAAAAAAAAAAAAGAATACAACCTTTAAGTTGTATGTATTTTCTTTTGCTTTGTAGCTTTTATGACTCTTCTTGATATACAGATATTTAAAAATTTTATGTATCAAATATGTTTTCCTTTATAATTTTTTCCTTTTCTTTTATGTTTAGATATTCTTTCCCATGCTATTGACCAAAAGTTATCTGCATTTTCTTCTGGTCCTTTTATAATCTACTTTGCAATTCACAGTGTAAAATGGGGATATGCAGGAATGGGCAAGACTTTCATGCACATGTTCCATCTCCCAGGTTTGGGTGAGTGTTTCAAAACTGTATGCTTGTATGTTTGAAATGTTCATCTCAGGAACTGATTTAAAATCCATAACTTAAAGGGATGAAAACTCTTTCCAATGCATTTCCAATGTGCAGTGCACATGTATCTGATCTGCAATTGGAAAATGTCAAAATGTGTCAGCTCATTTCATACTCTTTTAAGCTATCCTTTGATTAAGGGAGTGCTGTATCAACTTATGTGAGCCTGCAGTCAAATCTACCTTCAAATTATTAGCACCTGGTGAGAAATGTCCTTCCCATTCTAAACACTAGTTCATCATGTCTTATTTGTAATTCATTTGATGATTTTGATATAACATTATAAATATTATACGTGACTAAGCCTTTACACTGAAGCTTTGTTCTTGTAAAAATGGCAGAAACTGTGAATTGCATACTCTGTCTCTGATACAGATGTGTGGATCTAGACTAAGCAGGTGTGGTGCTAGGCTGAGTAAATCACCAGTTCCAAATGTCTTTATGTTGGGAAACATGATGTCATTAATGTTTATCTTGTACTACTGAGTCTAACTTAGTTTTCTAGCCTATGGAGTGGGAAAATCTTTGTGAATTCACTGTTATTGACAAATAATTATTAGAAAATAAAATTAATACTCTAGTCCAAGTGTTGGCAAACTTTTTGTAAAGGGCCAGATGATAGCTATTTTAGGTTTTGCTGGCCATAAGATTTCGATTGCAACCACTCAAGTCTTCCTTTGTAGCAGCAGTAGACAATACATAAACAAATGGGCTTGGCTGTGCTCCAGTAAAACTTTATTTACAAAAACAGGTGGTCTACACGGTTCGGTCTGCAGACTGTATTTTGCCAACTACTGTGTAGTCAAATAATTGCTTCTTTCAGAGTTCTTTCTTTTTTTTCAGAATTCTTTGAAAACTATGTATTAGATTCCTCATTGTTATATAAAAACTGTTTATTATTTCAAAAGTGGGAATTTGTTGCTATCCTGGAAAATATTAAACAAGTTCTCCTATAATTGATACTTTAAGACTTTGACTTGAATGTCTTAAAGTTAAATTGGAAAGTCCTTTGAAAATTATTTGAAGGGAAGTATCATGGTGTAAACATTTCAGAATTGTTTGTTAGGAATAGGTTGTGCCAATTGCAAATGAAAAGTTAGTTTCTCAAATCTTCTTTCATATTAGTGGCCCATAGCTTTCTTCCTAAACAAATCTTTCTATCTTCTTCCAAAAAGCTGGATATAGCTCTTAGTTTCAGTGGGGTCCACGCTTAAAGACAGGAAAGCATATGGGTGCCATACATTTGTTAGTATTTGTCTCTACAAAATCACAAAAATTGAACACTCCAGAGCTCTAAATTACAAATTTGGATGGTGTGCCTTATTGCAGATCATAAAGGCCACGTGTGCAAGATTCATCGTCAATAGCATTGCTTCATGTTTTAGTAAATCAGAATGACTGACTGGAACTTTTACATCTTTTTTTGATGGATTCTCTCATGGTATAGACTGTAACCTGTGTGTCAATCTCTAACTGGATATCATTAATCACATTTCAAAGCTAAATACAATTGGGGGATGTAAGTTTTATATTTATACATCAAAATATGTACATTTTTAGGGGTAGGCAATATACAAACATATATATATATGTATATGAACAAACAATATTTATATATATAATGTTTAATAATCAGCCTCCCATGGGCCCTGAATATCCATGAATTTTTATTTATGCAAAATTTCAATGCTATTAGTGCTGAAAAGAGGTTGGAATTCATGCTTTGAAAGACTTTACAGTCTATGATAAGGCTTTTGTTGTTGTTCTTGTATTTTTTGTTTGTTTTTATAGTCTTGGCAGACACTTGTTTAGTGTTTGGTGGTTGGCTTATTTTTGGAAGCACCCTCAAAACAATTGGAGATAATATATTACAAATAAAGTGGATGTTCAAGCTGGGGATTTTTATCTTTGTTCAAAAATAAAGTGTAATGTTATAGTAATAGGACTTTTTCCTGTTTTATAATGTAACTTAAAAAATTTATAGCAATAAATGCCCACAGGAGAAAGCAGGAAAGATCTAAAATCAACACCCTAACATCACAATTAAAAGAACTAGAGAAGCAAGAGCAAACAAACCCAAGAGTTAGCAGAAGGCAAGAAATAACTAAGGTCAGAGCAGAACTGAAGGAGATAGACACAAAAAAACCCTTCAAAAAATCAATGAATTCAGGAGCTGGTTTTTTGAAAAGATTAACAAAATAGGTAGACCGCTAGCCAGACTAATAAAGAAGAAAAGAGAGAAGAATCAAATAGACACAATAAAAAATGATAAAGGGGATATCACCACTGATCCCACAGAAATACGAACTACCATCAGGTGTGTATATACTATACACACCTCTATGCAAATAAACTAGAAAACCTAGAAGAAATGGATACATTCCTGGACACATACACCCTCCCAGGACTAAACCAGAAAGAAGGCAAATCCCTGAATAGACCAATAACAAGTTCTGAAATTGAGGCAGTAATTAATACCTACCAACCAAAAAAAGCCCAGGACCAGATGGATTCACAGCCAAAGTCTACCACAGGTATAAAGAGGAGCTGGTACCATTCCTTCTGAAACTATTCCAAATAATAGAAAAAGAGGGCTCCTCCCTAACTCATTTTAGGAGGCCAGCATCATCCTGATACCAAAACCTAGCAGAGACAAGAAAAAAAAAACAACAAAATTTCAGGGCCGATATCCTTGATGAACATCAGTGAGAAAATCCTCAATAAAGTACTGGCCAACTGAATCCAGCAGCACATCAAAAAGCTTATCCACCAGGACTTTTCAAGTGCTTTAAGCAGTGGAAGGGTCACTGAAATATGTATTGCCTCCTAACATTAATTTTTGAAGAACAACTTTCATTTGAGCATGGAAGCTAAGGTCTGTTTTGAAAGTCTCATTACTCTATATTCATATCTTGTAAAAATACACTTATACACTTCCTTAGAAATGTAATTTGGACAAAAATTACATTTCCAAAAAGAATATTTTCAAATAATCAAGCTTATTTTTAGTAATAAACTAAGTTTATCAGTAAAACTAAGGGGCTGAAATTTTGCCAAACGTAACAAAGTGAATATATGAAAACAACAAAGTAGACAATATTATCAACAGGATTTATAATTTTTGTTTTTCAAGATATCCATGGATGCTTTGCTGCTAATTTCTCAGACCAGTGCAACACTATGTGATTTGATAATGGGAGTTTCCCTCCCAAGTACCTGTAACTTCTACAGTATTATCTTTGTGGGTGGTATGCTGGGATATTCTGAAAAGTCGTCCTTTATTCCTCACATAATGGAACCAAGAGCTGGAAGAGAGCAAGAAGAGCATAGTCAGGAAAGAGAGAAGAAACATTCAGAGAAACACCTCATGGGGTTTAAAAATTTTATAATAGATTTAACCTGAGGAAGATAAAGTCTTGTATTAACAAATAAATAGAAGCAACTGCAAATATGTTTGAATGGAGACTATGGGGCATATTTTTCTTTGCTCCATTTCTTTTTCTCTCTTAAAATACATGTGTGCTCCTTCATACAAAAATTTATTGTTAATTTTCCAATTGCAAAAGTACTTAATAAAGAGCACTTTGAAAACAAAGTAAAACAGTAAGAATTACCTATCATTGATGACCTAGAGATATAAATGGTAAAACTTGAATTCATGCCTTCTTTTTTCCTTAACTTATATATTTTTTGTTTTTACAAAAAGAGGATCCATCACATCACATGTGTTTCATAAGTTGCCCTTTTGTATAGCAATGTACTTAAATATCTCTGACTACATCTTGTCAATGTGCTTTTTTCTCAAAATAATTTTAAAAATAGTTTTATCTAGCTCATTTTTTAAATCTTAAAAGCAATGCATATTTACTGCAAAATAATTCAGAAAACATACATTAAAAAGATATCGTCTTTCGTACTACTGCCAAAAGTTGCTGAAGCTTGTTTTACAGGGCACTTGAAAGAAGGTATTTATAAGCCAGGCGCGGTGGTGCGTGCCTGTAATCTGAGCATTTTGGAAAGCAGAGGTGGGCAGATCACCTAAGGTCAGGAGTTCAAGACCAGCCTGGCCAACATGGTGAAACCCTGTCTCTACTAAAAATAAAAAAATTAGCTGTGTGTGGTGGCGGGAGCCTGTAATCCCAGCAACTTGGGAGGCTGGGGCAGGAGAATCACTTGTGCCCGGGAGGTGGAGGTTGCAGTGAGAAGAGATCGAGCCACTGCACTCCAGCCTAGGTGACAGAGCGAGGCTCCATCTGAAAAAAAAAAAAAAAAAAAAAAAAAAAAAAAGAAGGTATTTATGCTAAAATAGGTTTAGGAAATTGGGGGTTAAATGCACATAAACAGGTTTTCTTTTATTACAGGACTTCTCAGAGCCTTTAATATGCTGATGTGTACTATGATATTCACAGAAGGGAGGTAAAATGTAGAGTTTCCCAAACTTATTTGATGAGAGAAGCTTTATTTCAATAGATTAGTTTTCCTTAGAACACACTTTGGTATACAGTGTTCTTTATACACACACACACACACACACACACACACACAGAGGCATACTCAAACAATCTTTATTTACTTATTACTAGGTGATTAATAATTGGATAATGAGTTTAATATATCATGGTCATCTATTCACATTAATAAATGATCCACATAATCATTTTAATGACTGCCAAGTATACCACTGTTTTCATGCATCCTAATTTTTCAAAACAACTCCTTCTTGATGTACATTTAAGCTGTTTCCATCTTTTTTGCATTTGCAAATCATGCTGAATCAATACCTTTGTACATTTCTGTATATTTGTTCAATAATTTCTTTAGGATATATGCCTAACAAAGAGACAGTATGGGCCTTTTCATCTTATCTGTATTCCCAGATTCGTTTCTTTGCCTAGGAATGACAGTTTTTAATACAATTAGGATAGTTTTTCCTAATTAGGATAAGGAATTGTCCACTCATGAAGTATGAATAGGATCAGAGTAAGCTATCAGAAATATAGTTTCTTAAATACTTGCAATTATTCACAAGAATGATATGTATTTATGAAGGAGTAATTATTAACATTGTTTAGGAGGGAAGCTTAATACAAATTATGTAAAAAATTAGAAACCAAATTCCAAAAATATTATTCGCCCCCTTCCTTCTAGAGAATAAAATAGGTTAAAAGGAACAATACCTTCTGAATTTTAAGTGAAAAAGAAACACATTTTAAGTCCAAGTTAAGATGTAGAAATATACCCCTATTGATTTGTCTCTTCTCATTAATTAAAACCTGAAATACCCTATCCAGTGTTTTATTATGACTACATTCTATCAAAAATCCCATAAGTTATTCCATTGGAGTTTACATAGGCTGATATCTCATCCTGCTTTCAATAAAAAGTCAGAAAGCAAATCTGTTTGATCAGATTTGCTCTGAGTATTGGAGTCTACACTTAAGCTTTTGAACAATTATATACAGGACTGAGCAAAGGCTATTGTTTGCTTATGTGGTAGATTGGAATCGCGAATGTTAATCTCATCCCCAAGAACACTTTTTAATTTATATCAAAATTGTATAAACAGGGTCACCAGTGCTAAATGGGATGTCAATGACCTATGAAGATCAGAAAGTAAACAAAGATCTTAAAATAAGCATGTAACCTGAACACCTCAAGAATTGTTGTATATTGAAAGGCATTTGTTTACATAAAGAAAGGGAAAATTACTTAGTGCTAATTCAGTTTGTGGCAGGTTCCTTCTTTCTCAATCCATCAGCAAAATGGTGATGGACAAAAGTTTCACCCTGTCTATTTTAAAGGGCCGTGGAGAAAACCAACATGAACCAATGGTTCATTCACGTCCTTTGAAATCGCGGGCATTCAGAAGCCTACCTACTTCCTTTATGGGCTATTTAACTTCAGGCCAATTTCTTTTTTCAGGATGAGCATCGAGGAAAGAGGATAGCCAGGAAACTTGATTAAGATTAAAGGAGTAAGATACAGCCGGCAGGAAGAGGTAGGTAGATTCACTGAGGACATGTTCAGGGATTTCTTTGAAGCCCAAACTCCCAACTGTAAAAGGAATTCCAGCCAGATGGAGAACAAATGGGAACATGTTTTGGGGTGAGTGAGCCACATGTTTTGGTTTCAGGGGTGAAGGATTGATGAGTCCAAAAAACGTTTGTGTAAAAAGAGGAGAATGAATTAAGAAAAAGAAACGCTATTTTTTATTATGACTTATTAGATACATATAATTATGGATCTGAAACTGAGGCAAATTAAAAATTCACCAACATATTGACATCCTCCCTTATCCGTGGGGATAAATTCCAAGAACCTCAGTGGATTTCTGAAACCGCAGGTGGTGCCAAACCTGGTTGCTGCTAATGGAAACACGTTTCTGTTCATTTCTTCCACAAAGTTAATGCCTTTTCTATCTTATTTATCACTCACTGTAGCCTTAACATTTGTAGCTAAGGTGTAACAGCAAAACTGGCACAAATTTGTTTTTCCTTCTTCACAATTTAATGGATAGAAGACTTATTCTTACTGTAGATCTTAGCATCCTCAGCATAGGATTTTTTTTCTTTCTTTCTTAAGTCCAGAACTTTCATCTTTTCACCTAAAGGAAGTAGTTTATACCTTCTTTTTGGTGTATTCGAATGGCTAGCATCGTTACTCTTGCCATTTGGAGCCATTATTAAGTAAAAGAAGGGTTACTTGAACACAGCACTGGGTTGCTGCAAGAGTCCATTTGATAACCGCGCCAGTTACTATTAATAAGTGACTGACTGGAGGGTAGTGTACACAGCTTTCCAAGTCACCAAGGACATGATTCCAGAGGCAGTGTAGCCTAGCGACTATGGCTCTGTGGTCCTACTGCCTAGATTTGGATCCAGGCTCTTCGAGTTACACTGAGTGACTCTCAGGAGGTAATTTGACCTCTCTTTGCCTGACTTTCCTTATCACTAAAATGAAAATAATAGTTTCCACCTGCTAGGTTAGTTGTGGAGAGTAAATGAGCTATTAGATGCAATGAGCTTAGAACAGTGCTTGACACATGTGGTAAGTAAGTCCTCAGTGAATGTTAGTCATTGGTTTGAACATTTAAAGACCCACTAAGCTGGATACACTTCTTCTTGTTCTCCCTCGCTCCCTCCCTTCTTTCCTTCCTGCCTGCCTGCCTTCTTTCCTTCCTTCCTTCCTTCCTTCCTTCCTTCCTTCCTTCCTTCCTTCCTTCCTTCCTTCCTTCCACTTTCTTTCTTTCTGTCTTTCGACAGGGCCTTGCTTAATTGCCTAGGCTGGAGTGCAGTGGCTCCATTTCGGCTCACTGAGGCCTCATACTCCTTGGTTTAAGCAATCCTCCCCCCTCAGCCTCTCAAGTAGCTGGGATCACAGTCATGTGCCACCATGCCTGGCTAATTTTTTGATTTTTTTTTTTTTGGTAGAGATGGAGTCTCACTATGTTGCTCCTGGGCTCGAGCGATCCTCCGGCCTCAGCCTCCCAAAATGCTGGGATTACAGGTGTGAGCCACAGGGCCTAGCCACCTTTCCTTTTGATATCTTAATTTATTTGGTTCTTTTTTCTTTAATTATACTTTAAGTTTTAGGGTACATGTGTACAACATGCAGGTTAGTTACATATGTATACATGTGCCATGTTGGTACGCTGCAACCATTAACTCGTCATTTAGCATTAGGTATATCTCCTAATGCTATCCCTCCCCCATCACCGCCCCCCCCACAACAGTCCCCGGTGTGTGATGTTCACCCTCCTGTATCCACGTGTTCTCATTGTTCAATTCCCACCTATGAGTGAGAACATGTGGTGTTTGGTTTTTTGTCCTTGCGATAGTTTGCTGAGAATGATGGTTTCCAGCTTCATCCATGTCCCTACAAAGGACATGAACTCATCATTTTTTATGGCTGCATAGTATTCCATGGTGTATATGTGCCACATTTTCTTAATCCAGTCTATCATTGTTGGACATTTGGGTTGGTTCCAAGTCTTTGCTATTGTGAATAGTGCCACAATAAACATACATGTGCATGTGTCTTTATAGCAGCATGATTTATAATCCTTTGGGTATATACCCAGAAATGGGATGGCTGGGTCAAATGGTATTTCTAGTTCTAGATCCTTGAGGAATCGCCACACTGACTTCCACAAGGGTTGAACTAGTTTACATTCCCACCAACAGTGTAAAAGTGTTCCTATTTCTCCACATCCTCTCCAGCACCTGTTGTTTCCTGACTTTTTAATGATCACCATTCTAACTGGTGTGAGATGGTATCTCATTGTGGTTTTGATTTGCATTTCTCTGATGGCCAGTGATGATGAGCATTTTTTCATGTATCTTTTGGCTGCATAAATATCTTCTTTTGAGAAGTGCCTGTTCATATCCTTTGCCCACTTTTTGATGGGGTTGTTTTTTTCTTGTAAATTTGTTTGAGTTAGCCCTTTGTCAGATGAGTAGATTGCAAAAATTTTCTCCCATTTTGTAGGTTGCCTGTTCACTCTGATGGTAGTTTCTTTTGCTGTGCAGAAGCTCTTTAGTTTAATTAGATCCCAATTGTCAATTTTGGCTTTTGTTGCCATTGCTTTTGGTGTTTTAGACATGAAGTCCTTGCCCATGCCTATGTCCTGAATGGTATTGCCTGGGTTTTCTTCTAGGGTTTTTATGGTTTTAGGTCTAACATTTAAGTCTTTAATCCATCTTAATTAATTTTTGTATAAGGTGTAAGGAAGGGATCCAGTTTCAGCTTTCTACATATGGCTAGCCAGTTTTCCCAGCACCATTTATTAAATAGGGAATCCTTTCCCCATTGCTTGTTTTTGTCACATTTGACAAAGATCGGATAGTTGTAGATATGTGGCATTATTTCTGAGGGCTCTGTTCCATTGGTCTATATCTCTGTTTTGGTACCAGTACCATGCTGTTTTGGTTACTGTAGCCTTGTAGTATAGTTTGAAGTCAGGTAGCGTGATGCCTCCAGCTTTGTTCTTTCGGCTTAGGATTGACTTGGCAATACGGGCTCTTTTTTGGTTCCATATGAACTTTGAAGTAGTTTTTTCCAATTCTGTGAAGAAAGTCATTGGTAACTTGATGGGGATGGTGAATCTATAAATTACCTTGGGCAGTATGGCCATTTTCATGATATTGATTCTTCCTACCCATGAGCATGGAATGTTCTTCCATTTGTTTGTATCCTCTTTTATTTCCTTGAGAAGTGGTTTGTAGTTCTCCTTGAAGAGGTCCTTCATGTTCCTTGTAAGTTGGATTCCTAGGTATTTTATTCTCTTTGAAGCAATTGTGAATGGGAGTTCACTCATGTTTGGCTCTCTGTTTGTCTGTTATTGGTGTATAAGAATGCTTGTGATTTTTGCACGTTGATTTTGTATCCTGAGACTTTGCTGAAGTTGCTTATCAGCTTAAGGAGATTTTGGGCTGAGATGATGGGGTTTTCTAGATATATAATCATGTCATCTGCAAACAGGGACAATTTGACTTCCTCTTTTCCTAATTGAATGCCCTTTATTTCCTTCTCCTGCCTGATTGTCCTGGTAAGAACTTCCAACACTATGTGGAATAGGAGTGGTGAGAGAGGGCATCCCTGTCTTGTGCCAGTTTTCACAGGGAAAGCTTCCAGTTTTTGCCCATTCAGTATGATATTGGCTGTGGGTTTGTCATAGATTGCTCTTATTATTTTGAGATATGTCCCATCAATACCTAATTTATTGGGAGTTTTTAGCATGAAGGTTGTTGAATTTTGTCAAAGGCCTTTTCTGCATCTATTGAAATAATCATGTGGTTTTTGTCCTTGGTTCTGTTTATATGTTGGATTACGTTTATTGATTTGCGTATGTTGAGCCAGCCTTGCATCCAAGGGATGAAGCCCACTTGACCATGGTGAAAAAGGTTTTTGATGTGCTGCTGGATTTGGTTTGCCAGTATTTTATTGAGGATTTTTGTATTGATGTTCATCAAGGATATTGGTCTAAAATTCTCTTTTTTGTTGTGTCTCTGCCAGGCTTTTGTATCAGGATGATGCTGGCCTCATAAAATGAGTTAGGGAGGATTCCCTCTTTTTCTATTGATTGGAATAGTTTCAGAAGGAATGGTACCAGCTCCTCCTTGTACCTCTGGTAGAATTCGGCTGTGAATCCATCTGGTCCTGGACTTTTTTTGGTTGGTAAGCTATTAATTATTGCCTCAATTTCAGAGCCTGTTATTGGTCTATGCAGAGATTCAACTTCTTCCTGGTTTAGTCTTGGGAGGGTGTATGTGTCAAGGAATTTATCCATTTCTTCTAGATTTTCCAGTTTATTTGCATAGAGGTGCTTGTAGTATTCTCTGATGGTAGTTCGTATTTCTGTGGGATCAGTGGTGATATCCTCTTTATCATTTTTTATTGCGTCTATTTGATTCTTCTCTCTTTCCTTATTAGTCTTCCTAGTGGCCTATCAATTTTGTTGATCTTTTCAAAAAAGCAGCTCCTGGATTCACTGATTTTTTGAAGGGTTTTTCGTGTCTCTATATCCTTCACTTCTGCTCTGATCTTAGTTATTTCTTGCCTTCTGCTAGCTTTTGAATGTGTTTGCTCTTGCTTCTCCAGTTCTTTTAATTGTGATGTTAGGGTGTCAATTTTAGATCTTTCCTGCTTTCTCTTGTGGACATTTAGTGCTATAAATTTCCCTCTACACACTGCTTTGAATGTGTCCCAGAGATTCTGGTATGTTGTGTCTTTGTTCTCATTGGTTTCAAAGAACATCTTTATTTCTGCCTTCATTTCATTATGTACCCAGTAGTCATTGAGGAGCAGGTTGTTCAGTTTCCATGTAGTTGAGTGGTTTGTGTGAGTTTCTTAATCCTGAGTTCTAGTTTGATTGCACTGTGGTCTGAGAGACAGTTTGTTATAATTTCTGGTCTTTCACATTTGCTGAGGAGTGCTTTACTTCCAACTATGTGGTCAATTTTGGAATAGGTGTGGTGTGGTGCTGAAAAGAATGTATATTCTGTTGATTTGGGGTGGAGAGTTCTGTAGATGTCTATTAGGTCTGCTTGGTGCAGAGCTGAGTTCAATTCCTGGGTGTCCTTGTTAGCTTTCTGTCTTGTTGATCTGTCTAATGTTGACAGTGGGGTGTTAAAGTCTCCCATTTTTATTGTGTGGGAGTCTAAGTCTCTTTGTAGGTCACTCAGGACTTGCTTTATGAATCTGGGTGCTCCTGTATTGAGTGCATATATATTTAGGATAGTTAGCTCTTCTTGTTGAATTGATCCCTTACCATTATGTAATGGCCTTTTTTGTCTCTTTTGATCTTTGTTGGTTTAAAGTCTGTTTTATCAGAGACTAGGATTGCAACCCTTGCCTTTTTTTGTTTTCCATTTTCTTGGTAGATCTTCCTCCATCCCTTTATTTTGAGCCTATGTGTGTCTCTGCAGGTGGGATGGGTTTCCTGAATACAGCACACTGATGGGTCTTGACTCTTTATCCAATTTGCCAGTCTGTGTCTTTTAATTGGAGCATTTAGCCCATTTACATTTAAGGTTGATATTGTTATGTGTGAATTTGATCCTGTCGTTATGATGTTAGCTGGTCATTTTGCTTGTTAGTTGATGCAGTGTCTTCCTAGCCTCGATGGTCTTTACAATTTGGCATGTTTTTACAGTGGCTGGTATTGGTTGTTCCTTTCCATGTTTAGTGCTTCCTTCAGAAGCTCTTTTAGGGCAGGTCTGGTGGTGACAAAATCTCTCAGCATTTGCTTGTCTGTAAAGTATTTTATTTCTCCTTCACTTATGAAGCTTAGTTTGGCTGGATATGAAATTCTGGGTTGAAAATTCTTTTCTTTAAGAATGTTGAATATTGGCCCTCACTCTCTTCTGACTTGTAGAGTTTCTGCTGCGAAATCCGCTGTTAGTCTGATGGGCTTCCCTTTGTGGGTAACCCGACCTTTCTCTCTGGCTGCCCTTAACATTTTTTCCTTCATTTCAAGACAATTATGTGTCTTGGAGTTGCTCTTCTCGAGGAGTATCTTTGTGGCGTTCTCTGTATTTCCTGAATCTGAATGTTGGCGTGCCTTGCTAGATTGGGGAATTTCTCCTGGATAATATCCTGCAGAGTGTTTTCCAACTTGGTTCCATTCTCCCTGTCACTTTCAGGTACACCAATCAGACGTAGATTTGGTCTTTTCACATAGTCCCATATTTCTTGGAGGCTTTGTTCATTTCTTTTTATTCTTTTTTCTCTAAACTTCTCTTTTCACTTCATTTCATTCATTTGATCTTCCATCACTGATACTCTTTCTTCCAGTTGATCGATTCGGCTACTGAGGCTTGTGCATTAGTCACGTAGTTCTCGTGCCTTGGTTTTCAGCTCCATCAGGTCCTTTAAGGAATTCTCTGCATTGGTTATTCTAGTTAGCCATTCATCTAATTTTTTTTCAAGGTTTTTAACTTCTTTGCCATGGGTTAGGACTTCCTCCTTTAGCTCGGAGTAGTTCGATTGTCTGAAGCCTTCTCTCAACTCGTCATAGTCATTCTCTGTCTAGCTTTGTTCCGTTGCTGGTGAGGAGCTGTGTTCCTTTGGAGGAGGAGAGGTGCTCTGATTTTTAGAGTTTCCAGTTTTTCTGCTCTTTTTTTTCCCCATCTTTGTGGTTTTATCTACCTTTGGTCTTTGATGATGGTGACGTACAGATGGGGTTTTGGTGTGGATGTCCTTTCTGTTTGTTAGTTTTCCTTCCAACAGTCAGGAGCCTCAGCTGCAGGTCTGTTGGAGTTTGCTGGAGGTCCACTCCTGACCCTGTTTGCCTGGGTATCAGCAGCGGAGGCTGCAGAACAGAGGATTTTGGTGAACAGCAAATGTTGCTGCCTGATTGTTCCTCTGGAAGTTTTGTCTCAGAGGAGTACCCAGCCGTGTGAGGTGTCAGTCTGCCCCTACTGGGGGGTGCCTCCGAGTTAGGCTACTCGGAGGCCAGGGACCCACTTGAGGAGGCAGTCTGTCCCTTCTCAGATCTCCAGCTGCGTGCTGAAAGAACCACTGCTCTCCTCAAAGCTGTCAGACGGGGACATTTAAGTCTGCAGAGGATTCTGCTGCCTTTTGTTTGGCTGTGCCCTGCCCCCAGAAGTGGAGTCTACAGAGGCAGGCAGGCCTCCTTGAGCTGCGGTGGGCTCCACCCAGTTTCAGCTTCCCAGCAGCTCTGTTTACCTACTCAAGCCTCGGCAATGGCGGGCACCCCTCCCCCAGCCTTGCTGCCGCCTTGCAGTTTGATCTCAGACTGCTGTGCTAGCAATGAGCGATGCTCCATGGGCATAGGACCCTCTGAGCCAGGCACGGTTGTAATCGCCTGGTGTGCCGTTTGCTAAGAGCATTGGAAAAGCGCAGTATTAGGGTGGGAGTGACCGGATTTTCCAGGTGCCATCTGTCACCCCTTTCTTTGACTAGGAAAGGGAATTCCCTGACCCCTTGCACTTCCCAGGGGAGGTGATGCCTCGCCCTGCCCTAGCTCACGCTGGGTGCGCTGCACCCACTGTCCTGCACCCACTTTCCGACACTCCCCAGTGAGATGAACCTGGTACCTCAGTTGGAAATGCAGAAATCACCCATCTTCTGTGTCGCTCATGCTGGGAGCTGTAGACTGGAGCTGTTCCTATTAGGCCATCTTGGCTCCACCCCCCAATTTATTTGGTTCTTAATGACCTTTTTTTTTTTTTAAGAGTCACTTCTCAAAATATGAATAGTCTGTTAATTATTTATATTTCAGTGGACCCACCGCAAAGCTGCTATCAATTAATAAATACTACAGCAGGATTTAATTTGTTCTCATACTTACTCAATGGGATACCACTTTGGGGGAAGAGCAAGAAGTGATGAGCCAGTGGGAAGCATCCTAGGACAAACCTAACCCACCCTTTTCTACTTTATACTAAACAGTCCACCAATTATAGTTTTGCTAATTGCAAGGAAAATGTTAAGCCTATAATGTGTCAATGCAAAGCACTAAAGAAAGTACGTGCTAATACAATTCTGTGAGATAAAGTAGAAGGCTGTGATACATTTTCTGGCTCCTTGCCTTAACCATGGGAAGAAAAAAGTGTCTTATTTGAAGGCAGTCATGAAAGGGGAGGAACTCATGAAAGAGTCTCGTAGGTTGATTGTGAAAAAGACGATGTAGAGGAATTCCAGAGTCTCTGTTTTAGTTGCATGCTGTGGAAAGCCAAGTTAGCGTAGAGCTGAGGATGAAGCCCAAACAACCACATGCTTGAGGCATCAAAGGACAGAAACAGGAAAGGAAGGACAGGCAGACACACACACACAGAGACACAGACACACACACACAGACACACACACACACACTCAAAGGAATTATTTTAAAGCAGTAAACATATCTTTTACTGAAATACCAAATTTCATTTTATGGGCATTTTTTGTTTTTGAGTTACATATGTCAGAGAAGGGTACTCTCATCCTCTCAATGTTTGAGTTTGTTTCTGTGTTGATCCAATCCTAACTGCAGGATTTGTTCAGTGAACCAAGACATGTATCTTTAAAGCCAAAGGTGGTTTCACTAAAACAGTGATTCTCAAACTTTTTGATCTCATATCCTTATACAACTTTTTTAAATTATTGAGAATTTTCATTTTGTTATTATACCCATTGATATTTACCATATTAGAAACTGGAACTGAGAAAAAACTACTTATTCACTTATCTAAATCCCATTTTACATTTTGATAATTTTTTTTGTGAAAACATTTTTCAAAACAAAAAAATAATGAGAACAGTGGCAAAATGTTCAGCTGAATAGATGACAGATTCTCATATCTGTTTCTGGATTTGTTTTTTTGTATCATGTAGTCTCTGGAAAACTCTTATGTACTATAATGAGAGAACAGAAACGAAAATGGAAAGAACACTTTAGTATTTTGGGGAAAATAGTTTTGAATTCATAGACTTCCTGAGAATGTCTCAGGAATACCCCAGGAATCTCCATACCACACTTGGAGAACTACTATCCCAAGACAAAGTCGTATGCTTGGTCGAGACTGAGTGGCCTGATTTAATTGTTGCTGTTGTTATTGCATCACTATAGGTTATTGGTTTTAAAAAGCCCATCTCTTCACACTCTGAATTTGGAATATGTCTTATATTGATAGTGACTTACAACAGCTGTTGGCCCCGTGGCAGTTGTGATGTAGTTATTACCTGCACAAGCATGAATTTGGTCATAGCTATTCACGGCATCAGTATTTTTATTGAATTATTTGCATTGTTGTTATGTGTTGAGAGTTTAGTTGTCATTTAAAGTCTCTTTCTTTCAGAATTTATAGTATAACATAGTTCTGAGATGAGAAGTTACTGTAGATGCAGAAAGGCAAGCAGAGAGCAGTGGGGCATATATCTGACATTAGGAAAGCGATTTTGGGAGAAGGAATAGGATTCTATATTTTCTTGCATAAGAACAACAACGTACTTCATGGTATCAAAAAAGGTACTAAATCCACACGCATCTATGGCTGAATTGTGTGTTGTTAGTGAGAAATGTGCAAAATGATTGCCTTTCATGTGCCAAACCACACACCTGAAGACACAAAAACTTGCCAAATCTCTTGGTATCGAGGAAAGATGCTGCACAGCAATGAGAGGATGATGTGACCAATTTACGTGTCATGCAGGATTATCATTAAGGTAGGGTGTCATTACTTAATTGGCAGCCTTTTTCCTTTCTTAGAGGTCCATTAAATAATTCATGTCTTTCCATTGATGACATCTTAGATTGAGTACAATAGTCATAACAATATTTTTGACTGGTGTACTTGTTTCCTAGACTTGTGATCACAGGTTACCACAAACCAGGTGGCTTAACACAACAGAAATTTATTCTCTCACAGTTTTGGGGACTAGAAGCCTGAACTCAAGGTGTCAGCAGAGTCATGCACCTTCTAAGACTGGTGGAATCCCTCCTTTCCTCCTTCTAGTTTCTGATGGTGGCGTAATTCCTTGGTGTTTCTTGGCATGCAGGTGTATCATCCCAGTCTTTGCTTCTGTCATCACAGGATGGTCTCCTTGTGTACCTCTGTCTTCACATGGTGTTTTTCCCTTTTTGTAGGGACACCAGTGATATTGGATTAAGGACTCACCCAACTCCAATATGACCTCATCTTAACTAATTACAACTATAAAAACTCTATTTCCAAAAACGTCACATTCTGGGGTACTGGGGGTTAGGACTTCAACATGTCTTTTGGGAGGCTATAATTCAACCCATAACAACAGATAAGGAACATAATATTTCTATGTCTGTGGCAGAGAAAATTCTATGGGTTTCCAAATTCTGTTTTGTATTCCTCCCTCCTGGGCACAATAAAAATTTTATTTTCCAGTTCCCTTGCAGTAAAGCAAGAGTGTGTGATTAATTATGGGCAATGAAATTTGAGAATAAGTGGCATGTGTCACTTCTGGGCTGAGGCAGTAAAAAGCTGCTGTGTGACTTTTCAGTTTCTTGATTTTCCTCAGGTAGTGAGTGTAAGAGCAATGTGTTGAGATAGCAAACCCACAAGATCACAGCAGCCTGGATCTCTGAGTTACTATATGGATGATGAAGCACTACACTGTTGAGTCTGACCTAAAGCAATCTTTATATTGTGAGAAATTTGTGTGTGTTAAACCACTGAGATTTTGGAGTCATATGTCACAGAAGCATAATCTAGTCTATCCTGATTAACACATGAAGATGCACCAAGAGGTAGAGGATGGCATGAAGTGATGAATTTCCAATTAACTTTCTGTAGCCATATCTATGAATTCTTTCTAAGGGTGAAATACTTCTTTTAACATTCAAAAATCAATCAATGTTACACACCACATCAATAGAATAAAGGACAAAAACCACATGATTATCTCAATAGATGCAGAAAAAAAAATTGACAACATCCAACACTTTATTATGATGAAAACACTGAACAAACGAAGGCAAGTCAACTTCCTCAACCTAATAAAGGGCATCTACAAAAAAATCCATCACTATGATCATATATAATGGTGATTTCCTCCTAAGATTAAGAACAATATGAGAATGTCCACTCTCTCATCAGTTTCGTTCAACATTTGTACTGGAGGTTCGCTAGCCAGAGCAATTAAGCAAGAAAACAAGATAAAGGCATCCAGACAGGAAGGGAAAAAGTAAAATTATTTTTATTCACATATGATATGGTCTTATGTATAAAAAAATTTTAAGGAACTCACACAAAATGATTAAATCTAATATAAATGAATTCAGCAAAGTTGCAAGGTACAAGCTCAATATATGAAATCAATTTTATTTATATGTACTAGCAATGAACAAGCCCAAGTGAAGTTAAGAAAACAATTCAATTTATAATAGAATTAAAAGAATAAAATGCTTGGGAATACATTTAAAAAGTATAAGATGTATACACTGAAAACAATAAAACATTATTGAAAGATATTAAAGAAGATCTAAATAAATGGAAAGATATTCCATGTTCATAGATTGGAAGTCGGTATTGGGTTTTTTTGTTTGTTTGTTTGTTTTTTGCTTTCTTAACTTGTATTTTAGGTTCAGGGGTACATGTGAAAGTTTGTTACATAGGTAAATTCATGTCACGGGGTTTGTTATACAGATTATTTCATTACCCATGAATTACGCCCAGTGCCCAATAGTTATCTTTTCTGCTCCTGATAATATTGCTGAGGTGATAATACTCTCCCAAATTGATCTACAGATTCACACAATTCCTATTAAATTCCAGCTACCTTTTTTTTTTGGTAAAAGTTGATAACTCATGTTAAAATACCTATGGAAATTCAAGGAACCCAGAACACCTAGAACAACCCTGAAAAACAGCAAAGTTGGAGGGCTCACTCATCAGAATAAAATTAACAGGCTCACACATACTGTTTTTTAGAAAAGCAACATCTTTATTTTAAACATAAAATTAATATATTCTTACTTGTACTAGTAAGGATAGGCAAGGTCATTCTTCATGAACAAACTCTCCAAATCTTAAAAGTTTAGAATAATAAGAGTTAATTTTTTGCTCTAATTAAGTGTCCACTGGGGATTGGCTGAGAGCTCCGATCCACATCTCATTTCCGAATCTAGGCTGATGGAGCAGCCGCTATCTCAAACTTGAGCCACCATCTCAAGGGTTTGTGTCAAAAGAAAAGAGCTCAGGAGGATCCTGCACCAGCAATTAAACATTCCAGCCTGGAAGTGACACATGCCATTTTTGCTCATAACTCTTTAGACAGAACCAATCACATGGTGCCACCCAACCACAAGGGGTCCTGGTATAATTCTTTCATGGGCTCACATAACAAGTAAATGCAACTCTGTAGTAAAGAGATAGATTATCTGTTGTAAGAAAATCAAATGATACAAAACCATTTCACTCAGTAATACCCCAGAGATGATCACCGTTAACAAGGTAGCATATATTTTCTAGACTCTTATAGGAATATACATATCCACACATACACAATTTAATTTAAAAATCACACTAGAAATGTCATTCTAAAATCTGTTCCTTCCTGGGCCCCCAGTCATATAACAATCACATTTCTCCATGAAAAGACATATAATTTTACCTCATATCTTTTAGCTGCTACAGGCTAGGATGGACTGTGATTTACTTCATTCACTCTGTATAGAGTAATATTTAGTTTCTTTCTAGATTTTGATATTATTAAACACTTTGTAATCAATACTTTTGCACCTGTATCTTAGCTAACAGTAAATGTTTATGACTGACTGAATAAAGATGTCAACAAATGAATGAATGAAAACCAATCACCAGTGATTTAAGACTCCAAACACATGGCGAGAGAAGTAAAAAATGCATTATTCCAACCTTCTTCATGTTGTTTAGCATGCTTCAGAATGGCAATAAAGGCAGAGGAATTCTTACCTACGTTAATGTAGCAGGTCATTCACATTAGCATTTCTAGAGTTTGTTAAACCCCTGGATTCCTGTTCAAGTAAAACATTTGTTTTGATTATAAAACTTAATATCCACTCTGAGAGCCTGTGGAAATAGAAGGTAGATGGCAATGTTACTGCCGTAAGTCTGAAGCTCCTGAGACATGAACAAGATGGTAATGTGACTCCTCATTTATTTTTTATCTTCAGTTTCAATTTTTTTAATCATCATGTATCTAGAATGACTAGTGATTTTAAATGAGAAATTGGAATCTAAAGATAATCAGAGTTTTAGCAGTTTAAACCAATCACCAGTGCACCAGCTTGAAAAGCTTTGTGACTTTGACTGTGAAGGCATTTACAGTCCCAGGAGGAAAGTGGCTTTGGCAGCTCTCAGTTTTGATGGGTTAAGTAGTTTGTAGTTGGTTTTGGAGGGGGTGTTACTGTGGAAGATAAATGAATTCCTCAGTTTATGAACTTACTCCCCAGGCTGCTCAACTCAGCTAAGCTCTCATGGCAACTGCTCGATGGGGTTCTCACTGTGAGACAGTCAGCACCACGCTTGAAGCCCTGCAGGAAAAACAAACCCCACTGAATCAACCAAAATATTGGAGAGAACTTCAGTAGTTTCAGTAAATCCTAAATCAGAGAAGAAGATGGTGTGTGTGTGTATGTGCTTATCGTACATCCTTATTCACATGAGCTTTATAAGGACTCATCATAAAAGATGACTGAAAGCAACCAGAAAAACATTCTTCTTAGGCTGATCTATTTCATTTTCAATTCAAGCTGTATATAGTATGCAAAGCATATTTTAAAGATATGTTTAATTTTGCCAATTGTATTTGAGTAGTTATTTTCTTAGTCTGTGTGTGTGTGTGTGTGTATGTGTGATGAGAGAGAGAGAGAGATTTGGCCAAGGAGATAATAAGGGAGAAGGTAAATAATATGAGGAATTATAGCAAATTATTACGTCTGATTTGGGAATATAGAACAGGAATGTATCAATTAACTAGCAATGCACTACAAAATGCCATAGACTGGGCTTATTTCTTACAGTCCTAGAGATAGAGAATTTTAAGATCAAGGTTCCAGCAAAGTGGGCTTCATTCTGAGGCTTCTTCTCGTGGCTTGTAGGCAGCCACCAACTGAATGTGTGCTCACATGACTTCTTTGTATGAGCACACGGAGAGAAAGGTGGAGAGAGGCGTGGGGAGGAGCAGGCAGCACATTAGCTCTCCAGTGTCCTTTCTTATAAGGGCACTAATCCCATCATGAGTGCTCCTCTCATTATTTCATCTAATCCCAATGATCTCCCCAAATCCCATCTTCAAACACTGTCACACTGGGGTTTAGGGTTTCAACCAATGAATTTAGGGATGCACAAACATTCATTCCATAATAAGAGGTGTTAAATTCTTTGCTCACTAATCAGTCCCCAAAAAGTTCCTAGGAAATTGAAGTTTAAAACATTTCTATTTTGGATAATCTCCAGGTTTAAAAATCTCCACTCTGAAAATGATGTCTACACAAACATTCATTGTTGCCCCTCCATCTTACACAGGGTTGAACGTCTTCACCTTCATTCCCACCCTCATCTCTTACATCAAATCCTTGTGAATTTTTTAAAATGGTAGAGTCAGATAAAGATTAAAGACAGAAACAGGGTAAAGCAAATTTGAGAAACTGTTTCCAGGAGCCAACCCCTGGATATTCCCCTGTTTGCCAATTTCCTACTGCTACTACCCAAACCTTTAATTTGACTTCACTTTCTTATCTGAAATTTGACAATTAAAGATGCATTTAAGCTAACAAGCATTAACATTTAAAAAATGCAAATGTGTATGTGTGTGTTTGTGTGTGTTTTGAGGAGAATGCCATGTTAATAGACTATTAATTTTTTTGACAATAGTGGGATATTGGTGAATCCAAGTCCTTTTCTTTCTAGCGGATGGTTGAAGCTAACTGCACTGAGATCACAGAAGTTGTATGAAGGGGAAGAGACGGAGTATGGAGAAGTGGATGTGGGGAGAGGTCAGAATGGTGCACCAATGCATTCACCCCAGTACATACAGCAACTCAAAAGGCTCATGTCCCATATAATGGACACTGTATAAATATTTGTTGGATGAGTAAAATGAAGAAAGACTATTGAAGTGTCTGCGGAAAATACTAAAATTTGGGTGTTGGGTCTTATAAAAGGATGCTGACATGGTATAACAACTTCTTTTCACCTTTGCCAAGATTTCCTGAGTGTAACTCCTTGTTTATCTTTCTTTTGATTTTGTATCAGTACATCCTGAGCTTGATCTTGGGGGTTATCCAACATGTTATTATTACTTAGATAAACTGTTCACTCTCTGTAACTTGCACCTGAAAATGAACAAGGCCATTGAGAAAACCCAATGCTGAAAAGCTCCTTAAGCTGATAAACAACTTCAGCAATCTCAGGATACAAAAGCAATGTATAAAATCACTAGTATTCCTATACACCGACAACAACCAAGCTGCAAGCCAAATCAGGAATGCAATCCCATTCACAATTGCCACAAAAAGAATAAAATACCTAGGAATACAGCTAACCAGGAAAGTGAAAGATCTCTACAGGGAGAATTAAAAAACACTGTTCAAAGAAGTCAGAGATGACACAAACAAATGGAAAAACTTAACATGCTCATGGATTAGCCTCTTGCAGAAAAGGGAAGACCTTTGTCATATGCATTATTTGCAAATGTTTTCCCTATTCTGTAGGTTGTTTATTTATTCTGTTGATGGTTTCTTTCATTGTGTATGCAGAAGCTCTGTTGTTTAGCTAGATCCCATTCGTCAGTTTTTGCTTGCAATTGTTTTTGGCATCTTCATCATGAAATCTTTGCTTGTTCCTGTGTCCAGTATGTTATTGCCTAGGTTGTCTTCCAGGATTTTTATAGTTTTGGGTTTTACATTTAATTCTTTAATCCATATTGAGTTTATTTTTGTATGTGGTATAAGGAAGGGGTCCAGTTTTGGTATTCTGCATGTGGCTAGCCAGTTATCCCAGAACCATTTATTGAATAGGGAATCCTTTCCCCATTGCTTGTTTTTGTCAGCTTTGTTGAAGATCATATAATTGTAGGTGTGTGGCCTTTCTCATAAGCGCTCTCTATTCTGTTCCGTTGGTCTAGGTGTCGGTTCTTGTACCAGTACCATGCTGTTTGGGTTACTGTAGCCCTATAGTAGAGTTTGAAGTCAGGTAACGTGATGCCTCCAGGTTTTTTTTTTTTTTTTTTGCTTAGGATAACGTTAGCTATTCAGGCTCTTTTTTGGTTCCATATTAATTTTAAAGTAGTTTTTTTCTAGTTCTGTGAAGAATGTCATTGGTAGTTTAATAGGAATAGCATTGAATCTATAAATTGCTCTGGGCAGTATGGTCTTTTTATTAATATAGATTCTTCCTATCCATGAGCATGGTATGTTTTTCCATTTGTTTGTGTCATCTCTGATTTCTTTGAACAGTGTTTTTTAATTCTCTCTGTAGAGATCTTTCACTTTCCTGGTTAACTGTATTCCTAGGTATTTTATTCTTTTTGTGGCAATTGTGAATGGGATTGCATTCCTGATTTGGCTTGCAGCTTGGTTGTTGTTGGTGTATAGGAATACTAGTGATTTTACACATTGCTTTTGTATCCTGAGATTGCTGAAGTTGTTTATCAGCTTAAGGAGCTTTTGGTCAGAGACTATGGGGTTTTCTCAATATAGAATCATGTCATCTGCAAAGAGTGACTTCCTCTTTTCCTATTTGGATACCTTTATTTCTTTCTGTTGCCTGATTGCCCCTGCCAGGACTTTCAATACAAATGTTGAATAGCAGTGGTGAGAGAGAGCATCCTTGTCTTGTGCCAGTTTTCAAGGGGAATGTTTCCAGCTTTTGCCTGTAAAGTATGATGCTGACTGTGGGTTTGTCATAGATTGCTCTTATTACTTTGAGGTATGTTCCTTCAACACCTAGTTTGTTGATAATTTTTAATGAAAGCGGTGTTGAATTTTATCCGAAGACTTTTCTGCATTTGTGGTTTTGTCTTTAGTTCTATTTATGTGATAAAGCATATATATTGATTTGCGTATGTTGAACCAACCTTGCATTCTCTCAAGTAGGGATAAGGCCAACTTGATTGTAGTGGATAAACTTTTTGATGTGCTGCTGGATTCAATCTGTCAGTATGTTGTTGAGGGATTTTTGCATTGATGTTCATCAAGGATATTGGCTTGATGTTTTCTTTTTCTGTTGTGTCTTCCAGGTTTCAGCATCAGGATGATGCTGGCCTCATATAATGAGTTAGGGAGGAGTCCCTCCTTCTCAAATTTTGGAATAGTTTCAGTAGGAAAGGTACCAGCTCTTCTTTGTACATCTGATAGTATTCAGCTGTAAATCCATCTGGTCCTGGGCTTTTTTAGTTGGTAGGCTATTTATTACTGATTCCATTTCAGAGCTTGTTATTGGTCTGTTAATGGATTCACTTTTTCCTGGCTCAGTCTTGGGAGGGTGTATGTGCTCAGGAATTTGTCAATTTCTTCTAGATTTTCTAGTTTGTGTGCATAGTGGTGTTCATAATATTCTCTGATGGTTATTTGTATTTCTGTGGGGTCAGTGGTATTATCTCCTTTGTCATTTCTAACTGTGTTTATTTTGATCTTCTCTCTTTTCTCCTTTGTTGTCTAGCTAGTGGTTTATCATTTTATTTCATTTTTTCAAAAAGCCAACTTCTGGATTCACTGATATTTTTAATGTTTCTTCCTGTCTCAACCTCTTTCAGTTCAGCTCTGATTTTGGTTATTTCTTGTCTTCTGCTAGCTTTGGGGTTGGTTTTCTCTTGGTTCTCTAGTTCTTTTAGTTGTGATGTTATGTTGTTAAATTGAGATCTTTCTAACTCTTTGATGTAGGCATTTGGTGCTATAAGTTTTCCTCTTAACACTGCCTTAGCTGTGTCCCAGAGATTCTAGTATGCTGTATCTTTGTTCTTACTACTTTCAAAATAACTTCTTGATTTCTGCCTTAATTTCATTATGTATCCAAAAGTTATTCAGGAGCAGGATACTCAATTTTCATATAGTTGTATGATTTTGAGCAAATTTCTTAGTCTTGATTTCTAATTTGATTGTGCTGTGGTCTGAGAGAGTGCTTGTTATGATTTCAGTTCTTTTGCATTTGCTGAGCAGTGTTTTGTGTTTATGTGATTGATTTTACAGTATGTGCCATGTGGCAATGGGAAGAATGTATCTTCTGTTGTTTTTAGGTGGAGAGTTCTATAGATGTCTAGCAGGTCCATTTGATCCAGTGCTGAGTTCAGGTCCTGAATATCTTTGTTAATTTTTTATCTTGATGATTTATCTAGTACTGTCAGTGGAGTGTTGAAGTATCCCACTATTATTGTGTGGGACTCTAAGTCTTTTTGAAGGTCTCAAAAAACTTGCTTTATGAATCTGGGTGCTCCTGTGTTGGTTGTATACATACTTAGGATAGTTAGGTCTTCTTGTACAATCTGACCCTTTACCATTATGTAATGCCCTTCTTTGTCTTTTTTGATATTTGTTTGTTTAAAGTCTGTTTTGTGTGAAGTTATGATTGCAACACTTGCTTTTTTTCTGTTTTCTATTTGCTTAGATTTTTCTTCTTTCCTTAATTTTGAACTTATATGTGTCATTGCACGTGAGGTGTGTCTCTTAAAGACAGCATACCAATGGGTCTTAGTTCTTTATCTACCTTGCCATTTTGCACTTTTTAATTAAGGCATTTAGCCCACTTATATTCAAGGTGAGTATTGATATGTGTAGATTTGGTCCTGGCATCATGTTAGCTGGTTATTTTGCAGACTTATTTATGTGTTTGCTTTACAGTGTCATTGGTCTGTGTACTTAAGTGTGTTTTTGTAGTAACTGGTAATGACCTTTCCTTTCCACATTTAGTGCTTCTTTCAGGAGACCTTGTAAGGCAGGTCTAATGGTAATGAATTCTCTCAGCATTTGCTTGTCTGAAAAGGATCTTATTTCTCCTTTGAATATAAAGCTTAGTTTGGCTAGATATGAAATTCTGTGTTGGAATTTGTTTTCTTTAAGAATGTTGACTATAGGCTCCCAATTTCTTCTGGCTTATAAGGTTTCAGCTGGGAGGTCTGCTGTTGGTCTGATGATTCCCTTTGTAGGTGACCTTACCTTTCTCTCTAGCTGCCTTTAACATTTTTTCTTGCATTTTGACCTCGAAGAATCTGATGATAATGTGTCTTGAGGATGATCTTGTGAAGTATCTTACATGGGTTCTCTGCATTTCCTGAATTTGAATATTGACCTCTCTAGCTAGGCTGGGGAAGTGCTCATGGATGATATCCTGAAATATGTTTTCCAAGTTGCTTATACTCTCCCCATTTCTTTCAGGGATACCAATGAGTCATAGATTTGGTCTCTTTACATAATCCCATATTTCTCAGAGATTTTGTTCATTCCTTTGTATTCTCTTTTCTCTATTCTTGTCTGACTGCTCATTTCAGAAAGCCAGTCTTCAAGCTCTGAGACTTTTTCTTCCACTTAGTCTATTCTGCTATTAATACTTGTGACTCCATTATGAAATCACTTAGTGTGTTTTTCAGCTCTGTCAGGTTGGTTATGTTCTTTTCTATACTGGCTATTTTGTCTGTCAGCTCCTGCATTAGTTTATTGTGATCCTTAGCTTCCTTGGATTGGGTTTCAATGTACTCCTGCATCTCAATGATCTTTGTTCCTATTCATATTCTGAATCATATTTCTGTCATTTCACCCATCTTAGCCTGGTTCAGAACCCTTGCTGGTGATGTGGTGTGGTCATTTGGAGGAAAGGAGGCACTCTGGATTTTTGAGTTGTCAGGGTTTTTGCATTGCATTGGTTCCCTCTCATCTTTGTGGGCTGACATTCCCTCAGTTTTTGAAGTTGCTGACCTTTGAATGGGGTTTTTTCTTCTTTTATCTTATTTGATGACCTTGTGAGTTTGATTATGGTGTAAGGTAAATTCAGCTGACTGGCTTAATTTCTGGAAGATTTTAGGGGGCCAGTGCTCAGCTCCCAACCTCTAAACTGTGTGCTCTAAATCTGGGGGACTTGTATCAGGCTCCTGAGTGTTCTTACTGGAAACACTCAGGCTCCAGGCTCCTGAGTGTTCTTACTGGAAACACTCAGGCTCCAACTTTGTTCTTTGGCTCCTCGAGGTTAGGAATCCACTGTGGTGGGGGTGCTGAGGTGGTCCCAGACCACTGGTCATTACACTCTAATAAGTAGTGTCATCCAGAGTTTCATAGTGTGGTGACAGTGGGATCTGTCCTAGGTCACATATGCCAGCAGCAGCTGCAGTGGCAGTGAGGTGGGGTGCACCCTCCTCAGCTGCAGCAGGGTGCTAGTGGGTGCCAGGGTGCCTGCCTCTGTGCGGGTGTTCACCACAGTAGTGGAGGCAACATAACTCAAGGGGACCAGGGGCTCCTGCTGGCAACTGTGTACACAGTTGTGCTGATGGTGGTGTTGGCACGGGGTGGAGCACTGGCAGGCATAGGTCTGTGTGTGTTCTCTGCACCACAGGCAGGGGTGGTCGCTCAGGGCAGGGAAGGGTTTGCTGTTTTCTGTACCTAGTTTCACTCTCGCAGCAGTGTTGGTGCAAGAGCAGGGCACTGGTGGGGTTGGGGCTTGCTGGCTCTGTGCCTGTCAGGGCTCTAACTGCAACGGCAGTCAGTGTGGGGAAGTGGGATGGGCTGCACTCTCACTGTAGCAGGGGCAGGGCAGGGCAGGGTGTATGCACACGCGGCACTGGTGGGGTAAGGAAGACAACACGTGCCTGTGCAGACACGTCCAGCAAAATAATGTGGGTGGTTGCTGTGGGCACAGGGGAAGCTGCTGTGTGGGGAGTGGTTGAGCTGATGCATGGCCATGGGGGCCACCCTGCTGGAGCACTCCACTGGTCAGGCATGGTTGCCAGTACAGGAGCTATGATGTGGGTTCTCAGGGCACCTGAGGCTGCCTTGCAAGCAGGCTGGGCCAGGCTGGGGCCTCAGGAGAGGCCAGGAGAACAAGGAGTGCCCAAATCAGACCAGGCTGGTCTGATGGGTAAGACCAATCTGCAAAGTTCAGGTCCGACAGTTCTCCTAGGGCTAAAGTCTCCTATGGGAGCTACTTGAACCTAGGGGGATGGCCGTCTCTGGCTGTGCTTTGCTACAGATGCACTGGCACCAAACCATCTGAGTTCCACCTCATTGCTGCCCCTACCACTTCTGTAAGCAGCTCTCCCTGCCAACTCAGGTGGCGGTCGAGGGGTCTCCTCCTGCAGTGATTCCAGAGCCCTGTGGTGAGAGCCATTTGCTCCTTGCCAGGAGTTATTGGGAGCCACGAATAAGTCCTGGTGTGCAGTAGCCCTGTGCAGGGTTCCCAGCTTCCTCTCCCTTCAGCCCAGCTTCTGTGTCTTCCCTCTGTCCATCCTCAGGGCCTTCCCTCTGAAGATCTGTTAGGAGTTGTCTTGGTCCCTCTGTGGCAGCTGTTCCAGTTGGCTGCATCTAGTCAGCCAACTTGCGCTCTCTCTGAATCCATGCTTTCTATGGAAAGATTTTCCTAGCCAAACCCATCTTTGGCGTAATTTCACTTATATATTTATTTTTATGTAACCTTTAAAAAAAGTGCATTAGAAGTTATCTATAAATCACCTATAATAAAATGCACAGATCTTAAAGGTCCATTTGATGAATATTGACAGTCACAGTTTCACGTGTAACCACCACACAAAACAATATACAAGACATTTCTATCATTCAGAAACTTCCATCCTTCCACTTTCCTGTCAACTGCCACCCCCCACTCACATATAACTGCTTTCTAACAACTATAACTAAAGATTAGTAGTGCCTGTTCTCAGACTTCATGTAAATGGAAACATAGAGTGTATATATATATATATATATATATATATATATATATATATATATATATATATGTGTGTGTGTGTGTGTGTGTGTGTGTGTGTGTGTGTGTGTTTCTCTCTTCTTTGTATCAGTATGATAATTTTGAGGTTCATTCATGATGTTTTGTGTAACAGTATATTGTGCCTTTTTATTGTTGTGTAGTATTCCATTGCACAGATTTGCTTGCATTTTAAAGGGGCTTTGCAGGAAGAAGAGCCTTTTCTCAAAATATGAATTAGAATATAATGACTGAAAGAGAAGTGTAGAACTAAAGGGCATAATGATCTGTGTTGAGTACTCACTGTGGATTTCCTGTCATATCTCTCTCCTTATTTAGGGACTCATCATTAATAGTGTCAGTGGATTTCTTCTTTCTTCTGTGTGTCAACAGCAGACCTACACTTGATAGCATTTTGGCCACTAACCTTGCTTGACCTTGCACTAACCCTCTTGCTATCAATTTCAGACTCCCACATCTGGGGCCAGACCCACACAACTGTTCCTATCACTGCTACTCCAGCTCCTCAGACATTCCATCAGCCAAGGAGCTCCTTTGCCCAATTCCCTCTAAGAACTGCAAGATGCAGCAGCAGTCCCACATCCTCGGCTGCATGTATCTGGCATGCAGGTGTTAGTTTTTATAGTGCACCAGGTAGGAGAGATGCCACTGGAGTAGGCGAGGTTCCCAGGCCCCTTTTTTTGGGGATTGTTCTTTTCGTGTCCTCACACATACTGATTTGAATGTCAAGACAGACAGAGCTGGGTAGCTGAGGACAGAGGGGAAGGAAAACTGCTCATCTTGGGGCTTGTCTTTGAGAGGCAACTGAACAATTTTTGATCAATTACTGAATAGCACAAGCCTGGATTCTCCAGAGAGGTGATTATGACATGAAATAAGCACACTCTACAGGTGTTTCTGGGATGCATAACTCCAAATATACAGTTTTAAAGAAATGATAAAATAAATGATTTTCCCAGAGAAACTGAAATTGCATTCTGAAGGGTGACTTGGCATGATGTTCAGTTAGCTGATATATGGCCTCTTGCAGGTATTCCTTTGCATCCCTAGTGCAGTGAAGAAAGCCATTACTACCAGGGAGAAGCATGGGAGTAGTCAGTGGCACATGGCTGTCACCACTTGTCTTACACTGTTGTTAATTTGTTTAACAATTCTGCTTAGCCACTTATTCACACAGTATTCTTTAGCAGCAAGGAGAAAAGTATCAGGGCAACCAAGCCATGGCTTGGAGCCGTGACGTGTGTAAATGGAAGGGTTAGTTTTATCTGACTGTTCTTTTCTTCCCTGTCATTCTTTCTCCTCTCTTGAAACTCAGGCTCTCAATGGGTGAATATCATATGGCATATTTACATAATGGAATAATATGTGATGGTGAAAAATGTGTAAACTAGAGTAACATGTATCAAAATGGATATATCTTTAAAAGTACAGAGTAAAACAAAAACTAAATTACATATGTATGATATGATGCCATTCATGCAAAATTTTAAAATATGCAAAATGATTCTGTACATTGTCTAGGGATAGTTACATATATGTAAAGCTATAAAAATATGCTTCAGATTAATATCCTCCAAATTCAGAATCAGGGTTTCCTTTGGTTGGCGGGTTGGAGAGAGATGCACTTGGAAGGAGTACACAACTATGCTTGTAATGTTTAATTTTCTACACTAGGCCATGACCCAAATGTATTTGGTATATTGTTATTCAGATATTTTTATATATTCAAAAATATTTTACAATACATGAATAAAAATTAATAAAATAAGATCATTGTTGGTTTATATTGTCTAAATCATTAAACTTCCAAAGGTTTAATATTCATTCATTTTCACCAGCTGCCAAACTCAAGATTTTGGCAAAAAATGAGATTGGTGTGGAAGTGGGTGTTCTCCGTGTTCTCTGATTTTACAACTTTTAAATGTCAATGAATTGTTATTAGAAGGTAGTTTGACACTCTGAGACAGATACATGGTATTATGTCCACTTAATTAATGATATAGGACACAGGATTTTAGATAAATGCTGGTGTAACCCCTTTTCTCATAGAATTCTGTAATTCCTGTATTCATTTATGAAATATTTATTGAGGCTGCTATGTCTATTGCTGTGGAGTAGGTATCAGGACAGGTGCAGGTAGAAAAAATGTCACTTTACAAAATGTAGAATACAAAATGAGAAGTAGAGAAAAAACCATGATGAATTCTAGCCAGCTTGCAAAAAGGAAATGCAGCAAAGTACAATGGACATAAATCCGTTAGGAGCATCTGTACCAGATTGGATAAATGGGGTTTGCTGAGTCATTTCACTTTGTCTGAGTCTGGTATGGGATGCTGCAAGCTGGACATGGGTCAGGGCCTTCTGGAGCTGAGATCAAACCTCTCAGACCTCAGTCCAGGGCTTGCATTCCTTTCTGGATTCTCAAGATCCTGTAGCTCAGATCCTGTGAGAAGAGCCCTTGTCTAATGAAACCTATGAAATCCATTCTGGGGACCATGCTGGCCTGGTCTAGAGATGTGGGCAATGCTGACATCCAGCACGCTTGAGGATGCAAGGAGCACCCTACGAGAATAGAGATGCAAAGGCAGAGGAAGAGAAATGATGCAATTTCCTTTTCAGCTAGGGAGAAGGATAGCAGAAATGAACAAGATCTGTGAGGAAATTTATATTAGGGGATAAACAAATGAGTTCTGTGCCTGCCTCTTTAAGTCTCTTCAATGCCATGTTCATTTCTCTTTTTTGATTACCAGGTAGTGCTGTCCTCAGTCTCTTGGGGCATACTTCTTTCCCGATCTGGCACAAATGACCCCTCAGGGCTTAAAGACTTGAGAATGACAGATGATCAAGGTATGCATCTCTTAATCAAGCTGCTGTATTTGCCCATATAAAGAACTGTTTAAGAAACACATCTAGCAGATCTCTGCCTCCAATGCTCACATATTATTTAACTCCAACTTTTACTTTTGAAAAATCTAAAGAAAATCTTATTCAGGCTGCGACCAAAGGAGAGGGAAAGCTAAAAATGTCCTATGCAGGGGAAGGACTTTTTTTTTTTAATTTTAAATTCAGTTGGTGATTTTATTAGCTGCTGGTCTGACCTTCCAGCTAACTTCAGGATTGTTTAGGTTAAGATTGAAAATGTAAATTTGCATGGCAAGAGTGCTTTTCCAAAGGATGCTGTTTAGATAGCTCTTCAAATTGTTGGATGATAATGACTATTGTCCCTTACCTTTCAAAGCTGAAGGAAGGTCTGCAGCCTGTTTACCTGCCCAGCTTATCTAGTGAGAACCTACCATGTGTCCAGCCATGGGCTAGGTCCTTTCCATCCAATTAAACCCCTTTGCCAGAATAGCAAAGATCACATTTCAAAAATATTATTCTCACGTATTTACAGATATTAGGGAACAATCCAACAAAAAACAAAACCATATTGGTAATGCTATTCTAGAAAATTCAACTTGTTTTACTCTTCCTGGCATTTTCCTTCAGGAAAAGTAGTTTGATAGTGAAGATAGTGAGATGATGGGACTTTACAAGGAGATTAGGTCCACAGATTTAAAAAAAAAAGGGCCAGATGTGCAGGTCCATGTCTGTAGTCCCAGCTACTCAGGAAATCACTTCCTGATAGTGGGAGGATTGCTTGAGCCCAGGAGTTTATATCAGCCTGGGCAATGTAAAAAGCCTTACCTAGTAAATCTCCAAGCAAGTGCCTCTAGAAGTATTCTGGGTGCAACAGTTGCCCTCTATGGGACTTCTGTCTTAGGCATTACACTGTCAGATTGATCCCCATCTCTGAAAGCCACTGTTGGGTCCCTGCTGCAGTCTGAACTCCTGGGAAATGTAGCATAGCTATTCCTCTTCAACCAAAGATTGGGAGCACTCACTTAAAGGTAGGTTTATGGAATGAGAGGAAGTAGGTATTTGACCATTACTTGCCATTCTTCCCGCTTGGAACATTTGGGCCTTTCTTGAGCTGTTCGAAGTGATGAGATGACATAATAAGCCAGATTTCTACCTTACTGTGTGTTGTGCATAATATGCTTTACTGCGTACTTCAAATTCACTAATATATGCACTGAACTAGTCATCCAATGTACATTAATTATCTACTGAGACCAAGACCAGAGTGATCTGCTCAATCAAAAACCATTCATATTTTTGAAAAATAAAATTTACTGCTTTTATACAATTTATAATTGTTCTCCTTTTTTTGGGCACTTGGTATGTGTCAAGCCCTGACATGGTGTTTTTTTCATACGTTACTGTTAACCATGGCAACAATACAGAGAGGTTGGTATTAGCATACCTATTTCATAGATGAAGAAACTGGGGCTGAGAAATATTACGCGACTTGCTCAGACTTGTATAGACAGCCAGTGGCAGCATTAGGGTAAAAACCCATTTCTTATCATATCTTGGAGTCTGTTCTCTTTCCATTGAACCAAACTTCCTTCCTGTTCAAACCATCAACGTGGTCAGTCCAGACCTGGTTAGATCCCTGCAGCTGCTGAATCCACATGCCTCGTTTAGAGCAACCAGAACAGAGATGTGTTTCATTGGCTTGAGTGAGGAAAAATGCATTACAATAGATGTGCTTTATGTAAAGTGGCCTCCTTTAAAAGGGATTTGCCTTTTCTATACAGTGTAAGACATTA